>NC_000009.12:121970552-122595552 GCF_000001405.40 Homo sapiens
CTTCTCAAAAGAAGACATTTACGCATCCAACAAAGATATGAAAAAAAGCTCATCATCACTGGTCATTAGAGAAATGCAAATCAAAACCCCAATGAGATACCATCTCACGCCAGTTAGAATGGCGATCATTAAAAAGTCAGGAAACAACAGATGCTGGAGAGAATGTGGAGAAATAGGAACACTTTTACACTGTTGGTGGGAGTGTAAATTAGTTCAACTATTGTGGAAGACAGTGTGGCGATTCCTCAAGGATCTAGAACCAGAAATACCATTTGGCCCAGCAATCCCATTACTGGGTATATACCCAAAGGATTGTAAATCTTTCTACTATAAAGACACATGCACACGTATGTTTATTGCAGCACTAGTCACAATAGCAAAGACTTGGAACCAAAGCAAATGCCCATCAATGATAGACTGGATAAAGAAAATGTGGCCGGCCAGCCGCCCCATCCGGGAGGGAGGTGGGGGGGTCAGCCCCCCGCCCGGTCAGCCGCCCCGTCCGGGAGGGAGGTGGGGGGGTCAGCCCCCCGCCCGGCCAGCCGCCCCGTCCGGGAGGGAGGTGGGGGGGTCAGCCCCCCGCCCGGCCAGCCGCCCCGTCCGGGAGGGAGGTAGGGGGGTCAGCCCCCCGCCCGGCCAGCCGCCCCGTCCCGGAGGGAGGTGGGGGGGTCAGCCCCCCGCCCGGCCAGCCGCCCCGTCCGGGAGGGAGGTGGGGGGGGGGTCAGCCCCCCTGCCCGGCCAGCCGCCCCGTCCAGGAGATGAGGGGCGCCTCTGCCCGGCCGCCCCTACTGGGAAGTGAGGAGCCCCTCTGCCCGGCCAGCCGCCCCGTCCGGGAGGGAGGTGGGGGGGTCAGCCCCCCGCCCGGCCAGCCGCCCCGTCCGGGAGGGAGGTGGGGGGGGTCAGCCCCCCCGCCCGGCCAGCCGCCCCGTCCGGGAGGTGAGGGGCGCCTCTGCCCGGCCGCCCCTACTGGGAAGTGAGGAGCCCCTCTGCCCGGCCACCACCCCGTCTGGGAGGTGTGCCCAACAGCTCATTGAGAACGGGCCAGGATGACAATGGCGGCTTTGTGGAATAGAAAGGTGGGAAAGGTGGGGAAAAGATTGAGAAATCGGATGGTTGCCGTGTCTGTGTAGAAAGAAGTAGACATGGGAGACTTTTCATTTTGTTCTGCACTAAGAAAAATTCCTCTGCCTTGGGAAAAAAAAAAAAAAAGAAAATGTGGCATATATACACCATGGAATACTATGCAGCCATAAAAAAGAATGAGTTCATGTCCTTTGCAGGGACCTGAATGAAGCTGGAAACCGTCATTCTTAGCAAACTAACACAAAAACAGAAAACCAAACACTGCACGTTCCTACTCATAAGTGGGAGTTGAACAATGAGAACACATGAGCACAGGGAGGGGAACATCACACACTGGGGCCTGTCGGTGGGTGGGGACTAGGGGAGGGATAGCATTAGGAGAAATACCTAATGTAGATGACATGTTGATGGGTGCAGCAAATCACCATGGCACGTGTATACCTATGTAACAAACCTATATGTTCTGCACATGTATCCCAGAACTTAAAGTATGAAAAAGAAAAAAAAAAAAAAAGAATGCTGATGTGTCAAAGTCATCCTAAGAAAACTGTACTGCCATGCCATACTGGCATAAAAGGCTACCCAAATCTCCTTACAGTACCATACGATTTCTCAGAACCTAATATCTGCTGCTGAGACCAATAACTATTAGAGAATAGATTTTTGAGGAATGAGTTTTATTGCAGTAATTCTGACCAAATAGCAATTAATCCATTGCTTTTCCCTTGGGATGGCTAAAGAAGGCAGCTGCAGACACATACGTACTGGTGAACACATTATTTGGCTGCCATCGGGTCTGAGCTGCTCAGAGGACAGCTTTGAAGCACTGATCGGTGGAAGAAGCCACACCTGGTGGGATTGGCCCATGCAAACTACAGGTAAACATTCTCAGCCGAGTCTTGCCAACAATGGCAATCTGTGCCTCACACAGTCAAGAACACTCTTGACAAGAACTCAGCCGGGCCGGCGCCATCCAGCCTGACTCAGACTATGACCAATACTTCTTCAGGGTAATATTTCCTGCAGGGCAGTGGCACTCAGCCTTGGCTGCACAGCAGAATCACCTAGGGAACCTAGAAACTTTCTGTGGCCAGGCCTTCCACCCAGGCCAATTAAAATCAGCACCTCTAGAAGTGGAAACTCTAGTATTGGTTTTCTGAAAGCTGCCCAGAGGGTTCTAACGTGCAGCCAAGCGTAAGAAGCACTACCATAGGGTGATATTTGGGCTTGAGCCCAGGTGGTGAGAAGCCTTGGTAGAGGAACCTGCAAACCACCACTTGCTTGGGGAAGTCTGCATTCCTCCCAGTCTTGAACAATTACTGACAAGTGCTTTATTTGTCTGCGCTCATTAGGGTCAATCTGATTCGTCTAGGGATATGAGAAGTGCTATTTGAGATGCCTTTGATTTTTCTTCCTGAAACATTGACACAATGATATGTACTCAACACCTACTTTGTGAGAGCCTGGAATTTGGTAAAAACAAAACAACATACTCAAGTGAAATATTCATTTCTGGGGTGATTTCATGGAGGGAGGGCGAAGCACATATATCCACCAACAGCGCAATGTAATGTACCACTGAGTGGGTGGGGACGAAGCAGAATTACAAGTGTTGTAAATATCATAGAACTGTCATTAAATTGGCCCTGCCAATTTTGAAACTAAAAGTTTATACTGCAAGAGTGTAAACATGAAGAAAATAAAAAGGAAGCAACTCTTACCATGTCCTAGTTACCTATGGCCCTCTTCTCCTGCATTTTATTGTACTTTTCCTGTGCTTGAGGATTTCAAAGAGAAGCACTATGTGTGCAATGGTGGGCAAGTGGGAGGCCTGGCCTTGAGGGAGACAGCTTCTTAGAAGAGATATTCCGTATGGAATTCTGGGTTGAAAATTCTTTTCTTTAAGAATGTTGAATATGGACACAGGAAGGGGAACATCACACACTGGGGCCTGTTGTGGGGTCAGGGGAGGGGGGAAGGACAGCATTAGGAGATATACCTAATGTTAAATGACGAGTTAATGGGTGCAGCACACCAACATGGCACATGTATACATATGTAACAAACCTGCACGTTGTGCACATGTACCCTAAAACTTAAAGTATAATAATAATAAAAAAAAGGAAGAGACATTCCAGATTTGATAACACTCAGAAATTCATCAACGGAAGCCTATTTGTCAGATTACTCCGGATTTGAGTCACTGATTGCTTGGGGGCTGATATTTATAAAACAAAGATATTTTATTAGAATTGTTTAAGATGTAAATCTCACTCACAATGGTAACAGGTTCCAAGAACTTACCTGCTTAGGATACGAAGCCGGGTTAGGAGGCAGAGTTGATAGAAATGAATGACATAAAAAAGTACTTACTGATTCTCTCTTTTCTTCTTAAGTGGGTCCATGAGGCGCAGAGTGTCTCTGATCACAGCCACTTTCACTTCTTCATCAACGAGGCTGGGGACATTTTCAAACACCCCTGGAGAAAGCTTGAACGGGTAAGGATTCTGTGTCACAGTGGAGACCGTGATTCCGTGCCAAGTGGCTATCCAGCTAGCTCCAGGGGTTATACTAGTAAATTTTGCTTATGCTAATCTATAGAAGAAAATTTTTAAAGACTTCCTTTATACTACCTTAAGAATGTCGATTTCCTTTTATAAATTAACCAAATACATGAAGAGGAAAAATAGCACTATGTTTTTCTAATTATCAAAATGATACATGCTCACTGCAAAAAATTAAGAAATATAGAAAGGGGTTAAGAAAACTAAAATAATCCATATAATCCTCTCTAAACCCAATATTGATATCTGCTGTATTTCCTTCCAGTTTTTTTAAATGCATTTTTTGGGGGAGGGGGAGAAAAATATAACCACTGCTAAATGTATTATTTATCTTAGTGATTCAAGTATGTCAACATGACTAAATCATACTCATAGAATTTCAATTAGTTCATCTCCTGAGGCTAATTAGTTCATGTCAAAACTGATGGGAAGGCTCAGCTGCTTCTAAGTTTCCAAACCTTCAACACTGGAAAAACAGCATGCTGGGAAGTGACCACAGGTCAGATAGGCTTTGTATTAATAGTCTATGTTGAGAACTCAACAAAACTGAAATTATTTGACTTGAACAGAATTTGGCTATGAAAATCTGAGAATGTCCAATCTTGTTTTGTTAAGTGAGCAACATGAGGGTAGGAATATTCAGCTGTATGGCAACATAGTCAATGAGATGCTCAAAATACTTACTTCGTGCTCATGTTCGATTCTCATACTGGGATTTGCATTTACTTCAAGTAGTATAGGCTTCAGATTTTTCATTAGAAGAATGTCAAAGCCTAAAATCTGGGCAGGATAAACACAATTCAGAATTACTGTCTCTATTGAGTATGGTATTAGGGTCATTAAGTTGAAAATAAATTCAAACTCAGTCCCCAACCTTGGCCTTGACCCTGGCTTCTCTTGTCCACAGCCCCTCTTCCTCTGGGGGTACTTGTCAGACCAAATGGACAGCAGAAAATTTTACAGGAACCTTGATAATGGGATGAGTTCCCACAGTGCGTTTCAGCACTGTCTTTGTCGTCTGAAGGGCTGTTGATGACCTCTTTCTTCTTTAACAGGTTTTTTATTATGTTGAGGATGAGTAGTAGCCCATCAATTTCTCCCTCTGCCTTTTCTTCTGCTCTCGTTTACTAAGTGGCTTCTTAGCTAGCTCTCTGAGAACCTAAGGCTGCTTTTGCAAACCTGAGGTATACATCAGTGTCATATAAGGACCCCGTTCAAAACCACCACATCAGCTGGGCTTGGTGGCTCATTCCTGTAATCCCAGCACTTTGGGAGGCCGAGGCAGGCAGATCACCTGAGGTCAGGAGTTTGAGACCAGCCTGGCCAATGTGGCAAAACATCGTTTCTACTAAAAATACAAAAATTAGCTGGGTGTCGTGGCGCGAATCTGTAATCCCAGCTACATGGAAGGCTGAAGCAGGATAATTGCTTGAACCCAGGAGGTGGAGGTTGCAGTGAGCCAAGATGGTGCCACTGCACTCCAGCCTAGGTGACAGAATGAGACTGTGTCTCAAAAAACAAACAAACAAACAAAAAAACCCACCACATCCCTACAGAGTCAGAAGTGCTTAGAGCGGAACCCAGGTGAATGTATTTTAAATAAAGCAAATTCCCCAGGTGATTCAGATACACCCTCTTAGTTAAGAAGACAGGAATATTGATTAGGCACCTACTAGGCACCCATTACTATACAATGCACTGATTATTCATAGTCTCACTGAATCCTCATGACAGCGTATTTGAAGAAGGGATTATGTGCTCCACTTTACAGAAGCAGAAACTGAAACTCAGGAAGGCCAATGGATTTCCCAGAAACCGCCTAGCTAGTTAATCAATGACAGAGCTGGCTTTCACACCCAAGCAGGACTGACTACACAACATAAAAATGCAGGGCCCTTTGTTCAAAAAGGATGAACAGTTTCACATAGTTAAACCAAGCTCAGAGCCCTTCTAAGCGCAGGGCCCTGTGTGACACCCCTGCACAGGTGGAGTTCTCCAACACCGTCTGCTTCACGCCTGCTCTTAAATCCAGCATTCTGCCTTGGGTGAAGCTTTGTCTTCCAGTCACTCGGGTTTCTTTCTATTCCTTACAGCTCCTACAACTGGGGCCAGCCACTCATGAGCATCTCGTTCTCTCTGCCTAGAACAACTCTTCATCTGGATAACTTTTGCTCATCCTTGAGATCGCTGCCCCTAATGAGATTCTGATTCAGACGACAAGGACTTTCGATTTTCCAGAGGACTCTCATTATGGCTACAGAAGTGATAATGCAGAAAATTTCTAACATAATTAATAGAACCCCAAAGTCTCAAAAAATTAATGTGGAGAATAAAGAGAAAAAAGAAAAAGATAGGGTTGTAGACTCCCCTTCTCTGTGGATTCAAGGAGGAAAGATGAGGGAAATCCATTTACTAGTCTATATAGAATATGCATTAGTTAAATGATAATTATTAAACTGTAGCTCCATCCTTATTAATGAAATTAGAGCCTGAATGACCATTTTTGGGGGCTGATTCAAGATGAAGTTATTTTTCAATGAAGGGCAATAAGGATGAAAAGTTGGGAAAAGTCATCCTCACTCTATTTTTCTTTCCTTGGTCATGAAAAGAAAGAAATGGAAATTCAGTAGAAAATGTTGCATGGATTATAGATCTGCTTAATAATACATGACAAGTGGATGTGAGTGATGAGGCCTTTTAGAGACTCTGGTGACATCATCAGTCTAACTCCAGACCTGGTCTGAGACATGTGATGTTGATGAGGCTACAGAGAGCAGCAGGCTGTGGTGATGACGTTTATCATCCTTAGTCATCAACTCTTACTTTTTGGTATATTTTGTACTTTCTCAGCCTGGTGGACTCTTCCCAGTTCAATGCCCAGTGGTTTCATGAATGTGAAGGTGGGAATGCTGGGAGCTGGAGCAGGGGTGTTAAAGCCTCATCAGCCCTGTCTACACCCACCAGTGGCATGAAATTTTCCAGAACCTAAACTTGAGTGCATGTTTTTGAATATGCTGGGTCTTGTATAGGAATGCTTTGGAGTTAGAAAGACCTGGGCTCCAATCCCAGCTCAGTCCCTTACACTAGCTACATGACTCTAGGTAAGGTACTTAGCCACTCTGAGCCTCAATGATCTCATCTGAAAAATGAGGATAACAATAGCTATCTGTCAGGGTTGTTGATAATGGCAGTGAAAAGCAATACCTAGGCCTATGCTCATCATATAGAAGGTACTCAATATATGCTATCTCTTTCCAGTTTCCTGCCAATTCCACCAAAAAGAAATGGCATTAGTGTGCTTTGTAGTCAAGAGGGGCTCATTTCATATCTTAGTTCTGCCTTTAACTTGTGTGACTACAGGCAAGTTACTTAGCAGCTCTAAGCCCAAATTTCCTCATCTATAAAATGGAACTATGAATGTTACTTACTTACCTTAGTTCATCCATTCAGAAAATATTTATTTTTAATTTAATTTAATTTTTTTTTTTTTTTGAGACAGAGTTTCTCTCTTGTTGCCCAGGCTGGAGTGCAGTGGCACCATCTCGGCTCACTGCAACCTCCGCCTCCCAGGCTCAAGTGATTCTGCTGCCTCAGCCTCCCAAGCAGCTGGGATTACAGACACGTGCCCCCATGCCCAGCTAATTTTTGTATTTTTAGTAGAGACGGGGTTTCACCATCTTGGCCAGGCTAGTCTCCAACTCCTGACCTCAGGTGATCCGCCTGCCTTGTCCTCCCAAAGTTCTGGGATTACAGACGTGAGCCACCGCGTCCGGCCCAGAAAATATTTATTTAATGCTTTCTATGTCCCAAGAACTATTCTAGCTGCTGGAAATACAACAGTGAACTAAACAAGTCTTAGACTCCAGTAGGGGAGAAAAGATCAAATAAAGATAATGCAATATAACATTTTTTGCACAGTGCTTGATACATAGAAAGTGCTTAATGAGAGCCAGCTTTATGACATTTTTTCACAAGTTCAAGGAAATATGCATGATTTTCTTTTCAAAAGTCCAATAAAATATGTAGCATCAATGGATCTTAATAAACAGAATCACAGAACTGGGAGATATGTAGAGTTATCTTGTCATAAAATCACAGAATGTCCCAGCTGGCAGAAAATCAGGTATTTACTTGGTCCAGTGGTTTTCAAACCGGGGTTCTTTTCTGGGGTCCCAAGGGAGAGGCCAACCAGATCAGATCAAATTTGACCTTTTACCTATGTGATAAACTGGGGTTCCCAAGGAAAAAGCTTTATTTATTTATTTATTTATTTATTTATTTATTTATTTATTTATTGAAAATTCACTTTGTGCAGACAAGGAATGTGCAGCTTAGCATGGGGAAAGCCTCTTTCCAAGTCCCTCTAACGGAGCAGGAATTGTAAATGGAGAGCTTTTCAACCATGTGATATTCTGCCTCCCCAAGTAATTAAATCAGCAATTATGTGTTGATCACCTTCTACTTGAGGGGCTCCCTGGGGGGTTTAAAGATATCTGTCCTTCATTCCCGACCTCTAGAAGCTTCAAATCAAGTTGGGGAGATTCCTGAGCCATTAATTATAAATTTATGCAAAGGTTCCAAACTACATCCTAACAGCAGTGGTTCGTTCCTGAGCCCCACGCCTACCCTTCCATCTGCATCCACAGTATCCCCAACTGGGAGGTCCTAGAGTCCACAAATTCAGCGTATCCAAACTCACTCTGTGGTCAACTGTTTCTAAGATGGTCCCAATGATCCCTAACTCCTGGTATTCATTCCTTTTGTGGAATGCCCCCTCGCACACACTGGGGTGTGACCTCACCTAGTAACTTGTTTCTAACAGATAGAATAGGGCAGAAATGATGAAATGTCACCTCTAATATTGGGTTATAAAAAGACCGTGGCTTCTATCTTGGGGGGCTTTCTCTCACTCTCTTGCTCACTCACTCGGAGGGAGGCCACCTGCCATATTGTCATGAGCTGTCCCATGGAGAGGCCCAGGTGGCAAGGAACTGATTTCTCCAGCCAACAGTTAGAGGGTACCTGAGACCTGCCAACAGCCATGGGAGTGGGCTTGGAGGAGGAGCTTTCCCCAGTCAAGTTCTGAGATGACTGCAGTCCTGGCCAACATGTGGGCTGCAGCCTTGAGAGAGACTTTGAGCCAGAAGCAGTCAGTTAAGCCTAAATTCCTGATCCATGTATACTGCGAGATAGTGGGTATTTGTTGTTTTAAGCTGTTAAGGTTTGGGGTAATTTGCTACACAGCAATAGATAACAAATACACCATATTTTTCTAAAATCTCCTTTGTTTTCTGTATTCCTTATCCACCCAATCACACAAGTCAAAACTTTCCCTTCATCCCTTACAACCAGGTGGCCACTAACACCTGCACACTCTACTGCCTAAAAAGCTTTCTAGACCTGGCCCATCCCCTCTGCTTCTACTCTCCACAAGTCTGTGCCACCTCTCACTTTTCCTCTGCTCTCAAACTTGCTCCTCTAATTCATCTGACACAAGGGGCTGCCAGAGCCATTTTTCTAAAGTGCAAATAGACTATTAACAATCCTTTGCCCAAAATCCGTGTCTACAAAATGAAGCCCAAGTCCCACAGCATGTCCTACAAATTGCTCTATGGCCTGACATCTGTCAACACTCCAGCTTTATCTCCTCCCACTTACTATTACTACACATCTTGGGCTCTCATTGTGCTGAAACATTAGTAGTTCAAGGATGCTTTAGTGCTCTCTGCCTTCATACTTTTCTGCCTGAAGGCATTACTTACTTTGTGAATTATTTACTGGGCACTACTAGATACCAGGCACTGTTCTTGGCACTGAGCATAAAGCAGTGATAAAACAAAACTCCTACCCCCTTGTAGCTTATGTTTTAGATGGGAGAGATACCACAAGCAAGTCAATAATGAAAGCAAGGTAAGAACACAGAGTGTGATACAGTGGGTGGAGGAGAGCATTTGGTGATCTACCTAGGAGGGCCAGGGGGGCCTTTCTTTTTTCATTTTTTTTCACAGCAAAATAAGTTTTTTATTGAAAAAGATAAATTCAGAGAATGAGATTTGGATTCCAGTTCTAATACAAACACTGGACAGGTATACTTGAGTGAAACACCTTACCATTGCAGTAACCCATCTCCAGACTATAAAATAAGGAAATATCCTCGTGCCTTACCTCTTTCATAGTAAGGACTGAAACAAGTAAACCAAGGGAAAGCACTTTGTGAACTGTAGGAAAAGCACCAAAAGCTCTGATTATAGTAATGTCAGTTCCTATTAGCTCTCCACTAACCTAGATCCAGCAGCTCTGCAGTTGAACCAGCTACCTTCCCACCCACCTCACATGCAGCCCTCCAGATAGATTCTGTGGTTTTCTAGTTGACCATACTTGTAAGAACCTCAGATTCCTCCTGTCCACCAGTATGAGTCTTGTCTAGTTCTACCATTTGACCCAACCATCCCATTACTGGGTATATACCTAAAGGATGATAAATCATGCTGCTATAAAGACACATGCACATGTATGTTTATTGTGGCACTATTCACAATAGCAAAGACTTGGAACCAACACAAATGTCCATCAATGATAGACTGGATTAAGAAAATGTGGCACATATACGCCATGGAATACTATGCAGCCATAAAAAAGGGAGGCCTTTCTAAAGAGGAGACACTTGTCATTCTATTGTCTCTGGCCAGAACAGTTTCTGATGAGAACATTGTGGTTATTCTTTGTTCTTCTGAACATAGTGTATCTTTTCTTTCTGACTGCTTTTAAGATTTTCTGATCATCACTGGTTTTCCAATAGTGTGATTATAATCTGGGGGGAGTGTGTGTGTCTGTGCATGTGTGTGTATTTTACTTGGAATGTCTTGAGCTTCTTAGATTGTGGGTTTATAGTTTTTTTTCAAATTTGGAAAATTTTGGCCATTATTTCTTCAAAAGTTTTTTTTTTTTTAAATATTCCCTCTCTCTTCTGCCCTGGGACTTCAATTACACATATGTTAGACCACCTGATATTGGACCATAGTCCACTGAGGGTCTGTTCTTTTTTTTCCTTGTCATTTTTCTCTACTTAATTTTGGACACATTCTATTGCTACGTCTTCAAGTTCACTGATGATTTCTTCTTCAGTGTCTAATTTGCTGTTAATCACATCCAGTGATATTTTCATCTCAGAGATTATATTTTCTGTTATAGAAGTTTCATTTGGCTCTTTTCACTAGTTTCCATTTCTCTCTTCACTAAGCTCATATGTTCCTTAAAATTTGTGTATATAGTTATAATAGCTGTTTTAGTATCCTTTTCCTGCTAGTTTCATCATTTCTGATATTTTTGGATCTGTTTCTCTGAAATGATTTCCCCATTGGTAAAGGTTACCTTTTCCTATTTTGTGGAATGTTTAGAGATTTTTTATAATTGAATGCTGGACGTTGCGATATTTCAATGCTGAGTGTCTGGACTTTGTCTTTCTTTTAAAGTGCTGGGCTTTGTTTTGGCAGTCAGTTATTTGCAAATCAGCCTGATGCCTTCAAAGCCTTTTGCTTAAGGTGAATAGCATGGGTCTAGAGTAACCTTCATCCCAGGGAGAATTTAACCCTCGCTGTTAAGGCAGAACTTCTTTGGAGACTCCATTGCATGCTCCCAGCCATCACCAAAGACTCTTCACTCTGTTCGGGGCTCAAATGCCTCCGTGCCCTGTGTGAGCCCTGGAAATGGTTTAGCTTATCAGTCCCCCAGTTATTCTTTGTCCAGCTTTGTGGATTAACCCTCCATATATGCATGGCCTAGGACTCAGCAGAGACCCACTGAGATCTCACTCAGCTTTCTGGAGCTCTTTTCCTGCTTAGCTCCTTCCTTTCTGTAATTCTGCCCCACAAATTCCAGCTACCTTAGCCTTCCCAAACTTCAATCTTCAACTCCTCAACTCAATGAGGTCACTGGATGCTGTTTAGGTTTACCTCCTCTGTGTCCATATTCCAAAAATTGCCCCCAGATGAAAAGCTGAGGCAACCATAAGACTCACCTTGTTTTTTCCCCTTTTTCTCAGAGATCACAGTGCTGAGCTATCTGTGGTCCAAAGTCTGAAAATGTTTCTTTCATGTACACACTCATATATATTTCTGGTAGTCTAGTTGTTTGCAGAAGGAGGTTATTGTTACTCCCTCATCACCAGAAGCAAAAGTCTCAGGGAGGTGACATATGGACAGGGGCTAAATAAAGTGAGAGAATAAGTCATTTTTGGGCTGGGCATGGTGGCTCACACCTGTAATCCCAGCACTTTGGGAGGCCGAGGCGGGTGGATCACCTGAGGTCAGGAGTTCAAGACCAGCCTCACCAACATGGTGAAACCCTGTCTCTACTAAAAATATTTTTTAAAAATTCTCTGGGCGTGGTGGCGGGTAGCTGTAATCCAGCTACTTGGGAGGCTGGGGCAGGAGAATCGCTTGAACCCAGGAGGCAGAGGTTGCAGTGAGTGAGTGCCATTGCACTCCAGCCTGGGTCAACAAGAGTGAAACTCCAACTCAAAAAAAAAAAAAAAAAAAGAATAAGTCATGTTTGAATAGCTGGGGAAGAGCATTCCAGGGAGAGGGAACAGCAAGAACAAAGGCCTCTTCCAAAGAATAGCAAAGAGTGAGCGAAACGGAGAGTGGCGGAAGATGAGGTCAGATAGACAAGGGGCAGATGGCGCTGCATCTTGTAGACCATGAGAAGGAGCCAGGATTGTAAGTGCAATGAAAAAGCCATTGGAGGGTTTCAGTGAGGAAAGTAACTGGATCCACCTTGTGTTTTAAAGCATCTCCTTGGCTACAGTGAGAAAAATAGGCTATAGGCAGTAAGGGTGGCTATGGCAGCCATTCAAGTGCGAGGTGATGGCTGCCTAGACTGGGATGGCAACAGTGGAGTTGGTTAGAAGCGGTTACATTTGGGAATATTTTAAAGGATATTTGCAAGAGTTGCTTATGGATTGGATGTATGAAGGAGGGAAACAGAAAAAAGAAGGATGTCTCAGGCTGTTGGTCTGAGTGACTGACTGAATGCCATTTGTTTACTGAAACAGTAAAGACGATAGAGAGTAGGTTTGGGAAGGAAGTCAAGAGCTTGACTTTGGACGTGTTCAGTGTTTGATGGCTATTAACTATCCAAGTAGAAAATTAAAGTGGGCACTGGGATATACCAATCTGGAGCTCAAGGAAAGGTCAGGACTGGAAATACAGCTATAGGCGCCAGTAGCGTAGAGCTGGTGCTTAAGGCCATGGGGGCTACGCGGGATCATTTAGGAGTGATTGTGAATAGGGGGACACCTTTCCAAGGATGGAGGCCTGAGACTCTCCAACACTGACAGGTCCAGAAGAAGAGGCTGAGAAGCAGCAGCCAGGGAGGTAGGAGGGAAACTGGAGTGTATCCTTCTATCATATTCTGCTTGGCAAACCCTTCTTCATGCTTTACGCTCCAGCTTAAGCATCTCCTCCTCTGGGAAGCCTTCCCTGACAGGGTTAGGCAAAGTTAGCGACTCCCTTTTCTGGGCTCTCCCAGCATCCCACATGGACCCTCTCATAGCATTTCTTTCTTACAAGGGACTGGAGTTCTCATGAGTCAGCTCTCCCCATTACACTGTGTGCCCCCTCAGAGCAGGGACCTTGTCTTATCCATAACCACATGCCCATACTAGCTCAGGGCTTGTCTTAGTGGGTGCCCAGGGAATGTGTTAGAGTCCAAAGGAAGAAAAAGCTGAAATATCAGAAGTTGTTTCTGGAGAAAGGGTTTATCTAGGAGGTGGGGCTTGAATAGCACCTTAGAAGGCGTTGAAGTTCAAGAAACAGCAAGAATGAGAGAGAGCATGCCAGGTCAGCCGAGACAGAAGAGAATCAAAGGGCAGCAATGGGAAAGCACAAATTATGTCCAAGACAGCAATTGGATCTGTTTTTCAAGACTGCAGAGCTCAGGGAGGGTACAGGGAAGCTAGACTGGGGTTGGGGTCAGGGGTGACAAATGCCAGGCTAAGGAGATGGTTTTCAAACTATACTCCTTGGAACACTTGTGTTCCTGTTAGGTTTAAAATGTGAATATTTCATGGTTTCTTACAACTTTAAGGCACTTCATCATAGACAAATTTGAGAGCTGTTGTGGTTACAGATAACAAACAATGGAATAAACATAAAAACTGTCATTTATTAAGTGATTCCTATGTGTTAGGTGCTGTGCTAAATATTCTTCCTAGTTTGCTCTTATTTGTGCTTACAATAATTCTGAGAGGGAGGTACAAATATGGTCTCTAACTGCAGATAAGGAAGCTGAGACTAAGAATTGTTAACTTGCCAAGCAGACCAGCTAGAGGTGCCAGGGTTAGCCCAAACCCAGGCCGTCTAAGAACCAAATCCAAGCCCTTGACCACTCACTGCATTGCTCCTTGGCCTTCTTCCCTTGGGGTGACTGGCTGAAGGGTAAGGAGGAGGTCAAAAAAACAAAGAATAAAGAGGAGAAACATCTTAGGATTTAGGAAGAGCATCTCCTTCAGGCATCTAAGCAAAAGGATCATGGCCAAGGAGATAATTAGATACAGGGAGCTAGAAGAAGATACAGACCAAGCAATGGAACTGGGAAAGAACGTTCTTGAAAGCTGAGCTGGAAGCCTTTCCTCTGCATGTGTTATTTCTGCCATATGATTCATCTACACTGAGACAGGCCTTGCTGTATAAGTCAGAGTCACACTGGTACCCTCAAGAAGGCTGACATGAGGATATGTTGCTGGGAGCTACCTAGGCAATGACAGGGGACAGGCTGGAATGACAGGGAAGCCACGTTCCTCAGCAGCAGATTACAGGAAACCTGCCCACAGCCTGAGCAGTGCCCGCAACTGCTCTGTGCCATCACAATTTCCCAAGTAGTTATTGTGGCTATGATTGGAAAGGGGTCACCGTCACATGTTTAAGATAAATGTAATTTCTTTGGCTAGAGTTTATGTTCTGGAATGCTGCAATCTGAGTCAAGCCCAGGCAACAAGCGAGAGGGGCTGTGTGGCAAAGAAGTCATGTGTTCTATCTGCACGGAACATTACAGCTTGAAAAGCCATTCACAATCTTTATCTCATTGGAATTTGACAACAACCCTTTGAGGTAGGCAAGGAAGATGAGGCACAGAGAAGTTAAGTGACTTATACAAGAATACACAGCAAGTCAATGGCAGAACCTAACCGGGTCCCTTAATCTCTAGGTTCCAAGTCAGCTCAGGTATGTGAGACCCAAACTCAAAAGTGTTCTTACAAGTGATAAGAATAAAGTAAGAGAGGGCTCCAAGGAGAAAAGGATACCATTTTCTTTTCTTTTTTTTTTTTTTTTTTTTTGAGACTGAGTCTCGCTCTGTCACCCAGGCTGGAGTGCAGTGGCGCGATCTCGGCTCACTGCAAGCTCCGCCTCCCGGGTTCACACCATTCTCCTGCCTCAGCCTCCCAAGTAGCTGGGACTACAGGTGCCTGCCTCAACACCCGGCTAATTTTTTGTAATTTTTTTTAGTAAAGATGGGGTTTCACCATGTTAGCCAGGATGGACTCGATCTCCTGACCTCGTGATCCGCCTGCCTCGGCCTCCCAAAGTGCTGGGATTACAGGCGTGAGCCACCGCGCCCGGCCCAAGGATACCATTTTCTCCCTTAATGACTGGGAATCTGAAATGTATGGTAAGACAAATTCCAAATATCTAACACCTTATACCCTGTCAAAGTGTTGTCACCCACATTACTTCACAATAAAAGGCAGGCAGGGAAGTGAGCGTAGGTGATTTACAGAGAAAGAAGCAGAGGCTCAGAGTGGTGAAGAAACATGCCCAAGTTCGCACAGCTGGGAAGAGGAAAAGCGCTTCCTTGATCCTGGCGTCTCCCCCCATGCTCCTCCTCTGGCCCAGGCCTGGAAGCATTTAGTGTGGTCAAGCAGTGGGAAACAGTCCCAAGACTGTGGTTCCACTTGCAGACATGATCTGTCCAAACCAGTGGCTCCCTCCCTGTCTGCCCCCTCCACCAGCTCCCCACAGCTTGGGCCCCACTGATGGCTGCCCCATGTGGCCTGTCCATAGCAAGACATGCAGCAAAACAACCAGCCTGGCCCTCCACCCTGCCACTCGGTCCAAGCCAGGGCTCTGTGGCTTGGCTCTGCATGCCGGGCCCACATGATAGTCCTAGAATAGCTGTCATTGTCAAACAGATCTGACCACATGGTCCCCCGGGATGACCCCTGGACGTGTCCACGTTGCAACTTATCTCCTTGACCCTAGCTTTTTGATGGCTTACGTCAGGACTTGTTTTCTCTGGCCCTACCTCTAAGTTCTTCCCTTTTCTCCTTTCTAATGTTTTAAGCCACCTACCTGATGGCTGAGCTGTGCATCCTCCCTGGGAACCAAAGGCCAGGGGTCCAGTTTCTCAGGACAGATTTCTGGGTGGCAATTACCCCTTCCTGGTACTGATCATGGCCTGAATAGCCCTCCAAAAGGTGCCGCCAGCCTGCCTGGAAATCCTGCTGGCTGGCGCCTAGCCCCTGGGGTGTCCTCTCTGGGTTTGAGGCTGCACTTTGGGACCAGCCTCCTCTTCTGCTGTTGAATGAATGCCCCATCCACTAGAGACACTGCCCCACTCCCTCCGTTCTCACTTCTTGTCCCAAGAGACCTGTCACCTGCTTGCCATAGACTGGAAATAACCCAAATGTTCCTTGACAGAAGAACTGATAATAAATTGTGCATATTCACAATGGAATCTATAACAGTGCAAATGAGGCAGTACCCACGACCCCCACCAGCATGGGTGGACCTTGGAAACCTTATGTGTAGTGGAAAAGAATGTTGCAGAAGACGCCATACTTTATAATAGCATTTTTATAAAACTCAAAAACAAGCAAAACAAAACAATATATTGTTTAGGGATACATTCATGCCTAATAAAAGTATTTTCAAAAGCAAGGAAATAATCAACATAAAATTCAGGGTAATGTCTACCCCAGGGCTGGGCAGGGACATGGTTTGGGGCAGAAACACACTAGTTGGAGATCTTGGGTTGGGAGGAAGGTTTGAGATAATCATTTTGTTGTTTGGCTTCATGGCTTACAAGTATGTTCCATGTATTCTTTTTTCATATATATCAAATGCTACAAAATGACTTTAAGGATTAGATGGAGAGGGTCCCAGAGGTACCCCTTCTTCTCTCCTCCTACCCACACTGATTGATCTGGGGGCAGGAAAGTGTGTACCTATGGAGTGTCTGGACACCACGTCTCCCCACCCTGCACTGTCACAGCTGAATGGCCTGTAAGAATGTTCCAGCCTCATTCCCTTCCCTCCCACACTCTGGCTGAGTCCACCAGACTCTGGCCCTGGCTCCATCGCTCTGCTGAAGACAATTCTCACTGAAGTCTCCAGTCAACTCCTTACGAGTGGAGAGGACAGTTTCAGTGCTGGTCTTGCCCGGCGTCTCAGCAGCATTTGAAGCGCTGACCCTGTCTGCTTCCCCAGGCACCTCATCCTTGCCATTCCGGCTCCTTCTCTCCTGATATTTATTCTATCTCAAGACACTGCTTCTTGGCCTCCTTTCCTGGCTCCCTCCCCCTCCCCTGCCTTTCCCTTAGTGAAATGTGATTCCCACAGGTGTCTTCTCAGTCTTCTCGTCACCCTCTTTGGTCACCATTTGCTGATGAGTTCTCATCTCTGTCCCCAACCCAGGCCTCTGTCTCCTGAACTCCAAGCTCCAAATAGCCAATTGTCCCCTTAATCTCTCCACTTGGATGTCACATAGGCACTTTAAGTCCAACTCCCAACCTTCCCCCAACAGCCTGGTCCTCTTCCGGGGCCTCCATCCATGCAAGTACCCAAGCCACCTGCACATCAGCCTCAGGTTCTCCCTGCCCTCACTGCCACCATCTCTCCTCTCTCTCCAGCCTCATCCAGTCACCAAGCTGAGCCCTTCTTGCTCCTTCCCTGGCACCCAGATCTGTCTATCCCCCCTACCTTCACCACAACCTTCCCAGTCCATACCACCATCCTCTCCAGCTTATGTGAAAGCAACTGTCTCCTAGGGACCTCCCCACTTCCAGCCTTGTCTCAGTGTGTTCTCTACTCTGTAGACACTGTTCTTTGAAACATACAAATTGGAATGCATCTTTCCCCTGCTTAAAATTCTCCAGGGACCACCCCCCCGAACCAATACCCAGGCTCTCGACACAGCCCCTACCTTTCTCTCCCACCTCACCTTCCCTCATCTCCCCCGCATCTCTGCCTTAAACCCCACCCAGCAACCATACTCAACCTCTTCCAGTGCCTCCTGCTTCCCACTCACCCCTCTGGCTTCAGCACATTTCCACCTGGAACCCTTTGCCTCCCCTACCCCTACCCAGTTTCTCCTGCTTCATCTAACTCTCGCTCCAGGTTTCAGTTCAACTGCTATTTCTTCTGGGAAGCCTTCCCTGACCACGCCACTCCCGCCCAGAGAATGTTACGTGGCCCCACGATCTCAGCACCTCAGACGTTTCTTATTCTACTCTAGCATTTAAAACCCTCCATAATCATTGCTTTTTAAATTATATGTCTCTCACAACAGACTCTATGCATCAGCAAGCAAGGCCCTGACTTGCTGTCTCAATAGAACCCAGGACAATGTCTGACCGCTACTAAGCATGTGGCAAAGGTTGTTGAATGAGTAAGTGAATGAATGAATGAGTAAACGAATGAATGTAAAACTCTGCTTTACATGTGTTATCTCATTTAATTCTTACAAGAACCTTTTAAGATAGGTATTCTTCATTTCATTTTACAGGTAACAGAGGGGAAGTAGCTTGCCCCAAATCACACAGGGAGCAAACAGAAAGCTTGGAAGTTGGGCCCAGGTTTAACACCCAAGCCCACAGCACCACCAACACTGTCCCCTCCTCTGGCCATCCCACCCCGATCACTCATCCTACACGAAGCCAGAGAGCCCTCTTGAGGCCGGTCAAGGCTGGAAACGCAGGCTGGGAACTGGCAATGGTTACCTGGAAGCACGTGGGGCCCGGCCTCCCCGTGGGGATGTCTGACTGGTAGAAGACTTTGAGCTCTGGAGTCAGCGCGATGACCGTCTTAATCACCACGGAGATGATGTCAGACCAGACCTTCTTGATGTCAACGCCTTTGGAAGACAGTCTACAAAGGATGCTGGAAAAAGTCCTTTTGCTGCCAGTGCTAGCACTGTCCGAGTGGATGAAGTTGCCGCTGTGGATGTTCAGTGAATAGTTGGTTAAGTGCATAAAGATGCGGTGCAGGTTTTTGGGGGTGGGCTCCTGATATGGCTCGGTACAAAACCTAGAGAGTCCGTCTTTGGCTATATAAATCTCTAAGGGGTCTAAGGACTTGAGTAAGACATACAGACGAATATCAAACTTGAGCTTGTCGATAAGGAGAGGTTTGCAGATGTACTCCTGGACCACCGCTGGCCTGCTCTGGAGGGTCCCTGCCAGGCGGATGTCACTGGGGTCTTTAATGAGGTAGATTCCATCACCCTGACAACCACCATCAGGTTTCACGATAAAAGTGGGCTTCCAGGAGGGGTCATCGTCTTTCACCATTTGAACCTGGAGGGGGAAAAAAGGATGGCCGACATTATATTGTTTTCCCTCTGGATCCCTAACACAGAGCAAGGCCTTAGCAAATGTGTGGTGAATGAGTGACAAGATGATCCCTGCCGATCTGAGCAGGGGCTGAGCATCTTCCATGGAGATGACACTGCACAAGGTACTGAGATGGTGACATCAGGACTGTCCCCAGTCTTGTGCTCCAGAGCGAGGTGGAGAGTGTAGTGGACTGGCAGTCACAAGACCTGGGTTCAAATCCTGTTTCGCCAGTTATTAGCTACCACTTTGAACAGGTCATATAACTAATAATAGTGCTGAGAATGATAATGATGGTGAGCTAATATCATTTATGAGCGCCTGTGAAATGCCAGGCACTATATCAGGCACTTACCTAATTAGCTCATCTAACCCTCACAGAAAATATGGTTGTGTCTTTTTATGTCAGGAACAGAGAGGGTACAGCAGTTGCTGAGGGCATGGGTGTTGGAGTCAGATGGCCTGGGCTCAGACACTGGCCCTGCTCCTTACCCTGCAGCCTTGGACAAGTGACTTAAGTTATCTACACCCTTTCCATCTGTGAAATAGGAGAAAGGTTGTTTTGAGGATTAAATGCAATCATAAATGCAAGAGGCTAAGGACCTAGAACCTGAGAAATAAAAGACAATCCAAAGCCTGGCTGTCACTCTTTTTAGAAGATGAAGTGACTTGCCAGCTAACGCGGGGGCAGAATTGGGATTGGAATCTAGATTGATGACTGAAGCCCTTGGACCTTCCTCTATCCTACCATGTCTTGGTTTCCTCACTTTAAAAATGGGGATATAGACACCTACCCTCACTGTGTCGTTGTAAGGATGAAATAAACTAAAACGTACAAAGGGCCAAGCGCAACACCAAACACAGAGCTGAGCTAGTGCACAGGAAATGTTTGTTTTATGTTTACATCCCTTCTAAAGTTCATCTGGTAGACCTGACCAATCCTTCCATCTGTTGAGATCTTTTTGAAACAAGATCCCGTCGTCCACAGTATTTGCTCTCCTCCCAGCTCCAGGTCAGCAGAACACTCACATAATTAACTATCCAGGCACTTGACCAGTCCAGATAGTCGATCTGGACCTGTGGGTCTGCATAATTCATCCTCGCCCCATTGCCCCTGATGCTGGTGAGGTGCTTCCTGCAGCTATGGAGAGCGGATGGACTGAAATGGCAGGAGAGGAGGTTTTCACAAGCAGAGAGAAGCTGGAGGAAATGTAAGGGTGGATTTGAAAGAGGGATCCATGCTCTCTGCAGCTTCTGGTGTGAAAGTTCCCCTCTGAAATCTGACAGCAGTGCCTGGCAGGCTGAGTTGGTGGGTGCCCCAGTGACAGACTCCTCTCAGCTCTCCACCTTTGCTGTGTAAGCCCAAGCCAGGACATCTGCACTCTGGCTTGTGCCTTGCGCTTATCTCTTTGACCAGCCTATATTTCTAAATAAAGCTTTTGCCAATTCCTTGGGCACTATCACTTATTCTGGGCTTGTAAAAGATCTTTAACAATGGAGAAACACTTAAAGCCTTAATAATGGTCCACATCAATTGTTTCCCCTTGTCAGCAGGATCCGAGAATGGAACTTCACAAGAGATCAATGCAAGCCTCCCAGGGCCTTCCACTGAGGCTTTCTTGCAACTGTGACCTTGACGTTTATGTAGTTATTTAATATTCAACCAAAGCATTCGTACACTTGGCCCTTTACAGTAAATATAAGTGTGCTGGACAAATGGCAGTTATGGACCAGGAAGTGAAAAATGTCAAGTTTGCACTGATGGGAAATTTTTCCCTCTGGAAAGCTTTTGCTATGCCGAAGACACTAACAGTTCAATATATTATCCAGAGCAATATTTTCTCCTTTGAATTCCATGTATATGCCTTAAATAAATTAAACTACCTGGTCAATAGTCTCCGTCACTCATTGGATTCCTGAATACTTCTGCTCTTTGCCAGAATAGTGCCATACAAATCAAGATTATTAATACTCATAGAATCATTGAATTTTTAGAACTAGAAGAATCCTCAGGGATCATCATCACCCAGTACTCTCAAAAGTCAAGGGGGAAACGGAGGCTCAGAGAGGTGACGTGACTTCCCTTGGGTCCCACAACTGGCTGGCAGTATGGTCAGGATGAGAACTGAGGTCTCCCGACCCCACCTCAAGTTTGCGGTGCCATTTTTGCCTCTAAGATAAAACTGAAGATCTCTTGTTCCTCCGCTTACTGTAGGAAAGATCCTCCTAATGTATCAGACAGCACTGAGGTCTGTACTCTGGCCTCACCCTAAAGATTTTGGCCCTGAGTATGGCCATCCAGGAACTATATCTGTAGATCCTGAGTTGGCCAGACTGCCCCAGTTTCAAATCTTCTGTCTGGGTTCCTTGCTTGTTAAAGCGCAGGTGTGATTTACAGGAAACCCTCACAATTGTTCAGAACGTGGTTCCCATAGCCACCAGACCCTTCCGCCACTACTACCCTAAAAAGAGAAACATTTTTCAGAATTCATATTCACTCTCCTCTGAGGTTTATTCAAGAATGACCCTTTCCCAGCAGTTATTAAAGTTAAAAAGTAACACGTTGGCTCTTAAAAAGAAGTCATGGACCAGAATGAAAATATCATCGATATTCCTGGGCCCCAGCCTCAGCAATTCTGATTTAATCGATCTGAGATGAGACCTGGGCATGTGTATTCTGGAAAAATCACCGCAGGTGATTCTGATGAGCACTCTGTCTGAGAATCACTAGACTAAGTGAATTAAATAAAAATACCATCTGAAACCAACATATTGAATGAAGTATTCTGCACTGGTGTTAGCTGGAGTGTGAGGAAGACTCGCGCTTATGCTACAACTGATGGTATCTCTAGTTTTATCCAAACCTGCTGTTGGACCTGAAATCCATTACCTTGTAACGGTATACACGGATGGCTGAAAGAGATACACAGAGGAGGTGGTGGCCTAATTGCCTGGCACTCCGCGGGCCTACTGAAAACTTTATGTGGCTTTTACTGCCCCCTAGTGGACATTTAGAAACCGCTACTGGGAAAGTCACCCCGTTCAAAATTCCAACACTACTGAGCAGTAAGATACTCTACTAAGACATTAAAATGGTCTTAAAGAAACACCACTACAAATGAAATATTATTCAGCCTTAAGAAGGAAAGAAATTCTCACACATGGCACAAAATGGATGCATCCTGAGGATACTATGCTAAGTGAAATAAACTAGACCCAAAAAGACAAATACTGTAAGTAAGAATGCACTTATATGAGGTACCTAGAGCAGTCAAATTCATAGAGACAGAAATTACAATGGTGTTTTCCAGGGCTGGGGTGGGAGGGAATGGAGAATTAATGATTATTGGGTACAGAGTTTCAGTTTTGCAAGATAAAATAAGTTCTGGACATGGATGATAGTTGTACAAAAATGTGAATGTACTTAATGCCACTGTACACTTAACATACATACAATGTACATTTAAAAATGGTTAATCTGGTAAATCTTGTCATGTATATTTTACCAAAATTTTAAGATTAATTTTTAATTTTTTTAAGTCATAGCTTTTGGTAAGTTAGAGATAGTACTATAGTGAAAAACAGAAAATCTGGATTTTAGTCCCAATTGTTTCTGACTGTGTGACCTCGAGAAAGTCACCTAACTTTCTGGGCTTTGTTGTAGTCACCTATAAAATAAAGGGGTCAGACTAAGGTCCCTGGCTTCCGCCAGCGAGCAAATGCTGAACCATGATTTATCTTGATATCACCACAGTCGAAGGCTGCGTTACAAACACACAAGTGGCATTCATCACGTCGGAGAGTTCCTGCTGTGCTGTTGGGATCAGCACATTGGGATGATCTATAAGAGGAGGAGATTTGGGTCTGAGATTTATGATGCATTTGAGGAAATCAGCAGGGCATTTGGAGGAAGCAAGCTAAAATGTTTGGAGGGAGAAATTCAGCAACTAGAATATCAAGCCACAAAACATTATTAGCAATGAGGGGCAGGTAAGAGGCCAATTTCTGAAGAAATACTGTGTCTGCAATACTGGGGAAGTCAAAACCAGTTAGGGCAGTCCTTTGTCACTCAGGTGGATTTGCATCCAATCTTAGCAACTCAGACCTTTGATGTCACAGGTACACGCTACAGATCTCAGGCAAAAACAAGCCTCTGGTAGACAAAATCAGTGTCACACGGTGCATGCCAGACAGGAGGCAGGGCCAGCCCCTGCCAGCCTCAGGGATATGAGCCTGGTACCCAGGGCAAATTCCTACCTCAATGTTCAGGGCAATTTCTGAGTCCACTTAAGATGGAAGGCAGTCTGCAGTGAGGTCACCTAGGGCCAGATGGAAAGGGCAAGAATGGCCTGTTGGGGCAGAGTGGGAGACAGAGCAGTGGGGCAGAAAGGAAGGACCTGGGCAGATGATGTGCTGCTTCGGTGGGGGGTTATGAAGGCAGGAGCGGGCAGGACACTTCTGGGAAACTGTAGATAGTTCCGACGGCTGGAGAACATAAGAGGTGGAGGGGGTATGCACATGGAAATCCCACTAGTGAGATTGGCAGGGGCCAGATAATACCACCACCACGAATAATAATAATAACATTAGCACACGCTTACTGAGCACTTATTATGGGTCAGGCACTGTTCTAAGCACTTTGGAGGTATTATCTCACTTAATCCTCACAACAATCCTATTTTACAGATAGGGAGAGGGAGGCCCAGAGATGTCAAGTAATTTGTCAAAGATTACACAGCCAATAGGTCACAAAGGCAGGATTTGAACCCAGGCAGGCAGATTCCAGAGCCCATGCCAGAATGAATGAGAGATGTATGAGAAGGGGATGGAGGAAGATCAGGCCTAGCTAGGAAGTAAGAGTCTCATAGGGAAGGCCCTTGAATGTTGGTTTAGAGTTTGAGCAATGTCCTAAAATGATGGGGACTCCCTGAAAGGTTTTGAGAAGAAAGCAACTTAATTAGATGTGTATTATGGGATGATGCCTCAGGCTGTCACATAGAAAATTTACCCAAGTGGTTGGATGGTCTGGGGCAGACAGGAAAAGTCCAAACTGAGGCTGCAGTGGAGTCAGAGGGAAGGACAGAGGTTTGGGAAATATTTTGGAGCTAAAATCAACAAAACTGGATGACTGGGAGAGAGAGACAGGAACATAAAGGATAATCCCCCTATGTCTAGGTAGTCACAGGGAATATAAGGGAATGAGGAAAGGCAGAGGGGAGGCAGTGGGAAGATGATGAGCTGCACAGAGGACCCTGGAGGGCACGCACCTAGAGAGGTTTGTGGTCCCTGGGAAATGTGTCTGGAGCTTGGGAGAGAGATCTGGGGTCGTCAGGCCCCCAAGGATGGCCAAGGCCCTCGCAATGGGCCAGATTATCCAGAGACAGGATAGAGAGGAAGAAGAGGGCACCTGGGAGCCAGAGGCTGGAACGGGCAGAACAGACCCCAAACACCCTGTATTTATACTCGATCTGCAGGCGAAGGATGGAGTTTCAACTGGCGAGGGACATGCATCCACGCATCACCAGGGCACCCAGGAGGAAGATAGTTTGGAAGGAATGAAACCAGGTGTAGGAAGGACCCGAGGCTATCAAAGGTCCAAAGGCCTGAGCTGGGGCAGGGACAATGCGGTTGAAATAGGGAGCTGAGAGAAGAGGTAGAATCAGGGCACCTGGTGACTGGACAGATGTGAAAGGCGAGAGAGGAAAGGGTCATGGGTGAGCTCACGGTTTGGGACTTCAGCAATTTTGGGAGGGGTGATGTTACCATTAACAGATTTAGGGACTACAGGGAGAGGAGCAGGTCTCATTGAAGGAAAGTGGGGACAAGGAGAGGAGGAATTCACTTCATCTAATGAGTATTATTTGCACGACTCCAGACAGAGCTAATTTAGGACTTTATAATATCCCGCAAGCCCTCTACTGTTCATCGGAACCAGGCCAGGTTGTCCGATATCTCCTACAGATGATTAATTCTGATACAACAACTCTCCCAAGCTTGGAAAGAATAAGAGCTGCTGTCCGACAGGGATGAGACTCAGACTCTAAACTCAGATGGCGCATACCTCGAACTGGAGCACAGGTATCCGAACAGACCTCTCAAGCTCCGTGGTGAGCGCGGGAACCACGGGCCCGTGAGAAGTAGTGCCTGCCACTGTGCAGGCAAACATTTTCAGCACTCCCTGGCTTTTGAAGAGTTCCAGTTAAGAAAATCTAAGCAGCAAAGAAAGCACCCTGTTCGGCTTATCACTGATGAGTATCCTGAGTTTACTGGGGCAGTGGCATCGATTACCCCTGAGGATTTGGGGCTGACCCCCTGCATGCACTCCTCGAGTGGCCTGGATGGTCCTCCCTTCCTTGGCAGCCAGCACCAATGCACCCTGGCAGTCTCACTTCCTGCCCTTCCCTCCTGTCCTCTCTCACCTCTATGCCTTTACACCGGCTTTCCCTGGACCTCCACCGACCTCCTGCCCTTTCTTTGCCTGTAAAGCTCCTGCCCATCATCTATGGTCCCTTGGGAAGTTCCCTCTGAGAACTGGCCTGCAACCCTCTATACAGACATCTTTTCCTTCCCAAAGTCCTTCTCCATATTGAGCTTCCCCATATCTTCATGACCAGCCCTTTGAGGTCCAGGAAGGAATCATCACTACACACACACACAGACACACACACACATGCACACACATGTATAGAGTACACACATGCGAGCACATGCACACACATGCACACGTACACACTTTATAAACAAAGAAACTGAGGCCAAGGGGCAAGGAGACTTGCCCAAGGCCACACAGCTAGTAGCAGAACCAGAACTATTAGGGAAAGTATGTGAAAACCACAATTACTTTTGCACCAACCTAAATAATACATTAAATCTTCTGATATCCAACCCTAAGCTCTTTCTACCATAATTAATTCAGGGATCTGAAGAAATCTTTCAGAAGAAACCTTGGAATAAGTACTCTCTTTCATTCTCGTTCTGAACACATTTGTTTGCTGCTATTATAAATTTTGATGCTCTGCAAAGATATTACTTTATGTAATTGCCAACTCTCCACTCTATGGAGAATGAGGAAATTGAGGCCCAGAGAGTCCAGTGAGAAATCTACAGTCATCTAGCTAGAAGGCGGAAGTAAAGCGTCAGTTCTGGGCCACGCTGCCCTTTCTTTGAAGATGTTCTCAAGTTCACTGTGGAGGTGGACACAGCATCACACGGCTGCTCAAGGCAGCTGGTGCTTCTGCTCAGAAAACTTGAGGGGCAAGGAAGAGCCTCTCCACATGCTTTACCCCAATGCCAGCCTGCTGCCAATGCAACTTAATGGACCCTGCTTTTGGAGAACAGCAGCCTTCTGTGAGCCATAATCTACCCATCATTAGTGAGCAACAAAAAAGCCTCTCTAGAACACGCCCGGGACACTGAAACCTGTTTGATAGGAAGGGCCGTCGTACCGTGAGACTCTCCATTTTCCTCTCAGGTCCCTTCTCACACCCTGCCCCTAACTGCTGGAGCTGAGGGGAGTGAGAACACAGCCTGGCGAGTCAGCCCTGCCTGGCCTCCCCACTCCTTCCCCACAGTGCAGTCCCAGCCAGCCTCTGTCCAGCCCCACCTAATTCCCCTACCATGTGGGTTCTAAGCCCAGCTTGCTTGGCCTAAAGCCTAGCTTCCTAAGGACCCTGGGTGACACAGGCGCACGTGGGGGCCCTCAGACTGCAGCTTCCCTTTACCTCCTCCGAGTCCACATACTGGGTGTCTGCAAGCAGCAGCTGCAGAGAGGGCGTGGGCTTCGGAGTCAGGCAGACCTGGGTTCAGATCTCAGCTCAGCCACTTCCTAGCTGTAGGACCTTGGCCAAGCTACTTACTCCCTCTTATGGTACTATTTTTAGCATTTCATTTAATTTGTATTAGGCTGCCTTGGTTTCCTGATCATCCTCCTAAGTGATCAGATTCCCAGGTGAGGCTCATTCCAACCTACTTGGAGGGAGTCTCAGCTCCTGCCTATCCTATCCTATCCTCCAGTGCTCGCCCATGGGTGGCTGGGACCCGTCTCCTGAGACTCGGCTGTTTCCTGGGTCTGCCTGGGTGTCAGCCTCTCATTTCCCAACTCCTGGGGGCCACCCCATCAGAGTCCAGCCCACAGCCTGCCTCGTCTCCCTGGCCCACAGCCTCATTCTCCTCCCCCAGGTCTCCTACTGAGAGCCCAGAAGACATCACAGCTGAGCCTGCCTGGAACATAACACTCCACTGCTGAGTAAGCTCCCCTTGCAGCTAAAATTGTTTTTCCAATAGTGAGGATTTCCTGCTAATGAACTGGCTACATAATCTTCAGCTCACTTCCGAATGTATACGACTGGTTATAGTCACAGGCGCTTCAGATCACTGGGCCCAGCTTTTCCTCCTTCCCCACACCACAGTCCTATGTCCCTTGCAGTCCTGCCATAATTTACACATTAAGTCGCTTAGGGTTTTTTTCATTTTGTTTTGTTTGTTTGTTTTGTTTTTTTGAGACAAAGTCTTGCTCTGTCACCCAGGCTGGAGTGCAATGGCGTGATCTCGGCTCACTGCAACCTCCGCCTCCTGGGTTCAAGCGATTCTCGTGCCTCAGCCTCCCGAGTAGCTGGGATTACAGGCACCCGCCACCACATTCGGCTAATTTTTGTATTTCAGTAGAGACGGAGTTTCACTACGTTGGTCAGGCTGGTCTCAAACTCCTGACCTCAAGTGATCCACCCGCCTCGACCTCCCAAAGTGCTGGGATTACAGGTGTGAGGCACCGCACCCAGCCTAAACTTTTTTTTTTTTAATGCAAGAATATCAATGTCTTATTTTGCAACACTCAAACAAGGTGCCCTCCCTCCCAGTGCTCTTTTCGCTAAACTAGCAGTATTGCTCAATTGCAGTATTGAGCAATTGCAGTATTGATCAGTGCCAGGCAGTGCACTAGGCACGTCAATATGTATACATGAGATCTAATCCTACAAGACAGGCAATAGCATTTTCATTCACTTATTCATTTGTTTGTTTGTTTATTGTCTTGCTATGTTGCCCAGGCTAGTCTCGAACTCCTGAGCTCAAGCAGTCCTCCTGCCCCAGCCTCCCAAAGTGCTGAGATTATGGGCATGAGCCACTGTACCCGACCCAGAATTTTCATTTTTAGGCTTTGTAACTAGAGGTTTCTCCCCATATTCCAAGATCCTACAAAAAAGTGGCAGAGTTAACTACACTGCTAACTCCTTGAAGACAGGGGCAGTATTTCCCTCATCCCTCGATTCTCTTGCCCACTACATCCCCAGCTATCACTGGAAGAGCCTTAATGGAGGCGGACTCAGTAAATGCTTATGGGAACCCACCTCTGTCTCATTTGGTTCAATGCTGTCATGTTCTATCCAGGATCACAGGTGACATTTCTTCAAACGCTAATCCTGGGTGATGCCAACCACTTCCTGGACTTCAGTTAAAGTATGCCCCAAAAGCAGATAACTCCCCACTCTCTATCTCTGGAGCGTACCTCTCTTGGGCTCCAGACTCATACAATGAGATATGTCAAATATGACACGTCCAAAACTAAGCTCATTGTCTTTTCTCTCAAATCTACCCCTCCTGTGTTCCCTCTAACAGTAAACATTACCACCATCCATCCATGTCCCCAAGCCAGAGATCTGAGATCACCTTCTCCCACATCACTCACCCCCACCCAGTCATCAAATTGACATTTCTCCATCTGAACACACCTTACAGTCCCTGAATCGTCTCAGCATTTCTCACCTGAATTGCTGCAATAGCTTCCTAGGTGACCTGACTGCAGTACAAGCTCTGTGCTGGGCACTTCCCATACATTAGTTTCCATTCTAATAAGCAACCCTGTGAGATAGGCATTAAAGGGTGAGCCACATCAAACTGTCATTTTTATAAGCCAAACCCAGCTACACACACACCCACACACGTGCGCGTGCACACATTTGCATGTGATTCAACCTCATACTATTATTATTACCCACCAGCCCCCATCACAGGCAAGGAAACTGAGATTTACAGGGTAATTTATTTCCCCAATCACACATTTTATACCCTGGGGAGCCAGGATCTGAACATGGGTGTGTGTTCAAATTTCCAAAGGCCACACTTTTTCTGCTAAATCATATCATCTTCAGGTCCACATATCAGTTCCTAGAAGAATGCTCACAGCCCTAAATACATTACTTAGAGTATTAATACATCTTAATACTTTTATTAGAGGTGTTTGAACCAGAGCCACTCCATCTTAAATAGGATCTGGGTAGAATGAGGCTAAAACCTACTGTGCTGCATTCGCAGAAGGTGAAGGCATTCTAAGTCACAGGATGAGACAGGAGGTCAGCACAATATACAGGTCATAAAGACCTTGGTGATGGCTGGGTGCAGTGGCTCACGCCTGTAATCCCAGGACTTTGAGAGGCCGAGGCAGGCGGATCACGAGGTCAGGAGATGAAGACCATCCTGCCTAACACGGTGAAACCCCATCTCTACTAAAAATACAAAAATATTAGCCAGATGTGGTGGCGGGCACCTGTAGTCCCAGCTACTCTGGAGGCTGAGGCAGGAGAATGGTGTGAACCCAGTAGGCGGAGCTTGCAGTGAGCCGAGATCTCACCACTGCACTCCAGCCTGGGTGACAGAGTGAGACTCCGTCGCAAAAAAAAAAAAAAAAAAAAAAAAAAGACCTTGCTGATAAAACAGCTTGCTGTCAAGAAGCCAGCTGAAACCCACCAAAACCAAGATGGCAACAAGAGTGACCTCTGGTCATCCTCACTGCTACACTCCCACCAGCGCCATGACAGTTTACAAATGGCATGGCAACGTCAGGAAGTTACACTATATGGTCTAAAAATGGAGGCATGAATAATCCACCCTTTGTTTAGCATGTCATCAAGAACCATAAAATGGGCAACCAGCTGCCCTCGGGGCTGTTGTATGGAGAAGCCATTCTTTTATTTGTCTACTTTCTTAATAAACTTGCATCCACTTTACTTTACGGACTTGCCCTGAATTCTTTCTTGCACGAGATACAAGAACCCTCTCCTGGGGTCTGGATCAGGACCCGTTTCTGGTTACACTTTAAAATGTTATTAACAGTAATACATAACAGTAACAACTACCATTTATGGGCACCTATAAGGTGCCTTACAATAGTTATTTCACTTAATCTCCACAGCTAAGTTATGAGAAATCTACTGATATTGGTTTTTTTCTTTTTCAGGTTTTGTTTTGTTTTGTTCTTCAGTACCTTGTTTGTGTGTATGTGTGTGCAACACTGTTTTTTGGTTTTTGTTTTCTTGACATGGAGTCTCACTCGTCGCCCAGGCTGGAGTGCAATGGCGTGATCTCGGCTCATTGCAACTGCGGCCTCCGAGGTTCAAGTGACTCTCCTGCCTCAGGCTCCCGAGTAGCTGGGATTACAGGCGTGCACCAACACACCTGGCCAATTTTTGTATTTTTAGTAGAGACGGGGTTTCCCCACGTTGGACAGGCTGGTCTCCAACTCCTGACCTCAGGTGATCCACCCACCTTGGCCTTCCAAAGTGTTGGGATTACAGGCTTCCAGGCGTGAGCCACCGCACCCAGCTGCAACACTGTTCTTAATAATGTTACAAATAAGGATCTGAGACTGAGCAAAGCCAGGTGACCTGCAGATCACACAGGAGGTGGTGAGCCAAGAGGCAGGGGGTGGGAATCATGAAGGGGGAAGGGGGGGCGGGACAGGGAAGCTAAGCCTACTTCAGGGGTCAAGGTCGCCAAGATGGACACTCGCCCTGAGTCCCAGCGGCACAGCCTGTGCTTGGATCAGGTTCACAAGCCCAGGGTGGGCAGAGACAGCAGTGCAGAGCTGGTGCTTCTGGGCAACAGCTCTGACCTCTAAAGAGAACTGGCTGGAAACCAACACACCAAGAGGATAGTTTTAAACACCCACCCAGCCACTCAGAGAGCCTGGTCAGGGCAGCCAAATGCCTGCCCAGGAACGGGACACTCAGCCTGATCATTTACACCATGAGAGTGAGAACAAGATCTGCTGCAAGCCTCTGGATTTCAACTGCTGGTTTAAATTTCAAGGAGAAGCACGAAGGTGTTGACATGTAAGGAATTACTTGTACATGCCTTTGATCACCCTAAAACTCCAGGGTGTTCTAAATGAGTGTGCTGGTTGGAAGCCAAGCTGAGCTGAGTTCTACAAAGGAACTCCTACTGTGCCACTGGAGGCTGCTACAGAAGCCACGTTTCCTTAAATCAACACTGCCTGTTTCCCCAACTTTCATTTCAATGGCATCAGGTGGCCACGGGAAAACAGGACCTTGGGCTAAGCCCCCTCTCATGGGCTCCCAGGAAATGTTAGCCCGGCACCTGCTTCCTGACCTCTGGCCAGTCACTTCACCTGGGTGTTCATTTGCAAGGAAACCTCTCTGCTTCCTTAATAAATCAGAGAGGGACACTGAAGGCAGCCTCTCTTTGGGGAAACAGATGCCCCGACTGCTCTTCCAAATTTACTTTCCCTTTGGGGATATCTCGCTAGCCACTACCACGACCACAACGGTCTTAGGACAGGGAGGGAAGTTTTGATACCCTTTAATGCTCTGGACAACACCTGGGCTCCAACTCTTTCCTTAGGCCCCTGTAGCCATAGACATAGCTTCTGAGATTTTATTAATGACTCAAGGAGAGGAGAAGGGAAATAAATACAGAGAAAAGCACTGATAATTGTGTTTACAGGATACTCTCATCTCAGCATGACAAAGCTCTTTAGTTTGCTCTTAGATGGCAGAGGCAATGTTTTCCCATCCCCTGGGAAAACATCCAGATTCCCTGGAGGCTCAGCTTTAAGAGATCTCCAGTGGCTGGGTGCGGTGGCTCATGCCTGTAATCCCAGCACTTTGGGAGGCTGAGGCAGGCGGATCACGAGGTCAAGAGATCGAGACCATCCTGGCCAACATGGTGAAACCCCCGTCTCTACTAAAACTACAAAAATTAGCTGGGCGTGGTGGCGCATGCCTATAGTCCCAGCTACTTGGGAGGCTGAGGCAGAAGAATCTCTTGAACCTGGGAGGTGGAGGTTGCAGTGAGCCGAGAGCACACCACTGCACTCCAGCCTGGCAACAGAGTGAGACTCTGTCTCAAAAAAAAAAAAAAAAAAAAGAGATCCCCAGCGTGTCGAGCCTCCCTGCCAACCCACCGGACATTGGAAAGTCCACCCAGCTTAGGAAAACCTCACCTATGACCCACAAAGACAGAACAGCTATGCCACAGTCTCAACAGGACAGCTATTTCAGGATGTCAAGATAGAATACCATGAGCTAAACAGCCACAGAAGAAATATGTATAAGAAATAGCAAGGTATGTGTTACTCAATAGCATCAATATCTTCATCTGTCAAAGAGAGATGATCATAAAACCTCTCCGGTCCAGCACTTCCCAGACTTGCATGGTCAGGGAATGCTTTTAAAATTATAATGTACTTGGGGGACATCAATAGGCACTCATACATATTCAGATTAATAATGTGGACTGATTATAATGTCATATATAAGATATGGTGATATGGTGATGTTAGTCAATGGTGACGTTAGTCAATATATATTATAACATTTTAGCAATTAATCTGTGAGACCATTTACTTTTTTGCCTTCAACTTTAATCGAAATATGCATACGTTCCTTTTTTTTTTTTTTTTTTTGAGATGGAGTCTCGCATTGTCGCCTAGGCTATAGTGCAGTGGTGCAATCTCGGCTCACTGCAACCTCTGCCTCCCAGGTTCAAGCGATTCTCCTTCCTCAGCCTCCTGAGCAACTGAGATTACAGGCACCTGCCACCACACCCAGCTAATTTTCTTGTATTTTTAGTAGAGACAGGGTTTCTCTATGTTGGTCAGGCTGGTCTCGAACTCCTGACCTCGTGATCCACCCGCCTCAGCCTCCCAAAGCGCTGGGATTACAGGCATGAGCCACCGCACCCAGCTGCATACATTCCTTCTTTATGTTTTGCCTGTATGATGTTTAAAGTGTCTCGGCCAGGCATGGTGGCTCATGCCTGTAAAATCCCAGCACTTTGGGAGGCCGAGGTGGGTGGATCATGAGGTCAGGAGTTTGAGACTCCTGACCAACATAGTGAAACCCCGTCTCTACTAAAAATACAAAAATACAAAAAGTGGCTGGGTGTGGTGGCACGCACCTGTAGTCCCAGCTACTCAGGAGGCTGAGGTGGGAGAACTGCTTGAACCCAGGAGGCGGAGGTTGCAGTGAGCCGAGACCACGCCATTACACTCCAGCCTGGATGACAGAGTGAGACTCCATCTCAAAAAAAAATAATAAAATAAAAATAAAAAGTACCTCATGGTTATCTAACCAAAGGGTGAAATTCAAGAGCAGCAGAGATAAATCTGGCTGATTTTCCTCTGATAAATCATTTTGTCCTGAGCTTGAAGCCCTTTCTGGAAGATGCTCCAAACATGTCAGACTGGGGGAAGGAAAGAGAAAGAGAAAGAAACTAATATGCATTGAGCATCAGGATGCTGAATGCTTTACAGCATTTTTTTTTTTTTGAGACTGGGTTTCACTCTTATTGCCCAGGCTGGAGTGCAATGGTGCGATCTCTGTTCACTGCAACCTACACCTCCCAGGTTCAAGCACTTCTCCTGCCTCAGCCTCCCAAGTAGCTGGAATTACAGGCATGCACCACCATGCCCAGCTAATTTTGTATTTTTTTTTAGCAGAGACAGTGTTTCACCATGTTGGTCAGGCTGGTCTCAAACTCCTGACCTCAGGTGATCCACCCACCTCAGCCTCCCAATACAGCATTCTTATTAATACTCTCTCGTTCATCTTTCCAACGCCCTTATGAGATAGCGATTATTTGAGTTTGATAGACTGAAAGCAGTACTGCAAGGCCACATATGTCACCGTGGATGGAATCAAATGCAGTCTGGCCAGCCCCAGGGCCCAAGTCTTTCCATGACACCACGTTGGCGGAGGCCATGGGGCAGTGAGCCTCAGTGTACCTGCTCACACTTGAGTAGTCTTTGCCTTCCTACTGTAATAAAAGCTCCACAAAGACAAGAACCACATCAGCTTGGTTCAGCACAATACTCTCAGTGCCAAGTACAATGCCAGAGACTGAAGAAAGCCCAGGAGACATGGATACAATTTTGGCATTTCTAAAGGGTTCTCATAGGGGCTATAGGTAACACCCATGTCCCTGGGATCAAGAGGGCCTAACTGCTCCCAGAGAGGACAGAAAGGAGGATGAGACACAGGGAGAAACGTGTCAACTCAGGAATATTTTAAAAGAGCAGTCCTGTCATGTGACAAAGTACCTTGAGAAATAGTAAATTGCCCGTTTCTGAAGATGATCAAGTACAGGCTGGAGCCTGATCATCTGTCCGGGTGCGGAGGGGATTCACTCGGCGGGGGAGTGGCCTGGATGGTCTCTCAGGTCCTTTCCAACCCCTAAGATTAGGTTATTTGTTGGTACTGACTTCAACTCAAGGCCCAATTAGTGTCTGACTTGCTATGTGACTCAGCCAAGTCTCTTTCCCTCTCTGGGTCTCAGTTTCCTTATCTGTACGATGGAGGCATCTGTATGAATAACCCCATTGATAATTCTGCTCAGGGCTTCCAAGATCCTACACACTCTCTAAAGAACAAGGGTTATGATAAGGTTGCCTGCAGGGTGGCATTGGGCTAAGAGGTCACAAACCTTCTTGCTGGTGCCCTCTCTGCACACAAGTTCTGGCTACCCTGGCAATGAACTCAGGCCACTTCCCCAGCCAGGCAGGGAGACAGACCAGGTCCATTCTGATTCAGAAATTAAGTGGGAATCAGGCAAACCAGTAGTATTAAACATAATTCTGGAATGTGTCAAAAATCAAATGCCCTCCAGCAATATAACAACATGTTCTTCAAGGAAGAGAGATGAAAATCCTTCTGCTCCAGAAGGATCCATCCGTGTAACTCAGTGGAGCTGGTACTGCCACCTAGGGAGGGTTTTGGAAATTTCCAGGGGTGTTTCTCACTGTCACAATGTATGGAAGTTATTACTGGGCAGAGGCCTGGAGTGCCACACAGACAGCCATGAGCTGGGCAGTCCTGCCACACCTTAATAAAGGTGAATAATCTATCTGTATATAACATGAAGACAGCCTAGACTCTAACTCCATGTTACATATAAAGTGTTTTTACAAGGTTCAAACTGAGTATCACAATATTCCAAGAATATAAGAATCATGTAAATAAGGGCCAGGCACAGCGGCTCACGCCTGTAATCCCAGCACTTTAGGAGGCCAAGGCGGGTGGATCACTTGAGGTCAGGAGTTCGAGACCAGCCTGGCCAACATGGTGAAACCCCTGTCTCTACTAAAAATACAAAAATTAGCCAGGCATGGTGGCGGGTGCCTGAAATCCCAACTACTCAGGAGGCTGAAGCAGAAGAATTGCTTGATCCCAGGAGGCAGAGGCTGCAGTGAGCTGAGATGGCACCACTGCACTCTCCAGCCTGGGTAACAGAGTGAGACTATCTCAAAAAAAAAAAAAGAATTATGTAAAGAGAGAAATTACATTTTGCTTTTTTTTTCTGGATTTTTTTTTAGTTTATTTGATATTTCAGAAACATCACATCACTAATGATATTGCGGACCATGGTATTTGAGTCACTCATACAACACCCAGTGATTATATAGGAAAATAGTTCAAAATGTTACATATGAAGAAATATTAGAGAGACTATAATAACTAATCAAATATTGTCTCACTTTTCTTATATCTAAACTTATTCATTATAGGTAGTGGTAGCATCTGACCACTTTATTATGTCACAGAGTATAACGGTGCCAAAGCATTTACTTATTGAATTGTATAGCATTTCATTATAAAGAGCTTTTCTGGCCACATGTGGTGGCTCACACCTGTAATCCCAGCACTTTGGGAGGCCAAGGCGGGAAGATTACTTGAGGCCAGGAGGTTCAAGACCAGCCTGGCCATCATGATGAAACCTCATCTTTAATAAAAATACAAAAATTAGCCAGGTGTGGTGGCACACGCCTGTAATTCCAGCTACTCTGGAGGCTGAGGCATGACAGTGTCTTGAAACTGGGAGGCGGAGGCTGCAGTGAGCCAAGATCAAGCCACTCCACTCCTCGGTGGCAGAGCGAGATACTCTGTCAAAAAAAAAAAAAAAAAAAAAAAAAAAACTTTTCCTTATTTTTCTGCTTTAGCAAGCATTTAGGGTGGGGTTGTTTTTATTTTAACTACATGTATAGGTTGCTTATATTTCATTTCAGGATACTAAACAGAATATCACAAATAATTTGGATTAAAAGTAGGGGAGAGGGCACTGGAATGACACCCCTGTAGCAATAAGCACACCTGGCACTCATGAAAAGAAACCAGGCTTTCTTGGAGAATTGGCTGAGTCCAGGGCAGGGCAGGAAAAGTATAAGAAAAGCCTGGAATGTCTTGTTGTGGCAGAAGTAAAAGGGTGCTCAGAAAATGACCCTGTCTCTACTAAAAATACAAAAAAATTAGCTGGGTGTGGTGGCGGACGCCTGTAGGAGGCTGAGGCAGGAGAATCACTTGAACCCGGGAGGCAGAGGTTGCAGTGAGCCAAGATCACGCCGCTGCACTCCAGCCTGGGCAACAAGAGTGAAATTCCATCTCAAAAAAAAAAAAAAAGAAAAAAGAAAAGAAAAAAAAAAGGATTCAGGCCCCCATGGCCAAATCTCAAATAAATTTGAGCATCAAAATAGATATTGATGGTAAAATATTATAACCCACAGAATAAAGTAAGAATCCATGAGTGCACACTAACAGGCATGCACACATACATAGATAGTTAAATCAGAAGGCAAAGCTCTCCCTTTTAGTAGAAACTCAGCTAACAAATGCAGAAGGGAAGATAGAGGTAGATAATCACTAATTGGCAACATCACAATAATAACCGATTCAGGCAAGAATCCTTAACAGAGGTGAAGACTTGGAGGCGGGGGAAAGTCTGAGGAGTAACAGGACATTACGTAGTCTTAAAGTATCTTCCCACAAGATACTTACTAATTAGAAAGGGGAAAATAGCAACTTTTCCATGAAAATCTGGCAGACACCACCTTAGCCAAATGATTAAAGTTGACATTACCAGTAATAAGACAGAAGGACATCATGTGCCTCCAGATATGATACCCACGAGAAAAACACAATGTTGCTTCTGTGGTACTCCTGCCAAAAATGTGTATCCTGGATCTAATACTGAGGAAACCCCAGACAAACCCAAATTGAGGGGCAGTGTACTAAGTAGCCTGTGCTCATCAAAAATACCAATGTCATGAAACACAAAGAAAGACTGAGAAATTCTTCCAGATTGAAGGAGACTAAAAAGACACAACAACCAAATGTGATGCACAATCCAGGACCTTCTTTTGCTATACATTATTTGGATAATTGTCAAAATCTGAATGGGAAACAGTCGACCAAATAAAGAGACAACCTATGGAATGGGAGAAAATATTTGCAAACCAGACATCTGATAAAGGGTTAATATCCAAAATATATAAGGTACTCAGCTCAGTAGTAAGAAAACAAATAACCCTATTAAAGAATGGGCAAAGAATCTGAATAGATATTTGTCTAAAGAAAACATACAAATGGCCAATGGGATATGAAAAAATGCTCAGAATCACTAATCATCAGAGAACTGCAAATTAATAACCCAATGAGCTGTCACCTGTTAGAACAGCTATTATCAAAAAGACATGATCTTGGCGATGATGTGGAGAAAAGGGAACCTTTGCACACTGTTGGTGGGAAGGTAAATTAGTATGGCCATTATGGAAAACAAAAAAACTAAAAATAGAACTACCCATCATGATCCAGAAATCCTACTGGGTTTTTATCCAAAGGAAATGAAACCAATATGTTGAAGAGAGATCCGCACTCCCGTGCTTATTGCAGCATGATTTGCGATAGCCAAGATACGGAATCAACCTGTGTCCGTCGCGGGTGAATGAATGAAGAAAATGTGGCATGTCTACACAATGGAATATAGTTCAGCCTTAAGAAAGAAGGAAATCCTGTCATTTGCAACAACTTGGATGAACCTGAAGGACGTTAAGCGAAATAAGCCAGGCACAGAAAGACAAATACTGCATGATCTCACTTATCTGTGGAATCTAAATAAGTTGAACACACAGAAGTAGAGAATAGAATGAGGGTTACCAGGGGCTAGGGGCATTGGGGAGCTATTTGTCAAAGGATACAAAATTTCAGTTAGATTAGAGGAATAAGTTCAAGAGATCTATTGTACAACATGGTGAGTATAGTTAATAACAATGTATTGTATTCTTGAAAATTGCTACTAAGAGAGTAGATATTAAGTGTTCTCACCACAAACAAAAATGATATATATGTGAGGTAATCTGCATGTTAATTAGCTCAATTTAGCCATTCCATAATGTATGCATATTTCAAAACAACATGTTGTACATGATAAATACATACATTTTTTATTTGCCAATTAAATATTTATTTTAACATAACAAAATGATAATTTTATTAAGTAAACAATAAAAATACAAATTTATTAAAATTTAAAAAATTTTTAATATCTACTCACTGTTAACTTCACCAGCTTTTTTGATGTGAAAATCTAATAAAATGAATGATGCATAAATATTTACCTGTACATTACTTATTGTTCTCTATTCTCTGTATAGTATATATGTAGACATATATGTATGTACTCTATATACCATAATGTGTACATAAACACATTTACTATATAAACACTATATATAAGTAGATATACATAAAGAACACATATATGCACATATATAATACTATATACTGTCCAGAGAAGAATGAATGTTGTATATATATATATATGACTTTAAATAAAAGTTTAAAATATATATATGACTTTGTATACACACATAGCCATTTTAGTGTCTGCTTCATAAAACTATAGAATAATAGAGATGTACTAATTTCAAGGGGTTATATGAATCCATTCCATGATTTCAGATAGTTAGAAATCTAAATCCAGTCCATGAAGGCTGATCTATTTTCTTCTTTGCTATCTCTAGAGATGGCTACTATATATAATTTTAATAAATAATCATATAATTTCCCATAAACTAAATTTAATTCTCTAATATTTGTTTCTCTTTTTCCACCTTCCTCTTTGTCTTTGTATCTCTCCAAGAGAAACTGTATCCTACGTGGTCATTAAACCTGTATAAATAGACTAGTATTGAGCTTTATTATGTTTTTCTTAACATTATTTCATGTATTAATATTGCCTCTGAAGTGCCTTCTAATGTTTAGTTAATCTGACAGTTCATTCTTCCTTATAAATTACCTTTATCATTTAACACAAGTCTCTTTCCTCTTAATCATCATTTAATACAACTGACACACAATGAAAGTTGTATTAAGTGAAAATGAAAACCATGTCGACTCCCTCCCTTTATAAAAATGAGATTCAGGTATTGCTTAAAACGAAAATACATCTATTTTTTCTTGCTGCAATTGTAACACCCCTTTAGAGCCTCCTCAATGAAGTGAGATTATTTCAGCCCTCTATCTCAGGGGCTGGCAAACTTTGGAGCGTGGTTCAAGTATACCAGTGCCTGTTTTGTAAAGAAAGTTTTCTCATTTACGTATGGATGGTCTATGTCTGCTTTCACACTCCAACAGCAGAGCTGAGTATTTATGACAGAGACTCTATGACCTACAAAGCTGAAAAGAGTTACTATCTGGCTTTTACAGGAAGTTTGCCATCCTCTGCAATGGAGGGACATCTAACCATTAGTTATGCTGCTACAAAAACAAGCATTCAAATATAGTATTGTTAGCTGTATTGACAAATGTATCCAATCGAAGGACAGCTTTCCATGGGCATTTGAATATTCCATATCACATCTGTTTACATTTAATAGGTTATTTCCAAGGTAATTCTCTCTAGAACTGAAATCTGCCAAAATGTCCTCAAAATCAGAGTTGTAGTTTACATGATAGTTAAAAATATGGCTTTCAGTGTCTGATAGGTCATGATTCAAAGCAAGATCTGCCACCTAATGGTTGTTAGTACCTGCTAAGTACCTAGAGAGGAATGCGTAAGCTTGGGCATGGCACTTGAACTCTCTAAGCCTTTGATATGGTTTTGCTGTGTCCCTACCCAAATCTCATCTTGAACTGTAGCTCCCATAATTCTCACATGTCACAGGAGGGACCTGGTAGGAGATAATTGAATCATGGGGTCAGTTTTCCCCATACTGTTCTTGTGGTAGTGAATAAGTCTTATCAGAGCTGATGGTTTTACAAGGAGTTTCTCCTTTCTCATGGCTCTCATTCTCACTTGCCTGCCACCATGTAAGATGTACCTTTTGCCTTCCGCCACGATTGTGAGGCCTCCCCAGACACATGGAACTATGAGTCCATTAAACCTCTTTTTCTTAATAAATTACTCAGTCTCAGGTATGTCTTTATCAGTAGCATGAAAACAGACTAATATAGCCTTATTTTATTCTCCTTATTTATAAAATGGAGGTAATAAGAGTATCCATCTTATAGGTGTAATGTGAGAATTAAATAAGAAAAAAAGTATATAATGTATTCACGATTATAGCCAGAGCATGTGATGTATGCCCCATAACTAGTGTGTGTTTTTAAATAACCCTAGTCAATATATAAAAAATTACAATTTTAAAATCTGAATAAATTCTGAAAATGATAATACTAGATAGCTGTTGATTTCATGATTTTGATAATGACACTGGTTATGAAAGAAAGTGCTCTTATTTTTCAGAAATACACACAGAAGTGGTTAGGGGTACATATAGGAACATCATGTATGCAACATACTCTCAAAAAGGAGAGAGACGGCAGACATCAATGTTAACATCTGGGGTTGCATGGAGGATATGTAGAAATTATTTGTATTATTCTTACAATTTATCAGTAAGTCCAAAATTATGTCAAAATAAAAAGCTAAAAGAAAAAGAAGGGATCCTTAGGTCCAAACACACAGAGAAGAACTGTTATCGATATATTCTAGCCAAACATATCCTTTTATCTTATTCTTCTAATCCTTCTAGCAAATGTACAGGGTTAATTTCAGAAGGAAGGTGGGAGAAGAGGGTGCATGTTTGCGTGAGGGGAAAGGACAAGAGAATCCTTTCATTAGCAAGGCCAGAAAATTTGATTACATCACCTTTCTAAATTCAAATCTCTACTTTGCTTTGCCTTTCATTAGAACCCCTCCAAGATACAATTACACAGAAAAGAAGTTGAACAAGAAACAGAATAGGAGAGATTTCTTTCTTTCTTTGGAGATGAGGAAAAAGGGTAGAGCAGAGCAATTTTTATAATTTCCTTTTGAAATAGGCATTGAAGTCAAGATTGGCTCTGCTCTTTTCTCGTAGAAAATTAGACATCTCTAGTCAAGTGACTCAGGCTACATCACTAAGAACTTTTGCAAAATGAAATGAAAGGACAAAAATTGAAGGGTGAAAGATGACCTTTAACTTCCTTTGGGGAAGCAAGGTTTTCTTGACCTTTAAAATAGACTGTCCCAGAAAAATGTTTACTTCTCCTACTTTTTCTTTTTAAAAGCTTGCCATTAGAGAGAGAGAGAAAAAAAAAAGCATATTAAAGCAGTGGCCCTCTAATGATCGTATTCATCTCAAAATTCCACATAATAAATCAGTACGGCAAGGTAGCAAGATTGTAATACTTGTGATTTAAAACATTAAATGTATTGGGGGCAAATTGAAGTTTAGAAAATTAAACAATAAGCTCCTAGTATGAGAAGTGTTATTGCACAGGACTGTCTCTGGCAGGAGGAAAAAATACACATACACACACACACACGCACACACACACACACACACACACACCAAGTTAAGCCAAACAGGGATACAATTCAGTCAAAAAGAAGTCTTAGCTCTTTTCTTCTCCTAAGTGATCTATCATCATATAATGAGATAATTCATCTCAAGATCAGATTTTTATTAAAAATTAAAATATATTCATTTCCACATTTTCAAAAAGCCATGAAGACCCAGAACACTTTGTCTAAGCATTCTTAGCTCCAGCTTAGATTTCCATTTGAAACTGCAAATCCTTTCTTAATATTCATTCATTTCACACATACACCTGAGGGTCCCCTTTGTGTTGGGCACTGGGGAGCAGAAATAAATCTGACCAGATTCCAGTTCCTCAAGGGACCCCCAGTTTAACAGGGAGAGCAGATAAGTAAATGTCCACTTAGTGAGGGGATAGAGTGTGATTCTCCTAGCAAACCTCTGATGCTACAGATGAGGAAATTGAGGCTCAGAGTAATTAACTTACCCGAGGGATACACTTAGGAAGTAATGAAGAAAGGATTTCAACCCAGGTCTATTCTGACCCCAAACCCTTGCCTCACTGTCTCTCAGCCTGGAACACTGCAAATAGCATATTTTAGGGTCCTATAATTGAGAGAGTACAGGATTGGGATCAGAGGACAGAGTGGTCAACTATCCCACATTCAAGGCAGCAGGGGTATAGGAGGTGGAGTAGGGGAGGAAGTATCAGAAAGGGCCTTCACAGATTTGGAGACATCGGCTCTGAACAAGGATACGTAGCAAAGGTTTGTGCAGTGAAGAAGAGGAGGAAGGGTCTCCCAACAGAGGAAATGGCGGCAAGGGCAACAGTCAAGAAGTGTGAGAACCTTGATAGATATGAATCTTTCTGAATGGCCTTCAGAAGGAGCCAACAGGAAGGATGCCTTGGCTTAGCCAATATCTGCTAGTCTCAGCGAATCACACCACAGGGATTGTGCAGGAATGTGCAGATACAGCTTCAGTTCCTCACCTGGGAGGGGGTGAAGCTGAGATAAAGGAATTGCGATTGCCTGGGGGTTGCCACAGCCAGCCCCACAGAGGCAGCCATACCGTAGCCTTCATTATTGGCTGTGATGCTGAGCCCCAGGCTACACTGACCCCAGCATTAGCAAGATGATGATGGATTACATAAAGCCCTTTGTGCTCCAACTGAAACCCTGGCAGCAGAAACTTGTGCAGAATTTTAACTCCAATGAAGAGTTTTATGAAAGTCCAGGAAAGCCAAACCCAGAGAATCACAAAAAATTAGAAGAAAGGGATCTTAGTGAAAATCTACAATCTCCTCCTTTTGCAGAAGAGGCACTGAAGAAGCCTTGGCGGGTGGGGGAAGGCTAGATGACTTGGCCAGGGTCTCATAGTCAGTGAAAAGGTAGAGTCCTGACTTGAACCTATGGTCAGGCACGTGGCTCACACCTGTAATCCCAGTACTTTGGGAGGCAGAGGTGGGCAGATCACTTAAGGCCAGGAGTTCGAGAGCAGCCTGGCCAACATAGCAAAACCCTGTCTCTACTAAAAATACAAAAATTAGCTGGGCATGGTGGCGCAGGCCTGTAATCTCAGCTACTCAGGAGGCTGAGGCAGGAAAATTGCTCGAACCCAGGAGGCAGAGGTTGCAGTGAGCCGAGATCGTACCACTGCACTCCAGCCTGGGAGACACAGCAAGACTGTCTCAAAAAAATAAAAATGAAATAAAATAAAAAGACTTGAACCTCTGTCTCCTAACTCCAGTTCAGTGTTTCATTTCACTTGAAATGACTGCATAGGAACTTTTCCTGACTTCTCCACCTTCCCACCTTCCCCACTCCATGTTATGCTGGTTTCCATAGTGCCTGTGTTTAATTCCATCCCAGCTTGGACCATCCGTCTCCTCTGCTAAGCAGGACCCTTCATTGGAAGCCAAGACTATATGTTTTGTCTGACTCCCCAGTCTGCCAGGGCTGGACATATAAAGGGCACTTAGTAAATATTTGTTCACACTAAAGGAAACTGTGACAGAGTCAGAAGATGTGGGTCTTAGTCCCAGCTACATGAACCTATAGGCCATGGGACTGTGGGCCAGTTACTCAACCCTCTGAATCTCAGCTTCCTCATCTATAAGATGATGAATAAGAACATGATGTAGTGGAAAGATGACGGGATGTAGACCCTATAAATGTCCAACTGAATGAATGAATGGTCACCTTCCTCTACCAGAAATCCTGAGGGCAAGGGGATTTCTAACTTGTTTTGTATCCACAGCACTTGGCACTTAGCAGGCCTCGGGAAACGATTGCACTAAACCACATAAGAATATCTGAGTACACCAGCAGTTGTATAACCGGGAGCAAGTACCTGTGATTCTGATCCTTTATTTCCTCATTTGTAAATCAGAGATCATGATACCTTCCCAAACTGAGTGAAGATAAAAGAGGTCATGTATATAAAAATCATTTGGTAAACTGCAAGCACAACACAGATGCCAGTCGTCATTTGGGCTGTTTAAAAGGACTTCCTGATGAACAGGACCTAAGTATGTTTTCCAGAGAGGAAAATATACTTTCCAGAGGGGAGCAGCATCTTGAGTTTCAGATGATATCGTTTTCCCAGTTAACACATTGAACTGTTAAGCAAGGGGCACAAGAACAGTATAATACATCCAAGCAGGAGGTGAAGTTCTATTTTTGGCAACAAAGGAAATAACACTGGAAGCAGATGGGGAGGTGAAACCATGGCTCCTATGGAGTCCTTGCCAGCCGCTTTGAACCATCTGCCTTCTTCTGACAGCTGGAGTCCCCTCACTTCTGTCTTTACTCCTTTACTAGTTATGCGCCAGAACCCAGGGCCACTGCATCGGCCTCCAGGGATGCCGTGCTTCAGAAGCAGGAGACACTGCATTCTCCATGTTACTTCCCAGGCTTACTGCAGACGTGTGAGGGCGATGTGTGTGGCTGAAGGTTGGGTCATCACCAGGGAAAGGCTGGCTGGTGGCCACCTGGCGCTCCCACCGGACGGCATCACTTTGGTAAGTTTCTCATGCTCCGAGCCTGGCCCACCCTGTTGTGAAGTGACAAGCTGGGTCCTGCAGATACCCCTGGCCTCAAAGAGGCTAACTTTTGATGACTAAACTCAAAAGAGACAAAAAAAAAAAAAAAAGAAAGAAAGTAAACCACAGCATATGTATATTAATTTGCAACTCAATTTGGCAAATATATTTGAGTTCCTACTGTGTGCCAGGCACTGTGATAGGCACTGGGGAGATAATGATGAATGAAACCCATCTGGTCACTGCCTTGTGGAACTTACAGTAGGAGGGAGAGGTAATTAAACAGGTAGTCACTAGACAGTGTAATTAGCATAAGTACCATGAAAAGAAAAACAACAAGGTGTTGTTGAGAACTTGCTCCAGACGTCGGGGGCAGAGTAGGCTTTATAGAGAAAGTTAAAGCTAAGCAGGGGGTCCGAAAAACTAACAAAATTGTCAGGTGAAAAGCAGCAGCTTGGAAGTGGCAGTGGGGTGCAAAGAAAGAAGATGGGTGCTCCAGGCAAAAAGAAGGGCAGTCAGAGGTAAGAGAGGTCTTGATGCCATTGAGTATCTAATAAAAGGTTAAATATGGAAGGACCCAGGAGGAAGAGTTCAGAAATGGGGACAAGCGTAGCTGCCGAGGTTGGCAAGGGCTCTATAAGGCGTGTGCAGGAGTTTAAACTGCATCTTTTTGATAAACCAGTGGGTTACCCAAAGTCGGTCAAATCAGCACATTGTCTACAGGAAGGAAAATGATGTGACTAATAGATTTACCGGAAGGTTATTTGATAAATGTGGAATCAGGACAAAGAATATACACTTCACACTGCAAGTTTTCTTTCTGCCTTGACTCTGACCCACTTATAATGCCACATTTTCCTGGTTCCTAAACCCAGCGGAGGACGTTGTTCTCTGGGGGTTTTTGCAAATAATGCACTTCATTCAGCCTTGAGGAGCTGAATCAATAAACACTAACTTGGGATGGTAACTGGAGAGGAAAATGGAAGAATCTCATGCTTGCTGCTTCCCTCCAAGAAACTGCAAAACATTATTGAACAGGTTTTTGGCTATATTCAGTGAAAAATTCTTCTGCTGAGAAATACAAACTCTTTCACCATAATAAATACTGTTTTGATAACAAAACTGTACTTTTCTCAAATACCCAGATGGAAGACCATATGCAAAATAAACTCTAAGGAATTTTTTTATTGGCCATCTGCTAAAATTGGAAAGGCTGCATCCGCCTCGACTCTTCACAAAAATTTTCACTGAGAATCCCACTCGCTTCCGCCTGGTGCCACCTGCTGATCACATTTGAGTACCGGTTTTGCAAATGAAGAGCAGGGTAACATGGGTCTCCCTCTTTCTTTAATGAAATAAACTTAATCCTAATTAATGTAAGAAATAACCTACAAAGTGTCAGGTTTTCCGTTGTTTTACAGAAACTCACACTTCTTCCTGTTGTTGCCAGGAACCACAAAGCAAAGCCCCTGCATGCACACACCTCTGAGACCTCACTTCTGAGGCACTGTCAGGACATTGTTTTACCCTCAGGATTAAGTGCACTACCTCTAATAAAGCCCCGTGTTTGGCTTTCACCCGTCAAAAACGTCAATGCATTATATTCTTTAGTATGTCAATTCCACTTTGAGATATCTATCCAAAGGAGATGCTGGCACAGGTGTATAAAGATACCTGTGCGAGGATATTCCCTTCAGCATCATTTGTTGAACCAAAAAATATGAGAATATCTCAATGTTCATCAACAACAGGGTGAGGCTTTTTTTTTTTTTTTTTGAGACCCACATTACCCAGACTGGAGTGCAGAGGTGCGATCTTGGCTCACTGCAACCTCCGTCTTCCTGTTTCAAACAATTCTCCTGCCTCAGCCTCCCGAGTAGCTGGGATTACAGGCACCCACCACCATGCCCAGCTAATTTTTGTATTTTTAGTAGAGAAGGGGTTTCACCATGTTGGCTAGGCTGGTCTCGAACTCCTGACCTTGTGATCTGCCTGTCTTGGCCTTCCAAAGTGCTGGGATTACAGGCGTGAGCCACCGTGCCCAGCCAACAGGGTAAGGATTTTTAAAGTCATAATGCATCTATGCAGCACTGGCATGGCGAGATGTCCTACGCACATTCAATGGGAGAAAATGAAGGCTAAAGAAAAGAATGGATAGAATAATCCCATGTTTTTAAAGAAAAAAGAAGCCTTTTTAAAGAAAAAACAGCTCTGTGTGTTATAGCTATATTTGTTTATACACAGGAAAAGGTTGAAAGGATACACACTAAACAAAAGCAATTTCTGAAGAATGGGGACTTTTTTCTACTTTTTACTTTCACATGCCTATACTAATTGAATTTTTACTATCAATGCATTGTATTAAAACAAAGGAGCTACTAAAATAATAATGCCACTTTTTTTTTTTTTTTTTTTTTGAGACAGAGTCTTGCACTGTTGCCCAGGCTGGAGTGCAGTGGCTCAATCTCCACTCACTGCAAGCTCTACCTCCTGGGTTCACGTCATTCTTCTGCCTCAGCCTCCCGAGTAGCTGGGACTACAGGCGCCCGCCACCACGCCTGGCTAATTTTTTGTACTTTTAGTAGAGACGAGGTTTCACCGTGTTAGCTAGGGTGGTCTCAATCTCCTGACTTCATGATCTGCCCGCCTCGGCCTCCCAAAGTGCTGGGATTACAGGCATGAGCCACCGCGCCCGGCCAGTAATAATGCCATATTCTTAAAAAATCAGGTTTGCAGCTAATAAAGTGTTTCATCATCACATGCGATGAAATGTGATGCTTTGCTTCAGAAGCAGGAGACATGGCATTCATTGCATTTCATCATCACAGACTCACTGGATGCTCACTTGCTCTAAGGCTAGGATCACTTTCATATTCAAGAGATGAAGAAATGGGACTGAGTCGAGGAGAGGGAACCAAGATCCTGTAAGGAAGAGATGATGGTGCCAGGGCGCTCCAGCAAATGACTACTGTGGGGTTTTCAGAGTCTTATTCTGTATGCGCCAGGCCCTAAACTAGCAGTTTTCAAATTGACTTCACTATGTGGACAAAGAAATCCTCCTTTATATTAGAGAACTATCCAGTCCTGAGGACTTTCAGCATCAATCAAATGGGCTTTGAAACTTCAGGGCTTAGAACGCTAAAGCGGGAAGACCAGAGCAGTCACCTAACTCAGTCTCCCTGTTTTACTGCTGAGAAAAGAGACTCCCCGAACAGCTAAAATCAGGCAGTCAATACTTGAGCAACAAACACTTGCCATCTCCAAGGAGTTAACTTTCCTTCTTCTCCACTAAACCCGCTCCTCCTCTTGGGTTTCCCATCTTGGCAAATGGTGACCCAGCAGACTCCTGAAAGCACCAAGTCTGCCTTCTTCTTCACCCTCAATTCTATCAGTCTCCAAATCCCATTGATGCCAACTTCCAAATATTACTCACCTCTGATCTTTCTCTGCCTAAGATTCCTGCCTGAGTGTCTCCATACAACCTTCAGCATCTCTTCTGCCTAGATGAATAGAACAGCCTTTCTAATAGGTCTCATTTCTCCTCCTTCCCAATCTACGCTATCCTCTCCAACAGATCACCTTTCTAATACTAAAACTTGATAATATACCTCTCCCCTCTGCACTTAAAACCCCTGCATGGCTTCCCCTTGATAAGCGCTTTACCTTGGCATTCAAGACCCTCTGTGATCTACCCTCTCCTTCTCAAATCTCATCTGGGGTCAGATCCTTTTCATTTATTTTTATTATTTTTTTGAGACAAGGTTTCACTCTGTTTGCCCAGACTGGAATGCAGTGGCATGATCTTGGCCCACTGCAGCCTCGACCTCCTGGGCTCAGGTGATTCTCCCACATCAGCCTCCCGAGTAGGTGGGACTACAGACACATACCACCACACCCGGTAAATCGTTCATATTTTTAGTAGAGACAGGGTTTCGTCATGTTGCCCAGGCTGGTCTCGAACTCCTGGACTCAAGCAATCTGCCTGCCTCAGCCTCCCAGAGTGCTGGGATTACAGGCATGATACGGTTTGGCTGTGTCCCCACCCAAATCTTATCTTGAATTGTAGCTCCTATAATTCCCATGTATTGTAGGAGGGACCCAGTGGGAGATAACTGAATCATAGGGGCAGTTTCCCCCATACTGTTCTCATGGTAGTGAATAAGTCTCACAAGATCTGACTGTTTTATAAGGGGTTTCCCTTTTCACTTGGTTCTCATAGTCTCTCTTGCCTGTCACCATATAAGATGTGCCTTTCGCCTTCTGCCATGATTGTGAGGCATCCCCAGCCATGTGGAACTGTGAGTCCATTAAACCTCTTTTTCTTCATAAATTACCCAGTCCCAGGTATGTCTTTAACAGCAGCATGAAAGCAAACTAATACAAGCTGTAAGCCGCCATGCCTGCCCTAAATCCTTTTCTCTTAAACTTTAGTGACTCCACACTGCTCATCATTCCAAAATGCCATACTATTTCATGACTTCGTACCTTTGCACAAGCTATTGTTTTTAGGTAGAATGCTCTTCTGTGGCTGGTCTGCCAGGTAAACTCATTATACAAAATCAGGTCAGGTGTCACCACTACTCAGGAAGCTTTTTCTCTCCCTCTATTCCATTTGCCCTCAGCCCTGTCCAACCCTGCTCCCCATCACCAACAAAGTTTTACTCCTTTTCTCTGGAACATTTCTGTACCTTATACACACTTCTATTTAAATATCCTCCCACATTATTACACAGAAGGGAAAAGTACTGGCACTGAAGCCAGTCTTCCAAACTGTGTTAACCCTGCCAAATGACTTAACCTCTCTGTACTTCAGTTTCCTCTCCTATGAATAATAGAAGAATCCTGCGAGGGTTGCTAAAGAATTTTAAATTAGGTAATTGTTATGGACTATATGCTTGTGTTCCCACCCCACCTCTGCATTCAGATATTGAAACCCTAACCCCCAAGGGGATGGTTTTAAGAGGTAGGCTCTTTGGAGGGCAATTAGAGCATGGAGGTGGACCCCACACGATGGGACTAGTGTCCTTATAAGAGGAGGAAGGCAGCTAGTCCTTTCTCTCTACCAGGTAGGCAAACAATGAGAAGGTGACCAGCTATAAACCAGGAAGAGGGCCCTCACCAGAACCCAACCATGCTGGCATGCTGATCTTGGATTTCCAGCCTTCGAAACTGTGAGAAAAAAAAGTTTGTTATTCGTCACCCAGTTTATGATATTCAATTGTAGCAGCCCAAACTTCCTAAAACAGTAGTCTAGATAAAAACACTCAGCAAATGTTGCTATTGTTATTGTTATGTAGTCATTCTTTTAGAGAACTTCCACTTTCAGCCAAAGTGTAATAACAGAAACTAGATTGACTCTTGCCCCGCATCGCTCGAGCAACCAAAAAGTAGACAAAATATGTTAACAGTTTTGAAGACCTGGATATGAAGCAACAAAGGACAGTGATTCCTGAGAGATAGGAATTGAACGATGTGAACCCTAGGATTGCCTCAGATTACTGCCTTGAGAAAGATTCCAGGCTGCAGTGCAGAGTGCCCCAGTAGGACCTTGGTGAAGCCCAGTGGACGCCCTGAGTTGAGAAAATGGAACTGTGAGTCAGGGAAGACTGAGATAGCCAGGGTTCTCAGGACAGAGTACTGGGAAGGACACTTTTGTACAGAGAACTCTGGAGCGTCTTCCTTAAATGTTTTGCTAGGTACAGATCAGCATGCACGTGAGGAAACTACCCAAGGCCAAACTACCTGAAAAACACCCCCAAAAAAGCAGAGGTAGCAGTGCCTGGTGTTCACACAGAGCCAGGAGTAGTGTCTTTCTCACCAGCCAGACTAGAAAACATGATTCATGGAGCACTGGGTAGAGCACACATAAGACTGTTGCTTGAGTAGTGAGGAATAGTAAGCCTTAGACTGAGTACCACTCCAGTCCTGCTTAACAAATCTTGAAAATCTTGAAATAGACCTGAAATCTATTTCCAAGTAACTGAACTGGATCTTACAACAAAGTTCAAGAATATGTGCAGGAATATGGAAATATCCAACATCCAAATAAGGTAAGATTCACTATATCTGTCACCCAGCTAGAAACTCCCAGACATGAAAAAAACATCGTGATATGGGCCACAATGAAGAGAAAAATCAAAACCAACTCAGAATGGACAGAGTTAGAATTAGGAGACAGTGACATTATGAGAGTGATTATAATGCATTCCATATGTTCAAAAAGTTAAGTAGAAATATGGAAGATAGTTAAAAAGACTCAACTCTCATGTTTAGAAATAAAAACTACAATATGTGAGATAAGAGATTGAATGGGATTATTCGACAAGAATGAAAAAAATGAGTGAATGTGAAGACAAAACAACAGAAACTCTCCAAAATGAAACAGAATGATTTTTTTAAATGAACAGAACATCAGTGAACTGTGGGACAACTTCAGATGTACTAATATGTACGTAATTAGAGTGAAGTAGAAGTGAAGAGGCATAGAAAAAAAATCTGAAGAAATAATGGGCAAATATTTTCCAAATTTTATTAAAATTATAAACCCACAGGTCCAAAAGCTCAATGAGAAACATGAGCTTTAACATGAGAAATATAAAAGAAAATTACATCAAGACACATCATAATCAAATTGTTCAACACCAATGATAAAGAAAAAATATTAAAAGCAGCAAGAGAAAAAGAATGTTATATAAAGAAGATCAAAAATAAGGAAGAAAACAGATTTCTTTTCAGAAACAATATAAGCAAGAAGACAGAAGAGCAATATATTAAAAGTGCTGAAAGAAAAACAAAATGTCCACCTAGAATTCTACACCTAGAGAAAATATCATCCAAAACCAAAGGCAAAATAAATTTCAAGAAATATAAAAGTTGAGAGAATTCATCACCAAAAGACCCTCACTGCATGAAATGCTACAGAAAGTTATTTACACAAAAGAAAAATGATACCTGACAGAAATGTGAATCTACACAAAAAAATACAGAACACTGGAAATGGTAAATATATGAGTAAATATTTAAAATTATTTCATCTTGTTATTTAAATCTCTTTAAAATAGAGTTGATTGTTAAAACAAAAATGATAACAATGTAGTCTGGAGTTTATAATAAGTATAAAAGTAAAATGTATAAAAACAACAGCATAAAAGCTAGGTGTGGGAAAATGGAAGTACTATGAGTGTTATAAGGTTCTCATACTATAAATAAAATAGTACTATATAACTTAAAGGTAGATTGTGATAACTCAAAAATGTATACCATAAATTTTAAAGGAACCACTAAAAACAAAACAACTATAGCTATTATGCCAACAAAGGAAATCAATAAAACTGAAAACTTCTAAACAGACTGAGCAGAGGGAAAAAAAGAAAAATAAAAAACACAGATTACAAATGTTAGGACTAAGAGGTATCATTAGTAAAGGTAAAGGCAGATTACTAAAGGTAACATTATGAATCATTTTACACCAATACAAGTGAAAACTTAGAAAAAGTAGACAAATTTCTTGAAAACAAACTATTAAAGCTCATTCAAGAAGAAATAGATAATATGAACAGCCTATATCTATCAAAGAAATTGAATTTGTAGTTAAAAGTTTCCCACAAAGAAAATACCAAGCTCACATGATTTCCCTAGTGAATTTTACCAAACATTTAAAGAAATAATACCAACTCTGAAAAAACTCTTCTAGAAAATTTAAAAGTAGAAAATATTTTATAATTCATTCTGTGTGGCCAGCATTATCCTGATAACGAACCAAAGACATTACAAAAAAATAAAAATAAAAATGCAAACCAATATCCCTCATGAATATAGATGCAAATAAAGAACATTTTAGTAAATCAAAATTCCACAATATATAAAAAGGATAATATGTTATGACTAAGTGGAGTTTGTCTTAGGGATGCAGGGTTTGTTTAATATTTAAAAATCAACCAATGTAACTCAACCACATTAACAAGCTAAAAAAGAAGATCCATATGATCATCTCAGTAGACACAGGGAAAAAAAAAAGAGTGACAAAATCCTACATCCATTCCTAATTAAAAACAAACAAAATCCATGGAAACAAGAAATAAAAGGAAACTTCATCAATCTGATAAAGAACATCTACAAGAAACCTACAACTAACAACAATACTTAATGATGAAAGACGAAATCCATAACCCCTAAGATCAGGAAAAAGTCCCGGACATCTGTTCACACCACTTCTACTTAACATTATTTGGAGGTTCTAGCCAGTGCCATAAGGCAAGAAAAAGAAATAAACGGCTAATTACAAAGTAAGACAAAACCATTCAATTCTCAGAGGATGTAATAGTCCATATAGAAAATCCAGTGGAAGTACAAAATAAGCTACTAGAACTGTTAAATAAGTTTAACAAGGTTGCAGGATACAAGATCAATACACAAAAAGCAATTTTATTTTTACATACAATGAACAATTAGAAATGGAAGTTTAAAAATAAAACACTGCCAATATATCAAAAATTGGAAATCATAAGGGAAAATTGTGACAAAAGATGTGAAATACTTGTACGCTAAAAACTAAAAAACACTGTTCAAAGAAATTAAAGACCTAAATAAAAGGAAAGATACACCATGTCAATGGGTCAGAAGACTCATTGTTAAGATGTTGATTCTACTCAAAGTGATATATAGATTCAGCACAATTCCATTCAAAATCCCAGTGGGCTTTTTTGTAGACATTGACAAGCTGATTCTATATTTCATATGGCTGATCAAAGACTACAATAGCCAAAACAACTTTGAAAAAGATGAACAAAGTTGGAGAGCTTACACTACCTGATTTCAAGGCTTATAAAGCTATATCAAAACAGTGAGGTTTTGGCAGAAAGAGAGACAAATAGATCAAAGACACAGAATACAGAATTCAGAAATATACCTACACATATTTGGATAACTGTTTTTGACACTGGTGCAAAGGCAATTTGGAAGAGAAAGATTAGTGTTCTGATCAAATGTTTCTGGAACAACTGGATATTCGTATGCAAAAAAGTGAACTTCAACCCATACCTTACACCATATACAAAAATTAACTCAAAATGAATCACAGACCTAAATTCGAAAGCTAAAACTATAGAACTTTTAGACAAAAACATAGCAGAATATCTTTGTGAGCTTGGGTTAGATATAAATTCCTATATATGACACAAAAAGCATGATCTATTAAAAAATTGATAAATTGGACTTTGTCAAAATTAAAAACTTGCTTTTCAAAGGATAATAAGAGAATGAGAAGACATCTCACATACCCCATAAGTATATGTACCTACTATGTAGACACAAATATTAAAAATTAAAAAATAAAAAAAGGCACAGACTGGAAGAAAATATTTACAATTGGTATATCTCATAAACACCTGTATTCAAAATATATAAAAATTCTCAAAGCTCAATAATAAAAATAAACAACCCAATTAAAAAAAAATAGGCAAAACATGTGAACAGACATTTCATCAAAAAATATATCTGGATGGCAAACAAGCACATGAAAAGAAAGCTCCACATCATTAGTCTTTAGGAAGTGCAAAATACAACTGATGACAGGTCACTACATACCTATTAGAATGGCTAAAATTAAAAAGACTGACCACTGGCCCTGTAAGGTGACAGACAGGAGCAGTGGCTCACGCCTGTAATCCCAGCACTTTTGGAGGCCGAGGCAGGTGGATCGCTTGAGCTCAGGAGTTCAAGACCAGCCTGGGCAACATGGTGAAACCCTGTTTTTACAAAAAATACAAAAATTAGCCAGGTGTGGTGGCCTGTGCCTGTAGTTCCAGCTACTTGGGAGGATCGCTTGAGCCTGGGAGATGGAGGCTGCAGTGAGCTGTGATCGGGCCACTGCACTCCATCCTGGGGGACAGAGCAAGACCCACTCTTAAGTAAATAAATAAATAGACTGACCATTACCAAATTCTGGCAAAGATATGGAGGAATTGGAATGTTCATACATTGTTGATGGGATGATAAAATGACACAACTACTTTGGAAGACAATACTTTCTTTAAAATTAAATATGCACCTACTATATGATCCAGCAATTCAATTTTTAAGCATTCACCCAGGAAGAATGAAAACATGTCCACGCAAAGACTTACCACAGGTGTTCATGGTGTATTTGTAACAGCCAGAAAACTGGAATCAACCCAAATGTCCTGCAGCAGGTGAAGGTCTAAGCAAACTGTGGTATAAACATTCAATAGAATACTCCTTGGCAATGAAGTATTGATACATACTACAAATATGGATGAATCTCAAAATAACTGAAAGAAGCCAGACCTCCCCCGAAAAAGGAGTGCCTGTTATATAATGCCATTTACATAAAATTCTACAAAGTGCAAAGTTATCTTGACAGAAAGTGGATCCACTGTTGCCTGATGATAGGAGAGGAGGAAAAGAGGGAAGAAGCGAAGGAGGGGCTGGGCGTGGTGGCTCATGTCTATAATCCCAACAATTTGGGAGGCTGAGGCAGGCGGATCACTTGAGGTCAGGAGTTGGAGACCAGCCTGGCCAACATGGTGAAACCCATCTGTAATAAAAATACAAAAATTAGCTGGACATGGTGGCACATACCTGTAATCTCAGCTACTCAGGAGGCTGAGGCAGGAGAATTGCTTGAACCTGGGAGGTGGAGGTTGTAGTGAGCCAAGATCACGCCACTGCACTCCAGCCTGGGCAACAGAGCAAGACTCCATTTCAAAAAAAAAAAAAAAAAGAAGGGAAGGACAGAAGGATTACAAAGGGACACGAGGAAAAATTTCAGCATGATGCATATGTTCATTATCTTGATTGTGGTGATGATTTCACGGATTTTTACATATATGAAATGTATAAAACTGTACATTCTAAATATCTGTAGTTTATTCTATGTCGATTATATCTCAATAAAGCTGTCTGTTAAAAAGTATAAGACAACTAGGCTCTCTGCAGAGTCTCAAAATATCTCCTTACTAGACACTTAGTAATTAAAAAGGAAAAAAATAGTAACTTTATAGTGGAGAAATCTAGCAGACACTACTTTAACTAAGTGATCAAAGTTAACATCACCAGGGATAAGACATCTTGACATCATGTACTTAGCAACATCACTTTCATGGTGTTCTTGCCAAAAATGTCTAATCTGAATCTAACATGAGAAAAATCAGACAAATCCAAATGTAAGTTCATTCTAAAAAAAAAAAAAAAAAAAAAACTAGCCAGTCGTATTAGACTGTTCTCACACTGCTATAAAGAAATACCTGAGACTGGGTAATTTATAAAGAAAAGAGGTTTAATTGGATCACAGTTCCACAGGCTGTACAGGAAGCATGATGGTGGCACCTGCTTGGCTTCTGGGGAGGCTTCAGGAAACTCTCAATCGTGGCAGAAGGCAAAAGGAAAGCAGGCACATCTTAGGTTGCTGGAGCAGGAGCAAGAGAGAAAGGAGGGAGGTGCTACACACTTTTAAACAACCAGATCTCATGAGAACTCTATCACTATGCAACACCAAGGGGGGAAATCTGTCCCCATGATCCAATCACCTCCCACCAGGCCTCACCTCCAACACAGGGGAATTACAATTCAACATGAGATTTGGTGGGGACACAGATCCAAACTGTATCACCAGTACTCTTCAAAAGAGTCAAGGTCACAAAAGACAAAGACCAGGGAACCATTACAACCTAGAGAAGACTGGGGAGAAATGACAACTAAATGCAATGAGGGATCATGGAGTGAATCCTGTACCAGAAAAAGGACATTAGTAGGACAACAGGCAAAATGCAAATAAAGAGCATAGGTTATTTCATATTATATCAATGTTAATTTCCTAGTTTCAGTCACTGTGTAAGATGTTAACATTAGAGGAAGTTAGATGAAGAATTTGGGGTGCTCTCTCTGTCCTATTTTTGCAACTTTTTTGTTGAGTTTTAAATTATTTCAAAGCAGTTTAAAAACTGAAGGCAAAATAAAGACATTTTCAGACAAATGAAAGCTGAGGGAATTTGTCACCAGCAGACCTGCACTGTGAGAAATGTGTTGATGCAAATTCTTGAGGCCAGAGGAAAATAATACCAAATGGAATCCCAGAGCCATTCAAAGGAATGAAGAATGCTGGAAATAGTAAATACATGAGTGAGTATAAAAGACAAATGTACTAATCTTTTAGTTTCTTTATAGGATAATTGACTTTTTAGAGCAAAAATAATAACAATGTATTGTGTGGTTTATAATATTGTTAGAAGTAAAACAGATGACGATAGCACAAAGGATGAGGGCGGGAATGGAACTATACTGCTGTAAGGCGCTAATATGTTACTTGAAGTATGTAATACTTAAAGGCCAATGTGGTAAGTTAAAGATGCATTGTAAACCCTAGATACTAGGGCTAGGGTGAAAACTAAAAAGATTTTTAAAAGAAGTATAGCTAATAAGCCGAAAGAAGAGATAAAATAAAACACTAAAAATATTCAATTAATCCAACAGAATAAATAGAAAAGAAATAGTAAGATGGTAGACTTGAATCCAACAGTTAGTATTACATATTAAGATTAACTGGACTAAACACACAAATCAAAAGGCAGAGACTGTCAAACTGAATAAAAGACCATACTCAGTTTCATGCTGCCAACAAGAAGCACTCTTTAAAAATGCAGATAGGTTAAAAGTAAAATAATGGTAAAAAGATATACCATGCAAATACTAAGCCAAAGAAAACTGGAGGTGCTAAATTAATATCAGACAAAATAGACTTCAGGACAAGTTACTGATAAAGGAGTCAAATCATCAAGCTAATAACGGAGCTTCAAAATGCATGAGGAAAACACTGACAGAACTAAAAAGAGAAGCAGACAATCCAAAATTAAAGCTGGAAATTTCAACACTAACTTAGTAACTGATAGAACTAGTAAGTAGTAAAGTAGTAAAAAAGATGTGAATACCACCAATAGCAACTTGGCCTAATTGACACTTATAAGATGCTACATCAACAACTCCAGAATACTTATTATTTCCCAGGGCCATGAAACACTCATCAAGATGGACAATGTGTAAGCCATTAGAAAACTCTCAACAAATTTAAAGAGACTGAGATAATACAGAATATACTCTCTGATGTCAACAAAATTAAATTAGAAATCATACAAAAAATATTTGGAAAGTCCGCAAATGACTTAAAAAGTAAACAACACATTTCTACATAACCCATGGGCAGAGGAGAAATCCCAAGGGAAATTAGAGAACATTTTCAACTGAATTATAATGAAAATGTAACATACAAAAATTCCTGAGATGTATCCATAGCAGTGCCTAGAAAGAAATTTGTTTTAAGATTTAAAAATCAGTGATCTTAGTTTTGTAGCACAGTGCATTACTCATGTTTGTGGTGTTGCAGGTGTCAACAAACCTACTGCACTGCCAGTTGTATAAAAGTGCAGTATAATACAATTATGCACTGTACAGAATACTTGATAATGATAATAAACTACTACGTTACTAGCTTCTGTATTTACTATAGTATACTTTTTATTGTTATTTTAGAGTGTACTCCTTCTACTTCTAAAAAAAAAAGTTGACTGTAGGATAGCCTCAGGCAGGTTCTTCAGGAGGTATTCCAGAAGAAAGCACTGTTATCATAGGATATGACAGCCCTACGCATGTTACTGCTCCTTGAAGACCTTCCAGTGGGATAAGAAGTGGAGGTGGAAGACAGTGATATTGATGATCCTGACCCCGTGTAGGCCTAGGCGAAGGTATGTGTTTGTGTCTTGGTTTTCTAACAAAAAATTCTAAAAGTAAAAATAATTTTAACATTTAAACATAGAAAAAGGCTTAGGGAATAAGAATATAAGGAAATTTTTTTTGTACAGCTGTACAGTGTGTGTTTTAAGCTAAGTGTTATTACAAAAGAGTCTAAAAGGTTTTTAAAAAATAAAAAGTTTAGAAAGTAAAAAGTTACAGTAAGCTAAGGCTAATTTATCGAAGAAAATTTTTTAAAAATAGATTTAGTGTAGCCTAAGTGTACAGTGTTTCTGAAGTCTGCAGTAGTATAATGTCCTAGGCCTTCACATTCCCTTACCATTCACTCACAGACTCACCCAGAGCAACTTCTAGTCCTGCAAGCTCCATTCATGGGAAGTATCCTACATAGGTGTATCATTTTTCATCTTTTATACAGTATTTTCCCCTTTCTATGTTTAGATACAAAAAAGACTTACCAATATTAAGTCCAGTACCATGCTATACAGGTTTGTATCCTAGGAGCGATAGGCTATACCGTATAGCCTGGATGTGTAGGAGCCTATACCATCTAGGCTTGTGTAAGCACACTCTATGGTGTTGGCACAATGATGAAATCACCCAATGACACTTTTCTCAGAATGTGTGCCCGTCAAGTGACTCATGACTGTAGTTGGATGCAAAGCTGGGAAGGAAAGGTATTCCACATAGCAACAACAGCATGAGCAGAGCCACAGAAGAGAGACATTGGGGGGGGGGGGGTAATTATGAGGAACAGCTGAGAGTTATCTTTTAAAATTAACTTTATTGAAGCATAGTTTGCATACAATTAAATGCACCCATTTTAAGTTAATAGTTCGATGAATTTTAAGCAATGTATATAAACCCATGTGACCACCATCTCAGAGAAAACTTCCTTTAAAAATTATCACTTCAAGCTGTTTTTGTGTTTAGTAAATGATAATTTTATTACAAGTTTTATAATTCAATATTAAAACCAAAACAATACAGAGGCAATAAAATAGACTCAGAAAGCATATGCCTTGGAAATAGCTCTAGGTTTTAAACCTTACTTCTCAAGCAAGTTGCTAAATTTTTCAAAGCCTCAGTTTCCTCATCCATAAAATGGGGATAATAATAAAACCAGCCTCACAAGATTGCTATGAAGATTAAAAGAAATAATGTGGGCTGGGCGTGGTGGCTCATGCCTATAATCGCAGCACTTTGGGAGGCTGAGGCGGGCAGATCACTTGAGGTCAGGAGATCGAGACCAGCCTGGCCAACATGGTGAAACACCATCTCTACCAAAAATACAAAAAATACAAAAAAAAAAAAAAAAAAAGCCGGTGTGGTGGCACCCGCCTGTAGTCCCAGCTACTCAGAAGGCTGAGGCAGGAGAATGGCTTGAACCCAGGAGGTGGAAGCTGCAGTAAGCCAAGATCTCACGACTGCACTCTGGCCTAGGCAACAGAGCAACACTCCGTCTCAAAAACACAAAAATAAAAATAAATAAAATATGTTAAACTTCTAGCACAAAGCCTGGAACATAGCAGGACCAGTAAATGGTGTTAGCCTTATCACAATTAGACAGGCATTGGTTGTATAGTCACCCCAGAGTTATGGGACAGACTGTGAAACTTGTACACAAAGGCTTTGAAGGGGTCCTAAATGAAACTGTTAAAAGGCTAACAAAAATGGCAGTTCTGAGTTCCACTTCACAATCAGTGGTGAGGGCTCCAGTGTATTACATGCTCAAACCTGGTGCTTCGAGATGGAATGGGTCACTTGACAATTGATTCTGGAACAAGTTTAAAGCAAAACACTGAAAAGGTTCCCCATGAGTTTGTCAGACCTGCTCCCTGGCCTTTAAACAGAGCCTGACCTCCCACATCTCAGGCCACAGGAAGCCGGCGAGGCCACGGCTCTAGGATTCCCCCAGCGGCCCCATCCTACTTGGGGGCCCAGCCACCTGCTCCGGCTCCAGCTCCCTGGCTCCCCAGCGTCCTGACTCCATGATCCAGTTTTGATATCCGCCTTAGGGCTGTCTCCTTGTGTCAAGACCCGTTTCTTCAGTTTACCTACCTGTCACCCTACTCGTTCAACTCTGCAAGCTGTTTTGATAGCTGCCAACACCTACTGTGTACTGTTAAGATGCTCCCTTAGTCGCAGCTCCCTGGGACCCCCTGTCCCAGCTCCCAGCACACAGGACCCAGGACACAGTTGCAAGCATAATATAATTCAGGGGTCATGGGGACGGAGTGCCATCTACCTGAGCAACAAAGAGCTGGAACTCGTCAGGCAGAATCCATGAGCGAGGGTAGAAGTTGTACTCCTCAGGAAAGAGATTCTGCATGGTTCTCACTGCTCTGCTCAGAGTAATTTTACGCACCATCTCCGTCATGCCTGGGGAGAAGAGACGCTGTGAGGTTTTAACAACAGTGGGCTACTAGCTATAAAACAGCCATTATTTGGGACTTTTAAAACCACCCACCCGACATATTCTCTTTTTCAGGCAGGATTTTTAAAAAAGGTCTGAGTTGTTCCCCACAGCGGTGACTCATGGTTTGGAAAGAACTACTGAGTTAATGAAAAACTTGAGGTAACGGACGGGTGTTCTTTTCTCTTTATAAAAATGAAGCATCAGTTTGAAGGAATGAGTTTTCACCTAGTTTATTCTTTTATTCTTTGTCACCCCCTTAGGTAATGAATAGGGAAGCATTTATATCTTGCACTTAAAATTTAATACCTTCTTTAATTTGGGGCCACCTTACGTGCTTCTGGGATTCCTTCCGTCTTGTACCCTAGAGAATATCATCTAGTGGACTCTGGTTACATTATGAGAGGCTTAATTAAGTTTACTTCTTTTACTGTTTCATGAGTATTAAAGGCATGGAATAGGAAAACACACATCTTTCAGCATAAAATCTGTCTCCTTGAATGAAGGACAGGAAATAAAAAGAATACCAAAATTTATACTTCAAGGGAAAAATGCAATCTGTAGGAGTTCCTCAGTTATAAGGACTGACACTGACATTGATCCTATCTCATTAATTTGCCCAGAGGGAATTGAAATGTCTCACTGTTATAAAACATTAAAAGAATGGTGGGGGTGTGAACCTGGGAGGCGGAGCTTGCAATGAGCCAAGATCGAGCCACTGCACTCCAGTCTGGGCAACAGAGCAGGACTCCGTCTCAAAAAAAAAAAAAAGGTTGGTGGATTTTTTTTCTTGTAACATCATTAGTAACTCTGACAAGAGAAGAAACTGAGTACTATATATTGTAGCAAATTTTAAGCAAATAGGTAAAAATTATTATCAATTTTAGCATGTTTATTTCATTTTTTCTTTTTTTTTTTTTTTGAAACACAGCCTTGCTTTAATGCCCAGGCTGGAGTGCAGTGGCATGATCTCAGCTCATTGCAACCTCCACCTCCCAGGCTCAAGGGATCCTCCCACCTCAGCCTCTCGAGTAGCTGGGACTACAGGTGTGTGCCACCATGCCCGGCTAATTTTTGTATTGTTTTTGTTTTTGTAGAGACAGGGTCTCACTATTGCCCAGGCTAGTCTCGAACTTCTAGGCTCAAGCCATCCACCTGCCTTGGCCTCCCAAAGCCCTGGAATTACAGGTGTAAGCCGCCATGCCTGGCATCATCCTTATTTCTTTTTCTTTTTCTTTTTAGGCAGAGTTTCGCTCTTGTTGCCTAGACTGGAGTGCAATGGCACGATCTTGGCTTACTGCAACCGCCGCCTCCTAGGTTCAAGCAATTCTCCTGCCTCAGCCTCCTGAGTAGCTGGGATTACAGGTGTGCACCACCATGCCCAGCAAATTTTTGTATTTTTAGTAGAGAAGGGGTTTCACCATGTTGGCCAGGCTGGTCTCAAACTCCTGACCTCAGGTGATCCACCCCCCTCGGCCTCCCAAAGTGCTGGGATTACAGACGTGGCCACCGCACCCGGCTATCATGCTTGTTTCTTAAGACAAATATCATTGCCAAAAATGGTGGCTACAAATGGCCTTTACCCTGAAAGAGACCAAACAGTTCCATTACTGATACTAGAAATGTGCTTGGCAAAGCTATTTTTAATAGAAAATACAAAGTTCCATGTCAGCTTGGCATGCCCAAATTATCACACATTCCAAATGGGCAGTCAGAATGAATGAGTTTCCTCTAAATTCCCACGTTCAGAAAGAAAAGGGTAAACATCTGGGAAGGAAAGTTTTAAGAACCAACTTCTTGCTTCCATCAGCGTATTAAAAAGTGCAATAAATCTAAAGATCCCAGCTTCAAGACGTCAGTGCCCAGGTCTTAGTTGTTGTTTAGAAGGATGTAGGGAAGGATTAAGTAAGAAATAAAGGAGCTTAAAAAGCACTAATAAACTGCTCTAACATGGACTGTTCAATAGTCAAGAAAACTCACTGAGGACACTGTTCTGAGCTTCCCAAGAAGGGAGTCTGGAAAATCACAGCTATTTCCTTTTATTCTCCCTCGAAATTAGAATTGTTGCATAATAAACACTAGAGCTGACCGCAAAGTAAACAAAGCAAAACTTCAACTTTTTTGGAATCCTTTTGCTTGAGGTTTACTAACATTAAAATGTTACCGTATTGAACTGAAAGCCTTCATAACTAACTGTAATACAGCACCTTACTCCACGTAGAGGATGCCTCCTGACCAAATAGTGTTGTGGTATTTTCTGCACTTTAAAGTCGTTGTGCCGGGGGAATGTTCTCTTCCGAAATCCCTCAGCAGGTCAGAAGGGCTCACACAACACAGAGAGCTGTGGGTACTTGAGGGCAGTCTGGGTGCTCCAGAAAAGTTTTGTGAAAATCTATGTCCAGCAAATTCAGTCAATATTCATTTAATATCGGCAATGGCTCCTTCTGTAATGTGCACCATCAGGCCCCACACCAGCTAATAGGTGTTTCCAAGTTTACCTTCATGTCTCCAGGCAGTTTTTCTACTGAAAATGGCCAACTTAAGAAGCACCCCTGGAAGCCAGGCACTTCCTGCCTGCAGGCCGGAGGCAGCTCACTCCAAACCTGCCTGAATGCCTGTCTCCAGGAGGGACGGGTGTAGACTTCTCTCAATCCACTTAGCACCAAACCTTTGCTCCTCCATATCTAAGCTGTGCTCCTATCCAGTGCCACCAGGGAAAGAGTTTCTGGCCCCTCACTAGAACCCACATGGAAGCTCCTGGCATCTCCACCTCTGGAGGTGGCTCAGAGACAGGTGTGGGAGTGGCAACTTCTCCATTATGACCCTGACAAGCGTAGCAGGGTTTCTAGCTGATCCAGGGCACGCGTTCCCAGAGTAAATCTGTGAGAAGGAAGGTCATGGCCAGCTCTGCTGACTTCAGGCCCTACTGGCTCCAGGCCCTGTCCCCTTTCCCTAAGCAGCTGCAGCGCCTGACCCCTCGTCACCTGTGTCCCCTCCCTGGGCTCTAGGACCAATTCTGAACTGAGATCGAAGCTCTAGGTCTAACCCCCAGCTCCCTTCTGCTAAAAGTCTGACCTAGACTATGTATTCCAACCAGATAAGAAGGATTTTACCCATTTTTCCGGTGTTCTATTGCTTGTATCCAAATGTTGGTGACCTTATCTTTTGCTCCTGGAGCCTGAGTGGCTGCCTTAGCAATGCAGAGCTGCGTCCTTTTCTTTGTTCTCTCCAATGCCCCTCCTCTCTCCAACCTCTCCTCTGTTCCCCTCAAGCCCACCCTGCAAGGGCTGGAATCCTCCTGTCTGTGACTTTCACCCAGTGTCTGGGGTCCTGCTACCTAACAGCTCCTTTTGAGGTTGACTGCCCACCTAGGTTTCTCAATAAGGTCTATCCCTAGATGTCCCTATGAGGGCAGTTCCCCTATCGATTGGGAAAACCTCCTAATTCAGGTGGGAGTTTCTGACACCAAGGGCTTACCTCCTGCCCCTCCTTCTGAGGCCTGGGCTTTTCTGTCTGCTACGCTGGAGTCTCAAGGCCTGGTGGGTCTCACCCCATTCAAGTTAACTGACAGCATAACAGTTCAACCTCAGGTTTGCCCATGCAGCCCTACTTAACCCAGTTAATGTAAAACAAAACAAACTAAAACTGAGCTATACTTGGAGCACTATTCAATCAAAATATTATTTATAACAATAATTCTTGGCAAAAACATATTAGAACCACCAAACAACAAATAAATCCTTTCAGATCCATCCTGTTCTCTCTATTCTGATTGCCACTAATTCATTCATCTCTTGGGTGGATGCTGCAGCAGACTCTTAGCTACATCTCTGTTTCTTCTCTGAGCCATCTCATTTCTAATGTGTCCCTCTGGCTGATCTTGCTAACATGCAAGCTGACCCGTGTCACTGTCTGGCTTAAAAATTCCTCAGTGGCTCCCTATGACCTTCAGGCTCTAACAATGCTGTAGTTGGGTTCCTACTCATCACCCCTCCCCTGCCCTGCTCACCTGACGCCCTCTAACCATGGTAGGCCACTTGCCCTTCGATGAACGAGTAATATGCTGAAGGCATTCTGTCTTTGCACCAACTCTGCTCCCTTGTTTGGCATGGGGATCAGGCCCATCCATCCTGGAGGCTCAGTTTCCATGCCAGTCCTGTTCTCCAGGAGCTCTCACCCTGCTGCTCCCTGGGCAAATCTGGGTTAGGTTGCCCGCCCTTGCTCCGGACCCCCACAGCATTCCAGCTTCCTCCAGCAAAGCCCCTAGGCTGTATTTTTCTTCTCTCTTTACATGCCTTTCTCTGTGTCTTTATAGCCCCAGAGCCCAGACCAATGCTTGACAGATGGCTGTCCCCACAGGTTCCTCACTGAAGCTCCCTCCCTCTCCAGCAGAAAGCCCCCTCCTCAGGTGGGCTCTCAGGTACCACCTGCCATGTGATGCCATACATCTCAGACCCTGAAACTCAGCAAAAGACCTGCTCAGAACCTGAGAATGGACAGTTTTGGACTTTCTTAAAGCTAAATCTGATATGTCTAATCTGACATGTCTGATTTAGATACGTCTAAAGAAAGTAGACATATCTAATAATCTACTTTCTTTAGACGTATCTAAATCAGATTATTTTCATAGAAAGTCTTAATTCATCAGCCAAAATATAATAATGTAATTTGAACCAGGAAATTACCCATAGAAAAGTGACTAAAATCTAATGTGCTGACACAAACAAAATTAATCACTTCCATCTGTATATATCCGTTCTCAGTTGACCCAGCAAATAAAGCGTTTACACTTGCCTGGGATATCCACTAGAACTTACCCTAAGTAATATACAATGTATAGAAAGTGCATTTTAGAATAATGAGATATATGAGAGACAGAAGATAAGCTTGGACACAAACTGGTATCAGAGGCCAGACTGTTCTGGAATTACCCCTCTGCTGAGGATTACTACCTTTCACAGGGTAGAGGGTGTGGCAGCACTGTTCCTCTGCCTAGAGGTTTAAGAGTCTGCTTTGTCATTAGAACTAATTAATTTCTGTTAATAATGTGGAAAAGTCTATGTTCCAATCACCGGCATGTGGAATATGGGATGGGGCAAACTTGCTTCTTTGGAATGAATATCATTCTATCACCTTTATGAAACTAATCCTTTGTGGGTACTTCATTCTATATTTCTAATTTGTATTCCAAATGTAGATCTATAGCTACTTCTTTCCTACTCTGAGACACTAGATGAGGCATGAGCAAATGGGGAAAATGTAAATGAGGCCTCATTTGATGATTCATGTCTTAGGAACTCTGTCCTCATTCAAAGCGTTTTCTCTTCCAAACTGTATTCTCCCAATATCCTAATAAGTCCTTTAAGTGGCATCACAAAGCATCCTTTTCTGAGCAGCAAGACACAAAAAATAATAGCTATCCCATTAAACTGTTGGGTAAGAACTCTGGCTGCAAGAATCATTCTTGTTCTGTAACAAAACCCTTTCTCCTTCTCTAAGGATAAATTTGACCTTGGGTTAACTTTCTATCTCAGTTCCCCTAGAAAACAATGAAGGTAGAATGTTAGCTGAATTACTAGGCCACAAAGCATATGGTTAAAATGATCCCTGATTTGGTAAATTGCATAGATATCTAGTAGAAAGTCATTGCTCTAGGCTTTTCTGAGTGCGATGATTCTTGTAACTTAATATGACCCTTGCTTGGACCTTAGAAGGCATACTATGGAGCAGTTCTAAAAGATACTGGATTCTGTGGGGCATCTAAGCCAAGAAAGACTCATATCCACCAATGTGGATCTTGTCCTTTTGCACCTGAGCTTTCACTTGAGGAGCCAGAGACTAGTCTCTGGAACTCTTGCAAATACTCCACTGAAGAGAAATGCTTGACACTGACTGTCCAGCAAGCCGTGTTTCCTGCCCTGTATCCTTCTAAGTGAATCTGAGCTAAGTGTGGCCTATGGTAGTGAACTTGTAAGACTGCATGCTTAGGTGAAAACCCCTAGTGGATGTGGCATAACTACCACCCCCTGTATAACGTATGGCTATTGTGTTTTCTGCAATGCGTTTTCTTAAAGACGTGGGATAGAATGTCAAGGAAACAGTAAATTGATTCTCCCTTTAAAATAGGTAAAATTGATAAAATACTAAGAGAAAACACCCTATATTTAGGCAACTACACTAGGACTGCAACCATGCAAAAAGGATGAGTAAACTTGCTTAAGGTTTGGGAGGAAATATAGAAATATTCATATTGCTGTTTTGTTAAATGAGATATGGGATTCAGGGTGATGTTCTTTTTAGAAAGTATTTATTATGGCATTATAATATGGTCTGTGTAATATATTAACATTTTAAAAAATAAGTGGAAGGCCCTTTGACTGCATCATACCCAGCTTAATCCAGTGCTCCTTCTCCCTAAGCTGTCCTACCATCTTAAATATCCTCTTCATTCAGCCATCAAAAATAATGAAGAGACCCGGTACAGTGGCTCACGCTTGTAATCCCAGCACTGTGGGAGACTGAGGCAGGTGGGTCACTTGAGGTCAGGAGTTCGAGACCAGCCTGGCCAACGTGACATGGCAAAACCCTGTCTCTACTAAAAATACAAAATTAGCCGGGTATGGTGGTACAGGCCTGTAATCCCAGCTACTCGGAAGGCTGAGGCAGGAGAATTGCTTGAACCTGGGAGGCAGAGGTTGCAGTGAGCCAAGATCGTGCTGCTGCTCTCCAGTATGAGTGACCAAGCGAGACTCCATCTCAGAAAAGTGGTAGAGATTAAAATGCAAAACAAAAAAGTTGTATTGGGAGGTTGGTAGTGGAGTGAGAGGGATATCTTAGTGCTGGCTATGATGCTTTTCTAGCACTAAGATTTCTCCTTGCAGGATAAGTCTTGCTGAGATAATGTCATTAGGTAAAAGGCAGAGGCTGTGTGCAGCCTGTAGTACTTAATATGGAGACCAGTATATTTGGTTTTAAAAATGGTACCTCCAAATATAATACTTAAAGAAAAGGGAAGCTGATACCCCATTTCTATGACATATGCCTAGAATTTTGGTGCTTTTGTTTCCCGCAAGAATGAAATGTTCTATTATTTTTTCATTTTCAGAATATATTCCTCTCATTAGAACCCCATATTATATGCATAACCCAAAAAGTGGAAACCATGTTCTTCCACCAGTGGCATTAGACCAAGAAAGCCTGCCTTTGAACCTTTAAAAGCCTGTCTCCAATCCTTAAAACCTTAATGGCTAGTGAACACAGCAATTCCCAATTAAGAGTCCTCAAATCTGATCTCAAAAATAACTGTCATGTTTTAGTAGAAGAGTGTATCTGAGACTTGGCCCTAGAAACATGTTTAAATGTCAACAATAACAGCAGATACCTGGAAACTTGTTCACTTGACCGGAGAATATGTCATTGTCGTGAAATGAAACTCCATGCCAGTAGATGTCACAAGGCAAGCGCCGGCCAAATGGGAACTAGAAGAGAAAAAATGTGACTCGCAATAAGAATAAGAAGAGCAGTGACCACACTGAGTATCCATTATGTACAAATTCCTGGCACCCTGGTGTACTTACCATGGTTTAATCCTTATAATACGCATATGAGGTAAGTGATATTCTTTGCCATTTTACAGATGAGGAAACAGATTCAAACAGGTTTAATAACTTGTTCCAAGTGGTAGAGCTCTGATTACATGTGGCAGATACTACACTCCTGGCTTTGCAGGCACCATTTCACTTTAATCCTTATAACTACCCTATAAAGGATTACTCCCATTTTGCTGATTCAAAACTTGGGGCTGACAGAGGTAATTTAACATGCCCAAGGGTCACACAGAGCTGGTAAGGGGAGGAACCAGGATTAGAGTCCAGGTCTATCCAAATTCCAAGCCCATACATCCCTTCCTCTGAAAATTACAACCCTCAACCGAGCCCAAAAGAATAAGCTTTCAGAGTCCCTCTTCCCTTATCTCTCTCTCTCTCTCTCTCTCTCTCACACACACACACACACATACACACACACATATGCTCCATGAGGGTAAGATGAATCCCAGGGCCTAAAACAGTTCCCCAAACTCGTAAAGACTTCCTGAATTAATAAATGAACAAATCAGGAGTGGTCATCTGACTCAAGATGAGATAACCAGATTCTCTCTTCCAGGAATCTGGAAATCAGAGATGCCAGGCAGCCTCTGCTGGCCCTTGAACTGGCAGGGATAAAAAGCCAGGGCAGGGCAGCTGTGCTTGGCTATGTGCACAGGAGCAGAGACAGCCAGTCTGCTGAGAGACAAGAAAGGAGCAGGTGTGGGAGGGAAAGCAGAGATGAGACAACATAGCCCTAGAAACTCAGACTGAGTGGCCTCAGACCCGCGTGAGCCTGTAAGATAGCCTTGTATCCTGAGAATACCTTTTTGGTCTTCTAAAATCTTGTTTGGCACAAGCTATAGAGTTTCAATTATTTGAAGCCAGAAAATTTCTCACCGAGACAAAAGGGCCTGTTCTTTCCACTACATCCTGTTGCTTCTCAAAGTTATCAACAAGCTCTGCATTTAATGAACATATTTTTTAAATCTGTAACTCAGATGACCTTGTTAAAGGAGAAAAGAGAGGCCATGTTAGTTCATATTCAGAATTTGCTTGTTAAAAGTGCACACAAATAGATATGCCAACATATTAAATAAAAATCTTTTGATTTTCCCATTCTAGGACTATAGGTAATCAGAATTTTTATCTACTTCAAGTTGAGGGGCCAAGGTCCAATGGAAGAACATAGCCTTACTAATGAAATGGTGGTGACTCAATGCTTTCCATACATTCCACATTAAAATGAAGCCAGCCTCAAGTCATTTAAATCAGTCACATTATTTCAAAGCTGTGCACAATGAGGCATATGTTGTACACTCTACTCACATTAACAACTTCCATCTATAATTTACAGCATTTTGCTCATTTTCTTTTTATGCAATGGGCTGTAAGTTATTAATTCAGTACTCATAAATACAATGAGATACAACATATGTTATTTTCTTCTAGCTGTTAAGTGCTAATATAGAGAAGGAGAAAATAACCAGAATTAAGCAGGCTATCCGAGCAAAGGGTAAAGTGGCTTTGCTTTGTTGCCCACAATGAGGAACCAACACCTTGTCAGTGGGCAACCCAATGACTCTTATCTCCTTTTTCATCACTCTTCAATGCTTACCACCCTCATGAATACCAAATTGCCCCCCCTTTTAGAGGCACCTTTAGCTCATTCAGTTTTGAGAAACTACCATTTTTAAAAACATGTCCATTCACTCAGTAATTATTATATGCCAGACTAGGTGCTAGGAATATGGGGGATATAATTTTAATTAAGTCCCAGGATTTCATAATCCTACCTCTTTTTAAGCTCCTTTAAAAACTGTCCGCTTACACAGCTAACATCATACTCAATGGTAAAATACTAAAAGCTTTAAAGCTTTTCCACCATGATCAGGAATAAGACAAAGATGCCCACTTTTATTTTACATCAACATAGTATTATAAATTCTAGCCAGAATAGGCAAGAGAAAGATATAGAAGGTGTCCACATTAGAAAATAAGAAGCAAAATTATCTGTTTGTTGATGACATGATCCCATATGTAGAAAACTCTAATGATTCCACAGAAAAATATTCAAAGTAATAAACAAATTCAGCAAAGTTGCAGGATACAAAATCAACACATAAAAATCAACTGTGTTTCATACATGATGAGGAGCAATCCAAAAAGGACCTTTTTTTAAAAGAATTCCATTTATAATAGCATCAAAAAGAATAAAATACTTAGGAATTAACCAAAAAGGTGAAAGACTTGTACACTGAAAACTATAAAATATTTGTAAAAGAAATTAAAGAAGATATTAATACAAATAAACAGAAAGATATCCTATGCTCATAGACCGGAAGAGTTAATATTGTTAGGATGTCAATACTACCTAAAATGGTCTACAGATGCAATGCAGTCTCTATCAAAATCCCAATAACTTTTTTTCAAAATAAAAAAATCCATCCTAAAATTCATATGGAATTACAAGGGACCCCAAATAGCAAAAACAATCTTGAAAAAAAAAAAAAGAACCAAGTGGAGTTCTCATACTTCCTTTTTTTTTTTTTTTGAAACAGAGTCTTCTTCCATCACCCAGGCTGGAGTGCAGTGGTACAATCTCAGCTCACTGCAACCTCTGCCTCCTGGATCAAGTGATTCTTTCTCTTCTGCCTCAGCCCCCCGAGTGGCTGGGATTACTGGCACATGCCAGCGCACCCAGCTAATTCTTGTATTTTTAGTAGAGGCTGGGTTTTGCCATGTTGGCCAGTCTGGTCTCAGGCCATCCACCTGCCTCGGCCTCCCCAAGTGCTGGGATTAAAGGCGTGAGTCACTGCGCCCAGGCTGGAGGTCTCACATTTCCTGATGCCAAAAACAAAGCTACAGTAATCAAATAGTGTATACAATCACAATGAGATACCACCAGCACCTATTACAATGGCCAAAGTCCAAAACACTGACATACCAAATGCTGGCAAGGACGTCGAGCAACAGGAACCCTCATTCCTTTCTGGTGGAAATGCAAAATGGTAAAGCCACTTTACAAGGCAGTTTGGCAGTTTCTTACAAAACTAAACATACTCTTATTATATAATCCAGCAATTAGTTCTCCTCGGTATTTATCCAAATGGGTTGAAAAACTTATATCCACACAAAAATCTGCACATGAATGTTTATAGCAGCTGTATTCATAACTGCCAAAACTTGGAAGCAGCTGAGATGTCCTTCAGTAGGTGAGTCCTTCTGTAGGTGAGTAGATAAATAAACTACAGTATATCCAAACAATGAAATATTATTCAGTGCTAAAAAGAAATGAGCTGTCAAGCCACAAAAGACATGGAGGAATCTTAAATGCATATTACTAAATGGAATAAGTCAATCTGAAAAAGCTACATACTGTATGATTCCAACTAAACTACATTCTGGAAAAGGCAAAACTACAGAGACAGTAAAAAGATCAGTATTTGCCAGGGGCCCGAGGGGAGGAAGAGATGAATAGGTGAAGTACAGAGGATTTTAGAGCAGTGAAAATACTCTGTGTGATACTATAATGGTAGATACATGTCATTATACATTTTTCAAAACCCATAGAATAGCACCAAGAGTGAAGAGTAATGTAAACTATGGACTTTGGGTGATGATGACATGTCAGTGTAGTTTCATCAGTTGTAAAAAACACACCACTCTGATTCAGGATTTTGATGGTGGGGGAGGCTATCAATGCAGGTGGGGGAAAATCTCTGCACCATATGCTCAATTTTGCTGTGAACCAAAAATGCTTTAAAAATGAAAATAAAAACAAATGAAAAAAATCAGTGTGGTACTGGCATAAAGACAGATATAGAGGACAGTGGGATAGGATAGCTCAGAAATAAAGCCTCTCAGGTGTGATCAAATGATTCTCAACAAGGATGACAAGACTATTCAATAGGGAAAGGGCAGTCTTTTCAACAAGTGGTGCTGGGAAAACTGAATATCCACGTGCAAAAAGAATGAAGTTGGACCTTTACCTTATACCATATACAAAAATTAACCCAAAATAGATCAAAGGCCTAATCATATGAGCCAAATCAAAGGCCTAATCATATGAGAAAAGCTTCATAACACTAGAAATACAGAAAATATAGGAGAAAAGCTTCATAACACTAGAAATATAGAAAACATAGGAGAAAAGCTTCATAACACTGCATTTGGCAATGATTTCTTGGATATGACAACGTAAGCACAGCCAACAAAAAACAAAATAGGTAAATCAAAGATAAAAATTAAAAACTTTTTTTCATCAAAAGACACTATGAACAGAGTGAAAAGGTAACCCACAGAATGGCAGAAAATATGTGCAAAATCATATATTTGATAATAGATCAATAGTCAGAATATATATATATTTTTTTCTTTTCTTTTTTTATTTTATTATTATACTTTAAGTTTTAGGGTACATGTGCACAACGTGCAGGTTTGTTACATATGTATACATGTGCCATGTTGGTGTGCTGCACCCATTAACTCGTCATTTAGTATTAGGTATATCTCCTAATGCTATCCCTTCCCCCTCCCCTCATCCCACAACAGTCCCCGGTGTGTGATGTTCCCCTTCCTGTGTCCATGTGTTCTCATTGTTCAATTCCCACCTACGAGTGAGAACGTGCAGTGTTTGGTTTTTTGTCCTTGCGATAGTTTGCTGAGAATGATGGTTTCCAGCTTCATCCATGTCCCTATAAAGGACATGAACTCATCCTTTTTTATGGCTGCATAGTATTCCATGGTGTATATGTGCCACATTTTCTTAATCCAGTCTATCATTGTTGGACATTTGGGTTGGTTCCAAGTCTTTGCTATTGTGAATAGTGCCGCAATAAACATACGTGTGCATGTGTCTTTATAGCAGCATGATTTATAATCCTTTGGGTATATACCCAGTAATGGGATGGCTGGGTCAAATGGTATTTCTAGTTCTAGATCCCTGAGGAATTGCCACACCGACTTCCACAATGGTTGAACTAGTTTACAGTCCCACCAACAGTATAAAAGTGTTCCTATTTCTCCACATCCTCTCTAGCACCGGTTGTTTCCTGACTTTTTAATGATCGCCATTCTAACTGGTGTGAGATGGTATCGCATTGTGGTTTTGATTTGCATTTCTCTGATGGCCAGTGATGATGAGCAGAATATATTTTTAAACTCCTACAACTCAACAATGAAAAAACACTTACAAAATGGACAAAAGTCCTGAATAGACATTTCTCCTAAGATATACTAATGGCCAATGAGCATATGAAAAGATATTTAACATCATTAATCATTTAAAAAATTGCAAATCAAAATCATAAGAAACTGCTTCATACCCATTAGGATAACTATTATCAAAAACAGGCTGGGCGAGGTGGCACACACCTGTAATCACAGCACTTTGGGAGGCTGACGCGGGAGGAGTTCAAGACCAGCCTGAGCAACATAGCAGGGCCCCCATCTAACAAACAACAACAACAAAATACCTGAAAAATTAGCTGGGCATCGTGGCATGCCTGTAGTCCCAACTACTCGGGAAGCTGAAGCAGGAGGATTGCTTGAACCCAGGTGTTTGAGGCTATAGTGAACTATGATTGCACCACTGCTCTCCAGCCTAGATGATAGAGACCCTATCTAAAAAAAAAGAAAAAAAATCACAGGACCTAAGTGTTGACAAGTATATAGAGAAATTGGAACCCTTGCACATTAAGAATATAGAAAGCTGCTGTAGTTAAAAAAAAAAATCACTGGCTGATTGATCTAGCAATTCCAGTTCTGGGTGTATCCCCCAAAAGAATTGAAAGCAGGCTGGGCGCAGTTCCTCACCCCTGTAATCCCAGCACTTTGGGAGGCCGAGGTGGGCAGATCACCTGAGGTCAGGGGTTCAAGATCAGCCTGGCCAACATGGCGAAACTCTGTCTCTACTACAAATACAAAAATTAGCCGGGCGTCGTGGCGCGCCTGTAATTCCAGTTACTTGGGAGGCTGAGGCAGGAGAATCGCTTGAACCCAGGAAGCAGAGGTTGCAGTGAGCCAAGATCACGCCACTGCACTCCAGCCTGGGCGATAGAGTGAGACTCCATCGCAAAAAAAAGAAAAGAAATGAAAGCAGAAACTCAAACAGATATTTATATACCAACATTCATAGGAGCATATTCACAATAGCCAAAATGTAGAAAAAGCCCAGGTGTGTCCATTAGTGGATGAAGAAATAAACACAATATGGTATATAAATACAATAGAAAATTATCCGGCCTTATAAAGGAAGGAAATTCTTCTACAACATGGATGTACCTTGAAGATGTGATGCTAAGTGAATGAGTCAGACACAAAAAGACAAATATCGTATGATTCTACTTATCTGAGGAACCTAGAGTAGTCAAATTCATAGAGGCAGAAAGTAGGATGGTGGTTGCCAGAGGCTGAAGGGAACAGAAATAGGGAGTTAGTGTTTAATGGGTACAGAGTGTCAGTTTGGGAAGATAAGAAAGTTCTGGAGATGCATGACAGTGATGGTTGGACAGCAGTGTGATTGTACTTAAAGCCACTGAACTGTACACCTAAAAATGGTTAAAATGGTAAATTTTATATCATGTATGTTTTACCACAATAAAAACAAAACACCATCTACTTAAGCCCCCTGATAGAGTTTGGATTTGTGTCCCCGCCCAAGTTTCATGTCGACTTGCAATCCCCAGTGTTGGAGAAGAGGCCTGGTGAGAGGTGATTGGATCATGGGGACAGACTTCCCTCTTGCTGCTCTCGTGACAGTGAATTCTCACGAGATCTGGTTGTTTAAAAGTGTGTAGCACCTCCCCTCCTTCTCTCTCTTCCTCCTGCTCCAGCCATGTAAGACACCTCCTTCCTGTTTGCCTTCTTCCATGATTGTAAGTTTCCTGAGGCCTCCAGAGCCATTCTTCCTGTACAGCCTGTGAACCATGAGCCAATTAAACCTCTTTCCCTTATCAATTACCCAGTCTCAGGTAGTTCTTTATAGCAAGAACAGACTAATACGCCCCCTGCAGCTGAGGGGCCATTTGTGGCTCTACTCTGAGCTGTCTGCAGTGTAGAATGCTGTTCAGATTGTCATGGAGCATTGAAAGCTGACAAATGGTTCTCAGATCCCCATTCTCCATCTTTTTCCAGTCCTGACCATCCTCCCAGTTTCCCGAGTTCTAAATCTGGTAGTCATCTTTCCTTTTCTCTTCTTCAGACACTTTTGGAAAAAGCACTGGATTTGGGATCAGCAGACCTGAGAGTCCTAGACTTGTCTCTGGCACTCACTGTGAGATTGTAATTAAGCCTCTATCCTCAGGAGATAGAGATGAGGAAACGTGGCAAGATAGCGAGGAGAACCAACCAAGATATGGAAATGGAAGGGCTTAGTACATGCCACAGAACAACACAATCTGAGTTCCATCATTGATTCAGGTACTCATTAGGTGTTGATTAAGTACCTCCTACGCGCCAAAGGGTCTCAGGAGCCAACAACACAATGGGAAATGTCTGCCTTCGGAGTATATGGTCCATGGGGGAGAAGATGATAAGCCAGATGGTGCTCAAAGGTATCACTATAAACCATGGTAGGGGCTGTGGAAGGAATCCCAGAGAGCAACGAGGGCACAGGAAGACCTAGTCACATCTGGGGAGCCTGAGAAGGCCACCCCGTGTCAGGTGACCACCTGCCCATTTGTCCAGAAGTTTCCAGCATATGCCTGTTGTCCTGGTGTCATTGTTCATAACACCCATTGCACTTTCAAATGTATCCCAGTTTGGGCAATAAATAAAATGGTCAACCTTTTCCCGAGGATGGGCAATTTGAGCTGAGATTGGAAGGAAGAATGGGAGTTGACTAGGAGATGAGGGAAGAAGGGTGTTCAGACAGAAAATAAATGTGTAAAAGCACAGAGGTAGGACTGTCATTGGCTCAAGGCAAAGCCTGATGGAGGGTCAGGGTGGCTGCAGCAGAGAGGACAAGAGGGAAGTGGTGGAGATGAGACTTCAGCAGGGGGCAGCTCAGGTAGGGCTGCACCCTGTGCTGGAGCATGCCCCCACCCCCTCTCCCCAGAAGAGAATGAACCCAGCGACCCAGCTGGGAAATAGAGACCACAGAGAGAGAGAGTACATGTTGTAAAAGCAAGGGAAAAGTGTTTCAAGACTAAAGGAGTGGTGGGAAGCTGAGAGGTCAGACAAGATGAACATTAAAAACTGCTCATTTGATATAATACCACAGAGAGCTTTGGAACCACTCCAGTTCACACCATCACCTTCCTGATTCCCTTACTATGCTTAGGATGTGCCTGTGCTGTTCTTTAGTTATTTCATGTGTAATCCTTATCTCCTTCATTAACACTATGCATTTCTAGGGCTAGGGACAATTTGATATGCGTGTCTCAGGTCTCCAGTGGGGTGTAACCAGGTATCTGGCAGGTCCCAGGCCCACAGGAAAATTAGAAGCCATAATCCTGAGAATCACCCATGTCACCTTCTCCCTCCTCAACATCCACTGGGCAGCAAGCCCTCTGGCTGATCTCTTAGCTTATTTTTAATTTCCTCTCCTTCCTGAATCCCCACTGCCTCTGCCTTACTTCAGGGCCTCATCTCTCACCAGCCTCCTCCCCCATCTCCCTTCCTCCAGGGTCTCCTCTTTAGTCTACCTGACACACAGCAGGACGAGAGACTTTTATTTTCATTATTTTTATTTTTATTTTTATTTTTTCAGAGATGGGGTCTCACTCTGTCAGCCAGCCTGGGTGCAGTGGTGTGATAATAGCTCACTGCAGCTTCAAACTCCTAGCCTCAAGTGATCCTCCCGCATCAGCCTCCCTAGTAGCTGGAACTATAAGCAAATGGCACAGCACCTGACTATATCTTTTACTTTTTGTAGAGTCAGAGTTGCGCTATGTTGCCCAGGCTGGTCTCAAACTCCTGGCCTCAAACGGTTTTACCATCTTGGCTTTCCAAAGTGCTGGGATTATAGATGTGAGGCACTGAACCCAGCCCAGATTTTTATTTTTAAACACAGCTCTGACCATATTGCTCCTTTGCTACAACTCTTCAATGCCTCCCCGTGGACCGACCACAGGATCAAGGCTAAGCTCCAAGCCTCATCTGAAAGACACTTCACAGACTCCCCTCTGCCAACCTGCCCACCTCAAGTTGGGCCACTTAACTCTTGGGCACTTGCACTGTCACTGTGACTAATTTCGATCCTTTAAGGATACAGCACTTTATTATTTAGTGGCCTGGGTTTCTTCATGTCATTCCTTCCGCCTGGGATCTTCTGACTGGGCTTGCCCATCCACTCCCCCTCCATGATGATGATCTCTCAGCTCTCTTTGTCTGTGGCCTCTGTCGCTACACCCATCACAGGCCATTCTGCAACATCTTGTCTGTACATCTGTCCACCTGGCCACTTTGCAAACTCCTTAAGCACAAGGAGAGCCCATGATCATCAGTGTATCCCTAACACCAAGGCTTCAGCACCCTGTAGGCTTTGTTTTTAACCTTTCTGAGGTCATAAATTCCTTTGAGATTCGTGCCAGAAAAAAAAAAAAAGCACGCACATGCACAAAATCTTCCACATGAGCTTAGGAGATTCAAAGACTCCCTACAGCCCCTAGTTGTTCTCAGATACCAGTGTTAGCAATGCCTGCAGTAATGTTTCATGAATGAATGAACTCACAAAGAGCAGCCACTCAAATACATGTCATCATCATCACCACTAACATTAGCATTTAGGTAATGCTTATTCCTATGTCTATGTGTTAAACACTTTACATGTATTACCTTATTTAATCCACAAACATGATAAAAGTGCTATTAACCCGATGATAAAGATTATGATATAGGTGCTACTATTAACCCTATTTGCAAATGAGGGTACCAAGTGCTAGGAGAGTAAATAACTTTCCCAAGGTCACAGAGGTATTATAGTAAGGGCAGAGGCAGGATCAAATCCAGGTCTGCGCAGTTTCAAGGCCCATGCACTTAAGCACTACAGATGTCTTTTTGGAGACTGCTATAGTCTTATTTACTAGTCACGCATGAATAACTGTAACCCTCACCCTACATGCTACCATCTTTGTCACAAAGAAAGTTCCTCCCCCAGAGTATACACCTGGATGGACCCGAAATCTTTTCCCTCTTGACCAGAAGAACTAAAAACAAACTTGCAAAATAGTCATGTTCAAATGAGAACTGAAGCTGTTAAATGTTCTTTGAGCAAATCTGTGTTTAAGGAATTGATGTTCGGGTCCCTCTTCTAATGGCCCAAAGAGAAATTTCAAGTCCCCCTGGGGACTTTGCAAAATGAAATTTCACAGTGAATGCTGATGAAAGCACAGTTCACATTTCTGTACTTTGTGAATGATTTTCTTCATAAAGCTTCTCTATGAACAGAAAGCATTTCAACTGACTGAGGATAAAGGTGGCAAATAAGCTTTGATATAAGCAAGTCTGTGTGCAATGCATCTGTAGGGGGGAAATGGTCCAAATGGCTGCTCTAAGATGAGGGGTCCAAAGTACTCAAAGGAAACACAGGGAAGGTGCTGTCATGGCTAAGGTACCAAGCGTGGACCAGCGAGACCCCAGCTCAAGCCGCAACCCACCACACCCCACTCAGAGACTCCAGCAGTGACTTTGCTTCCGCAGCTCAGCTACAACTGAGAAAAACAATAGTAATAAAACCTGTCCACCTCCCAGGGCTGTTATGTGGACTGCGATAACACATGGGAAAGCACTTTGCAAACAGTACATTGCTGTAATATGAGACAAGTTATTATTTTTAATGTCCAAGGAAATCACCTCAACAAGTAACTTCAATTTAAAAAGACACCAACCAAATATCGCGTGTCATTAGGACAGCTCTTGAGTAAGGACACTGCGGTGTGCGTGCACTTGGGAAACCTTCCATGATGCCTTCAGGCAGGTTAATAGAGTTCTCTCCAATGTTCCCCTGGCATTCTGTTGGTGCCAGTAATATAGCCACTGTCTTACGGGGCATTAATGTTTACATGACGGCCTCCCTCACCTGACAGATGCTTCAGGGGAGAGAAATTTTATTCTTCTTTCTATCCTCTCCCCTACCTGTGGTCTGCAGCCTCCAAGATGGTCCCCAGTGATCCCTGCCTCCTGGAATTCAATCCCTTGTGTGTCCTCTCCCACATTGTCACAGGCTTGGTCTAGATGACCAATGGCATACAGCAGAAGTGATAAGCCGTCACTTCTGATATTTAGGATATTTTTATAAAAAGACTACGGTGTCTGCCTTAGTCTCCTCACTCCCCCTTTGCTTTGGGAATGCCTAGGGAGACGCCCACATGGTAAGCAATCGGAGTCACCTGCCATCAGCCATGTGAGTGAGCTTGGAAGTGGATCTGTCAGCCCCAGTCAAGTACTCAGGGTCTGCGGCTCTGCCCAACAGCTTGATTGTAGCCTCATGAAAAAGCCTAAGCCAGAACCACCCAGCTAAGTCACACTCAGATTCCTAACCCTCAAAAATGGTGTAAGATCATAGATGTTTTTGTTTTAAGCTGCTTAGTTTTGGGGAAATTTGTTACACAGCAATAGATAATGAATGCACCATTTCAGTTTTAGAGCAAGGTCCCAGAGAAAGAACATGTTCTGAGAATGAAGGAATTTAAGATTAATATATCCTTATAATATAATGAATATAATAATTACTATTGAGTACTTAACAATGTGCCAGGTATCTTACATAAATGCCTCCATTTTGCAGATAAAGAAATATAATCCCATTGCTAATAAGTGACAAACCCAGAATTTGAAGCCATGTTGGTTTATCTCCAAAGACTGCATTCCTTCAATTCGACTAAGGGGGATGGATGGATGGATGGATGAAATGAGCACATACAGCAGAGAGTTGTGACAAACACTTCAAAGAAGATATCATAAATTTCTTTAACATACCCTGCAGTTTCTGCCTTGGCATCCATTTTGTGGTCTAGCATAAAGTTATTTGAAACCCAGTCATACCACATCGCCTTTGGCCTAGTTAAAACTTTCCCTCCCATGTGGTTGCTTGTGATACTGCCTGCTTGTTGCTCATCCCACGGACCCAAAACCCAACACACCCACAGCTGCTGACCACAACAAAACCTAATCACCAACACCAGAGTCTGTCTGTCTCTCTTCTCTCTCTCTTTCTCTCTCTCTGTGTCTCTCTCTTGCTCACTCACTCGCTCTCACTTCCCACTCGCTGGTTGAGCTCTCTGTCCCCTCCAGACTTCCAGACAGTCCCCAGTCAATGCCCCTAACCTCTCTGGATCCTCTGAGTAATAAATTTCTTCTGTTTCACCTCCTCATTGTGTCTTATCTGACACACACCCAAACCTAACTTTCCCCTTGGTCAGGGCTCTCCTGGAGACTGGCTATCTTGGCCTGTGGCTACGCTCAACAGAGAGACCTCGAGACCAAATTAGAAAGAACCCAAAACAATAAAAATCATAAAAGAAAAAACATAGCACAGAAAAGTCCAGAAGAGGCCAATTAAGACAAAGAAAGGACTAAGCAACTGCCCTTCAAGAGTGGACAAAAAAAAACTATCACTCTTCCTCAATCAAGAAAAAAAGCAGACTAAGAAAATACTGGTGGAAATTGATGAAATCCTGAAGGGTGTGACCAGATGGAACACAGTTCTATCTGCCAAATGTGAGCACATCAAAAGAAGGCATGTCCCTTTCAGGCCTGAAAGAGGGAGGCCCGCTCACTTCTCTGCCTTGCTGCTCACATCTCAGTGAACAGCACTGCTCCCCAGACAGAGGAGAAATTCCACCCCAACTGAGGGGCTCAGGAAGATTCCAGGCTCACTCTTGCCTATGGAAAATGGAGCTGGTGAGAAAAGGTTTCCCCATGCCAGCAAGGGACCAGACAGCTTCCCGACTGCAGTGTCTTTGGATGGGGCTGGTGGGGAAGCCCACCTGTGGGAGCAACTCCAAGTCTGTTTCCTCGATGGGAACAATAATGTCGACTTGATTGGGTTATTACAAGGATTAATAGTATGTTTGGACCACCTAGCACGGGGCCTGGCACACAATGCTTGATGCATAGCAGGTGTTCAAAAAATGCTGGTTTCTTCTTCTCTTCCATTCTTTCCTATCATTCTTCACCTCATACTTATTGACTGATAAGATTTTTAAAAACTCTTCCTTCATCCATCTTTCTGTTACCCAAAAGAGCTAGGAGATGGGGGTGTTTTGCAGGACTAGCCTAAGTTTAAATGTGCACATGGTACAATCAGGGTATTAAAGCCATGTGAGTCTTCATGGGTAGGCACGTAACCTCTGGAGAAAGCCCACAAGTGCAGAAAGGCTCCTTCCCTCGAGTTCAGGAACTTGGATTCAAATCTCAGCCCTGCCAACTATTAAGGGCCTGGGTTTCATCATCTGAGAAAGATGAGTAGCAGAGCCTCCCTCACAGGGGATGTTGTAAAGGTGAAAACAACCGCATAGGTGAAAGTCTGTTTGTGAATGGCCTGGCAGACAGTAGGAGTCAAATTAGTCCAATTAGAGAATATTGAAAGCAAGCCTCCTGGATTATTCACCTAATTAAGTCCCTTGGTGAGAAAGGCAGAGAGGAAGAGTCCCCAGACATGCCTGCTGGCAGAGAAAGCAGAAGCTGGCCGTCCACAAACCCACCTCAGGAAAAAGTCCATCAAGCATGGCTCTGGTCCACCAGGAATCCAGGAGCCGGGTCGGGGTAGAGGCAGATGTGTGGGCAGATCTGCAAATGCACTCTGCGTGTCAAAGTGCTGTGTGAGAGCCCAGAGGGAGGAGCAGTGGTTTCTGGTCTAGATGAGAAAAGCTTAACCAAGGAGGGGCCACTGGAGCGGGGCGTGAAGTAGGCCTTCGCAAAGGAAGAGACGAAGGGAAATCAGGCAGAGGACTATAGGACAGCAGAGATGTCCCACGTGCCTGGAGCCTGGGGGAAAGGGGAACAGCCAAAGTTGGAGAGGTCCACGCAGCCCACACAGCCCACACAGATCACGGTAGGCTCACAGGGCAAGCTGCGGAGCTGGAGCTTGACTCTGCAGGTGGAGGAAGTGCCCAAGCAGGGCTGTGTCAGACCAGGGCAGAATGGAGAGTGGATGAGGAGTAGAGAGAGACTGAGAGCAGCCAGGACCATAAGGAAGCTGACCTAGGCTGGGAGAAAGGGGAGGGAGCATGGGTGGGGACTGGGCCCAGAAAAAAGTATGCGCAGGGAGCAGGGCTGGGGGAAGGCGTGGGAGAGTAAAGGCAGTCATGGCTCCGCGTGCAAGGACTGCTCTGACAGTTCACACACTTCACAGTGCCCTTCCCTCCTGCCCGTGGGCTACATTCCTGTCTCACCTCCGCCAGGTTCCTAGTCGTTTGGGAATCTGAAGGGAGAGGCTCCCACGGAGATAACTAGCGCTCTGAAGAGCCTTCCAATGTAATAAAGGCGCCGTCTGGCTCCAGTGGGTTTCCCGGGAACACAATAATTACTCATCCTCTAATAGAGCCAATAAATATAGCAAGAGGATAAGTAATTAACAACCTTTTGCTGGAAAGTAGCAATTCTTGTGATCTATGAAGTTTCCTTTTCCTGTTCACTTCTTCTTCATTATTGCAAATATGATACCCCGGGTAAGCGTGCCATTCATCCTTCACTGAGTTAATCACCAAAGCATGTTGTATTTTTTATTAAATCCATTCATTATAATTGACTCATATGAATGGAAGCTGGAAGAGCGGTGGTGAGGCCCATCGTCCGCCTTGCTTCCGCTTGTGATTGCAATACTTTTAATGAGATCAAAATTGTTACCAAACAATTTAACAATGGGGAGGAAAAAAACCCATTAGTAGGAGGGGAAGATAACCTTGCCCCTTTCATAATTTCAGCGTACCATAGCAATCTCCTCCAGTTATTTATTCTGCTATCTAATTTCCCACCCATAAAGAATCTTTATTAGTAGTAATTATATTATTAGGCAACAGAAAAAGAAAAACTTCACAAACTTCTAAAGCGATTTACCTCTTGGCTTGCAGTTTTAATTAAAATTCCAGTTTATTTAGCAAATAGCTCTGAAAAGATTAGATACGAATTTAGCACTATGTTCTTTTTCCACTTTCCAATTCATGAGGGTGATACAAACAACAAAATAATCTCTTTAAATGACTCTTACTCCATTCCAACATAATTCAGCCCATGGAAAAGAGTTCCAATATCAATTATAAATTATAAATGAACTCCATTATACCCTGCAAATTATCAACAGTAATCTCCCAGTTCTCTACTTCCTCACAGTTGGTAAATTATATCAATTCACCACTAGGCCTCAAATTACCTAGACTCTTCCATATCGAAACTTTAAATGGTTTATTAACTGAAATGGAAACAATGCAAATCAGGTTTCCATTTCAGCAACACTTACCTCCCACCCAGGATATCAGACAACTTTATCCAAAGTCACACCTGACTTCTCTTAGGGCAGCTTTTCCCCAGTTATCCAGGAACCCAGTCCAATTCAGTACTTTCCCCAATAAAAAGTCCCACCAGAGCGTTGGTCTAAAGGCACCATGGTGTTGCCGGTCCATAAATTCATTTATTCAACACATAAGCAAGTCATGCCTCTGAGCCAGGCAGTATGCTTGGGGAATGCTCAGAAATTCCACACACAGGAGCAGAGGGTTAGTGGTGACAGGCAAAGCTGAAGGGGGGATGTGTCAGTCTGGGTTCTCTAGAAAGACAGGACTAATAGGATAGATAGATAGATAGATAGATAGATAGATAGATAGATAAAGGGGAGTTTATTAAGTATTAACTCACATGATCACAAGGTCCCACAATAGTCTATCTGCAAGCTGAGGAGCAAGGAAGCCAGACCGAATCCCAAAGCTGAAGAACTTGGAATCCGATGTTCAAAGGCAGGAAGCATCCAGCATGGGAGAAAGATGTGGGCTGGGAAGCTAAGCCATTCCAGGATTTTCACATCTTTCTGCCTGCTTTATATTCTAGATGCCCTGGCAGCTGATTAGATGGTGCCCGCTCAGATTAAGGGTGGGTCTGCCCTTCCCAGCCCACTGACTCAAATGTTAATCTCCTTTGGCAACACACTCACAGACACACCCAGAATCAATACTTTGCATCCTTCAGTCCAATCAAGTTGACACTCAGTATTAACCATCACAAGGGAACATAGGAGGATGAATGAACCAGTGGACAAGTCAGATAAATAAGGCCTGCAGTCACCATCTAAGCCAAGCTTTTTACCTATGCTGTCAAATTTCCAGTCAAAGCTCCACACCACCTTGTAAATAGCCATCATATCCTCATTTCACAGAAGGAGCAACCAAGGCTCGGAAAGGTTGAAGCCATTTGAACTGACTCTTGACGAAAAAAAGGGAAGTTACCAAAAGACTGGGAGGGAGGGTGTTCCCTCAGGAGGAAGCAAACTGCATGGGCAAAGACTGAGCAGCGAGAAGCCAGGAGCCCAAGTTGCTGGTCCTGTGTGTGGCCACTAACTTGCGGAGCTGCCTCGGGCATTCACAGACCTCTTCAAGCCTATTTCCCCATTTGCCATATGCAGGATATCCCCCATTCTGCAAATCTGCAAGGGGCTGCTCTTCTTTTCCAGCAATCGACAATGACTTGTCCTGAGCCTGATGTATGCACTGCTGCCAAAATAACGTACCCAAGGGAGAGAGAAGAGGTCTCCTAGAGGACTAACTAAAGGTGACTCGGCTTTGCCCCCTCCAAATTCATTTGCTCCTCCTGATCCCAAAACCCAGCCTGAAATTCCCAGAGATGTGCCACTGCCACAAGAGACTCGAGTCATACAATCACATATTAACAAAAATTAATATTGTACCAATAATTTCTGTAATAATAATGAAAATGGCTACTATTTATGTGCTGTGTATATTACACGTGCTATCTCAATTCACTCTCACAACAACACTATGAAATAGGTAGATATATTATTTTCACTTTACCTAAGTGAAAAACCTAAACTCAGAGCAATTAAATAACTGGTTTATTTAACCCTCTGGTACTGCATCTAGTAAGTGGCAGAACAAGGACTAGAACCCAGCCTCATTAAATCCTTAGGCCCCATGGAACTGAGCCTAGGAGAAATGGATGAGATTCCTTTAACTGTCATAGAACTGCGGTGATGATGGGGTGTGTACTGAGTTCCTAGGCCCATTCTTGGGAGAAGAGTCAGGGGAGGGACCTGGCCCCACCTAGGAGCTCTCCAGAGTGCTGAACAGACTGCCACAGCATTCCCACTCAAAGCACTGCATCTTCCACCTGGGTGTCCATGTCTATGTCAAGCCTCACCTCCTGATATCAGTGACCAACAGAACCGCTAATGCAATAGTGTTGGGAATGGGAGTATAAACGGGAGAAAAAATTAACTTTTAGAAGAACTGAGCTAGAGGGGATAACAGGACATCATTCAGAGGTATCCCACAGGAACTGGAAATTCAGGAATGGGAGTAGAGAGAAGCCAAGGCAAGAAGGGCATGTGTCTGCTTCACAGAGGAATCATAGAGGAAAGAAGTGCTGAATGGGTGGATGTGTTCTTGGAGTGATTGCTGAGAAACAGCAAAGCCAGAGGTGGGAAGGGAAGGAGACTCCTTTCAGCTGCCCTAGACAGTGGGCGCCAAGAACAAATATTGCATTAAACCCCATTATTGTTTTAAAGGTGTTCAGGGAGGATGGCATTTTACTGCCTGTAGATTTAAATCGGTGAATAAATTCCCACTACCACTCCTAAACCTCCAGTAAGAAAGAACAAGAAATGACAAAGTGTTCCAGGGAAAAATAGAAAATAGAAAGTGATCTGCTGTAAGGTGACATGATTCAAGCTCAAATCCTTTTTTTTTTTTTTTTTTTTTACTGAATCTCACTCTGTCACCCATGCTGGAGTGCACTGGAACAATTCAGCTCACTGCAACCTCCGGCTCCCGGGTTCAAGCAATTCTCCTGCCTCAGCCTTCGGAGTCAGTAACTGGGATTACAGGCACCCACCACTACACCTGGCTAATTTTCGTTATTTTTGGTAGAGACGGGGTTTCGCCATGTTGGCCGGGGTGGTCTCGAACTCCTGGCCTCAAGTGATCCGCCTGCCTCAACCTCCCAAATCGCTGGGATTACAGGTGTGAGCCACTACCCCGCCAATCATATCCACTTTTAATTGAAGTAAAAACATCTTAAAATTTTGAGAAGTCACTTGGAAAGGCCCTGAGCTTCTCTTTGGCCTTGAGACCACAGAACCAAAAGGCTTACATAAAGGGATATTTATAAACACACCTCTCCCTCTGGTGGTAAAAGAGGTATTTAAAAAGCACATTTATTCTCTGGCTCCATCCCCACCTCCACCCTCCTACAGACCTTACATAAAAATAGTTATGCCCTTTTATGAACTTAGTCTCTCATTCAAGCCCACTTTATTATGCATCAACTCAGTGTCAGGCACTGAGGGGTTCAGAAAAGAATAAGGCTCAGTCCCTGTCTTCAGGATGGACTTGTAAACAAATGATAATGCAAATTCACCCACGTTCTAGCAGGTGAGGGCCAAAGGGCTACAGGAGCATGAAGCAGAGCATGAGTTATTCTGCTGGAAGGAAAGGTGTGGTTTGGAAGAAATGTCAAAGGTGAGGTAGAATTTGCCAAGTCTAGAAGCCAGGAAAGTGGTGTGGGCACGGGACCATGAGGAGCATGATCATAGGTTTCCTCGAGGCAGGAACACCTTCATGATTTCCATACTGCTGGTGCCTAGCCCAGTGCCTGGGAGGGAGTAGGCGTGAAACAGATGCTAGAGGAATTAATGGCATGTAGCTCCATGTGGAGGGAGGAAAGCCTGCCCACGGGGCTTTGCAATAGACAGGGAACTCAGTGGAGACAGAATCCATAAGCCTCAAGACCAATTTTAATGTGAAACTGCTCAAGCCTACAGCTGTCATGTTCAGATTTGGTCCTTCATTTCTCCAGGCAAGGATTTAACAATAACGTTCATGTCCACCTCACCACAGGGGAAAGGAAATATATGACTACAGTGGGGTCTAATTTCAAGAGGGATGGGCCAGCTCCCGGATGCAAGAGGGAGAGTCCACTCTGCTGTTTAGAATTTCAAAAGGTATCATCAGCAATAACTGCTCAAATATGATGGGAGAGGGGACTAGCGCGTATGGCCATCTTTATCAAATTTTGGAGCCTCCTTTTGTTTCTGATGTTGAGCTATAAGTTCCAAATCTTCTCATTTTTCACAGCTCAACACAGCTAATAGCTGTGGCCAAATCCAGTGCTTTCACTAGCTCCTTGAGATGAGAGCTGTTATTCCTCTACTAAGTATTTAAGCAATACCTTTTAATTTACTTAATGAATTCAGAACAAACTGATTGATGGCCCAGCTCAGTTGGCAATGACAGCTGGCATTTCCCTGATGACCAGATAATGAGGCAATTGCATTAAGTGTGTGTCACCCTGATCAGCTGGCGTGGTCTATTAAGGCAGAGCTAGGCCACGTACGGCTTTCAGTCAGCATCCACAGCCTGCAGGTCCTTAAGCACTCTGGGACTGGCTTACACACCTCTGCATTTCCATGCTGTGATAAATCTGATGCTTTCTCGGTGCACCTTGAAGAAACCAAGCCAGTCAACTTAGCTTTGGAAAAGCCTGTATCCTGTTGCAAATAATGATTAAAAGAAACATTGTGGGATTAAGACTCAGGAAACTGAGATTCTAGTCCTAATTAATTAATTCATCCACTTGACAAACATTAATCGAATGCCTATCACGTGCTAGCTACTGAGCTAAGTGCTGGGATATAAAATAAAATCACTATTGCCATGTTTGCTGAGCATTTACTATGTGCCAGGCATGGCTCTAAGCACTTTCAATGTATGAAGTTACTTAAAACTCCTAACAACCCTACAGGTAAGCGCTATTATCATACCCATTTAACAGATGAGGAAACTGAGGCACAGGGACGTCAAGTAACGTGCCTCAGTTTTCAACCTCATAAGTGGCAGAGCCAGGAACAAACCCAGCCAAAATGACTCTAGAGATGAATGAGATGCAGCTCTAGCCCTAGAGAAGCTTGAAGTTTCTTGGAGGGATACACAGACATGTACACATGTGCACTTAATGCTCTGTGATTCAGAAAAAAAATGTGTAACCTGTATTAGCTTTCTATTGCTGCACAAAAAAATTAATACAAATGTGGTGCCTGAAGACAACACCTATTTATTAGTTCACAGTCCTTTAGGTCAGGAATCCACCATGGTGTAACTGGTTTCTCTGTTCCCTGCTCCGGTTATCACGAGGCTCAAATTAAGGTGTTGCCGGGTTTATGGCACTCATCTGGGCTCAGGGTCATCATCTGTGCTCACTGGTTGTTGGTAGAATTCATCTCCTTGCAGCTGCGGGACTGAGATCCTTATTTTCCTCCTAGCTGTCAGCCAGGGACCACACTCAGCAACTAGAGACTCCCCACAGCTGCTTGTCATAGTGACCCCCATAGGTAATTGATAACATGGGTATCTGCTTTCTTCCTGACTGGCTGGAATGCATCTCTCAGACTTCCTCTTCTGCAACCAGCCAGAGAAAACTCTTCCTTGAAAGGGCTGGCCTGATTAGATCCCCAGGGATATCTCCCTTTTACCCTACAATGTAATATGGTCACAGGGGCGATGTCTTATCATAGACACAGGGTCCACCCACACTCAAAGGGAAGAGGATTATACAAGGCAGAGTATCATTCAAGGTCATCTTAGAATTCTTCCCACCACACTTGCTGAGTTTTCACTTTCCTGAGGCTAGACTAGATGACAATGATGATAGCTAACTATTTGTATAGTGATTCACAATTTAATAAATACCTTTTCACATGTAGTCTCTTATATGAGCCTTACCATCCAGAAATCCCAGTGCTCTAGGAGAAAAGGTTAGCTTCACTGCTCAGAAGAGGAATATAAGGGTTAGAGAAGTTACATAGCCTGCTCCCTGCCATGCTGGTAGAGCATGGGAAAGCCAAGACGTTAACTTAAGCCTTCCAGTTCCAACATCTGAGCTCCTTCCTCTAGCCCGTGCTGCCATATAGATCCAAAAGGACCAGACACAAGCTAGTGCCAGTGCCTTGACTGAAGTGGGAAGAACACAGGAATCAGATCTTGGTTTGAATCCAAGTTTTGCCGCTTGGATTCAAACCCATTAGTTCCAGGTCTTGTGCAAACCACTTCCTCTTTCTGGGTATCCTCATCTGTAAAATGGGGGGAGAAGTTGGACTACATGGTCTCCAAGGGCTCTTTCAGCCTCAAATCAGGACAAGACTGTTTCAACTATGCTGTGGGAGATTATTAGCTCCAACGGTCCATTTTCTTGTTGAAGAAGAACTGTATAACTATGCCCTCTTCCAGGTATTCCTGGGGTATGGGAGAAGATCAGTGTATTAGTTTCCTAAGGCTGCCATAACAAATTACCATGAACTTGGTGGCTTAAAACAGAAATTTATTCTCTCACAGCTCTGGAGACCCGACATCCAGGATCAAGATGTCAGCAGGGTTGATTTCCTCTGAAGACTCCAAGGGAGAATCCATTCCATGCCTCTTCCTGGCTTCTGGTGGATGCCAGCAGCCCTTGGCATCACTTGCCTTGTTCACACATCACTCCAATCCCTGCCACCGTCTTCACATGGCCCCCCTCTCCATATGTCTGTCTTCTCCTTTTCTGTCTCTTATAAAGACACTTGTCATTGGATTTAGGACCCACCCTAAAACCAGGATCGTCTCATCCCAAGATCTTTAATTACATCTGCAAAGACTATTTCCAAATAAGGTCATATTCACAGATACTGGTTAGGGCTTGGACATATCTTTTTTTGGGGGGGCACAATTCAACCCCTATACATAAATTGATGTATGCATCCCACTAGTGATGGAATTTCAGTGCTTTCCAGTTTTTCCATTACACAGAACACTGTAATAAGCATCCTTATTGTATCTCATTGAGCACATGGACAAGAATTTCTCTAGAAGTGGAATTTTTGGGGTTGAAGAGTAGATACATTTTTAACACCACTAAATATTGCTAAATATTTTTGCCAATTTGATGGATGTGAAATGGTAGCTCATTGTTATTTTAACTTGCATTTCATGATTAGACTAGTAAGACTAAATGTTTTTTTTTCTTTTTTTGTTTTCTTTTTTTGAGATGGAGTCTCACTCCGTCGCCCAGGCTGGAGTGCAGTGGTGCAATCTTGGCTCACTGCAACCTCTGCCTCCTGGGTTAAAGCGATTCTCTTGTCTCAGCCTCCTGAGTAGCTGGGACTATAGACACCCACCACCACGCCCTGCTAATTTTTGTATTTTTAGTAGAGATGGGGTTTCACCACATTGGCCAGGCTGGTCTTGAACTCCTGACCTCGTGATCTGCCCACCTCGGCCTCCCAAAGTGCTGGGATTACAGGTGTGAGCCACTGCACCCAGCCGAATTATCTTTTTCAAGTGTCTATTAGACATTTGGGTTTCCTCTTTGAATTTCTTTTGAAAATTCTAAATAGGTGGTTCTCTGTCAGGTAATCCTGTCAGGGAACTAGGAATCTGGATGTTAAAATACTCACCAGGGGAGCCTGAGGCACAGCCCCATTGGGGCACACCCTGGGCACATCCTGCTATATTAAATATAGTAGCCAATCTCATGGGCACTTTGTTATTATACCTCAGAGTGCACTGAGGGGCTCGATCTCTTACAAAACTGTGACACTGCACTGATCAGAGGAGGCTGTTGGAGGATGCTATTCACCACATCACACAGGGGCTCTTTTAAGAAGCCCTCTGGGGGAGTTTCTCCCAGCCTCAGTGCTAGGAAAAGCCAAGCTTCTCTTCAACATCTTCTATTTGATCTGATAGATATGACCTACGACTTGGTACATTTCTGTTTTTCCTTGGTAACCAGAGAGCTCCAAACCAAATCTGTATCCCATTATAAGAACTGTGCAAGATCTTTATATTATGCTTTTTTTTTTTTTTTTTTTTTTTTGAGATGGAGTCTTGCTCTGTCGCCCAGGCTGGAGTGCAGTGGCATGATCCTGGCTCACTGCAACCTCCATTTCCCGGGTTCAAGCAATTCTCCTGCCTCAGCCTCCCAAGTAGCTGGGTTTACAGGCACCCACCACCATGCCTGGCTAATTTTTGTATTTTTAGTAGAGATGGGGTTTCACCATCTTGGCCAGGCTGGTCTCAAACTCCTGACCACAGGTGATCCACCTTCCTCGGCCTCCCAAAGTGCTGGGATTACAGGCATGATATATTATGCATTTCTAGATATTAACTTTCCCCAGATTTTTTTAAGAGATGGAGTCTCACTCTATTAGCCATGCTGGAGTGCAGTGGCACAATTACTGTTCGCCGTAGCCTTGACCTCCCAGGCTCAAGCAATCCTCCCACCTCAGCCTCCCCAATAGCTGGGACTACAGGTGCATGCCACCACGCCTGGCTAATTTTGTTTATTGTTTGTAGAGACAGGATCCTGCTATCTTGCCCAGGCTGGCTTTGAACTCCTGGGCTCAAGAGATCCTCCCACCTTGACCTCCCAAATTGCTGGGATTACAAGCTTGGGCCACCGCACCTGGCCTGAGTTTATCTTACTATATCATCTTAATTGCTCCTTTGCCCGAATTTTTTTTACCTGAATGTCAAGAAACCAAAAACTTATAACAATGTGTGTCTTTTTGAAAGCCATTTTACATACTTTTGGGGAACAAAATAGGCATAAATACATATTAAAATAATTTTACATTTTACCTTGTGAGATTTAAATAATATAAAACTTAGGTGAGTTAAGACCCTTACTTCAAAATCGACCTATTTGAAGATCCATATATGATAACATCAGATCTATTGTTGATTTTTAACTGGAAGAAAATACTTCAAACATGAACTATTCAAAACATATCAGTGAAAATTATATTAATGCTAGAAAACAGGTCACTAGCTGTAGCCATTCAGGTACAGAAAAAATAAGATTGCGTTTTAAAATACAATACTATTTATTTTGAAATCACTATTATTGAGTTCAAAAATGGTGCAAAAACCATTACATTTATTTAAGATCACCTGTATTTCGTTTAGTGGCTTTAAAGCAAAATTTATTTTCAAAAACTTTCACAGAATTTCTTAAAGGCAATTTTAACTTCTTATGGTTCCTGTTTTGTTCTTAAAACAACAGAAAAGCATGCTAATGCTTAATTCACTGTTGCTCCAATTCTTTCTCCAAGAATATGATGGCCAACCAATTCATCCCAGTTTGCCCAGGACTGTCCAGGTTTTAAAACTGAAGTCCAGTGTCTTAGGAACCCCCTCAGTCCTGGGCAAACCAGGACAGCTGGTCACCCTAGCAATGGGGCGGCCTCCTTTTGCCAATGTATGGAAGGAAGAGCCTATTAACAGCAAGTCTTTCTCATACCCTTTAAATTTCAAAGGCAGTCATATATCTGAAAGGTATTCCTAAGTGTTAGGAAACAATAAAATTCTGAATTTAGTTCACTTAATATCAGCCTGGATTTCATAATGGATTAGAGAGACTCTTCACACATCAATGTTCTTATTCTCTTCTAAAGAATTCCAGGAAAAGAGATTCCATAAAGCTATCTTTGAAATCCATTCTGCCATCCATAATCTTTTTAAAATATTAAGTTTAATCTACAATTATATCATTTTCCTTCTCAGCACCAAACTGAATAAAGAAATCTTAAAGATATGCTATCCACAGGAAATCAAGTAAAATTATTAAAGACCTCAAAATGGGTCACCAGAACAAAGTTAAAAGACAGTGAAAAACTTTCTTTTGACTTAGGGGGAGGGGAGGAAAAGAAGGCTAAATTCTAAAATGTTAAGAATACTGGAAACTTTTTAGGATAGCGGGTCAAGCAAAGACCCTCAAAGCCTTGATTATAATCCATTCTATTCAGCACAATAATCATAAATGAGTTCCTCAAAAGAAGGCAAAAACTAACATTTATTAGATGTCTACTGTATATTGGTTGCTCTCATGCTCAGTATTTTAATCTCCCTATATGCCTGTTGATCAATAGCATTTATCCATTTTACAGATGAAACAAATTAGACTCTGAGTCATTCACACTACACTGTGCTAGGTGTTGGGTGTGCAATAATAAACAATAGAGCCATGGTTTCTGCTTTTGTTGAGCTTAGAATCTAGTGGGGGATGACAGACACAAGAACTCATTACAAAAATAATTACGAGTGACCCAGCTTGGGAGGAATCAAGGAATGCTTTCCTGAAAGCTGAAGAGTAAGAAGACAAAGGAGGAGGGAAGAGGTGGGGAGAGAAAGGAGAACAATTTTTTCTTTCTAGGCAGAGGAAATGGCACACAGAGGTCTTAAGATTAGAACACTCAGTTATGTGTCCAAGATTAACCCAATTTATAAGGGGCAGCTTGGGGTTCTCAGACCTGTGCTTTCTGACTCCAAAATTCATGTTCCCTCCACTGTAAGATAATGTGAGCCTTGGTGCTTCAATTCTAAAGAGGATGGTCCACAAAGGGGACCAAATTCCCAGTGGTGACACTCAGTGTCTCCCAAACTAGTTGATCAGAAGAATCACGTAAAGGGGCTTGTTAAAAAAAATAAATAGTCCCTAGGTCCCATCCCTACTGGGAAATCACATTTTAACAAATGCCCCAGGTGATTCTTAGGATCAGACAAGTTTGGGAGATGCTAAGTTATGGCTCCAGGAAACCTAAAACCCAAAACAATCGTTTACTTAACTGCAATCTCCTGGCCAATTTTAAGAACTGGGTAGAGTTCCTCGAAGTAATTTAGCCTCGCAAGAAGAAAAGGAATGGGTAAAAAATAAAAACCTCTGGAGGTCAATCAGCCAGCCAGTCAAATAAAAATGCTGCCCCTCCTTTCTTCCGGGTTTCCTATGGGTTTTTACAGTCTCTCATTCTGGATTAAGTAATGTCTTCTTAGCATAGGTTATGTGACTTCTGTCAAAACAAAACTGATTCCCACACCAGGAGGCTCAGTAACACACTACTAATTTCCAGTCATCACTAATTAAGGACTTGAGTAGACTCACGGAAGCAGCAAGATAATAAGAAACTACAAGCCTTGGCTTTCAGCTGGGAGAGGTTATGGATTTAGAATCCAAACAACCCGGGTTCAAATCCCAGACCTACCACTTACTAGACAAACATAGATAAATTAATGAACCTCTCTGAGCTGCATTTTCCCAAACTGCACATGGGGCTAATGATTACCTCCATCGTAGACTTATTCTGAGGAATAGGTGAGATAATGGAGGGGGTGGCCTGACACTATCAGGTCATTAACAAATGTTTGTCAATGAATAATAAAACAAGAGTGAATTTATAGCCCAGCAAGAGAGGGACTGTACTAATATGTAATCAGCAGTTAATAAAGACATATTAAATCTTAAAAAGAGACACTCACAGGCACAAAGTACTGATTCTAAGCTATATTGCAGAAAAACAGGCCCTTCCCAGTGTACAGTGGATTGAATTACAGTTTGGTTCTCTGGGTAGGACGTTCTTAAATGGGGGTGGAGTAGAAGGAGGGGGAGTGTTAATGTGCTAATTTTGTTCTTAGGTAATAGATTTCCTGGAAGCTGTAAGAACTGAATGCATGTTCCAAAAATGATAGCAGACTACAGACTGAAGTGACACCAGCTCAAAGGCTGGTGGACTGGGGAGCAGAGTGTTGTTGTTGTTGTTGTTGTTGTTAGTGGTGGTGGTGGTGGTGGTGGTGGTGGTAGGCTTGTAGGGTTTATAGGTCATCTTAGTGATAATAATGTCATCCAATTTAAAAAGTGCTTTAAATGATTTCCCTTTACTAAGAGAGAGAAGACACAAGAAGAGAAGTTTAATCAAAGGTGCAGGGGGTGGAGTGGGAGACAACAGGGAAGGACAAAAAAAAATCACTGAGCCAGAGTCCAGGGTCACACAGACAGCAATCTTGCCTTAGAACTAAGGGGTGGAGACCACGGAAAGATGGAAACCAGCAGAGCTGACTGTGAAGACAGGACTGGTCACCTGAGAATTGCTGGATCCATGACTTTAGGACTAAGCATGCTAAAAACCAAGTTTGGGGCCATAACAGACATGACTCCCTTTCTCCACTAAGCTTAGAGAGGCCACAGAATCTCTCAGAAGCACTGCAAATCAGCAAATGTCTACACAATCGGTAAAACTTATTTGATATCCAGGAATGTTCTGCTGAATCCCCTAATTAAGTCCAGAGTAGTATGGTCCGTTTTCATACTGTTATCAAGAACTGCCCCAGACTGGGTAATTTACAAAGGAAGAAGGTTTGACTCACAGTTCAGCATGGCTAGGGAGGCCTCAGGAAACTTAAAATCATGACAGAAGGGGAAGCAAGGCACCTTCTTCACAAGGCAGCAGGAAGGAGAAGTACCAAGCAAAAGGGGAAGAGACCCTTATAAAACCATCAGATCTCATGAGAACTCACTCACTATCATGAGAACAGCATGGGAGAAACTTCCCCCATGATTCAATTACCTTCACCTGGTCTCTCCCTTGACACATAGGGATTATGGGGATTACAATTCAAGATGAGATTTGGGTAGGGACACAAAGCCAGCCCATATCATAATGACATCAAGACTTGAGTTCAAATCCTAGTTCTGCATACCTTGGGCAAGTCACTCAACCTTTGTGAACCCATCCCCTTCTTTGTTTGGAAAACAGGAATAATAATTGCACCTCAAAGGATTTGTAAGAATTAATAAAATAACCTATAAAAACTCCCTAACACAGAAAAGTCCTCAAATGTGTTTGCTTCTCTACCACTCAAAACAAAAACAAAAGAGGCACTTTGTTTCTATTACGGTGAATCTGACTTCTTTGACAGGTATGGGCTTCGGAAAGCTGGTAGACAACTTATTCATGTGGGAAGATAAACTAAGAGTAGGTTTGCATTGGTTTATAAATCTGCCAATATTACTGCTGCAGAATCTAAATCCAAGGCACCATGAGAAGAGGATACAAAACTCTATGTGAGCAAAAGATTTTTTATTTATTAATTTATTTGAGACAGAGTCTCGTTCTGTCACCCAGGCTGGAGTGCAATGGCGCGATCTCAGCTCACTGCAGCCAGGATCTTCTGCCTCAGTCTCCCGGGTAGCTGGGACTACAGGCGCCCACTGCCACGCCCAGCTAATTTTTGTATTTTTAGTAGAGACAGGGTTTCACCATGTTGGTCAGGCTGGTCTTGAACTCCTGACCTCACGTGATCCACCCACCTCTGCCTCCCAAAGTGCCGGGATTGCAGGTGTGAGCCACCATGCCCAGCCTGAGCAAAAGGTTTTAAATGTAAACAATGTACTTAATTTCCCACTTCTTATGACAAGCCAAATCTCAAGTCCTAATTCTTTCACTCCACAATAGTTACCAGAGTGAAAACATTCCAAATTTTATACCTTAGTTTTGAAGAGAATTAAATGCATGATGTCATTCCTAGATTTTTATCCTACGATATTCTTACACAAGTACACAAAGACATATATACAAGGATATGGTCATTGCAGCTTTACATACAGTGGTAACACCCTGTAGGTAGCCAAGGGTGTGTCAATAGGGCATTAATTAAGTAAATGATGGTACATTTGTATTATGGAATGTGATGTAGCCATGAAAAAGGATGCAGTAAATCAATATATAACGATACAAAACAATAGCTAAGTTATATTACTAAATTATATAAAAGGAACAGAATCGAGTGGATTATATTAAAACATTAGGTACATAAAAAGGGCTATTTATACAATATATACCTAGATATGTATACCTCTGGAAACAGACCAAGAAAACTGCTCCAGGTGGTTTGCCTCTGAGGAAGGGAACTATAGGTGGGATGTACTGGTCTACTATGTAAATTCATTATCACGTGCATGTTATTAAATTGCTAATCAATAAAACTGGGATATACAGTAATAATAAAGATAAAAGTCCACATAGTATTAATAGTAATAGTTATATTGTTGGATACTTATTATGTACCATTGGGACTGTTCCAACATTATCTCTCAACCCTCCTCTAAGGTGGGGGTTATTATACCCCATCATTCAGCTGAGGAAACTAAGGCTCAAAGAAGTTAAATCACTCACCCAAATGCACTCAGCTAGTAAGAAGCAGAGCCTGGGTTTGAAGGTGATTTTGGCCGACTCCAAATCCTGCGCTTTTTCTACACTGCATTGTGGCAGATACTGGGGGGTGTTCACCGAAATCCATTTCCTCTTATTCCTGGACAAAACACTGGGCTACATTCCCCAGTCTCCCTGGCACTTGGGTGTGACCAGGTGCCTGAGTTCCAGCCAGTGGGATGGGACAGAAGTGACATGCACCACTTCCTGGGCTCACTTATAAAAACCTCCTGTATGTGCTCCTTCATGCTCTGTCCCCTTTTGCTGCCTGGGTGTGGGTGATGCAGAGACCCCAGAGAATGACAGAGCCACAGATGGACGGATCTTGCGCCCCTGAATGACGACCCTGCCAAGGTGAAAGTGGCGCATATCACAAGAGTAAGAAATAGACTTCCAGATGTTGAGAACTTACACATTTGGGCCTACTCGTTACAACCGTTTATCCTACTCAAGTGAATACACACAGTGAACAAAGAAAACAAGAGACCAAGAAATGCAAAACCCCTTTGTGTTCAACAAATCAACATTGAGCAACTCCTGTGAGTCAGGCACTGTTCTAAGGGGCTGGGAATACAGAGATGAATAGCATGGTCCCTACCTGTGCAGTGGGAGACTCCCCGAGTACTTAAGCCCTACCTCCTCAGGCTAGGTCAGAGACATTTCAAAGCAAAGCGTGCGTGGCCAGTTTTCATTTGTTCACTGCTAGTCAGCCAGGGGTTCAGGACAGAAGACAAGAAAGGCTGGAAGGGGCTGGGCATGGTGGCTCACGCCTGTAATCCTAACACTTTGGGAGGCTGAGGCAGGCAGATCACCTGAGGTCAGGAGTTTGAGACCAGCCTGGCCAACATGGCAAAACCTCGTCCTACTAAAAATACAAAAATTATCTGGGTGTGGTGGAGCATCCCTGTAGTCCCACCTACTCAGGAAGCTGAGGCGGGAGAATCGCTTGAACCCAGGAGGTGGAGCTTGCAGTGAGTGGGATCGCGCCATTGCACTCCAGCCTGGGCGACAGAGTGAGACTCCGTCTCAAAAAAACAACAGCAACAACAAAAGAAGGGCCAGAAGGGATGGGACTCCGAGGGAGTGGAGTCTGGTCACTCTCCCAGGTGAGGGTAGGTGAAGACCCCTGCTGGACAGCCCCAGAGAAGACCCAGCAGTGTGACCCCACACAAAAACAGCCTTTCCTAGAAGGAGGCCAGAGGACAGAGAGAGGAGAATAATAGGACTGGACTTGCTCCTGCTCATCATGGCACCGCTGGCCCCACCTTATACATTCTCACATTCTCCTGGGTCACAATCCCTTCCAGAGCACCTACTCTAGGCCAGGCATAGAGAATCACACACACACACACACACACACGCGCACACACACACACACACCAGAACACTATCTCTGTCCTCAAACTTCTTAGGGTTTAGTGAGAGACACGGCTCTTAAGCAAATCATTATCCCCCATGAAGAGCAACATATAGAGGGAGGGACACACCAAGGGCTCTGACAAGACAGGAAGAAGTGGCTCCTTCTGCAGGGCAGGTGAGGCTTCAAGATGGAGCTCATAACTGAGCTGGATATTGAAAGGGGCTCCAATTCAGCCAGCAGGGAGTCAGGGTAACAAAAGTTATTCCAGGCCAAGAGCTCTGTGTGAGCAAAGGTTGGTGGCACAACTACCTCGGGCTGTTAGGCCACAGCACAACAGGGGGTGGGGGCAGTGGCAAGCCTGGCAGGGGTGAGGCTGGCTAGGGAGGGCTTGAGGTGCTTTTCCAGGACATGAGCAAAAACTGAGTGTGAGAACATCAACTCCACAGCCCTCATCCCACCTGAGGTACCTTGTCCCCTCGGCCCCTGCAGACAAAGTTGTCATCCAGAGTCTCCTTTTAAATGTGACACCCCGAGGAAGAATCACAACCTGATTCATCTACCTGCTCATTACTACCCAGCAAAGGTCTTGGGATGGACTCAAAATGATCTTCCAGTAGGGCTGGACGAGTGTCTCTGAGGGGACAGAGGAATGAAGGAGACGGAAGGACAGACAAAAGGAATGTGATGAAAGGGTAGCAAAGGCCAGCGCTCCCCTCCTCAGGGCAGGAAGAACCTACCAGCCTTCATCCGGCTGTGTGTGCAGCATCGTGCCAGGGTGTGGAGGCAGACAGAGGGGTTCCTACCTTCGGGCGGTGTATGGTGTACACGGGCACAGGCTGCTGACCTCCCTGCCATTCAGCCTTGGCACGAAAAGCAATCACTGCTTGTCTTATGGAGAGGACAGGCTCCATAGGAGGGCAGCATGGTATCATGGAAGGAGCAGGCACCGTGTGATCAGAGACCAAGGGCTGAGAGGATAGTTCTACCTCTAACTGGCCAGTGTCTCGGGCACTCCATTTCCTCACCTACAAAACTGACAGCACAGTCTCTGCTTGTCAGTGTTGCTGGAACTTTTTAAGCAAGAAAACTAATGCAAAAGCATCTATCCAGTGCCTGGCTTAGAGTGGACCCCATGGCTTGTTCCCTTCCCCTTAGGAGAGGGCGTGCATGTGAATAGTCTCTTTAGGATTTTACTTCCACACGGTCTGAATTTGATTTAACTCTGTGTTTTCCTCCTCGGTGAGGCTGAAATATGTCATTGGTTACTTAATGGCCCTTCAAGCAATGAGGCCTTTATTAAATAGCAGCATGATACCCAGGCAATGAGAATGCGAGCCGCACACAAATCTCTCCCCGCTGCTTTGGTGAAGAAAGCTTTCAGCTGCCCCCTGGGTCGCTGTCTCTCTCTGCCTGGAAGGAGATGCAAGAAAGGGGGCACCACTGCCTAGAGGGGACAAGTGAGATGGCCCTCTGTGGCTGGAAACCTGGAGATGCCTCTTTGGGCCACTCCCTCAGCAGAAAGGAGGAGGGTGGTCCCTAGAGAGGAGAGACACCAGCAAGCCTCGCTCTCCCCAGCACTGCTGCCGCCCCCCAGCCCAGCCCCTAGGTGCAGCACGGGATGAAGGAGAAGGTGCTTGACCTGCCACCCACAAAGATTGTGTGACCAGGGACATGTCCTCTGGTCAGGCCTGATCAGGTACCTGGCCTGAAAAGTGGAACTAATGCTATTCCCCTACTCACTCAGAGGGTTGCGGGAGACTCAGTAAAGTGACAGCGGTGATTCTGCTGCCATTCTGCAATAAAGGACTCTTGAATCCTACCTTGCTGTCTCTGCAGATTGACTCCATCACAAAGCATCACTTCAGTGCTTACTGGACACCAGCTGCTCGCCAGATGTTAGAGACTGAGGAGGAAGCAATGCTCTCTGCCCTCAAGGAGGGTGTCCCCACTTCCAACTCACCACTGCAACCCCTAAATACACTCCACACCATAGCCAGATGGGTCTTTCTAATATACAAATCAGATTTTTCACACACAGACACACACACACATACACCCCTGTTTAAAACCTTCCAGTGTAGGCCTGCATGATGGTATGCACCTATAATCCCAGCTACTCAGAAAGCTGAAGCAGAAGGATCACTTGAGCTCAAGAGTTCGAGGCCAGCCTGGGCAATATAGCAAAACCCAGTCTCTAAAAGTTTAAAATAGATACCTTCCAATGGCTCCCTAGAGCTCTCTGCTTGCAGCTCAGTTCTGTATGACTTGGCTCCTGCATACCTCTCTGATCCATTCCCTTCACTCTCCTCCCACATCCTGTGATCCAGCCGGAGTAAAATGTTAGCAGTCAGCCAGGTGCGGTGGCTCACACCTGTAATCCTAGCACTTTGGGAGGCTGAGGTGGGTGGATCACTTGAGCTCAGGAGTTCGAGACCAGCCTGGTCAACATGGTGAAACCTCGTCTCTACTAAAAATACAAAAATTAGCAGGGTGTGATGGCACACACCTGTAATCCCAGCTACTCGGGAGGCTGAGGCAGGCGAATTGCTTGAACCCGGGAAGTGGAGGTTTCAGTGAGCTGAGATCGTGCCACTGCACTCCAGCCTGGACAACAGAGCAAGACTCTGTCTCAAAAAAATAAAAGTTTGCAGTCTCCTAAACACCCAGTGTTCTCGCTTGCCACCATGCCACAATCCATGCTGAGCCCCTGCCCCCTGCTACCTTGCTCACCCCTCATCCTCCAGATCCAGCTCAGAGGTGCATCCTAGAGGAGAACCCCTCTGACCCTTAACCTAAGCCAGCCGTCCCTCCCCTCCTCCTTCCCTGTAACATCGCGCTTCCTACACCGGATAGTAATAAGCAGAGAGGGAGCTCTCCGGGGAAGGGACACACAGGGTGTCATTTCTTTGTTTGCCCGTGCTTGGCAGGGTCCATGGCACAAAGTAAGGGCTTAGAAAATGTTTGAGGAATGAATGAGAAAATTACTTCAGCCAATATTTATCAAAATCTGATTATATCGTCTATCAGGCATTGTGCAGTATGAGGATCCAATAATAACAATAATGAACAAGACAGATGTGGCCCTTGCACTTATTGAATTTAAAATCTGGTGGGAGGCCAGGGGTGGTGGCTCACACCTATAATCCCAGCACTTTGGGAAGCTGAGATAGGCGGATCACTTGAGATCAGGAATTTGAGACCACCCTGGGCAACATAGTGAAACCCCATCTCTACTAAAATACAAAAAATTAGCCAGGCATGGTGGCATGCACCTGTAATCCCAGTTACTCGGGAGGCTGAGGCACAAGAATCACTTGAACCTGGGAGCCAGTGGTTGCAGTGAGCCAAGATTGCACCACTGCACTCCAGCCTGGGCAACAAAGTGAGACTCCATCTCAGAAAATGAAATAAAATAAAATAAAATCTTGTGGGAAAGAAAGAAAATCAAACAAGCAATCATCACAATAAAGTTGATTCATGCTATGATGGGGTCTGAAGGAGCACAAAGCAGGAGCATCAACCCAAGGTGGGGAAGGAAGGAGCTGGGAAGGCTTCTTAAAGAAAGTGAGATTTAAGCTGAGACCTGAAGACAGGGGAAGTTGTAGGCAGGCAGAAAGAAGATCAGATAGTCTATCTAAAGATAGAAACACCTCACCAATCTGGAACACAGCTATCTCATGTATCCAGAAAGTAGCCAGAACCAGGAAAGAAGGCTTAAAGGCTACTTACAGCCAAAATATGTTAAAAAGGCCATGGCCCTTACTTGCCCAGAAGCCTCTCATTCACACAAGCCTTTCTCTACCTCCAGGCTGACCTCATCTTGCCTTCCTCTGTCACCCACCATATTTGTACATACTTCCAATAGGGCTCTTAGCAGCCCACAGTGGACTCATCAGCTACGTCTGCTTCCCCCAGCACAGAGCATCCAAGGCCACCATGTGTGGCTTTTTAAGTCATGTACAAGAGTGCCATGATGCTGGCCGGGCGCAGTGGCTTACACCTGTAATCCCAGCACTTTGGGAGGCTGAGGCAGGTGGATCATTTGAGGTCAGGAGTTTGAGACCAGCTTGGCCAGCATGGTGAGACCCCATCTTTACCAAATATACAAAAAATTAGCCAGGTGTGGTGGTGCGCACATATAATACCAGCAAGTTGGGAAGCTGAGGCAGGAGAATTGCTTGAACCTGGGAGGCGGAGGTTGCAGTGAGCCGAGATCGTGCCACTGCACTCCAGCCTGGGCGACAGAGCAAGGCTTCATCTCAATTAAAAAAAAAAAAAAAAGAGTACCATGATGCTGTTCACAGGTAAACATCTTTAACACTTTAACATATGGAATATTTTTACAATTATAAGCTGTATAACAAATGGATTATTCATGATAACAAATGTAAGTTATTGTATAACATATTGTCATCATGAAGGTACTTGTTGATTTAAACTGGGAATTGAGAAATATTTTGGTTTTGTAAACTAACATCAGATGATTTTATATTTGGGTGGTTTTTTTATTTACAACAAGAATTTTCTGGCAATGGCAGTCATGTCTTATTTTAATAAGCCAGTATGTATTGTTCCCCTTTGACAAATTCAATAATCAAGAGACCATGTGCTGGGCATTGTGGCTCACACCTACAATCCCAGCACTTTGGGAGGCTGAGGCAGGAGGATTGCTTGAGACCAGGAGTTTGAGCAACCTGGGCAATACAATAAGACTTTCGTCTCTACAAAAAAAAAAAAAAATAGCTGAGTGGGTTGGCATGAGCCTAGTCCCAGCTACTCGGAAGGCTGAGGTAGGAGGATGGTTTGAGCCCAGGAATTTGATATTGTGCCACTGCCCTCCAGCCTGGGCAAGACAGCAAGACACCCTGGTCTCTTAAAAAAAAAAAAAAGACCTTGTTGATGTAATCATATCTAAAATAGTCTGTGTTTCTAAATAGGGATCTGCTTTGACATTTGATAGATGATTGATGAGTCCCTTTAAATTTTTTTAAAAATCCCTCATTGGTATCAGATTCACATTCATATTGTAATTCAATAATCTGCTGTTTGCTTACTGTGGCAGAATATTTTTGAATTTCAAGTTCAAATCAACAATACTATATAAATATTAATAACCAACATTCATTTATCATTAATAATCCATTATTGTAACAAATTTGCTATTGATATGTAAGTACTATATTGATGAATTTAATATTCTTTCCTTGAGGAATGGGTCCCTTTTTCTAATTCACACAAAACATGATGGGCGAGTAGGGATCACAGGGATGGTGTCTGATAGTGATCACCCGTGCCTTGCACAGGCCTTGGGCCACAGCAGACATTCAACACATATTTGTTGAATGAATAATAAAGAACTTCCAGGCCTCAATATATATGCTTTATTTTACCATACCTTCTAGAAATACTTCTGCACAGTTAATGGAAAAGTGTTGCATACATTCTTAGAATAACAGTTCTTAGTGACCAGCTAAAGCTTATTAAACTGTCACACAGCAGGAACCACTTGCCTCTCCCTTCGTTCTCTAAACACAGAGCATTTTTCCAAAAAGAACGCCTTAGGAGGAAGAAGTTTTCATAGCTGTAATATATCATTAGAGGAACATCTTTGCAACCTGCCTAGAGAGTCATAAAGTTTAGTAATTTCTAAGAAAATGCCATAAAAATCCAGTAAGATGGTAAGGTTTTGTGTAAGTAATCTCAAGCAGAGTCTGAGACTCCTTAAGTAAGGAACAAGTGCACAGGCTAAAGAAAGCTATGTTATCATGGAAAGTAAACCCTTCCAAAACCTAAGGCTTTTGGGCTTACAAACAGCTGGCTCTCTATTTCTGGACTGGGCTTCGCAATGCCAGAGACAGGCATGAGTTCACTGCCTGGAATCCCTTCATGTCATTTCCCTTTAAGGAAAACAGTCATTTAGAAGGTAGAAAAAAAAATCAGCTCTAGAACCATTATTGATTCCACAGTTCAATTCAATCAGCATCTGTGAATGCCTTCTCTGTGCCAGGCACTGGAAGGACTCAGAGATGAAAAACAACATCTTTGTGATGATACTCACCCTGAGGCTGGGTATCTTACAGTCTATGGGAAGAGACAGATCATCTTAATCAATAATCTTCCCCATCCACCACCATTCTGTCTGTCCCAGGGCCAACACCTCTCTCCTGAGGTTTATAATAGCATCCTAACTTGCCTCTCTGCCTCCACTCTTCAAGCCGTCTGTAAGCCATCCTCCATAAGGCAACCAGAGCGATCTTTTTAAAAGTGTAGTTATCTTGCTCCCTGTACATGTTGGCAGTGGTCTGGCCTCTGCATGTGGTCCGGCCCCCGAGTGTCTGCTGGCAAGGCAAGAATCAGACTGGAAATTCCCATACCAAGCCAGGCCCTCTGAAATGCCACATCCTCAGTGGGTGAAACTGGAAGCAAACCTTCTGTGTTTTGGCCTTGCCTCAGGAAAGGGGAAATAAAAGGAATAAGTCTCTGCTCAGAATGTCTAACCATGATACCTTCCTATCCAAGTATGGAGTCAGAATTCATCCTACACCTATAACCAAAAGAAAAGTCTAACACCAAAAAATGTAGTTTTAAGTGTTCTGGGTAGTAGAGCCCCCTGAGGCATCTGTATAAAAGGAAGATTCTAACTTGAAACCTAAGCCTCAAAGAATGATCAGCAAGTAAAGTTCCAAGGAACATAAGATCACCATCAAAAAAAAAAAAAAGGCCTAACACCTAAATCAGAATTCCAAAAAGACAGAAGAGAGTGGATGAGAGACAGTATTTCCATAATTGATAAGACACCAAACCTCAGAGACAAGAATCCCAACAAATCCCAAGAAGAATAAATCAGAAGAAATCCTCACCTAGAAATGTCTTACTGACAGCGAAGACATCTAAGACAAAGGGATTTTAAAAACAGCCAGAATGAAAGACATTTTACTAGCAGAAGAAAAAATTAGACTGACAACTGACTTCTCAACAGCAAAATGGAAATGAAAAAACAGTGGCATATCTTCAAAGCGCTGAGACCCTATAGCTATCAACTTAGAACAGTATGTACAGCAACACTATTTTTCAAGAACGAGGAGAAAATGAAGGTAATTTTGGACAAATAAAAACTGAGTTTATTAAAACATACTTCCAAGAGAAAGGAAATGACCCCAGAAGGTAGGTCTGAGTTGTAAAATAGAATAGCAAACAAAGAAAATGGCAAATGTGGGTAACTCAAAAGGACACAGACTATATAAAATACCAATAACGCCTAATTTGTGAAGTTCAAAAAAGAATAAGATAGGACTAAAATATTGGACAACAAACGCATATATGTTGGAAGTGATGTGGCCAAAATGAAAAAGCATACTAAAGATCCTTGCATTGTTAAAAAGAGAATAAAGACAGTAACCTTAGGCTTTGTGAAATTATACACACATATTAAATTTTCTAGGGTAATCAATAGAAGAATAAAAATAGAATATGTAACTTCCAGACTAGTGCAGGGAGAAAATGAACAAGAAAAAAAATCAATTAAAAAAGATATGAAATCACAATCACAGAAGAAATTTTTAACATAACTCTTAATAGATCAGACAAAAATCAGGGCTATAAAATTTATATAATACAATTCACAAGTTAATCTAACACACATATGTAAAATATTGGACAAAAATCAGGGCTACAAAATTTATATAATGCAATTCATAAGTTAATCTAACATACATATGTAAAATATTGCTTTCAATAACTAGAGAATGCATGTTGTTTTCAAGCATACATGGAACATTTGCAAAAACTGACCATGTATTAGACCATAAAGCAAAAACCTGCAAAAAAAAAAAAAAAAGATGGGAGGAAGGAGGAAGGAAAGAAAAAACATCCTCTAACCACAATGAAATTAAGTTAGAAATTAATAACAAAAAGATAAGTAGAAATAACCTTATTTGCTTAGAAATGTTCTTGAAACACAAATCTAAATAACCCATGGGTCAAGGAAGAAATCTTCATGAAAATGTAAAATACATAGAACTACAAGGTGATTTTTTAAATACTGCATAATAAAACTCATAGGTGTAGCTAAAGCAGTAGTTAGAGGCAAATTTGTAGTCTTGAGTGCTTTTATTAGCAAAGCAGCCAACTTAATATTGGAAAAAGAACAACAAAATAAACCTCAAAAAGTAGAAGAGAAGAAGTAATAAAGAGCAGCAAGCCATGAAATAGAAAAAAAGATACAATGGAGATGATCAATAAAGTCAAAAGTTGCTTCTTTGAAAAAACTAATCAAATTGAGATACATATAAAATACTCTAAATGACCCAAGGAAGGGGACTTAGCCTAGCCTGGGGCATGTGTGTGGGAGTCAGGGAAGATATATGGAAAAGATGAGGTAAAACTTAATTCTTGAAGGATACGTAAAAAGGTAGCCAAACAAAGGGAGGGAGCATTCAGAGGAGGAAAAACATGAACAAAGGTCAAGAGGAATAGCACAGCATGAAGGCTCAAGCAAACCACATGCAGTGTGGTGTCAGTAGTGCATAAAGTTCAAGGAATATGGGAAATAAGCCTAGAGAAGGTTAGGGCCAAGTGTTAATTTTTTTAAATATTCAACTGAGTCTTCATTATGTACTTGGCACTTTACATGATTATAGCTTTTTATGCTGGCAATAAATAACTCCATGAAATATGGTTGTATTATGCCCATTTTACAGAAAAAGAAACTGAGTTTCAGAGCAAAATATGCCAAAAGCTACACATTGAGTTGTTTCAAACCCCTATCTGTGTAGGTCTAAAGCTCATGCTTACACCCACCAAGACATAATGCATCTTGGGTTGTGAAAAGCATCATATGGAGCCTTCATAAGGAGTCTGAACTTTGTTCTTCAGGAAAATATTCAAAATTTCCCTGAAAAAAACAAAGCTCATTCTTACGAAGAAAGTTTAGAGTACTGTTACAGCTTCCATCAGGTTGCATACTACCTTATGGTGGACATTTGGATTGTTTCCACTTTCTGGCTATTGTGAATAATGCTACTATGAACATTAGTGTACAAGTTGTTATGTGCACATATGTTTTCGTTTCTCTTGGGTTTCTCTTGGGTATATATCAGGAGAGAACTGCTAGGATGTTTAACATTTGAGGAACTGCCAAATTGTTTTTCAAAATGGCTGCACCATTTTACAGCCCCACCAAGAGTGTATGAGGGTTCCAATTTCTCCACAACCCTGCCAACATGTACTATCTGTCTTATTTATTATAGATAACCCAATAGGTATGAAGTGGTATTTCACTGTGGTTTTGATTTTCATTTCCCTAATAGCTAATGATGGCATATGACATTTTAATGCAGCTCTTAATGTAACCCCCTCCCCCTTTTTTTTAACTCCAGAAATATTTTGACAAAACCTAAGAAATCACCTATCAAAACTGGCTGGGTGCAGTGGCTCATGCCTGTAATCCCAACACTTTGGGAGGCTGAGGTGGGTGGAGCATGAGGTCAAGAGATCGAGACCATTCTGGCTGACATGGTGAAACCCCGTCTACTAAAAATACAAAAAATTAGCTGGGCGTGGTGGCGGGCGCCTATGGTCCCAGCTACTCGGGAGGCTGAGGCAGGAGAATGGTGTGAACCCAGGAGGTGGAGGTTGCTGTGAGCTGAGATCGCACCACTGCACTCCAGCCTGGGCGACAGAGCAAGACTCTGTCTCAAAAAAAAAAAAAGAAATCACCTATCAAAACTTTTGGCAATAAAACTGCCAAAGTATGTGAAATGCTTAAGCCCTACCTCTGGGTAGAAGATCAGGGATGACATAAGGAGTTAGAACTAATGAGAAGGTCAAGGATGAGCCAGGCACAGTGGCTCACACCTAGAATCCCAGCACTTTGGGAGGCCGAGGTGGAAGGATCACTTGAGGCTAGGCGTTCACGACTAGCCCGGGCAACATAGTGAGACACCACCTCTTTTTATTTTAAAAATAAAAAAAGAAGGTCAAGGATAAAGAGAAAGCCAAGCATGTCTACTGAATACATTATTTGAATATTAAAAAGAGTGAGTTTACATTGTGATATGGCTGTTTCAAATTAGGCATAATGGCCACACCAAAATAGCCATATCAAAATGCCCCACTTTGAACTATGCACTTATGATTAGAATTAAGTATTTGGTGAAGACAGGGCCCATAGGTTGGAGAAGATTCATTTGTTTCACTCTCTTCTCCAGTATTTGTCATTATATTCTTCAAAAGTAAGTATTTATAGGAACCCTCAGAGCTGAGCATAAATTGCTAAAACTATTTTGGAAAGCAATTTGGCCATATATTCCAAAAGCCTTAAAATGTATATTCCGTGTGGTCTAATTATTTCATTTTTGGAAAGTTAGCTTAAGAAAGTAATATGAAATATGCTGGGTGCAGTGACGCACACCTGTAATCCTAGCAATCTGGGAGGCTCAAGCCAGAGGATCGTTGAGGCCAAGAGTTCAAGACCAGCCTGGGCAACATATGGAAACCCCATCTCTACAAAAAAAAATATATATATACAAAAATTAGCTGGCATGGGGGCGCACACCTTTAGTCCTAGCTAGTTTGGAGGCTGGGGTGGGAGGATCACTTGAGGCCAGGAGTTCAAGGGTGCAGTGAGCTATGTTCATGCTGCTGCACTCCAGCCTGGGCGACAGAGTGAAACCTTGTCTCTAAAGACAAAAAAAAAGAAAAAGAAAAGAACATGAAATATAGGAAGGAAGCACATTCCTGAATAATTTTTAATAGAGGGTTCAATCTAAACATTTAATACCAGGAAAATAAATAATGAAATACAACCCACAGAATGAAATATTTTGCAGCAATTAAAATGACATTAACAAAAAGTTGTATAGCAAGGAAAAATGTTTAAATTATAATGTGGACATTAATGTTAATGATACAATAAAATTGTATCAGATTTGTAAAACAAAAAAATATATATGCCCAGAAGAAATACTGGAAAGAAATGCTTCAACGTGAAAGCAGTCATTCCATCTCAATGGTAGGACTATAAATGTTTTAAAAATATTTTTTCCAAATTTTTAAGCAATGTACAAGGATTATTTATATAAGTGAGAAATGTGCTTTTTAAATAAAACCAACGTCCAGGCTCAAAGCCCAGTCCTGCACTGAAGGACTTATGTAAACACTAACTGTGATGTTCTTATTTCTAAAGGGGCCAGGAACTCACGCTCTCTTCAGAGGAGCAATACGGTCCACTAGAACAAGACCTGGCCTACAAGCCAGGAGAGCCAGCCTCTAGATCTAAGCTGTGTGTCTCTTAACACCTCTGAAGAGTGGAAGAGTTGAAAGAGAACAAACACTGATTGCGTACTGACTTTGCCATACATGTTACCTATATGATTAACATGGAATAACCCCCTAAGTACCATGATGCCCCATGTGACAGAACTAATATGTGGTGGGGATTCAAACCCAAATCTATAGATGCAGGGACATCTGTACAACAGAAATAATGAAATCTACCATACTTACTGCACAAAGCCAAAGTCATGTTAGATAAATCTATGTGAAAGTTTCATATAAAATATCCAGTTCCATGGATATGTAAAACTCTAAGCCTCTCCACACAATCTCTTAATTCACTGGGTATTTCACAGCACCTGAAGGCAGAATTCTGTGTTTCTTCTGCCTTCTTGAGCTAACAAGTCAAAAGTAATTAAGGACTGTTTTTAGTGAATGAGAAGAAGAAATTTTTTAATTGTAATGTGGATCATGCAAGGCAAATGATTATTTGGTAGACATTTAAATAACCAACAGGGGGAAATATTTACAATGCATATGAGATAAAAAGTAACCATAATATTTACAAACCAATGAGAAAAAACATAAACAAAACAATCCAAAAGATAAAATGAACAAAAAATAGATTCAGTCATTTCACAGATGAAGCAAGACAAATGACAAATTAACTTATGCAAAAAGTTTAACCTTGTTGACAATCAGAGAAATGTAAATTAAAAGAACACATTTTTACCTGTCAGTCTGGCAAAGATACACAAGATGAATAGTATACAGTATTGGAGCAGATATGCAAAAACAGGCAGTCTCAAACCCTGCTGAGGGCAATTTGATAGTAACAATCAAAATATAAAGTACATATGCCCTTTCACCCAACAATCCTAGGAATTTATTCTACAGAAGTATTTGCACAAATACACACTTAAAATGTCTGAAAAGGCCAGGTGCAGTGGCTCACGCCTGTAATCCCAACACTTTGGGAGGCCAAGGGAGGCAGATCACTTGAGGTCAGGAGTTCAAGACCAGCTTAGCCAACATGGTGAAACCCCGTCTCTACTGAAAATACAAAACAGCTAGACATAGTGGCACACACCTGTAATCCCAGCTACTCTGGAGGCTGAGGCACGAGAATTGCTTGAACCTGGGAGGCGGAAGATGCAGTGAGCCAACATAGTGCCATTGCACTCCGGCCTAGGTGACAGAGCGAGACTCTGTCTCAAAAAAAAAAAAAAAAAAAAGAATCTGAAGAGTGATGTTTATTGCCCCACTCTTTGTAATAGCAAAGAAAACACATAGAAACAACATCCGTCAATAAATTATGGTATATAAAATGGACTATTAGGTTGTTAAAATGAAATGAATCTATATATATTAACAGAGAAAGATGTATATGAGGTACTGCTAAAACAGCAGTTGCCAAACACTATCTACGTGGTATAACTGCAGCATTTTAAAAAATGAAATATCTGCTGGGTACAGTGGCTCACACCTGTAATCTCAGCACTTTGGGAGGCTGAGGCGGGAGAATCACTTGAGCCCAGGAGACTAGCTTGGGCAACATAGCACAATGCTGTCTCTACAAAAAAATATAAAAAATTAGCTGGGCATGGTGTGCACCTGTAGTCCCAGCTCCTGGGGGGCGAGGGTTGCTGAGGTGGGAGGATGGTTTGAGCCCAGGAGGTGGAGGCTGCAGTGAGCCGAGATTGCGCCACTATACTCCAACCTGGGCGACAGAGCAAGACCCTCTCTAGAAAGAAAAAATAAAATATGTGTATATTTATATTTATATACAGTATATATTTGTATCTCTACATATGATATCATGATGGTAATTAGCACAGTTTACCAAATAGCCTGATTCTCCTCTTTACACCCTCATGGTGGGACTGCGCATCCCCCATCCCTCTGAGGTTAGCCATGACCATGTAACCTGCTTCAGCGAATCAAATCTGAGCTGAAGTGATGCATCACTTCTGGGTAGACGTTTTAAAAACCAGTGCAAATTCACCACCACATGCTCTTTCCCTCCCTCAGTGACTCATGAAAGCAGGTGTCACAATGGGAGACCACGATCTCAATAACCAAGATGATGAGAGACCCCTGCTCCCCAACCCCACCAGCCCACATTGAACCCAAAGCATGGGCAAGAAATAAACTTTGGTTGTATTAAGCCACTGCTATTTTATGGTTCTTACCATAGCACAATTTAGCCATCCTGATATGTACAAGAATAAGAAAAAAATCTGGGCCAGGCACGGTGGCTCACACCTGTAATTCCAGCACTTTGAGAGGACAAGGAATGCAGATCACAAGGTCAGTAGTTCGAGACCAGCCTGGCTAACATGGTGAAACCCCGTCTCTACTAAAAATACAAAAATTAGCCAGGTGTGGTGGCATGCACCTATACTCCCAGCTACTTGGGAGGCTGAGGCAGGAGAATTGCTTGAACCCGGGAGGCAGAGGTTGCAGTGAGCCAAGATTGCATCACTGCACTCCAGCCTGGCTGACAGAGCAAGACTCTATCTCGAAAAAAAAGAAAGAAGTCTGTAAAGATACATATCAAATTGGGATTCTGGTGTCACCTCTCAGAAGTGGAATTAGAGGGGAGGATGGAAAGGGAGGGGGATGGGGTAGGTGGTTTGTTTCAGTTTTTATTTTATATGCTTGGGAACAGTGTAAATTTTTATAAGCATATATTATTTCTGGAATTGGAACGAAGTTATTTATACATAATCTAAGATGTCCAAAAAATGGTCCACTGTTGTTTTTTAAAATTCCAATAACCCACAGTTCTGACACAATGAGAAATAGAATCTCCCTATGAGTATAAAGAACAAAATAGGAAAACTGGCCTTCATCAGAGTTCTAGGCAGATGTACTGAGGAACTTATTTGAAAAGCAAAACCGCACCCAGGGAAGACTACACAGGAGATAAACTGCCTATTCTTCCAGCTTCATTAAGGGTGCGAAGGTTTTATTCAGATGACAGAGAAGCATATGGGAGAGGGAAGGAAGCCGCCAGAAATGCCTGCAAGTACTTATAAAGCATTTATAAAAATTACTAGATAATGGTTCAGAAACACCCAGGGAAACAAACACGCATGCAAATGGCAGCGGCAGCAGCTGGCAAGGCACAATTTGATACGAGGAGGAAGGAGAGATGCAAGTCCTCCTGGAATAGAGAAACCTAATCGTTCTCTCCAGCAAAACAATAACCTCTGTGGAGGAATCTCAGGGACGTGACTCGGCTTCAGAGGAACAACCACAAGGAAAGGAGGGGTTCAAACCTAATTAGAGGATGGCAAGCTGATCTGCCTGTTCACATCATCCATTTTTCTGTTACAAAATTTAATTAAGATGTCATAGAGATTCACCAGAGGGAAAGTCAAACCAACATGTATTCTTACTTTAAAGTGCCAGGCGCTTTTAAGATTTTCTGGCTTCATCCTCACAACAACTAGCTAGTATTTTATACTCAGTCTTAGAGATGAGGTAAAGCAACTTGTCCAGGGGCACGGAGCCACTGCGTGACCCAGAAAATTTGTATCTTTTCCACACAGCTGGTGGGTACTTTCATGTAGAATAACATCTGTTTTCCCTGTGAAACCCAAAGTCAAGATACTGATGTCACTTAAACGGCTAAAACGAGTTTCCCGTGGCGATGTACATAATTAACATACCAACGTATGAGACAGGCCAGGCGCGGTGGCTCACACCTGTAATCCCACCACTTTGGGAGGCTGAGGCGGGCAGATCATCTGAGGTCAGGAGTTCGAGACCAGCCTAGCCAACATGGTGAAACCCCATAGCTACCAAAAATACAAAAATTAGCTGGGCATGGTGGTAGGCGCCTGTAGTCCCAGCTACTCAGGAGGCTGAGGCAGGAGAATCGCTTGAACCCAGGAGGCAGAGGTTGCAGTGAGCTGAGATCGCACCACTGCACTCCAACCTGGGCAACAGAGCGAGACTCCATTTCAAATAAACAAACAAAAAACAAAGTATGACATAGGCACCAGGTCCAGAATGGAGACTTTAAAACATTCAATTAGACTTAGGAAACTTTAGAAGTATAATTGATTTAAAAAGAAAAAAACATGAAATCAGTATTATTTTTTAACATCTTAAACCTAGACTACATCAAGTTGACATTCACCCAAAATGCAACTGTCCCTTACGCTGCAGCCATCTGTGAGTGGCTGTGTCATCTGCTGTATCCCCAAGATCCCAAATACAGCCTGGCACAAAGTAGATCTCAAAATATCTATTAGATAAGTCAAATTAGCTGGTCACACCTGCTCTGACTAACCAATAACATACATATATGGACTACATTTTATATTAAATTTTCCCCCTGTTTAAGAAAAAATAGATCAAATAACCAAGCCTGTAATTACATGATAGAAAGAAAACAATCAACACTGAATACCTACAGTGTGCCAAGCATTGGGTTAAGTCAATTTACATACATTCCCTCATTTACTCTCACAAAAATTCTGTGAGATAGATAGCACTAGCCCATTGCTACAGCTGAAGAAACTGAGTCTCAGAGAGGTTCTGTATTTAGTACAGAGTTTAGTCACACAAGCAATCAGAGGCAAGGATTTTAACCCACATCTGTCTGATTTCAAAGCCCATGCCAACTACAAAATACAACACTTCCCCTTGAGAGAAGGCACTTAAACAGTGGTCGATTACTTTTACAATACGTTCAAGAACAGATTTAAATAAAAAATAAAATGCATGATTAAATTTTTGCCTTAAACTTCTGCTGATACAAAACCAGAATCCAAAACACTACCAAAATTGTGGCACAATACACTGTATGTTTTATAACACAGAAAACAGCCTAACCATTACAACACCTGCTTAAAAACACACAGACACGATTTTAATTTATAGGAGTTATAGAGCTTGAATGTGAGCCCCTTGAATTTATTGTCTTTTAAAGGACTGTTTAAGGAGTTGGTGTGGATTCATGAAGCTATTACCCGAATTGTATCGTTCAAATAACAATGGTAGTGAATTGTGATTTTTATGTTATGACAAGTTTAACTTGCAAAGGAAAAATTCCAATAGATTAGACATTAAAATAATGTATCTGTGGAAGGAGAACATTTGATGGAGTAGGGCATATAGTGTTTTTAAATATGGTGCTTTTTTTTTAAATGGGCAGTAAGTTGCAATGGCGGTCATTGAAAATAGAAAGGGAGGAAAGATTAGACTACCCAATATTTCATTTTATACTCTACCTTCTTCCAGAAGGAATCTGAGACAGAAAGATTCAAATAGCAGGCTCACATTCCACAGAGGAGGAAGGCAACCCAGCTAGTCAAATGGCACAGGAATTGCATCTCCCCTGTGGGCAGCAGCAAGACAGGATTTGGAAGGTGCAGGCACCAAATGCTCCCTCTGCCAGGCAGGATATATTTCAGTGTGTTTTATTTTAAGTCCTATTTGCATTATTGCTCTCCTGATTCTGACCAACTCCAAGGTCACTTGAATTATGGGTCAAATGAGGAATGGGAGGGTTAAGAAGTAGAGAATCATAAAACACTTAAAAGTGGGTTTTGGAACAAAAAAAGGCTACTGTTTGAACCCTGACTTTCTCACTTACTTGCTGTGCCCACCTCAGTTTCTTCTGCTGTTACTTGAGAATAGTAATGATGATAGTGATGATAATAGAATAACTCCTTGCAGAATGGTTTTTGCAAAGGATTAGCAAAGAAGAAGGTATATGATTGAAAACTGGCTACAAGCCCAGGCCCTGGATGGCTCTGCCACTGGTTATCTGTGTGGCCATGGGCTGGCCCTGTACCGGCCCCTCTCTAAGCCTCAGTTCCCTCATCTGTAAGTTGAAGATGACAGTGCAGTCTATTTTAGAGGGTTTTTGCAAGGATTAAATAAATAATGCATAGTAAATACTCAATACAATTTTTTTTTTTTTGAGACAGAGTCTCACTCTGTTATCCCAGCTGAAGTGCAGTGGTGCGATTTCAGCTCACTGCAACCTCCGCCTCCCGGGTTCAAGCAATTCTCGTGCCTCAGCCTCTCAATACAATTTTTCACGAGCATAAAACAGTACAATGCCTTGCACATAACCCCTATTTAATAAACAGTAACTAATATTATACAAGTTGTAAGTAGGACAATATAGTAAGTGTATACTTGTTCTAAAGAAAGGCTGGATAAATTTCAGGGAACAATGCATGATTTGGAGTCTCTGAAACAAAGACTTTATACTATAATAGATCTCAGGACAGGGGCTTATTCAAACTATCATCAACAAAGGTCCCGCTATGAAATCTCTCAGGGCCCTCATTCACATTAGCTGGTGGCCATGGCACCACTGTGCACATAAACACAACCTACATCTCCAAAGAGGGCAGCTCACAACAAAAGTGGCGTCTACTCTCTATGGTGTCTTTCCTCTAAGGTGTTTTTTCATGAGGGTAGCAAAATGACAGAAGCATCCATGGGAGATGGGGAGTCTTCACAGGATGGGAAGAAGACCATACAAATCCATAAACATTGAGCATCTGCGGTGAACCAGAAACCATGCCTTTCTTTCATGTTGCAACATCAGTGGTGACTCTGTAAACATGATTTTGCTATTTGAGAGTAACTCCAGTCTTGTCTACAAGTTTACAGAGCTAACATCTGTGATCCTTCCCTTTCAGAAACAAATTTAACATTGTGGACGCAGTTAAATTAGACCTGGCCAGAACGGGTATGACTGCAAACTGAATCATCTGAGGGCTGGCATGGTTCACTTGGGACTGAAGGAGAGTGGGCAAGGGAGGCCGGGTCTATATATGGCAAGCAATCTGTGATTAAATTCAGTCAGAAGCGCAAGCTTCTTGGCATGGCCTTCACCATGCTCTGTGATCTGGCTTCTTCATCGCTCTCCACTCCCCCATATGCTCCCTCAGCTGCCATCATCCCATCCTGCATGTAAAACCTGGTCCATACTGCCTGCCTTGTTGTTCCTACTCTGTATGGAACATCCTTGAATCACTCACCTCCCAGACCAAACTGTAACTGTTTGTTTGCATGTATTCCTCCTCCTACACCAGGAGCTCCTGGAGGGCAAGGAGTGTATCCTGTTCACATCTACATCTGCGACCTCCAGCCCAGTGTTTACCAATAGAGAGCACAGAATTGAAGCCTGGTTTCAAATGGAATGCATATTTCAAATGCTAGCTCTGTCCCTTACTAGCTATGTGGCCTCAGGTAAGTTAACCTCTGTGTATTTCCATGTTCTCATATGTAGAACGGACACAATAAGGCATTTACTTTACTGAGCTGTTGGGAGAATCAAACAATTGTATATATGTAGAGCACTTAAAACAGCACCTGGAACAGAGTAAGAGCTATATAAAGATTTATTATCATGTTGTTGTTGTTGTTAAATATATGTGGAATAAGGAAAAGTGAAAAAGGAGCCAGGGGTGGTGGCTCACGCCTGTAATCCCAGCATTTTGAGAGGCCGAGGCAGGCAGATCACTTGAGGTCAGGAGTTCAAGACCAGTCTGGCCAACATGGTGAAACCCCATCTCTATTAAAAATACAAAAATTAGCCAGGGATGGTGACACATGCCTGTAATCTCAGCTACTCAGGAGGCTGAGGCAGGAGAACTGCTTGAACCTCTGAGGCAGAGGTTGTAGTGAGAGTGCAGTGAGCCAAGATAGCACCACTGCACTCCAGCCTGGATGACAGAACGACACCCTGTCTCAAAAAAAAAAAAAAAAAAAGTGAAAAAGGAAGCGAGATTGTGTGCCCTGCAGCTGAGCAAACTTCTGAATTCACATGCTGGCTCAGTCCTACCCTGTTAAAGTGGACGGTGATATATAGCTCCTCACTATGCACCCATAAAAGGAGACACAGCTCTCACTCTGGTTGGTGTTCATGACCTTATTTCTTACCTGGGCTACTCATCCACTCCCACCAAAGCCAGCCACCTGAGTACTCCCCAAACCCACAGCAACACAGCATGGGCTGCAAGAGATACTGTTGCTCACACCCTTGCACCACAGCCCCCAGTAGAAGTTCTTGCTCCTAAAACAGCGCTGGGAGTTCAAGATGATCTCATCCAATATCACCTCATAACAGATGGGGAAAGGCAGGCATAAGAAAGGTCATGTGTTTGCACTTTGTTAGTACCAGGGATATATATATATGTTAGTTTTCATGCAGTCAACTTTGTAGGAGGTACTAAGAATACTATAATCATAGTTTAAAGCAGGAAGGAACTTTAAAGTTTAGCTACTCTGGCACTTTTCAACCTCCACACTAGGGTGTCAAGATGTGATGTAAGCTCTCTTGCAAATATTCCATAATTCATTTGATGAATATTTATTGAGCACCTAGAATATGCTGTGCATTAGGGACATAAGTCAGATACCACCCCTGCCCTCAGGACTTCATGCAGTAATGAGGAAGGGTGACAGTAATAATCACAAGCCTAATAGTAGAGTCTTATTGTTGCAAGTGAATTGTTTTTTTAATTTTCAATATTTTTTTTAGAGACAGGGTCTTGCTCTGTCACCCAGGCTGGTGTGCAGTGGCACAATCATAGCTCACTGCATCCTTGAACTCCTGGACTCAAGTGATCCTCCCACCTCAGCCTCCCAAGTAGGTGGAATTACAGGCATGAGCCACCACATTCAGTGAATTATGTTTTAAAATATACTAGAATAAACATCTCCACCTATATGCCAATGTGTTCTCTGAGTGGGAAAAAAAGGGCAGGGTTGGAGGTGGAAGAAGCAGTTACAGGTAGTGCCTTGGAAAAAGCCTACCCACTGGGGGTGACCAGTGCAACAGTCTCATGTAGATCAACATTACCATTATGCGGCTACCGAAGTAGAGAGTAGATCAACATTACCATTATGCGGCTACCGAAGTAGAAAGACTGGAAACTGCTGAATTAGCTCTGTCCACCCCTACTTTACAGATAAGCAAACTGAGGCCTCAAGGGTTTAACTGACTTGCCCTGATAAATGGAAGAACATCAAAATTCTGTTAATGGCTCACATAGCCTTCCTCCCCAAAACAGGTCCAAATCCCATCGCATGGCACATGATCTGATCCCTGCTCATTTCTGAAGCCCCATCTCTTACCACTCCACCTCCCACGCTATGATCCGGCCATACTCAAAGTCCTGAAAGGGCCTCTGCTTTGCCCACACCACTCCTGCAACCAGGGATCCAAAGTCCATGACCCTAAATAACTCCAGTTCATTTTCAGCACTCACAACTCAGCTCGGGTTTATTTCCTCCAGGAAGTCCTTCCTGGGTGCCCCTCCTCTACCTCCCGCAGCATTTCTCCTTTCACACAGAAACACTCATCACATAATGTATTCATTCATTCAACGAATATTTATTGAGCAACTTCTGTGTGCCAAGTACCTGCGGGTACAGCAATAAACAAAACAAAGCCCCTGCCCTCATGGAGCTTACATTCTAGTGAGGGAAACGACAATAAACAAGCAATACATAATATAATGCCTGGCGAAGTTTAGTACTATGGAAAAAAAATAAATACCAAGGGCTGGAGATTGATGGGGAAGGTATCATCTAAAGAAGTGACAAGAGTAAGCCATGCAAATAAATGAAAAGGGAGAATTTCAGGATGCAGCAGCAATGTAATGACCTGTAATGACCGCAATTATTCCTTTACTTGTGTTTTATTCCCTATTGAACCATGAAGTCCTTGGGGGCAAGGGTCACATCTTAAGTATGTTTGGTTCCCAGGGCCCAGCAAAGAACTTGGCACCTCCAAAGTGGACATTTACGGAATGAGTGAACGAACCTGGGCTGGGATGTATTAGTCCATCTGGCCCCATCTCTCCGAGCAAACGAGATCTGGCCTGCTTTATGTCTCTCTCTCCCACAGGGATAAGCTAAGTGGAGGCCCCACTTGGGCCAATCTGCCTAGCCTGACTCCATAGCCTGGTTTTATTTGCTGGATTCTCCCTTCATTAAGACCACGGCACTGACAAGTTGTCCAGTTGTACCTTTTCTAGCCCTCATATCTCTGGCCTGGACCTGGGGCCCTGCCTAGAAACCCAGATACTTTAGAACTGAGAGCCTGCCTTTGTTTTCCCCAAGTTTCCCCAGCATGAAAGTTCCCCTCTGAATCCCAAGCCCCAAGGCTGGGGGCCCAGACACTTGGAGTCAAACTTCCCCAACGGCTACACCCTATCCACCTGGAAGTCGGTTCTGCCTGATCCTTGACTTCCCTCCAAACCAAATGCACTTTTTCCTATTGGGACATCAACCCTCTGACCACATCAGTCCTTTCTGTGGCCATCTCTCTGTATGTTCCAACTTAATGAAACCATTACCGAGCATCTACCATAGCCAAGGCACAGGGCTAAGAACCTGAGTCCTCTGTTACCCGCAGCAGATCCCTGTTACCACTGGCTGTGTCCACACTCAGCTATCCTTAATCAAACTCCTGACACTCCTGAAAGCACATTAAATACCTTATATGCTGCAAATAAAGTCAAATGGCTTTATCCACGTAGCCAATTGCAACAGACACCTCTAGAGTCACTGGTGCTACATTCCATCCCCTGCCAGTCTAAAATGGGCTCAGGGATGATAACTCATGTATTCATTCACCCTTTCATTCACTGCTTACTGACACATGCCGTAAGCCAAGCCTGGAATATAAAATACAGTGCCTGATTTTATACCACTGATCATGAGGACAGTGGTGGTGCTGGTGGTGGTGATGGTGATGATGGTGGAAGAAGAGAGAAAGGAGAAGGTGGTAACGTAAGTTACCATTTATTGCAGACTTGTGCTATAAAACACTAAGTAGTGAGTCTTCTAATGCTAACAAGATGATGAGATAAGTATAATTGGCCTCACTTTACAGAGAAGGTAATAGGCTGAAGAGGTGAAGCAACTTACTCAAGGTCACACAGCTAAGTAGCAAAGTGTAGTGAGACCCTAGGCCTGTCTGCCTCCAAAATAAAAAGTGTTCCTCTGCCCAAGAGTCACACAGCAAGTGCTAAACAAATATAACTTCAATGAAGAAGTGAGAGAGCGGGTCCGGGGCCCCAGGGGCTTACAAGCTGGTGGAGGAGACAGACGTACACATATCTACAAGCAGAGGCAAATGCTGATGGCTGAGACATAAAAAGAGCTGCAGGGAGGCAGAGGAGTGAGTGGCTAACTTGACCTGGAGGGGTCTGGGGGGCCCTCTTGGAGGAAGTGATTTTGGGGGGTAGGCCTTGAAGGATGAGCACTTTGCGGCTGACAAGCAGGCCCGAGCGTGGTGCACCGCAGGAGCTCAGCCCTCGCCCGCCGACCTGACCTGGGCCGTGCCGAGACCTCTGAGGTCGTCCTGTCCACCCCACTGTGCCCACGCGGCCGGGTCGGGCCGGGCCTCACCTCCTTCCACTTGAGCTGGCGGATGCTGATCTTCAGGGCATCCAGGGAGGTCCTGGCCTTGGAGCTGTCCACGGTGACCGGCCGCTGGGAGCCGTTCTCGCCGGAACCGTGGCCCGAGCTCCGCTTGCAGCTTCGGCCCTTGTCCCGGGGCTTCCCGTGCGGGCAGAGGCCCTGCACCGGCTTCGGCTTGGACGGGGGCAGCGTGGGCGGCGGCCGCTGAAGGACCTGGGTGTTCCCCTCCTCAGCCGCACTGGGCTGCGCCGGGGCCGGGGCCAGGACCTTGGGCTGCTCCTCCCCTGCCTTGCACTCCGGTTCCCCGGCCGCGCCCGCGTCCACGCGGACCTGTTCCGCCACCGTCTCCGCTGTGGCCTCGGCCTCAGCTTTGGCCGCCGCTTTGGCCGCAGCCACCGCCTCCGCCTCCCACCGGGCCGCCAGCTCGCTCTCGGAGCTGCCCCGCCGCATGGTGCTCAGGGCCGGGGCCAGTGCCAGTGCCACCGCCGCCGCCGCCGCCGCTCCGCCGCCCCAGTCCGCCACCAAACTGCCGCCGCTGCAGCCGCTGCCACGCGTTCCCCGCCCGAGCCCGTTGCCATGATCGCTCAGGCTCGGGTTGACAGCGGCAGTCACCGCATCGAGACGGGGTCCGGGAAGGGACAATCGCCGGCCGAGCCCCAGCGACCTCATAGGCGAGGCTGCCCACGTGACCCTGCCTGTCACAGAGGCAGCGGCGGCCATGTTGGAAGAGGGCAAAGAGCCGCCAGGACCCGCCCACCCCGCGGATGCGCTGGATCTCGAGGGCGCAGAACTCGGAGTGGCGAGGAGAAGCGGGAGGGCAGATTGAGCGCGCGTGGGGCTCGTGAGCCTGGGGACTGGGAGTAAAAACAACTACCTCAAGCAGGAGGCTCAGTCCCCGCCAACACTCGCTGGGATAACTCTCGATAGGACGGAGGAGGAGCCCCCCAGTGGGACCCTCCTCAGTGCAATGGATGGGACCCTCCTCAGTGCAATGGATGGGACCCTCCTCAGTGCGATGGATGTGAGCAGCCCAGGCCCTAGGGGAGCAGAGAGTGTTCCGCTGAAGAAACCCTCTGCTGGTCCTTTGAGCGCCCCCAGATAAGAGGGGAGGCACTTTTCCCTGTTCTCAGGGAGCTCCCGATGGGATGGGGAAGTCATGGGCATGGGTAAGCCCCCTATAGATTCCCACTCGAGTTGAGGATATTAACGATTTTTTCTTTTTCTTTTCTTTTTTTCTTTTTTTTTTTTTTTTTTAGACAGGGTCTCTCTCTGTCGCCCAGGCTGGAGTGCAGTGGCGCGATCCCGGCTCACTGCAGCAGCCTCAACTTCCAGAGCTCAAGGGATCCTCCCACCCCAACCTCCCGAGTAGCTGAGACTACACGAATGTACCACCACTCCCGGCTAAGTTTTGTGTTTCTCGTAGAAACGTGGTTTCGCCATGTTGCCGAGGCTGTTCTCAAACTCCTGACCTCAGGTAATCTGCCAGCCTCGGCCTCCCAAAGTACTAGGATTACAAGCAGAACCACCGCGTCTCTTGTTTTCTTTTTTGTTTTTGTTTTTGTTTTGTTGTTGTTGTTGATGTTGTTACAGAGTTTCGCTCTTGTCGCCCAGGCTGGGATGCAATGGTGTGATCTCGGCTCATTGCAGCCTCCGCCTCCCGGCTTCAAGCAATTCTCCTGCCTCAGCCTTGTGAGTAGCTGGGATTGCAGGAGCCGGCCACCATGCCCGGCTAATTTTTTGTATTTTTAGTATAGACGGGGTTTCACCATCTTGGCCAGGCTGGTCTCTAACTCCCGACCTCAGATGATCCACCCGCCTCAGCCTCCCAAAGTGCTGAGATTACAAGCGTGAGCCACCACGTCCAGCCTGACTGCTTTTACTTATATCACTTTTTTTGTTGTGGTAAAATATAACAAAATTTGCCATTTTAACCATTTTTAGTGTACAATTCAGTGGCATTCTGTATACTCACATTGTTGTGCAACCAGCACCACTATGGGTCTCCGGAACTCTTTTATCTTACCAAACTGAAACTTTGTGTCTATGAAACAATAAGTCGGGATTCCCTTCTCTCCTAGTCCCTGGGAACCACCATTTCTACTTTCTGACTATGAATTTGACTATTCCTGGTTCCTCATGTCAGTGGAATCATACAGTATTTGTCTGGCTTATTTCACGTAGCATAATGTCCTCAAGGTTTCTCCATGTTGTAGCATGAGTCCAAATTTCACTCATTTTTAAGACTGAAAAATATTTCGTCGTGTGCATACACCACCTCGTTTTTATCCATTCATCTGTCAATGGACTTAGGTTGTTTCCACCTTTTGGCTATTGTGAAGAATGTCGGTTAACATTGGTATACAAATACCTGTTTGAGCCCCTGCTTTCCATTTTTGGGAGTTGCCATCATTTTAAAGCCAAACCAAGGAGAAAGCTCTCCCCTCCCACCTGAGGGAGCCGCATTTGTTTTTTTAGGAAGTGGGGTTGAGAAGGTGTAACAGCACCCCAGACTGACCACAGCGGCCACGACTGCACACAGGGGAACTTTGCCTCGCTCGACACTACAGGGTGAAAGAAACACAGAAGTTGTCAAGGAACGTGGCCCCTCTTCCTCTCTCATCTCTCCAGGTGTCTTGTTTCTTTGCTTTAGTCCAGGGGTTTCACTTGCTGAATAAACTGCCTTGAAATGTCCAAGTCATAAACTTAAGAGATCCAAACCTCCTTTTTAGCAGCAGAGGGCGCTCGCATCTGTTCCCTTCATGACTTTGTTTCAGAGTTTCTGTAAGCATGGTCGTCTGGCCACTTGCATGGGAACAACCCGGGGTGTTTATTTAAAATGCAGGCTCCTGGACCCCACCCCCAGAGACTGTGATGCAGCACATCTGGGTGGACCTGGGAATCTGCATGTTAAATTAGCTCCTCCGCTGATTCTAAGGCAGCGGAGGCAAGAACCACTCATAGAGTCTGATGCAAGTCCTCTGGAAATTCTTGGAGCTGTCCGTGGTATCAGTAAGAAGGCCTCACTGTCCCCCCATTTCTCTCCACAAACCTACCCCCCAAATCCTGTCCCTCCTCCTGGTGTCCTTGATCTCAGCAAGTGGCACTACCTTCATTCAGTCATCCATGCTTGAAATTTGCCGAGATCGCGCCACTGCACTCCAGCCTGGGCGACAGAGTGAGACTCGGTCTCAAAAAAAAAAAAAAAAAAAAAAAAAAAACATATATATATATATATATATATATATATATATATATATATATATATATAAAAACTGGGCATGATGGCATATGCCTGTAATCCCAGCTACTCGGGAGGCTGAGGCACAAAACTCATGAACCCAGGAGGCAGAGGCTGCAGTGAACTGAGATCGCGCCACTGCACGCCTAGGGCAACAGAGCGAGACTCATTCGAGAGAGAAAAAGAGAGAGAGAGAGAGAGATCTCCTCTTTCCTCTCTTATCTATCTCTATCATCACCACCCCAATTCAGGCTTCTGCTGATAGCTCACCTCCAGCTCTGCCACACACCCACCCATTCTCCACACCAGACCTGCCACTCTCCTGCTTAGAAACCTCCCCTGGTTTGTCACCATCTACAGATAAAGTCCAAGAACATTGATTGTCCTAAGAGGCCCTTCCTGATTACAATTTCTGAAATCAACCCCTCTCCCTGCCTCCATGCCTTTGTAAACATTGTTCCTTCTGTCTGGACTTCCCTTCCTTCATGTCTGTTCTTAGACAAACTTTTCCCAGTGCCTCAGGCAGAAATAGTTACTCTCTGTGCTCTTCTATTCACACCCATAATTCTCATCCACAACTCTCAACCCTGGTCTGTCTGTCACACTATCTAGAAATCATCTCAGCCTCCACCATTAGTCTGGGCAAGAACAAATCTTGTCTGATTCATCTCTGTATCCCCATCTCTTGGGTCTTGGAACACAGTGGCCCTTGCTTTGTTCATGGTAGTATGAACAAAGTAGTATGGATGTATTAATGAATGAGTCATTTTCAGCCTCATATGTCAAATCTGTAAGGACAATCCCATATAGAAATATTCATTTTGGCTTCACATCCCGAGACCTCTTCTGCCTCAGGGCCTTTGCACATGCCCTCTGCCTTTCTTTAGATCTCTGGCTACTGCTCCTTCATTATTCAGTGTAAATGATACATCTGCACAGATACCTCTGATCTCTTCATCTAAGTCAGACTTATTCAGATGAAATAATTATGCAAGAGAGGAAAATAGGAGGTGTCATGAGGGAGTATATGATTAAGTGCCAATGAGGCAAAGAGTAAAAAATAAAATTCATCCAGTAGCTCAAGAAATAGAGAATTTACTGTGAATTAGAAAGCTAGACCAGGCTTCCTATAAGAGAGAGACTATAAGCTGAGTCTTCGAGGTGGAGTAGGAATCAGGTTGATAGAAAGCTAGGTGGGGTGGTCACTGAAGAGCTATGGATAGGGCTGCTGCAGTCATGCAAGAGGCCTTGCGGGCGTTGAAATCCAATGTGTGCAAAGCCTCACCCATCATGGCTTTGGCCATGGGATGGGGGTGCTTTTGCCCATTGGCTTAAAGACTCCCAGGGCTCATGGAGGCCCTGTACTGAGAGGGAAGATGAAGAAAAGGTGAAGCAAGATTTAAGAAGGGGATAATCATCTGCTTCTTCAAGAGGGCAGGGAGCAGACTGGACCAGTTGAAATACAAGCCTCTGAGCAAGGGAGAAAAGAAAGGAAACAAGGCCCACTTGAGCCCGACTGTCAGGTCTTTGAATACCATGGCACCCTTGACTTCTCAGGAAATTCTAAAATGTGTTAGTGGAAAATCCAAACCCACATGAGACTTCTTCAAGAAAAGCTTTAGCTGTGTCTGCTAAGAAGCAAAAGCAGGTTAGATTTCAGGACTAGGATTACTTCCAAAAAATACACAAATGTGAAAATAAAGTTCTCCGGGAGTTCTCTCCTTTTCCTTCCCAGCACTCACCATAGTTTACAGTTGGAGTGTTACTTGTTTGTTTACTTGTTATAGCCTGTCTTGCCAGCCAGAGTCTGGGTGCCAGAATATAAAGGGTGTGTTGTTCTTGCTGACCACAATATCCTAGTGCCTAGTTCAGTGCCTGGCACAGAGTAGGCATTCTGGAACTGTTGAATGAATGAATGAATGAATGAATGAATGAATGAATGAAAAATTAGACTGCCCAGATAGTCAACAATTAAAAAATGGTTAAGTGAATGATAGCAAACGCTGTCAATGACAGCTTCAGCCGCTTAGGAAAATGTTGATGATGTAACATTAAGGGAACTGGTGCAAGCATTGCAATTACAATGCTTAAAAAGTGCTCTGCGTAAACAGGGCCTGGAAGAATATAGAGACAAATGAGAACAGCTGTGGTGCCGGAGACACGAGATCTTGCTTAAAATTTTCCACTCAGTTTTGGCAAACCGTAACAACCTTGTGGCTCTTCATATCCTTGAACCTTGAAATCAATCTCATTTCTAGAGACTGCTGATAAGAGTCGGAAAGACAAAGCTTTAGGTAGTAATCTGTTACTGGTGAGTAACCTCTCTGCGACAGGCACTGTCCTAAGCATTTTGCATACATCATGTCATTTAATCTGTAAACCAGCTCTGGGATGGGTCCCATTGTTAATCACATTTTACAGATGGTGAAGGAAATGGCTACTACTCCGAGAAGAGAAGGCGCTTGCCCAAGTCACAGCTAGTAAAGGCAAAGACAGGATTCAAACTCAGAGTGGTCTGACACCAGCACCAGCTCCCAACACCCACACTTATTCACACACCAAGACTTTGTCCACAAAAATACTCAACATACATTTAAACACCAGCGAGTTTAATCCTCAGCTCTGTGAAAATTATATGCAGGGAAAAACACTGGAGGCAGATATGCCAAAATATTAGTAGTGGTTATTCTGGGTGATGGAATTAAGGGTGACTTATTTTCTTCTTTATTCTTTTCTATAATTTCCACATTTTCTACAATGAGCACGCGTTGCCTTAATAACTGGAAAATCAATGTACTTTTAAATTAAAATTTTACCTTAGTTGTTATTTCTCAATGCTCAGAGTGTTCTTTCTCTAATAGAAGTCTGACCATGTCAGTCCTCTGTTTAAAACCCTCCTGGGGACCCCTGAAGCTATATGGGAAAGAGCTTGTTTTGTTTTTGTTTTTGAGACAGGGTCTCACCCTGTTGCCTAGGCTGGAGTGCAGTGACACGATCTCCACTTACTGCAACCTCTGCCTTCTGGGTTCAAGCGATTCTCATGCTTCAGTCTCCCGAGTAGCTGGGACTACAGGCACTCCCCACCACACGGGTTAATTTTTGTACTTTTAATAGAGACAGGGCTTCGCCATGTTGGCCAGGTTGGTCTCAAACTCCTGACCTCAAATGATCCACCCATCTCGACCTCCCAAAGTGCTAGGATTACAGGCGTGAGACACTGCGATCGGCCGGGAAGGGGCTTGTTTTGACACTGACCTCACCATGTCTTCACCACTCCCATCCCATCCACATCCCAACACCTTGTCTCTTTCCCCCAGATGGACTTGCTGTAAAATGGACTTTTACAGCTGTCAAAGTCAATTGACTTTTTAAATTTTTAAATTGACGTTAACAGCTGTAAAAGTCCATTTTACAGCAAATCCATTTGTGGGGAAAGAGACAGGAGGAACAAATGGTCCAGGAGAGAAGGGTGTGGGGAACTTTTGCCCCAGCTGGTTGTTTCTGCCCTATTAGTATCAGAGGTCGCCACCAGGTGGCGCCCGAGGTCCAGTTTTTAAGAGGGAGAAGGCTGAAGCGCCTCTGAATCGCGAGCTCTGCCCAGCTAAGCTTGCAAACACACACATTTTTGCACCTCTGGGCTTTTGCCACTATTGCTCTCTCTGCTGGGTGCACCCTCCCTCACAGCTCACCTGACCCAATCCGCTCAGTTTATCCTTCAGGCCCAGCTACAAAATCTCCTTTTCTTAGGGTATGGCTGAGCTCCCGGGGGCATCCAGTTCCCGGAAGGCGGCGTGGCCGATCTTAATGAATGAGCAAAAGGCGTCATGTTCAGTTTCAGGTTAACTTTTTCTCTAATAGGTTGTTTCTTTCTTATTGTCAGTAGTAGCCATTGTTCATGGAGCACATCTGTATGTCGAGCCTCGTTGTGTATTTGGGCATTTAACTGAACATTATTTTCCCCACAGCACAGTTTAGCCTGGAGGCTGAGCACGAGTTGAGTTCTGAAGCTGACAGCCTGGGTTCAAGTCTTATCTCTCCCACTTTCTGGCTGATTATACTTAGATAGGTTACCTGGCTCTTCTGTGATTCTTTCCTCACTGTGAAAAGGTGAAAATGATAGTACCTACCTCCCGGTGTTCCTGTTACTTTGAGGATTAAGTTAGCCACCACATGGAAAAGCATTTAGAACAGAAACGGCCGGCATATACCAAACCCTCAAGTAACCTGTTGATCTCTGTTATGCCCCTATGTCCCTCTTGGCTTTATGATTCTCTAGAAAGCAGTGACATCCCCTCCTCTTGGATCTGCTTTTATGACCTCTCCACCCCATGCTAGGCTGCATTTCCCCATCCCCACAGACCAGGAGTTTCTGGAGGACTGGGCTGTGGTTGATTCAGTCCCCTGGGCCCCCAGCACAGGGCCCAGCACAGAGTAAATGGCACTTATGGAATTGGATTATGAATTATTTAGCCTGGGCATTGTTGCCTTAGGTTTTACAGTTCTGTATCTACAGGTATGTCAAGGGATATAGGGGTGAAAGAGGAAATTACCGAAACAAAACAGTTTTGACATTTTTATTGGAGGGTAATATACACACAGAAAACTTCGATGGATTTTCATAAACTGAAAAGACCGAAGAAACCAACACCCAGATCAAAAATCAGAACATCCCCAGCACCCTGGAAGCCCCACCCTAGGGTAATTGCTTTCCTGACTTCTAATAGCATGGATTAGTTTTGTTTAAAATAAGATACATTTTAACTGATTCCAAGTTTTAAGAACCCACGTCATACATTATGTGCTTAGGTGGAGAGGCATAAGGCCAGAGGCTATTTTCAAACACAACAGCAGACAGTGGGACCCACAGTGACCAACAGCCCACTGGGGTGGGGCCCTGCTTCATGGCTTGCAAAATGCCATATGATATCTGTGCACCGAGTACCCCTTTCCACTTCTGCACACCCATGTGTCCATGCTGTGCGTGGAAGTCAAGGAGGGACGTCCCAGAAGAGGGGACAGGGACAAGAGCAGGGCGCCTGGCAGAACCGATCACTCAGGGAAAGGCCCTGACAGGTGAACTAGGGAACGTAAGGGGGTGCTGGGTGTGGGCAGGAGGGGTGTGGTAAAGACATGCAGAGGCTGGCAAGCTCAGGGTCAGAACAAGCCCCTTCACTGCCGGCACAGTGGCTCACACCTATAATCCCAGCACTTTGGGAGGCCGAGACAGGCAGATCACTTGAGGTCAGGAGTTCGAGACCAGCCTGGCCAACATGGCGAAATCCCATCTCTACTAAAAGTACAAAAATTAGCCAGCGTGGTGGTACATGTCTGTAGTCGCAGCTACTCAGTAGACTGAGGCATAAGACTTGCTTGAACCCAGAAGGCAGAGGTTGCAGTAAGTGGAGATCGTGCCACTGCATTCCAGCCTGGGTGACAGAGATCGTGCCACTGCACTCCAGCCTGGTGACAAAAACAAAACAAGCTCCTTCCCATAGCTTCAGGGGTCCCTAGGAGGGTTTTTAGCAGAGGACTGACTGGTCAGATTTCTATTTCAGAAATAAAGCTCTGCACGTTGAGAAATAAAAGTAAGTTAACATTTATTGTCCTAAACCCTTTACGTGGATTATTGAGTTTATGGCTCACAGCAACTAAGGAGGTAGACAGCAGTGGTCTCCCACTTTATAGATCAGGAAGCAGCACAAGGAAAGTAAGTGGGTGCCCAAAGTCACTCAGCTGGAAGTTCTGGAGCTCATATGCCAACCCGGGCCCAGAGCCTGACCCCTAACTTTATTCTACCTTGGAAGAGGGCTTGGGGGCAGAATCGGGGTGAGGAGACCAGTGAGGAGTCTACTGCAGTTAAGCAGCCCAGAGGTGGTGGGGGGCGGCTGTGGGAAGGGGACCGAGATAGGAGGGAACTGGGGCCCTTCCTGCTGCTCAGGCTCATCAGCATTGCCCTTTCCTCAGGCACCAGGAGCTTGGACTGGGCTCCCCTCTCACCAGCCAAATTTCAGAGACTCCCAGTTTCCTCCTCCTCCCTCCTCACTGTCCCCAAAAGACTCATCCTTCCAATGCTTTCACTTTGCCAAGGAAGAAGCTTAGGAGATGGCAGTAAGTCTGGGGTCCCACAGCCCTGGTCTGTACCCTGGGGCTCAACAACTTCATGAAAGGGTCTCTGGAAGCACTGGGGAGCCTGCCCCCTCTAGTTATTATCCTGAGGATGAGTGGAGGTGATCCTGGCTTCCTTCCCCCTGGGCCTCTTCCTCCAGGGCATCCCTGTCCCTGGGAGATTAGCTTGAAGCTGCCATCAGCCTCAAGGATAGCACCCCCTTGTCTTGGGGGGATGAATGGTCACTAGGAGACCTCCAGACTAGCAACACCTCCTGTGGAGCCCCTGCCCTGGGAAGCCTCCTGGAGAAGGCTGATGGAAGACAGAGGTATCTTTGGGCAGCCACACCTGGCACCTGGTGGACAGACATACCTGGAGGGGCAGGCCGGAGGGAGGTGAAGACAGCTTTAGGGAGAAATTGGAGCTGCAGATGGAGGCCTAATCTTGTCTGCTCTGAGAAAGAGCCCTAGGAAAGAAAGGAAGAGAGAGAGGAGTGGCGGGAGGGAAAGATGGAGGAAAGGAAGAAACTTACATTTGCTTAACACTTCCAGTATATTGGGAACTTGATATAAACAAACCTTCACAGCAAGATTATAAGCCTCTGTAGTGTAGAGCAGGAATCAGCAAACTTTTTCTGTAAGGACTATATAATAAATATCTTAGGCTTTGTAGGTTCTGTCACAACCACCCAAGTCTGCCATTATCATGAGAAACCAGCTACAGACACCATGTAAATGAATGAGCTAGCATGGCTGTGTTCCAAACTTTATTTACAAAAACAAGCAGGAGGCTGGGCACGGTGGCTCATGCCTGTAATCCCAGCACTCGGGGAGGCCGAGGTGGGAGGATCTCCTGAGATCAGGAGTTTGAGACCAGACTCACCAACATCGAGAAGCCCCATCTCTACTAAAAATACAAAATTAGCCGGGCATGGTGGCACATGCCTGTAATCCCAGCTACTTGGGAGGCTGAGGCAGGAGAATCACTTGAACTCGGGAGGCGGAGGTTGCGGTGAGCCAAGATCGCGCCATTGCACTGTAGCCTGGGTGACAAAAGCAAAACTCCATCTCAAATAAATAAATAAATAAATAAATAAAAATAAAAATAAGCAGGAAAGATCCTCCACATCATTCACCATCAAGGAAATGCAAATCAAAACCACAGTGAGATAGTGCTTCCCATCCACTAGGATAGTTAGAATCAAAAAGACAGTAAGTGTGAGGATGTAGAGAAACTGCAGCTCTCACACTGCTGGTGGAAATGCAAAATGGTGCTTTGTTAACAGTCTGGCAGTGCCTCAAATGGTTAAGCATACAGTTACCATACGACCCAGTGACTTCATTCCCAGGTGGAATGAAAACCCAAGAAAAGTGAAAACGTGTCCACACAAAAACGTGTACACAGATGTGCATAGCAGCACTATTTATAATAGCCCAAAAGTGGAAACAATCCAAATGTCATCAAGTGATAAATGGATAAATAAAAGGTGGTACATCCATTCAATAATATATTATTTAGCAATAAGAAGGAATGAAGTAGGCCGGGTGCAGTGGCTCACGTCTTTAATCCCAGCACTCTGGGAGGCCGAGTCAGGTGGATCACCTGAGGTCAGGAGTTCCAGACCAGCCTGGCCAACATGGTGAAACCCCATCTCTACCAAAAATAGAAAAATTAGCTGGGCATGGTGGTGCGCACCTATAGTCCCAGCTACTCCAGAAGGTGAGGCCGGAGAATCACTTGAACCCAGGGGTCAGAGGTTGCAGTGAGCCGAGATCACACCACTGCACTCCAGCTTGGACAAGAGAGCGAGACTCTGTCTCAAAAAAATAAAAATAAAAAGGAATGAAATAATAGATAATGTAAGAAATTTATCAGTATATAATGATACTAATTTCCAAATTGAACAGGTTTATTGTGTATCCAGCCCAGTGAATAGAATAGGCACATACCAAGCCATATCATGTTAAATTCTGATAGACTGAGAAGGATAAAATCCTAAATATATCCAGAGAAAGAAAGTAGGAGGGACAGTGAAAACACAAGGAATGGGAAACAGAATGACATGAGATTTCTCAACAACACAGAATCTAGAAGATAGTAGAGCAGTGCCTTCAAAATTATAAGTCAAAGTGATGGAGAATTCTATACCCAACCAAACTATCAAGTATGAAGCTAGAATAATATTTTCAGACATTCTAGGCCTCAAAAATTTATATTCCAAGTACACTTTTGAGGAACAACTGAGAATGTGCTCTCCCAAAATGAGGGAGTAAAACAAGAAAGAGGAAGACTTGGGATTCGGAAAGTAAGATTTATAGCAAACATGGAAATTGTTTTTAAAAAGGAATAAAGTACTGATACATGAACCTTGAAAACATTATGCTAAGTAAAAGGAAGTCAGACACATAAGACTATACATTGGATGATTCCATTCATATAAAAAGTCCAGAATAGACAAATCTACACAGAGAAGGTAGATTAGCGGTTTTCTAGGGTTGGGGGGCATGGGGAAAATGGAGAGTGATGGTTAAGAGGTACAGGGTTGGCCGGGCACGGTGGCTCATGCCTGTAATCCGAGCATTTTGGGAGGCCGAGGCAGGCAGATCATGAGGTCAGGAGATTGAGACCATCCTGGCCAACATGGTGAAACCCCATCTCTACTAAAAATACAAAAAAAAAAAAAAATTAGCTGGACGTGGGGGCACGCACCTGTAGTCCCAGCTACTCAAGAGGCTGAGGCAGGAGAATCGCTTGAACCCAGGAGGTAGAGGCTGCAGTGAGCCGAGATCGTACCACTGCACTCTAGCCTGGGCAACAGAGCGAGACTCTGTCTAAAAAAAAAAAAAAAAATGGAGGTAAAGGGTTTCCTTTTCAGGATGATGAAAATAGATCATGGTGGTGGATACACAGTCTTGACTATACTAAAAACCACAAATTGTATATTTTAAACACATGAATTGTATAGTATGTGAATTATATCTCAATAACACTGTTTAAAAAAAAAAACACGCACTGGGGCACATTTGGTCCATCCACCAAAGTTTGCTGACCCCCGATGTGGAGCAGTCAGACTGCCTGGGTTGGAATCTACGCTCTTCTTTACAACCCTGGGCAAGTTTTATAACTTCTCTGTCCCCTGCTTTCCTCGTCTAAAAAGTGGAGTGGGGCCGGGTGTGTGGTGGCTCATACCTATAATCCCAGCACTTTGGGAGGCCAAGGTGGGAGGTTCACTTGAACCCTGGGGTTCAAGACCAGCCTGGGCAATATAGGGAGGCCTCATCTTAAAAAAAATTGTTGTTAATAAAAATTAAAATTGTAGTGATAACAATAATACCTCAGAATGATGTTGTGCAAAGTTAGTGAGTTGAAATACAGATGGCGCCTGCACAAAAACGCTCTACAAATGCTGGTGATTACTATGGTTTCCATTTTAGAACTGAGGAAACTGAGGCTGAGACAAAGGAAGGCTTTTATTCAGCCACACAGTGAGTAAGTGACAGATTTGAAGTTCAAGCCTCAGTCTGTCCAGTGCTAAGTCTGTGTTTTTTCCATTCCACCACTGTATTATACAGTCACCTCCTGGCCATGTCCTAACCTCACTGAGAGACCGTGGCCTGGCCCTACACCCTCTGGCCTTTCATTTCTCCCATGCCAAATGAAGAGTTTGGCACAGATGCCCCTTGTATTAGTCTGTTTTCACACTGCTATAAAGAACTGCCCAAAGGCCAGGCGTGGTGGCTCACACCTGTAATCCCAGCACTTTGGGAGGCTGAGGCGGGTGGATCACGAGGTCAGGGGTTCGAGACCAGCCTGACCAACATGGTGAAATCCCATCTGTACTAAAAATACAAAAATTAGCTGGGTGCGGTGGCGGGCGCCTGTAATCCCAGCTACTCAGGAGGCTGAGGCAGGAGAATTGCTTGAACCCAGGAGGCGGAGGTTGCGATGAGCCGGGATCGCACCATTGCACTCCAGCCTGATGGACAGAGTGAGACTCCGTCTCAAAAAAAAAAAAAAAAAAAAAAAGGAACTGCCCAAGACTGAGTAATTTATAAAGGAAAGAGTTTTAATTGACTCACAGTTCAGCATGGCTGGGGACGCCTCGGGAAACTTACAATCATGGCGGAAGGCAGAGGGAAAGCAAGCACCTTCTTCATAAGGTGGCAGGAAGGAGAATGAACTCAGGAGGAACTACCAAATACTTATAAAACCATCAGATCTCTTGAGAACTCACTCACTATCATGAGAACAGCAAGGGAGAACTGCCCCCATGATTCAGTTATCTCCACTTGGTCTCTCCCTTGATACGTGGGGATTATGGGGATTACAATTCAAGATGAGATTTTCAGTGGGAACACAGCCAGACTGTATCACCCCTTAAGAGCTCTGTTATCTATACCGACATTTTACAAATCGGTAAAGAAGATGATAGGGAAATGTGGCGTCTTTGGCCAGGCTCCATGCACCAGGCATTCCTGTGCCATCACCACTAAGCCTAGGGGATGATTTCCTGTCTCCCTCACTGGACTCACGTGCCAGCCACTGGAAGAAGAGGAGATGCACCATACTCTATCTGCAGGTAACAAAATAAAGGCCAGGCTTGTGCAGCAGTAAGCTGGAAAGAAAATAACTGACAACACGATACCATCTTAGATTCTCCAAGGACTCTGTGAAGGCAGAGAATAAACATTACATTTCAAACAACTTTTCCTAAAAGGTCAAGAGAAATTGAAAGTAACCGCACTCTCCTAACAACAGCCTTCTCTCTTGGAGAGCTGTCAGGGTTTAAAAATATTTTACAAAGCAATCATCTGCATGCCATCAAGAGAGATGCCTCACTCAGGTCAAGAAGCAGGGGCTGTTGAAATGTGTCAGTGGAATTGTGCTAGGAAAAACCCACCACTGATAGCTCAATTCTAACCTAACTTTGGAAAGCAAGTTAAAAGTAAAAATAAAAATAAACAAAGGAAAATCAATCCAAGTGTTCCCAAGTGGCCCAATTTGAGAAGAAATCCTTTTCCTTCTCGGTTTAAGGGGCGAACCGGATGGACAAGATAAAGGTACATAATGCATGCTCCTGCACCAGTACCTGGCCTTCCAGGTGCCTCAGGCTCAACTGATGCTTCCTTCACTCTGGCCTTCTGTGCCAAGGCCTGTGCTGGGAGCTCCACACAGGGATGAGTAAGACAAGGCCCCCGGGGCCTGGTGATTTTCTCTGTCCACCGAGAGGCCAGGCGCATCCATAAATAACGGCAGAGCTTGAAGTGATATAATAGACAAACAGGGCAGTCAAGTTGGGCCTCTTAGCCAGGGTGACCTTTGAATGGGCATCTGCAGCAGGGAGAGCTCACCAGGCAGATGGGGAGGGGTGGGGAGGCTTTCTAGGCAGGGGGGCTGGCTCGTGCAAAGACAGAAGTGTGAATCAGCCTGGTGCAGGTGGCCAAAAAGAACAGTGTTATGTGGGACATCCATATAAAGCAGTGGATGGGGGAGGCTGCAGAGGCAGGCAGGGCCAGCGAGTGACACAGGGTCTTGCAAGCCTGGAGAGTGAGTGTGAGCAAAAGCCTGTGCTCAGCGGCAGGGCACTGCAGGTTTGGAAGCAGAGCGGGACAGGACTAGATCGAGCTTTTCCATATGTTTCTGGCTACTGAGTAGAGAAAGACTTGGAGGGAGGGAGTCTGGAGGCAGCTGGCCAGAGCCTGAACTAGGCATTCATTCATTCAACACATGTTCATGGAACATCCACTGCGTGCCAGGCACTGCTTCCAGTGTGGGGTAGTTTGGACTGTGGGGATGGACAGAAGGGCACAGACCTAGAGATGTGGGAAGTAAGGTGGGAGGTGAGGAAGGGGTGGAAGTCCAGGGGACTCTCTGGCTGTGGCTTGCCCAACTGATGGATGGATGGTGTTACTGGCTAAAATGAAACCAGAAGGAGAAGCAGGTTTGGGAGACAACAGTGAGCTCAGTCTTGGAGTGTTGGTTTGAGATGTCTGCGGAGCAGTGGAGACCTCTCCAGCCTACATTTGCTTCAGTGCTGTGTGACAATAGCCTGGATGTTGGAGTTGTCAGATATTGTCCCTGTCTTCAACTTTCCCTGGTCTATATTTCTGGAGCCAGAGAAGCTCCAGGGAAATGCCCAGGCGGAGTGGGGAAAACCTGTGGGAATTTGCTTGTTCAGAGGAGACAGGATGGGAGAGAGAGGAAGCCGGGTGTGGCTGAGGAATCTCGGGGAGGAGAGGATCTTTGACAGCCTGTATGCCTCCAAAGGAAGCCACGGAGCAAGGGAACAGACTGACCTTCCAGCTTCGATTTTCTGTCTGTAAATAGGATTGATAAAATTGTTGAGGATTAAACCAGACAGTTCAGGTAAAATTGTTAGCAAGAGACCAGGTCCATAACATCCGATCTCTAAGTGACTGATGTTTTTATTAGTTTGTTGGGCCCTGGATGCAGCTAGGGCCCAAGCCCAGAGGTTTGGGGATGCATATTCAGCTCAAGGCCAGGAAGAATCTTAAAAGGCCAGGTGTCCCGGGAGGGAGCGAGGAGAAAGGGGGAAGGAGTCAGGAAGGCCAGAGCAGATCAGCTGGGCACCCCCCATCCCCAGACCCCACCCCTGGTGAGGGCCTCAGGCTGCATGCTACCACCGATCCTCTCTTCCCCTGAATCTGGGAGCCAGGTACCTGTGCAGGGTGGGGCAGGGAGGTGGCAGGGTGTACTGGCCAGGAGGCAACAGAGGCCGGCAAGAGGAACACAGCTGGAGGGCACTGGCATGCGAGGGAGGAAGCCTGGTGAGGGGACAGCTTGGGCACCCCAGGGGTGAAGGCCCCGTGTTTGCACCAGGAGGAAGAGGTCCAGCGAGGAACTGCATAGCAACCAAGGCCTGTCCCACCTGGCCCTGCCTCAGGCAGGCTGCCCTCAGGCAGGGGGAATTGACTAATCCCCCAGCACCACCACCTTCAGGGATACCCAGTCCCAGAGTCCCAAAAAGATAGGCCAGGTCAGCAACAACCCACCACCACCACCTCAAAAATACAGCCTTTCCAAGAAAACCACCCCAAACCAGTTCAGGACACGTCCCCAACAAGTGAATAGAGACAGCTGGCCACTGGCTTCCTGGGCCTGGCTTTGGCCTGGTCCCCAGGGAAAGGTGCTTGAGGGCTGGGGTTTCTAACCAGCCCCATGCTATTGCCCACCTGTCACTCCCCATGGAGTGTGGGCGGGGCTTGCAGAGGAGCCCTCTGCACGGGGGATACCAGTGACATAGGGGCCTGTGTCTGCTAATGCCTCTCACTTTCTCCACTCCCCTGACCTCATCCCATTTCTGGTTCTAACATGAGGGTCAAATCTATTTGGAGGTCAAGGTGAGGCAGCAGGAGAGACCTTTCAGGTTCCTCCCAGCATCCCAGGCCTCTGTTGCATTCAGCAAGCACAGACTTGAGCCAGGCACTTGGACACAGACAAATCCTCTTGCCCACACTGACCCCCAAGCATCACACTTCCATTCTCCTGGGCTGCCTCCACCAATGTCTGCCTCTGGGAGTCTTATCCATCCTGCAAGGATGGGCTTCAAGGACACCACCTCCAGGAAGCCTACCCTGACTGCACCTCCTTTTCTCTCCCTATGTCTGCCTGAGCCACAATGATGCTCCCTCCTTTGAACTCCTGCATCCCTTTCTCTGACCCTGGTCTTAGGTTTATTCATGGCAGGACAGGCTCCCCCAAGAGGCCATGAGCTCTGAGAGCAGACCCAGTTTGAAGCAACAGGGGATGCTTTTTGAGCACCTCCTGGTCACCGGGTGCTGTGGTAGTGTGACGTGCTCCACCTCATTGACATTGACCCTTCGCTCAGTGCTGTGAGGTGGGCACTGAGACCATCGCCATTCTACCATAGAGAAACTAGGCCACTGCTTGACAAGCCAGTCATGGGAGCAGGGACTGTATCTGCCTCGCCCAGAGAAAATAAGAATGAGCGGGGCCCGGCCAGCTGTTCTGCAGCTCTGCCCAGTGCCATCTGCCCGGAACCCACTCTGCTGCCACCAGCTCTGCTCCACCTGCCCTTCCAAGCTTCAGCCTCTGTTTTCTGAAGGGCCCCTGGCCAGCTAGGAGCCTCCCTCCCAGGGCACGGTATAACCTGGGATTCCTCTCAGCTGGGGTCCTGGACGACTGGGTCTGGGGGTTTCAGGATCACCCGACCTGACCCGTGGCAGCCAAGGTGGCTGGCCAGGCTGCAACCCCCCCACCCCACATCTATGTATGCCCCGCTGCCCGGCCCTGGAGCTGCCACCTGCTTTCAATCTTCAAACGGCTTGTGCTTTGAGGACCCCAAGTTCAGTTGGTCACAACCCTGGCCCCCAGAAATACCTTAAGGTGGCCCATGGGCCCTGGATGATCTGCTCCCCCACCCTCTTCAAACCCCATCCTCACATTCCATTTCCCAGCCATTGCTCCAAGCACCACTTCCTCCCACATGCTGGCTTCTCTCCTCAAGGTCATGACACCCAAAGCTTCCTCTTCCTGGCCAACTCCATCATCCTCCCTGGCCAACTCCATCATCCTCCCTTGCCAACTCCATCATCCTCCCTGGCCAACTCCATCATCCTCCCTGGCCAACTCCATCATCCTCCCTTGCCAACTCCATCATCCTCCCTGGCCAACTCCATCATCCTCCAGGTCTCTGCTCCAAAGTCCCCTCCTCAGGGAGGCCAACCCTGAACCCCAGAGTAGATCTCCCAGCACCCTGGGCCTTCTTGTTGTCCTCATCACACTTGACATGGCATTTGAACAGCCTCCCACATTGGCATGAGAGTGAGCTCCATGAAACAGGGCACTGGTTCCTGCTCCGAGCCCAGCACAGTGCCTGACACACAGTAACCATGCTGAGGACAGGATGTTCAGGCTCCTGGGACACCTGGGAGGGAGGGAGAGAACACTTTTAAGTGAAGGTTGGAAAAAGCAGCCCACAGGACTGGCATCTGAGCTCATACCCAGGTGGGCAAGGCAGGAAGGGCATTCCTGACGAAGGGAGCAGCCTGGGCAAGGGGATGAGGGGGCCCCGTTGTGGTCCCCAGCAGGTGAGAGACCTGAGCCTTGGCTGGGTTCCACGACCTGCCCAAGCTGGCCCAGTTAGCAGCAGGGCCTGAGTTCAAATTCGGTCAGTCTGATTCCACAGGCTACATCTCCCACCCTGGCCCACCTGGCACCCTGGCCCACCGCCGGTGCCATCCTCTGGCTGCAGTCCATAGAATGACTCAGAGGAAAGTGCCTGAGCCCCCATGAAAAAAAAAAAAACGATATTCCAGGCTGAACCCCAGACCACAGCTGCCGAGGAAGCTGAACAGAATTCAGGGAGGGGGAACCTCTGGCCAGTGGGCTGTGGTCCAGGCCTGGCAAAGGGATTGGGGCCCCTGGGTGAGGGCCTCCTCTCTGCTTCCCCATCACAACCCTTCCCTACCCTCCCCCAGCCTCAGTTCTTTCACCTGTTAAATAGGACCAACCATGCCTACCTTGAGTAGTTTTTATCAAGGGAGGAAATGGAAATAAAACACAAAGTGTCCTGCAAATGTCAATTGCTGACACACACATTTTTATTATAATGACTGTTAGGAATACTATTGGTTTCTGATTCCCGCTTCGCATTGTGCTTTGATTGTCAGAGGCATTTCGGATTGTGGGGGAGACCCCTCTTGGCGGCAGCACCCCTAGGCCAGGGGCTACCCTGAGACAGACTCTATCATCCCTACCCTGTCCTTTCTGTCCCAGCCAAGCGGCCCCTCCCCTTGCCCAGGTTTTGGGGTCTCCATCCTTCTTGGCCAGTCCTCCACCCAGTCAACTCAGGAACCTTTGCTGGCTGCCCGCCATGGGCAGGGTTTTCTGCTGGACGAGCCAGAATACCAGGCCCTGTGGTCAGGGAGTTACTGGGAAAGACAGAGGACACCAGGAGAAGAGCCAGGGCCATGCTGGGGGAGGCACCGGGTGCCCAAACAGCACAGAGGCCCCAGTCCGGCCTGTCTCCTGGCCTGGTGTGGGTGGGAGCTGCCACTTGCCAGGGCCCTCCATCTCCCCTGTTCTGATCATCCGCAGCAGCTGTAATTCGGGGCTCAGTCTGGAGTTCTGGGTTGTCCCAGCCTGCTCTCTCTGGATCTTGGGGCCTTCATCACCTCCCCATCCTTCCCCTCCTCCCATCCTGACATGCAGGCTGCTCCTTTGGGGAACTCTCCAGGTGTTCTGCCTGAGGGAATCCCATTAGAACAGCCTTGGGGGAATTCAGTTCCCCTCAATAAACATTTACAAGCATAGTTAGAGTGCGTGTACTGAGAGTCAGCAAAAAGCAAACTTTGATCGTACCCACAGCTGCCCTGGGAGGGCAGAATTATTACTATCCCCAGTTAACAAATGAGGCATTCAACGTTCCATTCAGTCATTCATCTGTCCCCATGTGCTGGAGATGCAGCAGTGACCATGCACTCAGGACCACCGCCCAGAGGGAGCCCAGGGACCCTGAGTGAGTCATTCCTAAAGAGCAGACGAGAGGAAAGGGAACCCTGGGAAGGTGGACTTTGGGGAGGGTCGGAGACCTGGAGGACAAGGGGATGGTAGCCAGATAGAGGTGGGTCAGGATGGAGAAGCAGCACAAGCTAGCAATTTGCCCAACTCCAAGTGAGAGCCACAGCTGGAACTCACTAAGCTCCAGGCCCAGTGCTCTTCCCATAACGTCATGCTGCCATGCTGACCGCCTGTATGGCCATGCCCTGTCCTGGGCACAACATGCCATGAGTGTTACAGTGTGGACATGGCTATGAGAGCCCAGGGAGGGAAGTTTCCCTGGAAAGAGTGGGAAAGGTCTAGGAGTGTTACAGGAAAGGGGCCCCAATCCAGACCCCAAGAGAGGGTTCTTGGCTCTCACGCAAGAAAGAATTCAGGGAGGGTTCGTAAAGTGAAAGCAAGTCTATTAGGAAAGTAAAGGAATAAAGAATGACTACTCCAGAGATAGAGCAGCCCCAAGGGCTGCTGGTTGCCCATTTTTATGGTTATTTCTTGATGATATGCTAAACAAGGGGTGGATTATTCATGCCTCCCTTTTTTAGGCCATATTAGGTAACTTCCTGCCGTTGCCATGGCATTTGTAAACTGTCATGGCGCTGGTGGGAGTGTAGCAGTGAGGAGGACCAGAGGTCACTCTTGTTGCCATCTTGGTTTTGGTGGGTTTCAGCTGGCTTCTTTACTGCAAGCTCTTTTATCAGCAAGGTCTTTATGACCTGTATCTTGTGCCGACCTCCTATCTCATCCTGTAACTTAGAATGCCTTAATCATCTGGGAATACAGCCCAATAGGTCTCAGCCTCATTTCACGTAGCCCCTACTCAAGATGGAGTTGCTCTGGTTCAAACACCTCTGACAGGAGGGCTTCACAGAGGAGGTGACATGGAAGCCGGTCTTTGCAAGATGGGTAGGAGTTTGCCAGATAGAGGAGGGCTGTCCATGCTGAAGGAGTAGGGTATCCAAAAGCTCAGAGATGAGAATGTGATTTGCATTCTGGAGACCTCACTATGGGGAGATGAGTGAAGGAAGGGGGCCTAAGAAGTCAACTCTCAACCCCTGTGGCTCCATCAGGATGTGAAGGAATCAGGCAGAGGAAGGAAGAACTGGAATTGAGGAGAGCTAGGAGCCAGGCTCTGCCGCATGGGGAGGGGACCAGCTGCCAGTAATTGAGGCTCGTTGTTGGCTCCTCCATTCATTCCTGTCTCTCTCAGAAGCTGATTAGCAATTGTTCCTCCAGCTTCTTAAGAGGCCAGGGGATTGCAGGGAGGGAGGGGGCGCCTGGAGAAGCTGCCAGGCTTCCGTGGAAGGATCCAGGCACAATTTGGAAGGCACAGGAGGCCCCTCGACCTCAGACACCTACTCCTAACCCCTCCATGTTCCCCCCCTTTCCAACTAAACCTGGGAAATGGGAGAGGAGAAAAACACCTAAAAATACTGAGACAAACCAAAGCATTCTGAGGCAGAGGCATTTAAATCCATGGGGCAGTGGAGCAATAGAAAAAAAAAATCCTTGGATCACACCTGGCATGGTGGTTCATGCCTATAATCCCAGCACTTTGGGAGGGTGAGGTGGGTGAATTGTTTAAGCCCAGGAGTTCGAGACCAACCTGGGCAATATGGTGAAACCCCTTCTCTACAGAAAATAAAATTAGCCAGGCATGGTGATGTATGCCCGTAGTCCCAGCTACTTAGGAGGCTGAGATGGGAGGATCACATGAGCCTGGGAGGTCGAGGCTGCAGTGAGCCAAGATTGTGCCATTGCACTCCAGCCTGGGTGACAGAGCAAGACCTTGTCTTAAAAAAAAAAAAAAAAAAAAATCCCTGGATTGTCAGCCAGATGTGAGTTTGAGTTTTATCTCAGGATGAACTTGCTGTGTGGCCTCAGGTGAGCAGCCTAACCTCTCTGAGTCTCAAGTTCCTGACCAAGGTTATTTGGAAGGCTTAAGGAGACAAAGTTGGCATAGAGGTTAACAAACAGTAGGTGCTCAATAAATTTGCAGTTGAAAAGACAGGGCATTCAATGGATATCTCCATTTTCAAATCTCAGTGGGGCTGTCCTGGACAGAGAGGGTCCTGATGGGGAAGAGGTACCTAAGGAGGCACAGGCTAGCTCAGCACAACACAGAGAGGAGACAGCAGTCCCCGTCACCACCCACCAACATACTCCCGATGCAGAGGTCCCGGCAGGGTTAGCATCCTTGGCTGGAGGAGTGGCCAAACAGCAGCCCAGTCTCTGCCTCTCTCAGCAGAGTCTCCATCTGCATCCTTGTCTGCATCTCTGTCTGTGTATCTCTGTCTGTGTGCCTCTCCCTCTCTCTACGTCTCTTTCTGTCTTTGTGTCTTTCTGTCTCGGTGTGCTCTAGAATGTTTTGAGCAACTTGTCTTTCTCACTGTGTTGCCCAGTGTGTCTGTGTCTGTCTCTGTCTTTGTTTCCGCCTCAGATTCTGTTTCTCTCTTATTCTTTCTCTTCTCATTATTGTCACCTTCTGTTCAGCCAAAAAAGCAGAGACTGCCTGAGTCTAGTGATTGGAAAACCACCATTTTCTCCAAAATGTTCCAAACCCCTACCCCAGTCCTGGCCATGGTTCCTGGCCTCTGAAGTTTGGGGGAGGATGGACCCCTCGCCCCCTCTGCTGCAGAGGCCAGGTCTTGGTGAGAGCAGAGAGCACTCCATTCTGGATATGACCATTTTCTGCACAGCCACCATGTGCCTGATAGAGAAGCACTCTAGGCTCCTATCCTCCCCTGCTGCGGCCTTGAGTCGTACATCCTATGAACTCAGCTCCCCTCTTCCTGCCCTTGCCCTGGGTCAGGGTTCATCCTCCCAGCCCGATGTGCGGTGCCAGCCTCCTCGCTGCCCTGCTGGCCTGGGGCTGGTGCCTCCCACCCATCCTAGCCTGCTCCATCACAGGATGAGCTTCTGACCTGCTTATTCCTGCTCAAGAACCTCCTGTGGCTCCCACCTCCTTTAAAATAAGCCCACACTTGCTCACTGGAGCCTTCTTCAGCACCTGCCTCTCCAGCTGCCCACCTTCTGTGCAGCCATAATAGACTTCTGCTGCCCCAAACATGCTCCGCCCTCTCCTGGCTCTTGTCTCAGCATTTGCCGTTCCTTCCAGTTGGTGTTTCTGCTCCACTGCCACTTCTTGCCCCTCAAGCCAGCTCCAGTGGCCTCTCCTCAGGAAAACGTGAGTTGTTCTCAGCTCTGTGCTCCCCAAACCCTGGCTGTCCCCTTGCATAACCCCAGTCCCTCAGGCTTGCTTCCTGGTCTGTCTCCATCAGACTGTGAGCTCCCTGTTCCTGGGGCTGCACAGAGGAGGCACTCAGCGCTTGGACAGATAAGCCCACCGAACCCTGCGGGGTCTGTCTGCAGCCCTCCCACCAGCCAGCCCAGGACAGAAGCACCATGCCAGGCCAATTTTCCTCTGCCAGCTCTCTGGGGCTTGTGGCCCAGGCTGCTTACGGGAGGAAGGCATCTTCTCCCTGCCAGCTGTCCAACCAGTGACCCCAGGGCTACCATTTAGCCAGCAGCCCCTTCAGAGCCACTCACGCCCCACACAGAGGCCCTGAGTCAATGGGCCTGCGGGAAAAGCATCACTCTTGCTGTGCAAAGCTCTCTCCACATGACTGGGTTTGAGATACATGGTAGAGGGGGTGGGGTTTGCCAACAATGGGGTAGGTTACCTCATGCATTCCATGAATCTCTGCTTCCTGGTACCTGCTGGTCACTGTAGAAAGGGAAGGGGCTTTAGGGGAAGGTCTGGGGCAGGGTTCCAAAGCTGGGTTTCAATCTTGGCTGACCTTGGGTTGTGTGACCTTCTTTTGGAGCTCTGTTTCTCCATTGTCCCATGAGAACCGGATGGTCTCTCTGATGCTTGCAGCTCTGACATGCTGGGCTGTGAGACCTGGACTCCCCACAGTCTGCCCTCTGGTAACATCAATCCTAAATACCCACCTCCTGCCTCACCGAAGCCCCTGTGTGCAGAAGCGATGCGTGTGAGTGAGGACTTACGCTGAGGATTTGTGACTACCCCAGTCCTGGCCTTCCAGAAGCTGGCACTCAGCCCCAGACAGACAGTGCTGGCCTTGCCCAGGACTCACCCTGGAGGGAGATGACAAGGGCGGTAGAGTGCAAGGTTGGAGCCCCTAGCTTGGGTTCAAACCCTGATTATGTCACTTTTTGGTTGCGTTACCTTAGATCAGGGCTTCTCAACGTCAACACCAGGACATTCTGGGTTAGAAACATCTGTGCTGCAGGGGTGTCCCGTGCACGGGAGGGTATTCAGCAGCATCCCTGCAGCACCCCTGAGATGTGACAACCACAATGTCTCCAGACATTGACAAATGGCCCCCCAGGAGTACAATCACCCTTGTTGAGAACCACTGCCTTGGACAAGTCGCTTATTTTTCTTTGACCTCAGTTTCTCCATCAGTAAAATGGGAATTAATTGTGATAAGGACAAAAGCTAACTTGCAGTGTTTACTGAATGTGAGAAATTGTTCTAAGTGCTACACATGTTTTAAGTTTAAATTCATTGTATCATTGCTGCTGCCCTAAAGGTGGGTATTATTCTCCCCATATTCTGGGGAAGGAAATAAAGACACTCAGAAGCTGAGTAATTCTCCAAGGTCTGACAGCTAAGAAGGCTGCTGTATTAGTCCGTTCTCACGCTGCTATAAAGGACTGCCCGAGACCGGGTAATTTATAAAGGAAAGAGGTTTAATTGACTCACAGTTCAGCATGGCTGGGGAGGCCTCAGGAAACTTACAACGATGATGGAAGGGGAAGCAAACACATCCTTCTTCACATGATGGCAGGAAGGAGAAGTGCTGAGCACAAGGTGGGAAAGTCCCTCCCATCAGATCTCGTGAGAACTCACTCACTATCATGAGAACAGCATGAGGGTAACCACCCCCGTGATTAAATTACCTCCCACCGGGCCCCTCCCACAACATGTGGGGATTATGGGAACTACAATTCAAGATGAGATTTGGTGGGGACACACCCAAACCATATCAGCCGCCTAGCTCAAACCTTAGGCCCATAACCTTAATGGCTGGCCTCCAGGGCTTAAAAAGTTCAGGACTGAATGAGGCAATGCATGTAATGTGCACTGTATCTGGAATTATCTCAGTGCTCAATAAATGGTATTATTAGTCTCAACAAACCTCTGCAACCCAAATGTTGGCCCTTTATGCAGATACAACAGGTTGTATCTCCCGTTGTTTCTGGGTCAGCTAATGGTTATGGCAGTCAGGCACAGTGGCTGATGCCTGTAATCCCAGAGCTTTGGGAGGCCAAGGGTGGAGGACCACTTGAGGCCAGGAGTTCGAGACCAGCCTGGGCAACATAGTGAGACCCCTGTCTCAAAAAAAAAAAAAAAAAAAACCATGGCTATTGAATGACTAGTCTGTGCCAGTTATCACATTTAATCCCATGAGAAATTTCCCCGCCCAGGTTGCAGAGGAGAAAAGAATGACTGAGGGAGGGGAAGGGACTGGCCCAGAGTCACACTGCCAGGCACAAGGCCAGCACCAGGCCATGGGGCTGTCTGCTATAGCACGACCCTCAGCGGGACCTGGGTGCCCAATGTCAGGCTCTCTCTGCCTCTGCAAGAAATGTCAGGGAGAAGATGACCAAGTGGTATTGGACAGAATGGCAGTGATGCTGAGGAAGAAACCAAAGGTGAGGGCCCTCTCCCTTTGTATTAAACGAAACTTTCCAGGCTTAGGCCCTGCAGCCTGTACGGTGTCAAAAAACAATTGTCATAAGTTGTCGACACTTGGAAACATTTAAACTTATGAGGTTTCACATTAAAATCTGTATTACTGCCTTCCTTTACAAATCTGGAAGAAGGAATGCATCTGTATAGGTGGGTAAGAGCAGGGGCTCTGGAGTCAGACTACCTGGGTTCCAATCCTAACTCTGCCACTAGCTTGCTGTGTGTCCTTGGCTGAGTTACTTAACCTCTCTGTGCTCTGCTTCCTTCGTCTGCATAACGGGGATAATAACAGCACTTTCACCAAGATTGTCATGGAGATTAAATAAGAAAGTGCCTATACAGCACTTCTTTAGAACAGCACCAGGCACAAAAGAAGCATGCAAAATGTTAGCTGGTGTTATTTGTAACTTTTTTTTTTTTTTTGAGACAGGGTCTTTCTCTGTCACCCAGACTGGAGTGCAGTGGCACAATCATGGCTCACTGCAGCCTTGACCTCCTGAGCTCAAGTGATCCTCCTGCCTCAGCCTCCCAAGTAGCTGGAACTACAGGCTTGAGCCACCGTGCCTGGCCGTTTGTATCATTATTTACAGTGTTTAGTATTAGGCAGTGCTGCCCCTGGATTCTGTCCCAGGCAGAGCTGAGTAATAGCTGCCCCTTTAGATGAAGTGTGACCTCTTCCATTGTCCACAGCCCACAACCCCAGGGACCAAGGCTGAGGTCCTAAAAAAGCCAACACTGTGTAGGGGCCTGACTCCTGGCTGCTATGTGACTTTGGACAGTCACTCCCTCTGTCTGGGCCAGTGTCCTCACTTATAAACCAGAGGCACAGGGCCCTGAAAACATTATGCTAAGTGAAAGAAGCCAGACACGGAAGGCCACATAATGTCTAATTCCATTCCTACCAAATGCCCAGAATACGAAAATCCATGGAGACGAACAGTGAATTAGTGGTTGCAGAGGCTGACGGAATGGGGAGTGACATCTCATGGCCACAGGGTTTCTTGTGGGGTCACAAAAATGTTCTGGAGCGCCATAGTGGAACCGGTTGCACAACCTTATGAACACAGTCATGCGTTACTTAATGATGGGGATACGACCGGGCACAGTGGCTCATGCCTGTAATCCCAGCACTTTGGAAGGCCGAGGTGGGCGGATCACCTGAGGTCAGTAGTTCGAGATGAGCCTGGCCAACATAGCGAAACCCCATCTCTACTAAAAATACAAAAATTAGCTGGGTGTGGTGGCACGTGATTGTAATCCCAGCTGCTCAGGAAGCTGAGGCAGAAGAATTGTTTGAACCCGGGAGGCGGAGGTTGCAGTGAGCCGAGATCGTGCCACTGCACTCCAGCCTGGACGACAGAGTGAGACTCCATCTCAAAAAAAAAAAAAAAAAAAAGATGGGGATACATTCTGAGAAATGTGTCACCGGGCAATTTTGGTGGGCAAACTTACATGAACCTAGATGGTGTAGCCTACTGCACAACTAGGCCACATGGCATAGCCTATTGCTCCTACACTATAAACCTGTACAGCATGGTACTGTGCTGAATACTGTCAGCAATTGTAATGCAATGCTAAGTATGTGTGTATCTAAATATATCTGGATGGTTTCCCTGCAGGTAACAGCTGGCTCTGATGTCCTAAGGAGACCCCAGCGCCATGACAAACCCAGGGATCTCTGATTGCTCCCAGCCTGAGTCGCTTCATATCCTACATGGGAGGCTGAATCCACAATCCCTCCTGCAGACGTACCCTCTCCTCTCCCTTGTCCCTGCAGAGGCCAGGGCTGCAGGGGATGAGGCTCGCCCCTAGTACTGCATGACCCTGTCTACAGGTTTGGAGGCTCCTCAGCTCAGCCTCGGCCCCTGGGCTCTTGTCTTGCTAAGCCCAGAGACCCAGCTCCCACTGGGCTTGGTGGCTGCTTGAAGTGGATCATGCCTTGCACCTCCCCCTCCTCTCCAGAATCTTCTATGTGTGCCGAGACTCCCAGAACAGGAGACATTTGGCTACATCACCCAAGATGGTGCCCACTTTCCATTGCCATGGGTCTAAGAAAAGGTGAAGTTCCCTCCCCCAGCCCTTCCCTGCCTGCTGAGGGATAGGACATGTGTCCCCATTTGCAGTGGATGCAGGGAGGGCTGGAGAAATGCTCTGTGCTCTGAGTAAGGCATGTTCCCCTGTAAGTGTGCCCATGACAGCTTGTGTATGCATATGTGCATGTATGGATATGCATGTTTGTTGGCAGGGATCTGTGCACATTTGTAGGTCTGCCTTTCTACCCGTCTTGTGTTCTGGACTGTGCACATATCTGCCTTGACAGACTTATCAATGTTCACACACTGGCTACACCTGTACCTTGTCTATATGTGTGGCTGCGTGCGTGAGTCTGCTGGAGCTCAGCACTTGTGTGGCTGAGCTGTTTACACCTGTCTGAATATGAGGGGTGTGTTCACGTGTCCCCTGAACGCACACTAGTGCATGTGTCCCTTCTGTGTGTGTCAAGGCAGGCCGCACGGCCATGAGGACCATAGCCCAGGCCTTGGAAGTTTTCCACGAGCTTAGACTCCAGCACCCACTGCACATGGCAAATGGCACCAGTGACCTGCCGTGGAAGGCACAGATGCCAGAGGGCACCACTACTCCAGCAGGAGCAACACCAACAAGGCCAGCACCAGCCCCACCCATGGCCTCCAGAGATCCTGGAGCCTGGAGGGCCCAGACGAGCTGGCAGCTCCAGGCTCCAGGCTCCTCAAGGTCCCACAGACAGGCCAAAATCCAGACAGCGGGAAGGGACAGCACAAGCCGGAGCCTGGGGACCAGAGGCAGTTTGGGGGTGCTCCATGGGGCCACACCCCAAGCCTGCTCTACATATTCTTCTAGGGCTCCAGAAGTGGGGAAAACCACAGGTGGGGAAGGCTGCCCCACAGGTGTACAGGTACAGGTGTGAGGCTGACATAGGTGGGTGAAGGATCAGAATCAAGAAGAGGAGATACTTCCTGCCTGATGAGTCTCTAGCTGTCCCCTCCAGGGCGCAAAGCCCCAGCACCTCCTTCTCTCCTGTCTTTGGGGCACCCAGCCATGGCCCCAGCCCCTTGGGCTCCAGCAGCAGCAGCAGATACAGGAGGCTGAGGCTCAAGTGAGAGTGGCTAGAGGGCAAGTGAGCTGAGCAGGTGGAGGCCAGACCACCCTTTCCCATCCCAGCTGGCCCGGGCCACAGGTGCCACTCGATGAGGCCTCAGCTAAGCACCGAGACAGTTGCCCTCAGACAGCCCACGCCAGCCAGCTCCCTGCACCAACCGGAAGCTCCTGCGGCACCTGGCACCACCCGAGGCCCGCCTGGGAAAGAGAGGGCCTGAGAGCCAACTCAGCCTGGCACCCGGGAGGCGATGGTCTGGTGAGACTTGGGAAGCTGAAGGTCCTGCCCCAGGTGGAACTCAGAAAGATAAAGAAATGGCAGCTCAGAGATAGGAGGGGACTTGCATAGGCTGCCTGTCCAGGCAGCGGCCAAGCTCTTGTGACTGTAGAGTCCTTTATTACCCTTTCCCACTCCCAAGCCAAAATGCTGGTACCAGGACCCAACTGAGTCAGATCCATCTTCAGTTTCCCCTAGACACCCACCCAGTGGGCTCCAAGAGGCCAAATCCCGGGGACTGGACCCCTAGGACAAGTCGGTGACCCAGGGTTGCCTGCCCTTCTTTGCCCCAATACCAGGACTGCCCTGGGCCTATAACATGCTTTCCTGAATTCTGGATAGGTCTCCCTACCATAGCTCAGAGAGGGTTGCCCACTTGCCCAAGATCACACAGCCGGGGAGCTGGCACCGGACAACTGGCCCGTGGGTGTTCTCCTGTGTCACTGTCCTCGGCTGCCCTGGGCTGGCCCAGCTTCTGAGGGGAAGGGGCCCTCCACAGAGGTACTGTCTCCCCAGGCCACCTCTTGCTCCTGCCCTGGCTTCAGCTTCCCTGCCACCCACCAGCAGTGATCAACTAAAGCCACACTTTGTCAGACATGGAATGAGGCTCCAACCCTGACTCCTTGTCCCCAGCTGAGGCCACCAGCAGCCACCAGCACACCAGCCCCTCTGAAGATCTGATGGCGGCCCAGAGCCAGGAATCAACTGTCGTGACCCTCACATTGCCCCTCCCACCAACTGGCACCAAAGGACTGCAGACCCACAGGGCAGCACTGGGAGGCATCCCAGGATAGGGTGGGGCTGCCTCAGAGACCTGAGGACCAGCAGTGCTGAGGAGACTCTCATGCTCTTTCCCTCCTTGTCTCGATGAGCCCTGAGGCCCAAAGAGGGCACAGGTGCTGACATGTCCCAGAGAGGGCAAACAGTGGCAGGACAAGGAGCCTGCACAAAGAGCCAGAGCTCTGCCCTGGGGGCAGACAGAAGAGGCAGAGGCAGCCCCACCCCCACCCCAGTACTCCCCGTAAGAGGAAGCAGAGGCCACCTTCACAGACGGTCGCTGCAGGCAGGTTTAACCCAAGCTCATGGGATGGTCTGTCCTCACTCAGCTAACCTTGCACACGCCTGTAGGCCTCCTCGGGCTAGCATTCTGTGTTCTCACCACATGCTATACCTGTGCCATTGACCTTACTCACTTAACACACTTATTGTGGTCAGATGGGGGGTGTCACATTGAGCTGGGAAGGCGGTAAGGGGATGCAGAATGAAGGGGATCCCAACAGGGTCCAAGAGAATATGATGTCCAACTGCCCCATTTTGCGGAGAAAGAAACTGAGGCCCAGAGAGCCCAAGGACGCATCACAGATGAAAACAGCATCTGGAAGCCGACTCCTTACAGAAGCCTGAGCCCACGCAGGACCTGCTTTTATGCTGCCCCCTTGTGGTCAGAGGAGGGACTGCCACCCAGAGGCGCCCCCTGCCTTGAGTCCACTGAAATATTTGGTCTCCTTTTCTCCTTCTGAGGTCAGCTCGCCTCAACCCTACCCCAGGGTCTTACTCCCTCCTTGTTTGTAGGTCCGGAGGATCCTCAAGGGCAAAGGGCACCCGAGTGTCCCCACCAAAGGCTGGCCCCCTTGAGCAGAGATACGTGGAGAGGTGACCAGCTTTGCTTTACTGAGCCTGCCTGGCAGCCCCACAGCCATATCCGGGCCCCCTCTTCAGTCCTCATCTCCGTGCCTCCTCTTGTTTTCTACATGACTAATCATGTCCTCTTTCTTGGAACCCCCTCCTTCCTTGGCCCCAGTGATGCCACACTCTCCTGGGTTTCCTCCAGTCTTCCTGGGTGTTCCTTCTCTCTTTTGTGGGCATCTTGTTCCCCTCGGTCCCAGCCTGTTGGTGCCCCCTGAGCCTCTTGTTTTTGCCTGGATTTGGAGCTGGGCCACCTAGCCGGCAAGCAGGTAGACACCTCAGGGCACCATCAGACCAGGAGCATCAAACAAGGAAGATGAGGAGGAAAATGTGTTTCTGTGAACCCATGGATGTGATGATTGCAAACGTTTTTTGTTTTTATTTTTATTTTTGTTTTTTGAGATGGAGTCTCACTCTGTTGCTCAGGCTGGAGTGTAGTGGTGTGATCTCGGCTCACTGCAACCTCTCCCTCCCAGGTTCAAGCAATTCTCCTGCCTCAGCCCCCCGAGTAGCTAGAATTACAGGCATGCGCCACTATGCTCGGCTAACTTTTTGTATTTTTAGTACAGACGGGGTTTCACCATGTTGGCCAGGCTGGTCTCGAACTCTTGACCTCAGGTAATCTGCCCATCTTGGCCTCCCAAAATGCTGGGATTACAGGTGTGAGCCACCGTGCCAGTCCAAGAGTTTTGTAAGGCATGTAAGTGTTACATTTTATAATTTAATTTAGACTCCTTTTTGACTCATGGGGGTGAGGTGAACACCATATCTTTGGTGCTTAGGGCTTCCAAGGACCTTTCCTGGGTGGCCTCAGCTGTGCACTGCCTTCAACCACCTGTCAGTAACCTTCCAACTCCCAAGTGAATATCTCCAGGCCTGATTTCAACTGCCTCCTGGATACCTCTCCAGACATCCCCTTGGCTCTCAGGCTCTAGGCTGATACCTCTCCAGACATCCTCTCCAGACATCCCCTTGGCTCTCAGGCTCTCAGGCTCTCAGAGCCACATCAGACTCATCATCTCTCCCCCAGGCCCCTTTGTCAGCACTGATATGCCCCAAGGTAACTTCATCTTCCGGCTCCATGCCCACCATGGCCAATTCCTCACCAAAGCCTGGCGAGTCCATCTCCTTAATAGCTCTGGGATCTGCGTCGTTCTTGCCACCTCACTCCTGCCCCTGTCCTGGTCCAGGCCACCACATCCCTCCCGTCTGGCCCTCCTGCCTCCTTAGCTGGTGCTCACATGCCCATCTGACCAAGTCGCTTCTTAGCTGGTGCTCCTTAAGCTTCTCCTTAGCTGGTGCTCACATGCCCATCTGACCAAGTCGCTTCCCTGTCTGGGCCTGTCTCCAGATCCCTGTCCCCCAGAATAAAGCCCACACACCTAATACTGGCCTCGAAGACCTCCAAGGGGTGGCCTGGCCACCCTCCACAGCCTCATCTCCCGCCACCCAGGATCTCCCCTGCTGTTTGAGGTGCTGAGATGCTGTCAGAGTTTGATGACTGACAAACAAACCAAACAGGAGAGTGGCTGGGCTGGGGTGAAGTAGGAGAAGACTAGACATACCTCCCAGAGCTCTTCAAGCTGGTGATGACCTATGAAGTTGTCCACTCTGCCACTAAAGACCACCAATCTGCAAGTGGTCCCAGCCCAACTCGTACTCCTCCCATGATAAGGAGCTCCGCCCCCTCACCATCCCTGGACTGGTCCTTCTGTGAGCAAGTTCTGCTCACATGTTCTGCATTACATGCAGATTGGGGTAGGGAACTGGAACTCAAAAGACCCTCGACCCTAGGAACACAAATTCCTTTTCCTCCCTGAAATCCCATCCCTGGGAGTCCCAGTTCTCTGGGTCTGGGCCTGGGCACCCGCATCGTGGCTCAGCTGTGGTTCTAGGAAGCTAGCCAGAGCCTGACAGAGAGATTGCCAAGACAGCCGCCAGAGGGCAGTGCTGCCCCACACACGCCCAGGGGCCAGCCTGCCTTTGTGTCTCAGGCTGCGTGGGTCTTTCAAGGAGAGGCTGCGTGTCTATGTTTGTGTGTATGTGACTGTGGGAGTCTATTACTTTGTGTGTCTCTGGCGGCAGGGTTGGGGGTTGTCTAGGCCAGTTGGTATATGTGGTTGTCCATTTTTGCTCACGTCTGAATACCCCAATTTCCATCCCAGGAAGGGGTGCAGATGCCTGGTTACTCAGTGGGGCCCCAGGCAGGACGGGGAGGAGCACGGCCATCCTCTGAAGAGCCCTCGCCACCATCACCCCCACCATGAGCCTCCAGCCAGACTGGGCCTCAGGTACTTGTCAGTTAAGTCAATGACCCAGTGACAAGGACCAGTTAGTTGTCCTTGTCACTGTCTGGAACCAGGGCCAGTCCTGGTCTGTGGCGTCCAGGTGCTGCAAAGCCCCAGTCCCTCCCTCCCAGCCTCCTCTCCCCTCCTGCCCACCATCACCATACAACAAGGACAGGGAGACTATACCCCCATATCACAGTGGAGGTGTCCGTTTGATCAGCCTTGAGCTGGACACCAGAGCTTCCTGGTGACTCACCGGCAGCCCCCAGGCTGGTCAGGCCCGGGAGAAGGACGCCAGTGTACCCTGCCTGCTGCTGTACCTGCAGGACATGCCTGGACACCAGCGTGCTCTGGGAGGGAGCTGTCCTGTTGCCTGCGGTGGTGGGGACAGGGGAAGGCTGCTCTGAGCTGTACTTGGGATGCGTCTGGGAAGACAGGACGGGCGTGCCAGCAAGAGAACAGCATGTGCAGGGCAGGGAGGTGTGAGGGCGCAGCCTGGGCAGCCAAGGGGCCTGAGCCGCAGGATAAGTGGATCTGGTGGCATGCGGGAGGCGGCAGAGGCAGCGGGCAGGGAGGGGCCTCTCTCCCCAGCAGCTTGGTTGCGGGGACGAGCCAAGCCACCCCATGCTCACAGCCAAGGCAGGGGTCTTGAGACCCGCCTCATACCTCTGTGACCTCCAAGGAGCAGACGGTCCCCGTTACTGCCCCTGCTGTACCCAGGGACCCAGGAACGCAGGGAATGTGAAGCTGGAGGGGGAGGGACAGCGACTGACATTCTAGACCGGTGATGCACCCAGATAGAGGCCTAGAGCGAGGAGAGGAAGTGCGGGGCACAGAATAAGTAGAGAGAGAACAGAGGGAGAAAGAGACACCGGGAGGGGAAGGGAGACAGAGACGGGGAGTCGGAGGAGGGAGCGGAGAGAACCGAGGGAAGGGGTTGCCAGGAGGAGGGGTAGGGAGAACTTTCTTGGCCTCCCTGCTCGCGCCCTCCCGGGCAATCAGGCCGGCAGGAGGCAGGTGGTCCGGGGCAGACAATGGCGCGGAGGAGTGCGGAACCTGGGACTAAATTTGGCGTTGCCTTTGCAGGGCGCGGGGCGCCCGTTCATCTCGATGCAAAGGAGAGACGAAATGAATATGCAGCGCGGGCTGTAATTGGGCCGCCGCGGCCGCCGCCGCCGCCGCCGCACTATAATTTTCCAAACAGGATCTTGCAATCAGGGCCTTATTCATTAGCGCATAAACAATTTTGTTTCTCGGCACTCGAGCCTGTCAATCACGCGGAGAGGGAACATCTTGGCCGGAGGCGCGGGCCACCGTGCGCGCTCCCACGCGCGCCCCCTCGAGCGCCGCCAGGTGGCTTTGTGTCCGGGAGGCCCTTGGGTGCTGGGGTGGAGGGGGCCCGGGGCACGCTTCGGGGTCCACACCCCAGCCCGGCAGATGGGGGTGGGCGGCCTGAGAGAACACAGGTTTGGGGGCCCACCGCCCCGGCTTGCAATTCTGCTTCTGACCTCACCAGCTCTGCCCTTGGGCAACCCCCCTTCTCCTCCCCAGCCTCAGTTTGCCCTCTGTAAGATGTGCTCAGCGCACTCACCCCGCAGAACTAGAGGGGGCATCGGGTGGAATAATGGATGCTTTGGGTGCTGAGGCTGGGGGGTGGGGTGCTGAGGAGGGGGCCTTCTAGCTCCTTTTATTAAAGGAGGGGATCAGAGGCCCACAGAGAGCTTCTCATCCCATCACCACCCCCACCCCTCTAGGACGGCTCCTGCGACTCTGTCTAGGGAGGCCTCAGAGTGGTTCTCTAAGAGCTGGGCTGGGCACAGCCCTGGGCTCACCCACACGCTGGGGTGGGCACGCATGCGTGATCTCCCGTGCTGGCTCCCAGGAGGGCTGTGCACGCGGGGGCACCTATAACTCTACAAGCCCATGTGTGACTGTGCCACAGGCTTTGTGCCTATGTGTGTGTGTGGGGGCGGGGGCGCTGTGACTGTGTGTTCAGCTACTTGGCTGCTGGTGAGATCATGGAGCTGAGTGTGGCTGCCTAGCAGTAGCCAGGTGACAAGGACTGAAGGGGGCTGGTGAACAGAACTGTGGGGTCTTTGGGGCCCAGGTGACCTGGCAAGAACTGCAGAGAGGGCAGGAAGCCCTGAAGGGCTGTGTCTTTCAGGACAGATGACATCTCTGTCTTCTCCGCCTCCTCCCTGGCGACCCCTCCATCAGCCCCATGTCCCCAGCACAGTCATCCAGGGTGCCCAGGCTGGGGAGATAAGCAGCCTGGTTTTGCCCTACTGCCAGGCCTTGCAGTGGGGAGGGTTCACCTTCCCCACCTCTCTGACCCCACCCCCAGCCCCCTCAGTGCCTCCCTGACAGCACCAAGACTCAGCCCCATGCTCCCTCCATCAGGGAAGCCTAAAGGCCTCTGGAATTTCAGGGCCAAATGTTCTAATCAGCTCAGATTTACAGAGATCACAGCAGGTCAGAGCTGGATAGACCCATTGCATGGATGAAGAAACAGAGGCCTAGGACTGGAAACAGGAACGATACAGGCCTGGGACCCCCCCACCCCCAGCAAGTGGGGAGCAGAGCTAGGATCTGAACTCCTGTCTCTGGCCCCAAAGCAGGGGGCAAGGACCTGACTTCCCGAAGACACACACCGCCGACAAGCGTAAGCACCAGCAGACCACGGAGGCCTCCCGCAACCCGCCATGCCCCTCTCCTGCCCCCACCCCGGCATCCTCCTCCTCTGCTGTGCCCAACCCCTGCCCCCTCCACAGTCCCCACTCCACACAGAGACAAAGAATTTGAGGATGTGCTGGCAGCCAACTGACAGGCCATCAGTCTCTACCCAGACACCCTCTTCACAGTTCTAGCCCCAGCCCGGATGCCACCCCACCCGCTAGTCACCCCCAGCACCGGGCCAGGAAGGGAGGCGGCCCGGGAAGGGGCTGTGGGGGAAGGCACGGAGTCCGGAAGCCCAGAGGAACAGTCTTCAACCTGTGAATCCGGCCGCGCCTGGCCCTGCAGCCTCCCCGGCCCGGCAGCCTCCCTGCTCCTGCGTGTCCCAATGCATGATGCACAGCTGACCCCTGCCTGTGAGGGACCCAGGCCATCTGTGAGGCAGTTGCCATGAGTGACTCCTGGTGAACAGCCCATTGGCATCTCCAAGTGCTGGGCAGAGGCCAGAGGCAATGGCTTTGGACGAGGAGACCGAGGTTTAAAACCCAGCTCTGCCACTTTCTGGCTGGTTGACCTCAGGCAAGTCACCAGACTTCTCTGTGCCTCAGTTTCCTCATCTGGAAAGAAGAGCTATTTAACTCACTGGGCACCCAGTCGGTACTTGGTGCTTAGTAAACAATAGGATGAAGGAAAGGAAGGCACAGAGACCCTCCCACCTGCAGGCCAGACTTAAACCCAGACCCTAGACCCCAGAAACGTTCCAGAGCTTTCACGCATGAGGAACCCTTGCCAGGCCCCCACCTGCTGGAGGCAGCCGAGTCAGGGTTTCTAAGCGAAACTCACACGAGTTTGTCATTCTTGAAAAACAGTCCCTTTCCAAGCCCTATTTGACCTTTCCTTAATGGACCACTTGCTTTCAGGGCCCTCATCCTGGGAGGTAGGTTACTCCGCCCATGTAATGGAGACAGAACTGACCCCAGAGGGTCAAAGCCTCTTCCCCAAGGTTCTTCCTCAACTGGGAAGAAAAAGAGTCAGGACTTGAATCCACTCTTTCAAGTACTCCTGTTTCTGCTCCCATTCTTCTGCTGCCTTGGTGGGGATGGGCCTTCCAGTTGGGGACACCTGGGCTGCTCCGAGTCCAGCCTCCAGAGCTGCCAGGTCAGCAGTGTAACCAGTCACTCCACCTCCTGCAGGGTTGCTGGACTGTCATCTAGGAAGAAGATGGTCTAAATTCAAGTTCCTTAGGAAGTCTTGGTTCTGAGGCCCCCGGGGAGCATCAAAGCTCAAGCGGAGAGAAAACTGAGTGGGAGGGGGAGGAACCAGGTCTCTAAGGAGGTGTAGAGACCTAGAGACATGAGTTTCCTTGGGGACATCCCTCTGTAGATCTTACCTCATCCCCAACCTCCTCCCTCTTGGAGGCTTTACTTATATCTCAGTTATCTATGCAACATGGAGCAGGAGAAAGAGCTCAGAGGGTTACCAGCTACGTGACCTCCAGAAAGTCAGAACTTCTCTGAGCCTAAGCTTTCTCATCTATGAGAGAGGAATAGTATCCTAATAAGAACTACTACTCCACGCCAATGCACTAGCACCTAGCATAGCGCCCTGCACATAGTAAGTGTTCATTAAAAGTCTGTTGAGTGAGTGAGTGAGTGAACTGACAAAAGAGAAAGCAGAGGAAAAAGGCCTTCCATCGCCCATGTGGTTGCCTTCTCCCCAACTTCAACCTCAATCAGCTGGTACCCTGGAGGCCCCTCTGCAGACTCAGCCCCTCCCAGTGCCTCATTCCTGGTGGGTGGGACCCAGGGCCCAGGGCTGCCTTGTCCCATGCAGCAGCCACTGGCGCATGTGGCTACTGAGCACATGACATGTGGCAAGTCCAAACTGAGGTGTGCTGTAAGTGTAGGATACACAACAGTTTTTGAAGACATTGTACCCCCTAAAAAAGGAATGTAAAATATCTTATTTAATTTTTATATTGATAACAGGTTGAAATAATATTGTGGACATACGAGGTTCAGTAAAATATGTAGTTAAAACTCACTTCACCCATCTCTGTCTACTTTTGTAATGTGTTACTAGAAAATGTAAAATGACACGTGGCATGCCTCTGTGGCCTGTGCTACATTTCTATTAGACAGCAGAGGTCTGGAACACACTACAGACCCCAGCCCCCCACCCTCCGCCTTTCCTATCCTGGTCCTCTCTCTTCCCATCCAGATGGCAGGGCTGCCAGGCTGGAGCAGTGTGGTGTTTGGGAGAGGGATCCCCTGGACTGGAAGCAGGGACTGAGTTCCAGTCTCTCCCAGTGCACTCAGATCTAGTGCACAGGATGGGGCATCTGCCTCAGTTTCCCCTATCCTGCCCCCAGTTCTGCATCTGGCCTGGTCCTGCCCCATCCCTCCGCACCTCCTGAGACCTGGCCAGGCCATCCTTTATGCTTTTCTCTTGGATCCTGGAATCACCCCATGGTCTCATTCCTGAGCCAGAAAGGCACCTGCATAGGGCCACAGCCACCAACTCAGAAGTCCCTGGGGGCTCAGCCGTGTGTCCACCACTTCCACTTTACCCCAACCAGTCAATTCGCCTTCCACACCTCACTCTCCCCTAGCACTTCTCTCCTTCCCTTAGGCCACTCCTCTAGTCCAGGCCTCATCCATTCATTCAGCAGGTATCTACTGAGCCCCGGTGTACCAGGCACTCTTGTTGGTCCCTGATATGCTTCAGTGAACGAGGCAGGCAAACCCCTCAGCTCTCATGAGCTGGCATCCCAGTGAGGAAAACAGAGAATAAACAAGAAACTGAAGACAAGTATATGGTATGTGTTAGAAGGTGTAAATGCTAATGGGGAAACAGAATAGAGCTGGGTAGGGAAGATCAGCACCACACTGACCTCCTGCTTCTAGGCTGACCTCTGACCCATCCTCCGTGGGCTGCTGGAGGGATCTCAGGTCCAACCATGCTACTTCCCTGCTTCAAAGCCCTCACTGGCTCCCCAGTGCCTCCAGGTGAAGGTCCAAACTTCTCAGCCCGGTATGCAGAGCATCCCCATGATCTGGCCCTGCCAACCTCATCTTCCTGCCAGCAGCTCCCGGCATGCTCTCTAGCACCAGCCTGCCTTTCCCTCTGCCAAGAACACCCTTCTCACATTCCTATGTCAGTAGGCTTGTTCTCACCCTTAAAGGCTCCTCGCACTGTCGGGCAGGTTTGCGCCCACACATGTGGGTCTCCATGTCCTAGACCTGTGTGCATGCTGCAGCTACACGCCTGCCACTGCCACAGCTCTCACACGTGTGTGCACATTCTCTGTGAGCAGGCACGCCGCATTCCCTTGCGTGCTCCTGCTCCTCGGAGAGGCCCAGTCGGGGGCAGGGGCTGCCCAGGTATGTCTGACTTCCTAAAGCCTCAGCGGGAACAGGCGCTGCGATTCAGGAAGTCGCCATGGCAACCGCCGGGCCCTCCTGCCATCTCCTGCAATCAGCGCTGGGACCCGGCCACCCGCTGGGCTTCCTGGAGATTCGTTCCCTATGATTTGAGGCTGGGGGGAAGAGGCATGGGGGAATCTCTTAACCCCCTGGCCCCCACCCTTCCTACCCTGGTCCTCTCTCTTCCCATCCAGGATGGCAGGGCTGCCAGGCTGGAACGGTGTGGTGTTTGGGAGAGGGGCCCCCTGGACTGGAAGCAGGGACTGAGTTCCAGTCCCAAATAACAACTTGTGTGGCCTTGGATAGATCCCTTCCTCTCTCTGAGCCTCCGTTTCCTCACCCATGAGATGCCTCTCTTACAGGGTCTCTGTGGGGTCTGGGGCAATAATGTGGCATGTATTAGATATTCAGCTAATGCTGTCATGGAAACTGAAGGTCTGAAACAATCCATTGCTTTTACCGAGTTTTAGGGCGCTCTCCCATCTGTTAGTCTGCAACAGCCCTTGAGGTGAGCTTTTTCATGTCAATTTGACAGAAGAGCCTAAGGTCAGAGAGGTGGAGAGAAGGAGGTGGTGGGAGAAGGCTGGGGTTGCTGGGGAGCTCCACGGAAAAGACTGGGAAGGATGGTGCTTGGGATGGTTCTTTCTCTGCCAGCACACACAGGTGACCCTGCCTCCCTTCCACTTGCTGACAAGAATCTGGCCTTCATCTCAGGCTGGAGCTGGGGAGGTGGGGGCGCCTCCTAAATCCCAGGTCCCTCCTCAGTAGAAAGAGCCCTGGACTGGAGGCAGGAGGCCTGTGTTCCAATCCTGACTGGCTGTGTGACCTGGGGGAGGGGGACTGGGGCAAGGGGTCACTTGCTGTGTCTGAGCCCCCTAGATTAGAGGATAAGCCAGATGACCCTAAGGGTACATCCTGCTCGCATGGGCTGGGCTGTGGTTTCTAGTCTAGATCAAGACAAGCTTTTGGGACATTGCAATCCTGGGCTACGGTGACCTGTGAGTTTGCCCAATACCATGGCACAGACCTCTCCCACAGACAGATGGGCCTGGCTTCACGCATGCTCTTGGAGAGACTGGAAATAGAAGTGTCGTTGTTCTCCCAGCTCCACCAGGGCTTGAGTTTCTTCACCATGATGCTGCAGTGTCTATTTCTCCATCTCTCTCCAGTCCTTGGGAAAGTCACCCCTAGCGAGGGAAAAGGCACCACGTTTGCCACTAGCCTCGGGCCCCTTTCATGCCCATGGTTCCATCTAATCCTCACAACCACTCTGCAAAGTAGACCTTACTTCCTGCATTTCATGGGTGAGGAAATGAAGGCTCAGAGAATTGGAGTGACTTGCTCAAGGTCACACAGCTAATAAATAAGTGGCCGAGCTGGGAATTGAACCCAGGTCCCTCCGATCCCAGATGCCAGTAGAAAGACCATTCTTGATTTCTGCTTTACCTAATTGCCTGGTGCCCCTCTCAGTGACAGCTCTGCTACCTGGAACTCCTCTCTCTCCTCTTTCTGGGACCCCAGGTACTGTCCATGGCACTGCTTCCTCCTTATCCAGGCAGGAAAGGTGCTTAGACTCAGAAGTACAGAGGCAAAGAGCCCTTCGAGAGGACTCAGACCAGTCCCACTTGACCAGCTCTGCCTCCAGACAGATGAGGAAACTGAGGCCAGGCTTGAGACCTAGAATTAAAGGTGCAATCTCCTATCCAACCATGAGGCATGGTGGAAGGTGAATCTCACCCAACAGGATTCTAGGAGGCAGAGCCTCTCAGAAACAGGGGAATCAGTGGAGAACGCATCAGGGGATGCGTTCTATGGCAGGCAGGTCTGCTGGTCAGGGCTTGAAGTTTTGGAATGGACTGGCAGAGAGGAGAGGGAACAGGCCAGATCTGAGGGTGGGGGTTGGGTGGCTTGGCTGAGCTGAAGGGTCAGGCAGCCTTGGCCAGGCTCCCATCTCCAGCCCCAGGGCGAGCGCGTGAGGTGGAGCTGCGACATTCAAGCAGCTTCCTCCCCTTTGTTGGGAGTGATGTCGCCCATTTCCTGGATGTCCAAGAACCGGCTTCAAACAATAGCGCTGTCAGGAAGCCAGGAAGGGGCTGGTGCCCTGCGCCTGGTCCTACCCCATCCCTCCCCACCTCCTGAGACCCGGCCAGGCCATCCTTTATGCTTATCTCTTTGAGTCTGATGCCTCTGCCACCAGCCAGCTGTGTTTCTGCGGGCAGGCCACCTAACTTCTCTGGGCCTGAGCTCTCCATCTAAAACTTGGGGAACAGATTCTTACCTAGCAGAGCTGGCACATCGATCAAAGGAGGTGATAACAGTAGTAGGGCTGGTGGCCAACACACCACACGTAGATAACTCACGTGGAAACGCTTGGCACGTGGTAGGCTTGAAAAATGTGATTTGACAGTTTTCATGATTCAGAGTCAATTCACCTTTTCCAAATGCCTACTAAGTGTCAAGCATTTCCGCATGTGTTATCTCCGTATGGTAGGTTAAGACTTACGGTTTTGGAATCAGACAAAACTGGGTTTAAATCCCAGTTCTACCACTTACTATATATAGCTGTGTGACCCGCGATAATGAGATAACCTTTCCGAGCATCAGCTTCTTCATCCATAAAACGGGAATAACAGGAACGCCTATTTCATGAAGTCATCGTGAGAAATATGTGGGCCAATAAATGTAGAAAACTTGGTGCAGTGCTCGGCAAACAGCAAGTACCTAATAAGCGTCAGTAATTATCATTTCCACCATGGCCTTCTACAGGCCTATTTCATATCTTTGCTTACACAGCTCCCCTGCCTCTGAGCCCATCCTCTCTAAAAGTTGTGCAGGCATCCAACTCTGCACAACTTTTAATATTGAGTTGCAGCCACACAGGTAGTCCACAGTGAGGGAGTCAGAAGTCTAGGCTCAATCCTAATTTCACTACTATCTGAACCCTTCCGATCTTTGGGCCTCCGTTTCCCCATCTGTGAAGTAAAGGGAATTTATGGTTCTCTGGGGGTCTCACAATTCCGACACTCCATGAGTTAGTTCAGTCCTCTGACACCGGACCATTCCTGACACTGGACTTGGCAATGGGTCAGAGCCCTCACCCGGCACGAGAGGGCGACTGCCTGCTGACGTCACCAGCAGGCTGGAATCCTCCCCAAATGCGGAGAGCTGCACAACGGGTTCAAGCTGTGTCCAGGCTTGGAAGCTGGGTGGATGTTTTTGTCAAGAAACACGGTCTTTTCATTAATGCCATTGTCCACCAATTAGCCCAAGGCTGACTCAACAGGGGGCCCCCGTGCTGGGGGCCTCCATTCAGACAGCCTGTGGCTGGGGCTTTGTGTTCTGCCAGCCCCTCCCTCTTGCCTGGAAAAGCTCTCTGCCTGTCCACCTTGCCTCAAAACCCCCTGCTGGGGGCACTTGTCAGTCTGAGGGGTCCCATTGGCCGCACACCTAGTTGGTGCAAGGCAATGTATAGTCATCTTGTCACGGAATCTACAAAACCACCCCAGAAGGGCAGCACTGTTGTTATTCTCATTTCTCAAAGGAGAAAAATAAACTTCAGAGAAGTGAAGTGTGTTTCTCAAGTCTGACAGAAGACTCAACTGTCTCATGAGTCACCAGACAGAGTGGCTTTTTGGACCATAATATGCTTAGAGCTGCATGGCCTGGGCGAGACACTTCACTCTCCATATTCTCTCCTGTCTCTCCTCATGCTTCCATTACCAATCATCCAATTCACCAACTCGAAACTGATAACTAAGAGGGAAGCAAAGAGCCCGGGTTCTGCAGCCAAACAGCCATGGGTTATTTATTTATTTATTTAGAAACAGGATCTCGCTGTGCTGCCCAGGTTGCAGTGTAGTGGCGTGACCACAGCTCACTGCAGCCTTGAAGTCCTGGGCTCAAGGGATCCTCTCACCTCAGCCTCCCGAGTAGCTGGGACCACAGGCACGTGCTACCATGCCCAGCTAATTTTTTCATTTCTGGAGAGGTGGGGTTTCACCATGTTGCCCAGGCTGGTCTTGAGCTCCTGGGGTCAAGTGACCCTCCCACCTTGGCCTTCCGAAGTGCTGGGATTACAGGTGTGAGCCACCATGCCCGGCCTAGCCCTGGGTTTTAATTCTGCTTCTGCCAGAGATAAAATACACATAGTCCCTGCCTTGAGAAGCTCAAGTCAAGAAAGGGAGGTAAATAGAACAGTAAACAAATAATCGCCATGTAATTTGACATACAAGACAGCTGTACCTCATAGAAATTTCCCATGTCAATAGAGTCACTTTCGTCCTTTTCACAGCTGTTCGGGATCACATTGTGTGGCTCTATTGCAACTTATTTACTGTTCACTACTAATGAACAGAAGCTTTTTCTCTCTCTTTCTCTCTCTCTCTTCACTTTTTACAAGCAATGCCAAATGAACATCCTTGTACACAGCTTAACGTACTTGAATCAGTGCTTCTGTGGTATGAATGTTTACAGGTCAGGAATGGTACACACATTATATTTTGATAGATGTACCAAATTACCTTCCAAACATAATGTATCAATACAACAATTTATACTCCTCCCTGTAGCATAGGAGAGTATGCACTTTCCCACTTCTGGGTCAATACTCAATATTATCAACTTTTTACACATTTGCTGAACTAATTAAATGGCATCTTTTATGGTTTTACTTTGCATTATTCTAATTGCTGTTGAGGTTAAACATCTTTCACATGTTTATTGGCCATTCTGATGCTCTGTTCTGCAAACTGTCAGTTCATAGCGTTCGTAGATTTTTTTTTTTTTCTGAGACGGAGTCTCGCTCTGTCACCCAGGCTGGAGCGCAGTGGTGCAATCTCGGCTCATTGCAACCTTTGCCTCCCGGGTTCAAGTGATTCTCCTGCCTTAGCCTCCTGAGTAGCTGGGATTACAGGCGCCCACCAGCAAGCCTGGCTAATTTTTGTATTTTTAGTAGAGACAGGGTTTCACCATGTTGCCCAGGCTGGTCTCAAACTCCTGACCTCGTGATCCGCCCGTCTCAGCCTCCCAAAGTGCTGGGATTACAGGCGTGAGCCACCGCGCCCGGCTGCCTTTGCAGCTATTTGTATTTGGGTGTTTATCTCCCAACTTTCTGCTTCGGTTCTGTCAACTTTTTGATCCCACTCCTGCCCTTTAGGCTTCTGATGCTCAGGTCTCCTCCAAGGTCCCAAGCACTGCTCCCCACTCTTGTAGTTTAATCTTCCCGATCCATTCCTCCACACAATAGCACTAGCCACAGTTTCAGCCAGCCTGAATGCAGGAGGGCAGAAATTCAGATCGAATTTGGCCCAATCAAAAGGCAGTTCAAGTAGTGGATGATCTCCGAAAGGTTTCTCTTCTAACTTTTAAGATCAAAGCCCTCATAATAATCCTCTAAACAAACTCAGCCTCAAACGGCAACAAAGTTACATGAAACAATTTCTTTTCCTTTCCTTTTTTTTTTTTTTTTTTTTGAGACAGAGTCTCACTCTGTCTCACCCAAGCTGGAGAGCAGTGGAGTGATCTTCACTCATGCAGACTCTGCCTCTTGGGTTCAAGTGATTCTCCTGTCTCAGCCTCTGGGGTAGCTGGGATTACAGGTGTGCACCATCACACCCGGCTAATTTTGTATTTTTAGTAGAGATGGGGTTTCACCATGTTGGCCAGGCTAGTCTCAAACTCCTGAACTCAAGTGATCCACCTGCCCTGGCCTCCCAAAGTGCTGGGATTACAGGCGTGAGCCACCGCGCCTAGCCACATGATTTCTAATGAGGGAAGTGGTTGACAAAATCTTAGAATCTCTTCCATATCTTGTCCTTCAAATGTCAGTGTGGGTGATCTATTTAAAACAGAAGCCCAAAATGCTCTTCTCATTTTAATGAAATTCCCAGAATGAATTGCCCAGGTGATTAGGTCTATTTCAAGAAAACATGAAAACTCCACTGTCTCCCCCAGCAAGCTGGCTAATAGAGAAACTATGTTTCATATATTTCTTGACTTGGAAAAGAGCTTGGATACCTACTTGGTCCAACTCTTTATTTTACAGCTAAAGAAACTGGCTGAAAGGGGAAAGTGGCTTGCCAAGGCCACATAACAAGGTCACAGACGGAGCCCAGCATAGCAGCCCAGCTTGCTTTTCCTCTTTGCCCGGCTGCCCATCACAGTGATATGGAAGAAAAGATGCTAAAGGACTTTCTGGAAAGTTCTTTGGTATGAATTCACCACTAGGATCCTTGGAAACAACCACAGCAGCCCAAGGGTGCTGTGTGTTCAACAATCAAATAAATAAATAAAGCCTTTAAGTCAAACCACTGTCATATGACATAATACCTTAGTTTTGGAGAGCAAGGGAAAGGAACAGTATTATCATTTTCTTTCTAGCATCAACTCTTCCATCAGAGCAGCAGAATTGATTAAAACAAGGCTTCCAGAAAGGGTATGCCTGCTTAATTTGCATTCAACCCTCAAATTAAAGGAATACTGGCATGCAATTTATATTTCTTGCATGCAATTTATATTTCTTGCATGTAATTTATATTTCTTATTACCGCAGCCTAATTTGACCTTTTATGCAACCATCTCCCTTCAGTTCACAGACAGCATTTTTACTGAGACTGTGACACGGATTTCTGGGCTTCTTTTTTTTCCTTTTTGAGAAAACAAAAGCAAAAAGCTTGCAAGTCTCCCATCTTTTCCAATGGCGTTAATCATTAAGGTAAAATCCCGGGCCTCGTTTTGCATAGAAAATGCCCTGGTGTTTATTCTGTATAGACCTGATATACATTGAACGATTAACTAGGCTACTCTCTTTTGCAGAGGTGATGGCTGTGCTGCATTCATTCAACAAACAGTTATCAGGCACTATGTGTCGGCTGCTGTTACATGAAGGAGAAGATACAACTGCAAAGGAGATGCAGTTCTTGCTCTCAAGGAGTGTTATACAAGGCAGGTCATGCGCAGGGTGCTTCTAACACGGAGGAAGAGGTGATTCTCTTGCTGGGGGTGGGGATGTTGACAGCCGCTTCACAAAGGAGACAAAATGTGAGCTGAATCTCCAAGAAAGAGATCACCAAGAAGAGGTGGGGGGGGGGCCATCTGAGCAGAGGACACAGCAAGAGGAAAGGCACAGAGTGGGGCTCAACACGGATGGAGTGTTGGGGGACAGTAGTGGGAGATGAAGCTGGAGCGCTCTGAGTCACACTGTGAGGAGACTGACTGTCACACTGGGGAGGCTGGACTTTACCCAGCAGACTGCAGAGACACCTATGGCAGGAAACGTCCCTATGAGAATAAAGGTGGAAGTATTATAGATAGGCTGTGACCTGCATTAGGCTCTTCCACACAAAACCACATTCCAGGCAGACGAGTTTCCTCTCTGTTCCTGAAGCACAGCGAGCCCTGCCCTGCCTTGGGGTTTTGCTCCTGCCAAAAGGTTTGTTCCTGCAGACTGGGACACTCTTCCATCCACTCTTTCACTGGCTGGCTCCTTTTCACACTCCAGGAGGAAGCTCAAACTGCGCTTGCTCTGAGAGTCCTTCTGTGGCCTGTCTTCTTAAACGTTCCCTCACCCCCTAGCTAGTCACTATTATATTAACCCTGTTTGGTTCCTTCTCAGGATTTATCACAACCTGAAATCATCTTGTTTTTGAATTGCCTGTTTATTGCCTCCACCAATGGAATGGAAGTTCCATGAGGGAAGGGCCCTTGTCTTGTTCACTACCCATGTCTAGAAAGGCAGGCTGCAAAACCAACGTTGATTGAATGAATTAACTACTTAATGTGTTTCCAGAGTTCTAGCTGCAACTACACCCCCTTTTCTCCAACTGAACAAAGTATTTATGAGTATGAATGAGCAAGAGTGATAGTACTTATTACAGCGCCTGTATGTCCAAGCCACACACCACACCAATTTTTATTTTTTCATTTGGAGACAGATTCTCACTCTGTCACCCAGGCTGGAGTGCGGTGGCATGATCTCAGCTCAATGCAACCTCCACCTCCCAAGTTCAAATGATTGTCATGCCTCAACCTCCCCAGTAGCTGGGATTACAGGTACGTACCACTACGCCCAGCTAATTTTTGTATTTTTAGTAGAGAAGGGTTTCCTCATGTTGCCCAGGCTGGTCTCGAACTTCTGACCTCAGGTGATCTGCCTGCCTCAGCCTCCCAAAGTGCTGGGATTACAGGCGTGAGCCACCGCGCCCGGCCCCAGACCAATTAAATCCAAATCTCTGGGGGTGAGATCCAGACATCAGTATTTCGGGATCCCCTTGGGTGATTCCAATGTGTATCCAATGCTGAGATTCTAATACTTTTGAAGGACAAGCACACAGACAATCTTCATTTTGTTTCCCAGATCTACCAGTTTTCATACATGAAGCCTGGGACATCTTACTTAGCTACTCCCTAGTCTCTGGAATCTGTCTTATTTTTTAGAAGTAAATAAATTTGCAAATTTCAATATCTTACTTAAATTACTTGTGACACACATCACAAATAATCAAGACACATAAAGGCATCACAACCTCAAACTGAGACTTCCTAAATAGGAGAAGCAGCTTTTTAAAGCCCAAGTATGTCATGATCCATTTCAGGGCATAAAAAAAATCCTTTATTATATCCAAAGCATTTCAGCTAGGATTTGATATCTACAAAGATGGCAATGTAACCTCAAAGAGTTACTCGCATTTCTACCTACAAGTAATTTTTTGTTTGTGGTTTTACAGCACGTAAAGGGTTTGGAAGTCCTCTGGAAAGGTAAACTTCGTGTACAGTTAATCATTTCCTGGATGTTTGTCATATACTGGGCACTAGGATATAGAAATAGAAATAAGATAGAAGTCCAACTCTTGCAGCACTGAGAACAGGAGAGGTAAGACACAGCCAGGGTCACGACAGGTGTTACTCAAATACAGTCTTATAACAATGCTACCATTTATCAACCCTCTACTATGCATTTTGTGTGTGTAACTCACTATATACTCATAGCCATCCCAGAAGGCAGGTACTATTACTGTCATCTCCTTCCCCTTCTATTTTACAGATGAGGACTATAAGGTACAGAAAGGTTAAGTATCTTCTCTAGGGTCACACAGCCATTAAATGACCAGAGCCTGGATTCAAATCCAGACAGCCCAACTCTAGAGCCCTCATGCCCAACCATCATACTACATTGTGTCACGGGAACAAAGGGGCAGGAAAGACCATTTTTGGCTGTAGGAAGGGGATACTTCCTGGGAAAGACACCATTCGTGTTTGCCTTTAGAGATGGGTAGACTTTCAAGAGGCAGCTACGGGGAAGGACTGTTTCCTGGCAAGGGGATAGCATTCGTGAAGATCTAAAAATTCTTGATGAATAGCATGCTGTAGAGTATAGGCTACATAAGAAGAAGTAAGATAATGATGGGGAAATGGGCTAGGCTAGGGCCAGGTTATGGAGTGTCAGAATGCCAGTAAGGATTTGGGCTTTAGTTAGCAGCCATTCGTGAGCCCCTGAAGGCTTCTGAGTAGCAGAGGCACGTGGAGCAAACTTGAGGATGGACTGGAGAGGGAGATGGCAATGGGAGACCACTTAGGAAGTCATTTAATAATCCAGGCAAGGGGAACAAAAACAGCCTAGGAAAGTGACAGTGAGATAAAACAGGAAGTAGCAAATGAGAGCGATTACAGAAGAAACTCAACAGGACTTGATGTTGGATTGGAACTTGGAGTAAACCGAAGAGTCAAAGATGCATCTCAGGTTATTTGACACTGGGAGGATGGAGACACCATTAACTCAGATAGGGAAGACAGGAACAGGCTTGGCAGAGGAAAGGAGTCAGATAAATTTCCTTTGGGGATATAAGGAATTCATCTCATTATTCTCAAGCCAAACCACCAGGAAGATTTTCTATTATTTGAAGTCCTGTTCAGGAATCCTTCCCACTAACTGCTTTCCAATTGTTCTGTGACCTTTTACCTACTGAAATTGAGACAGGCACTTGTTGTGAGAGACTTAAGAAATTATTATATTTAATTACTTAGACTCTTCTGTCCTAGAAGGCTATGATGTCGTGTAATCCCATCGCGAGTACAGGAAAGCCAAAAGTCAGTTTCTTTGTTCAAGGAATTCAAAGCAAGGTGGGGAGGGGGGAGGCAAGAACTGCTGTCCAACTTGGGCAAAAGTTACATCCTAGAATTGAATTTGAAACCATTAACAGTTCAAGACGCGTTGCTCTGGTTCTAAAGAGGTGAATTAACATTTGGGGAGTGAACAGTGCTAGAAGTTGCAGCAGGTAAATTAGTCATAGATCCTTCTCAGAAAGACGGTATGGTTTATTCCCTCATTACCTGTGTGATCTATGGACCAGTGCCCTTAGCACCAAGAAACAGCTTATTAGAAATCTCAGGACCTACCGCAGACCTACTGAATCAAAATCATTTTACTAGGATCTCCATATACACCCATTTATTTTGAGAGTAGGGGCTTTGGAATCAGATGTATCTGGGTTTAAATCTCAGCTTAGCCACTTACTACTTACTAGCAGGTAGCCTCCTGTACTTGCTTCCTCATGTCTAAAATCAGTATGTCGTTCTACACCTTGGCTTCACATCGGAATAGGCTGGGAGTGCTTTCAAAAATTCCAAGCCCAGGCCACACTACACACCAATTACAACAGAATCTCTGCGGGTAGGATCCAAACATCAGGATTTAAAGGCCTCTCAGGTGATTCCAATGTGCACTCAAAGCTGAGAACCACGCATGGCTTTGAAGAATAGGAGTGTGGCCATTGGAACCAGACAATCTTTACTTGTATCCTGTATCTACCACTTCTTATATATGAGACTGGGGCTTCTTAACCTCTCGCTAAACTTTAACTTCCTTCATCTGTAAAATGAATATGACCTGTAGTACCTCGTTCAAAGGACTCTGGGCATTGAAGGAGGTGAAACATGTAAAGCACTTAGCACAGTGCACAATATTATTATTTATGCAAGGCCCAGCTTCCTTTGCAGAAGGAACCTAGGAAGCAACATGTGGGTTGAAGTATCATATAAACACCAATCTGCAGCCATGCTCATACCTTACCCACCAGAGGGGAATTCCAATTACTTGGCCACCAAAACGTTAGTGGGTTTTGCCTCAGCTATTGAAAAAAATGCAAAAAAAAGTCTTATTTTTCATTAGAGAATCTGAGGCAAAAGTTGGTTGGCAAGTAACTTTTGCAGAACACGTGGGGGTTCTGCTGGAAGCATCCAAAATGCTTCCGGATGTGGGGTCAGCACCAGGTGCAGAAGCGGCCATGGCAGATCACACAGTGCTTTTTCTTTGAACTGTCCTAGCACGTCAGGCAACAGACCCTGCACCTCATCTGCCTGGTGCCTCACAGCAATCTCCCCACTTAGAAAATCTAGAATGAGCTCGAAGGGCCTTTACAAAGACTCTTGTCCAACTGCTTTGCTTTTTAGAGTGCCGCAAAGAGGTAACCAAGGCCCAGGGAGCTGAGAAGACTTATGCGGGGTCATACGCAATTTAAAGCCATAACCAGAAGGCATAAAATGACCCAGTCAGATGTGGAGGAAACAGCCTAGTAGTGAAAAAAGAATTGAATGAAAGGGGAAAAAAGACATAATAGTGCTTTGAACCAAAGAGCTTTATAAACACTTGTGGCTTTAACCTGCCCAGGAGGTAGATAAGCATGTGCCCTTTAGTTTGTCCTCAAACTCAACCTCTTGCAAGAGGTTAAGGAACACACCCAAGGTTGGAATTGACACTCAGACCTCCAGACTTCCTGGCTTTGGAGCTGGAAGTTCAGCCTCCACCTCCCTTGTCTATCAGGAAAAACATCTGGGTTATAATGCTTGAGGATGGGATATCAAGGGGAAGTGGTGGAAGTTCGGTTCTTCAAGAAACTTTGAGCAAGACTGCATGAGACCCTGCTAGGGGCCCCTCCCATTCCGAGTCATGCCTCAAAGAAGTTTCTGCACTTCTATCCTGGAGGCTCCCCTTGTATGACCTTTAGAGAAATCTATTTGCCTAAGACGTTGGATGGAAGGAAAGAGAGCTGAGACTTCAAAATGTGTGAACACAGACACACCCCAAGGAGCTGCCTAAAGTAACAAAGCCTTTCCTTCACATGGCCACTTCTGCCTGTTCTAACAGGGATCCCCAGCCACATGAGCGAGTGCCTAAAGCAAAGCAAGAGGAACAGGCAGGACCACAAGAAGAAAAAAGCAAGGGGAAGTCATCTTTAAAGGCCAAAAGGTCACATAAAACATAATAAAATACAACCGTTTCCTTTAAAAATTTTAATGGACAGGAAATGGTATAGAATAACTGCCAAGTCACATAAGTTAACTTTTTTGTTAATGTTTGTGATCCCGGAAAGAACACACTATCAGTCGATGCAAACCGCATGGGCGTTTTCATCAGTCGTTGTCTGAGCACATGACCGAGTGTGGGCCACGGACCCATCTTTACTTGGTCCAGAAATAAAAGCGGCTGCCATGTGTGGCAGGCTGCAGATCTCCCTCGATCTCAGGGCTGGGATCCGGTCTTGGTCTTGAGTGATAGGGATTCTCCGGTAAAGGTCGATCTGTTTTCACTTTGGTGACCTGGGAAGGGTGAAGAGGGCAAAAGCAAAGTTGAAAGCTAGGGTGGAGGAATCTGTAACCATCAATGCGCCTCCTGGTGTCTCCTCATTGCTCCCGCTGCTACAACTGCTCCCCGACTTAAATTCCCAGCAAATCACATTCAGACGTATTTAATCATTGAACAAACACTCAGGAAAGCCTACTTTATGTCATTCCATGTGGTAGAAACTAGGGATACAGAAGGGAACAAGATACTGTCCTCAAGGGGATCACAGTCTAGTGAGGGAGAAAGCCAGGAATAACAACCAAGATTTCCAAATCACCCTGATGGCTAATGGCAATGATGGAGACAGGAACTGCCTCTATAGGAGCAAGGACTGTGCACATCTAACCCATCCTGAAGGCTGGGGGTCTGGAATATTTTTAAGGAGGTAAGACTTAGCTTAAAGTCTGAGCAGGAGCCAGTCAGAAAGGCAAGGGAGGAAAAGACATTCCAAGGAAAGACTACATATGAAGATAGGCAGGCATGTCTTCAGAATGGCTGAATCAAAGGCTGCATGAAGAATGGAGGGAGATGAAGCATCTCACCAAGAACTTATTGCTAGAAATGATGCTGAGCACATGATTCCATTCCATTTTCACTCTTAGGAGGTCATTCTGCAGGGGCTCACTGAGGCCACCTAGCTAATAGTGGAAGAAATTGTACACAAAGCCAGATATGCCTACTCCAAAGCTTGTGCTTCTTAATACCACACTACAGTGGTGGACAGGCCAGATGATAAAGGGTATTAAATGATATGCAAAGGTGTTTGCGTTTTAACCTGACGGTTAACAGGTGCCACTGAAGCACGGCAGTAACTAAATCCCATCTCTGTAGGCTGGGAAGTGTGAAAGCTAAAGTGGAGAGAGGCAAGACCCAAATTGGGGAGCTGAGCCAATAAGCCAGGAGAGTGGTGAAGTACTAAACTGCAACAGGGAGAGAGATAATTTACACTCACAGTATCCCCTGATGGTCACAAAAATCTCAACTGGAAAGCCAGCAGAAACTGCTGTCATTTTAAAGATAAAGAAATAGGCCCAGAGAAGTAAGAAGACATAAGGCCACAGCTGTCAGCAGTCTTCTGATTATTCTTCTACTGGGCTGAACTCTTAAGTCACCTCATGTAAAATGACCAGATTCATCTTCCTAGATGTATAAATTCAGAAACCTTTTATTGGGAACAGAGCTTTTGTGTATACAATCACCCAATTATTATTATAACCACCTTATGAGGCATTATTATCTCTAGTGCACAGATGAAGACCAGGGAGGTTGGCATGCCTAAGATAAGATACACACTAATGTCAGAGCTAAAGCTGGAACCTAAGTCTTCAAGTCTACTAGTTTCGTTTGTTTGCTTTTGAAAGTTATCCCACCGCCCTGTCATAAGTACAGATGGTTCCTAATGATCCACTAGTGGTTCCTTGGTATTTGCAGCTCCTTTAAGGAATTAAAGACATTTATGAAATTGGCTGGGCACAGTGGCTCATGCCTGTAATCCCCGCACTCTGGGAGGCTGAGGCAGGTGGATCACTTGAGGTCAGAGTTCAAGACCAGCCCAGGCAACATGGTGAAACCCCTTCTCTACTAAAAATACAAAATTTAGCTGGCCATGGTGGCGGGTGCCTGTAATCCCAGCTACTCAAGAGGCTGAGGCAGAATTGCTTGAACCCGGAAGGCACTGGTTGCAGTGAGCAGAGATCGTGGCACTGTACTCCAGCCTGGGTGACAGAGTGAGACTCCACTTCAAAAAGAAAAACAAAAAAAATGTTGCCCAGGCTAGTCCTGAACTCGTGAGCTCAAGCGATCCTCCTGCCTCAGCCTCCCAAAGTGCTAGAATTGCAGGTGTGAGCCATGGCACCTGATCGAGAAATACACTTTTGAAAAGAGTTAAGAGAATTTTTTTTTTATCTCACAGAGTTTTAAAAAATGTTAATACAAAGATTCAAGAATAAATATGCTTTCTTACTAGCATGACTTGTTATTTCTTCTTTCATAAGTCAGAAATGAGAAAAGGTAGTTTTATTTGTTACATGTATAAGTTCTACCACTTTCCAATCTAGAATTATCAACTATTTAAAATAATATGTTCAGTACATCAAAAAGTATCTGAAAATAATCAAGCCAGATATAAAAGACAAAAAAATTGCTAAGTTATTACTCATGACACCAAGCTTATAATCCAACCATTCACAGATGCTATACACAAAGAGAAGGGAACTAGACCGGGTATGGTGACCTGTAATCCCATCACACTGGGAGGCTAAGGTGGGAGGACTGCTTGAGCTCAGGATCTCAAGACCAGACTGGGTAATATAGCAAAATCCTGTCTCTACTAAAATACAAAAATTAGTTGGGCATGGTGGCCTGTGCCTGTAGTCCCAGCTACTTGGGAGGCTGAGGTGGGAGAATCACCTGTGCCCAGGAAGTCAAGGCTGCAGTGAGCTGTGATCGCACCACTGCATTCCAGCCTAGGAGAGAGAGTAAGACCTGAGTTTTTTCCTCCATGCCTTGCTACCTGTGCTGCTCCACAGGGAACAGAGGGAGCTGAGGCTGAAGAAGCAGGGATGGGTCAGATCATAAAGGGCCTGCATGCCATGTTATGGAGAAGATGCTTTATCTCACCAGCAATGGAGAGTCCCCGTACAGTTTTTAAAAACACAGTGACATAAGATTTGTTTTCCACACAGATCACTCTTCTTGTGGAGGTGTAATTTAATCCTCAATTCTTCAATTTCATCTAAAGCCCACATTGATCCACCCTCCTCTCCCAGAAATTCATGTACCCCAGGTTAAGAACTCCTGTCCAAGAATAAGATAACAGCAGCAGGAACAATGAGAGGATTAAAAAAAAAATTCCAGAAGATGCTAATCTAAAGGAAGTGATGACTGCATGGAATCAGTAGGGAATGAAGAATTCAGGTTTCTAGCTCTGATGTTTCAACAGATGGTGGTGTCAAAACTAAGATAGGAAATATAGGAGAAAGAGAAACACTTTTAAAAGTACAAGAATGTAGTTTTAAAAAAAAAATCTTAGATATGTTCCTGAAAAATGTGGCATAAGCCTGATCCTATTTCCCCAGTGAATTCCACAATAACCTCCACAATGTTTTCAACTGACAGTGTTTCACTAATACTTTATCTTTCTCTACTCCCTTCTGTTCTTTAATTAGCTAATTAACTAAAAACAAACCTGCACATGCTAGAAGGCCTAAAGAAATTTTTTTTTTTTTTTTTTTTTTTGAGACGGAGTCTCGCTCTGTTGCCCAGGTTGGAGTGGAGGTAGTGGCACAATCTCCATTCACTGCAAGCTCCACCTCCCGGGTTCACACCATTCTCCTGCCTCAGCCTCCCAAGTAGCTGGGACTACAGGCGCCCACCACCACACCCGGCTAATTTTTTGTATTTTTAGTAGAGACGGGGTTTTACCATGTTAGCGAGGATGGTCTCGATCTCCTGACCTCATGATTTGCCCACCTCGGCCTCCCAAAGTGATGGGATTACAGGCGTGAGCCACCACGCCCAGCCAGAAATATTTCTATTTTTAAAAATTCCTTTCTGGATTGTGTATAATCACTGCCTAATTAATATGTTTGGTAAATCTGGTAAGTTCTTACATCATATCTGTATTTACAGAGACCCTTTGCTGACCACCTCCTGCCTTTATCCCACCCCTGAATCAGAAAGTGAGACCTCCAGCAGAAGCCTTTTTACCTTTGACAGTTCTCCCAGGTCAGGCCGCACCCAGCCCAGTTTGTCCAGCACACACTCGTCAAACTTTGCCTGCTGTTTGCGACAGTGACGAAATAACTGCTGGCCAGTATAATCAATGCAAGTCCAATATTCTGTAAAAGGCTCTGCACAGTGACGTTTTATCTGCCTGGAAAAGAAAGCTGGGTTAGGGGCATCTCTTTGCAAAACAATGAAAAACAGAAAAGTGAGAAAAAAATAGGTACAGATCTCAAATACATAGCCTTGCTTTTTGAAAGGTATGTGAGTACATATTCTTATCTCACTTACAAGACAACTTCAGGATCCTCAAGTTGAGAACAAGTTAGTAAACAAAAAAGATTTCTGAGGTAGAAAACCTAATTTCTTTATATAGTAAGAAGAAAAGAGTGTAGCCTAATGCACGCCTATTTTACTCAGAGAGGAACTCCTTACTTGGGGCCTATTTATTCTTTTCTTTAGATCCAATTCCTCTAAGGGTATCAGCTTAGCAAATTTAGAAGAGGAGGAGGCATAATTAAATAATGGACATGCTGATAGAAGTCAAACGTGACAGACAATGGCAAAGGAAGAGACAGAATTATAAAAAGCAAATACACAAACTAACAAGCAGAAGATCCTGGGATCATTCAGTATAAAGACAAACTGTACTCCACTCCTCAAAAGCTCAAGGTCCTCATTTTATTTACGCATTGAACAAAAATAGATATTAATCCTTGCTATCAAGAACAAAGTTATATTATATTTGGTATTCTCTGCTAAGAAGCAGGGTAGCATATAATTCATTCTGTGGCCATCAAAAATGGCTAGAGAAAATTTAACTTCTGTGTATAAAAAGAATAAGTTTCAGTTTTTTGCAAAATCCTCCTTATCTTATCATTCAACCCTACTAGTATGCATGTTCAAGCAAGAATAAAATATCATCATTTTATGTAAAAGCCATACTTGAGGCAGTGAAATTCAGAACACCTCTTTCTCCCAATGAAATAATAATTTTATTATTTAAGTGCTTACCTGTCATACTCCAGAAATCTAGCTACACTCTCACATGAATCTTGTTTAACATGGATCAGGAAGGAAGGATCTCAGAGATGGCTTAAGGAAGTATACAGTGAAAAATCTGCTTTCCACCCTGCCCAATAAGCCACTCAGTTGCTCTCCTAGAGGTCCACCAATGTCACCAGCTTCTTAGGTTTCCCTTCCGGGTATACTAAGCATAACCTGCACCCACATAACTTCTACTCAAGAATCACTTTGGTAGAAAGCAACCATTTCCAATGGGAGTTTTATATTCCTCCAAAATGCAGCAGCAGCAGACGGGCTGCAAGCCACTACTCTAGTAGCATGGATCCCTGTTCTGGACCCTGTTACCCATACCTAACAATTATCTACTAATGCCTACAACCAGCAACTTCAGCAGTGAGAAATTCCTCTATGGATTCACCTTGGGAATTTGTGAAATCCAAACATTCCCCGCTTAAAATGTACTACCACTGGACCATGGAAAAAATGCTTTGCAAAAGTTCTCTTAGAAAATAAAAATTGTTTAGGCTGGATGCTGTGGCTCATGCCTGTAATCCCAGCACCTTGGGAGGCCAAGGTAGGCGGATCACTTGAGGCCAGGAGTTCAAGACCAGCCTGGCCAACATGGCGAAACCCCATCTCTACTAAACATACAAAAATTAGCCAGGCAGGTGGCACACACCCGTAATCCCAGCTACTCAGGTGGCTGAGGCACGAGAATCGCTTGAACCCAGGAGGCAGAGGTTGCAGCGAACAAAGATCACGCCACAGCACTACAGCCTGGGTGACAGAGTGAGACTCTGTCTCAAAAAAAAAAGAAAAATTGTTTAAATAAACACACACACAGACTCAATCTCGCTGGCAATCAAATCAATGCAAATTGAAACATCCAAAAATATTTGCACCTCCCAAATATTTAAATACTATGCATACCAGAATCCAGCGCTGAGGACAGCATAAATTGATCCAACATTTAAAAAACAAAAGCATTTGCTGGGCACGGTGGCTCACGCTTGTAATCCCAGCACTTTGGGAGGCCAAGGCAGGTGGATCACGAGATCAGGAGATTGAGACCATGGTGAAACCCCGTCTCTACTAAAAATACAAAAAATTAGCTGGGCGTGGTACTGGGTGCCCTATAGTCCTAGCTACTCGGGAGGCTGAGGCAGGAGAATGGCGCGAACCCGGGAGGCGGAGCTTGCAGTAAGCCAAGATCGTGCTACTGCACTCCAGCCTGGGCGACAGAGTGACACCCCATCACAAAAAAAAAAAAAAAAAAAAAAAAAAAGCAATACAGTTCAAGAGCCATAATGATGTTCAAAGCCCTTTATAGAGTAAACTCACTGTTAGGAAATTTATGCCAAGGAATTATTAACTGATGAAAATGATCTATACGCAAAGGTAATCACTGCAGATTTATCCAAAATAATCAAAAACTGAAATCAACAATGATGTTCAATAACAGGAATTGGTCAGGTACGTTATGGTTGGTTTATCCACTGATGGAATAATATATAACCATTAAGAATGATGATCACGGCCAGGTGCGGTGGCTCACACCTGCAATCCCAGCACTTTGGGAGGCCAAGGAGAGCGGATCACTTGAGGTCAGGAGTTCAAGACCAGCCTGGCCAACATGCTGAAACCCCATCTCTACCAAAAATACAAAAAAATTAGCCAGGCATAGTGGCGCAGGCCTGTAGACCCAGCTATTCAGGAGGCTGAGACATGTGACTCGCTTGAAGCCAGGAGGCAGAGGTTGCAGTGAGCCAAGATCACACCATTGCACTCCAGCCTGGGCAACAGAGTGAGACTCCGTCTCAAAAAAAAAAAAAAAAAAAAAAAAGATGATCATGAAGACTATATAGCAACTTCGAAGAGTGTTTCCAATAATATCAAGTGAAAAATGAATTTCTCAATGTATACATACTATGATTATAACCACAAAAATATCTTTGCATAGGGACAGAGACAGCAGAAGCAAGAAAGGAGGAAAGCAGCTACTGTGCTAAGGTATCTATTTTTTTTCTCTAACTTCATTGTAGTGGACATCGGTGGTTTCTGCCTAGCCAGCAGTCATTCCCCATTCTTCCGTAACATCCTTCTAATTTTCCTTTGGGAACAACCCCTCCCTGTCTCTCAGCAATGTGGTTTGGATGAAGCTAAGTCCACTCCCCATCTCAGGCCTGAGCAATCAGAGCTTTTTATCTCCTGAAGCACAAGTGATGCAATGATATGTATACGAAGTCCGCCAGCCAGGACAATTAGACTCAGTCCAGGAGCTTCTGCTCACTTCTGGATAAAGGGCACACTTTGTCTAGGTTTGCTAAGCAAGTATCAACAGAACAGCAACTCGAGTGGCTGGTGGCCATTTTTGGTACAGCAAGGTGAGAGTCTTTCCAAAATGAGGTCAACAGAGAAAACCAGAACTAAGAGATTGTGAAAAGAGGAGAGGCAAAAAGACATCAAGTAGTTGTGAAATTATTTAAGCCCTTGAATCCAGCCCTGCCTGATGCCAGGCCTATTTCTGGACTTCAGAGTTACAAGAGCCAATTTCCTTTGAGTTGACTTTCTCTCCTTTTAAATAGAGTGCTAATATGCTTGTTAAAACATTTTCCTACAATTACACAGCTTAGTTTTTTTTTACTTAAGTATCATGCACAATGACCTACGTAAAACCTAACTCCGCATACAGTTTTCTTTCCATCATACCTGTGTTCTGTAGTAATGACAACAACCTAGTGAATGCCTGCTTAAAAAGGACTGTGATAGGTTGTTTTACGTGCCTTTTCAAATTTTTCACAGCAAAAAGACTTTCCCCTTGCTGTAGCAAAAATGGTCACCAGTCACTTGCTTAGCAAACCTAGATAGGTATTATTTTACAATTTGGAAACTGAGATTCATGGAGATAAAAGAACTTGCCAGATAATAAAAACAAAACCAAAAATAATTATCATCCTTTGAATGTTTTACCTTGGTCTGATTTCAAAGCCTATGTACTTCCTAATAAAATCCAGATTATTAGCTGGCTGTTCACTTATTCATTTAAACCTTTATGCTTCAACCAAGTAGGCACTGATACCAAAGATTTTTACCTAAAGAAGTCCAAAGCACACTTGTTGACCAGTTTGCCTTCCTCTAAACACCGCCTCGGATCTTTCTCTTCCCAGCGGCAGAGCATAAACTCCTTGTTGGGCTTATCACATTGAGCTCCATAGTGATGGGCCGCAGCTTTAAGCACAGCAGAACTAATTTTCACCTAGGAAAGGAAAGATGGGACAAAGGCCACAGACTGTGAACCAGAATACCACTTTCTCAGCTTTACCTCATGCGGGTCAGAATAGAGAACACAAAAGTAGCACTGTTCTGACTTTACCAAGAAAATTAAACACTGTCATAATAATAATTTTTTTTTTTTTTTTTGAGACAGGGTTTCACTCCCATTCCCCAGGCTGGAGTGCAGTGGCGCGATCTCGGCTTACTGCAACTTCGGCCTCCGAGGCTCAAGCGATTCTGCTGCCTCAGCCTCCCAAGTAGCTGGGATTACAGGCATAAGCCACCTCGCCCAGCGATTCTTTAAAATCTATGGTGATTTAGAGAACGCAAAGCTCTTTCACATATATTATTTTCTTCACTTTTACAATAGTCTCATGAAGAGATTAATATTCCCATTTTAGAGCAGAAGAAATGGCACCCCTAATAGAATCTTTATTTATGGTAGAGAGAAAAGGGGTGTAGAGAAGGATGGAGTCTTCTGGGATGCAGGGAGAGGAACCAACTCTGGAGAGCTTTGCTGAGTTTCTGCTGCTGGAATAAAATTAATAGATATATAAGGCTGGGCACAGTGGCTCATACAGGTAATCCCAGCACTTTGGGAGGCCAAAGCAGGCAGATCACTTGAGGCCAGGAACTCAAGAACAGCCTGGCCAACATGGTGAAAGCTTGTCTTTAGTAAAGATACTAGAGATGTATCTGGGCGTGGTGGTGCACACCTGTAATCCCAGCTACTAGGGAGGTTGAGGCATGAGAATTGCTTGAACCCAGGAGGCAGAGGTTGCAGTGAGCCAAGATCATGCTACTGCACTCCAGCCGGGGTGACAGAGCAAGACTCTGTCTCAAAAAAAAAAAAAATTAAATTAAATTAAATTAAATTAAAGGATAAATAAAACTCCCAGAGGACTACGGAGTCACAGAAGATGAGGCTGGAAGAGATCACAAAGAGCATCTAGTCCATCTAGTAATAGTCCATCTAGTAATAGTCCATCTAGTAATAACTAATAATAAAGTACTAAAATCTGCAAATTTTTTAAAAATCAGAGCGTATCCAAGGTTGCCACCCCTTTAACTATGCCCACCAGTTTTGCTCAATAGTATTTTAGTGATATTTTCTTGAGAAGATACACAGTGTAGATATAGCCAGCTCAGAGAGAACTGCAAACTGTCCAGGGCCTACAAACAGCTGCTTAAGCAAGAGACCTGTGGTCCCTTTTCTGTACTACCTTTTCTTATACCAATACCACAATGTTTTAATTACTGTCACTGAAGATAACATTTTGTTATCTGGGAGAACCATCCTCCTCATTCTTCCTTTTCAAAACTTTTTTGGCTATTCTTTCAGATGAACACCTTCCCCCAATAATTTGCATTCAAATTGTATTAAATTTAGTTATATGTTAAATTAGGGAACAATGGGCAGTTTTTATAATACTGGGTGCCTGCTCAAACTTCACATCCTCAGAGAGCCTCTCTCTAATCATCTTATATAAGCTATCATCAGTGGTCACTCATGTGGTCTGGTCTTAGCATTCATGTGCTAAGTCTGATCAATTCTAGACATACTTGTTCTTTCCTCTCTGTAAGCACAGTTTCTGTGTTAAGCACCAATTACACTGGGGTCATTAACATCTTTCTCAATAATTTTAAGAGCCCCTGAGTGGTCTGTGTGTGACTAGAACATAAGCTCCCAGAGGGAAGGGATTTTGTTTTCAACAGAGATCCACTACTGTAAAGATATCAATTCTCCCCAAATTAAGCTATGGTAATTAAATATAATGTTGACTACGGTACACACCAAGCACCCAAAATAGTGTCTAGCACAAGTAGCTGTTGAGCACCCACTCTTTGCTAGAAAATGGGGATACAATAATTAGAAAACAGATATGAATACATCAATCACACCTTCTCATCCACAACACAGTATTTCTCTCCATTTATTCATATTCAAGTCATTCTTGTCCTTTGGTTAAAACTAGTTTCCTTCATTATAGGGACCTTGAACATTTCTTGTTTATTCCTCAGTATTTTAGCACTTTTGATACTATCTAAATAGGATAGTTTTTCTATTAGACTTTCAAACTGTTTACTGCTTGCTTGTATACTGTATTTTCTCTCCAGCCATCTTACTGAACTCTTGTTAGTTCTGACACAAAACTCAAGAAGATTAACAGAAAAACTGCCATTTACAAATAAAAACTGTCTCTTTCCCTTCTGCTACTTTATTTTTTTCTTCTTATTCTCATTTCCTATTTTATTGCTTTAACCAACCCCTTCAGGACAATACAGACGAAGAGCAATGACAGCAGACAACCTTCCCTTTTTCTAAAATTAAAAGCAAGTTTGGTATAATATTTGCTGTTGGTATCTGGAATATAGTTGTTTGGATATTCCTTGTTAAGAAAGCTTCTTTCTAATTCTAATTAGTTTTGCTTTACTGTTGTTTTCTATACCAGAAAAGACTAAAATTTTTAGGCTTCGTTTTCATTAATTTATAAATGTAACATAGAGCATTAACAGATTTTGTAAAACTGATCCAATGTATTTCTAGAATAAAATCTAGTCTGTCACAGTGTATTATGCTTTAATACTCTACTGAATTTGATTTGTAAAATTAAAAATTGTTGTGTGAGAACAGTCTGTAATTTTATTTTATTTTATTATTATTATTTTTTTGAGACCGAGTTTCGCTCTTGTCCAGGCTGGAGGGCAGTGGCGCAATCTCGGCTCACCGCAACCTCTGCCTCCCAGGTTCAAGTGATTCTCCTGCCTCAGCCTTCCTGAGTAGCTGGGATTACAGGCATGCGCCACCACACCCGGCTAATTTTGTATTTTTGGTAGAGACGGGGTTCCTCCATGTTGGTCAGGCTGGTCTCAAACTCCTGACCTCAGATGATCCTCCCGCCTCAGCCTCCCAAAGTGCTGGGATTATAGGCGTGGGCCACCACGCCCAGCTGTAATTTTATTTTTTATGCACTTTATGCAGCTAGGTTATTAATAAAAGGCAAGGAAAGATGACAAGAGTAATTAATCTATACACTATAGAAAGGAGAATAAAGTTATGACTATGTCTATTAATAGTGCAACTGTTATAATTATCAAAGATAAAGTTATGACATAAGTGAAATCTGCCATGATGACTCTAATAAATTTATGTTTAAAATCTGTAAAGTTTTCATATTAAAGTTTTTGAAAATAAAAGAATTTATTTAGGTAAACTGGCACACATTTGCTTGTTTTATTACCTATAAACAGCTAGGAGAATAAAAACTAACACTCAAACTTTTTTAAAAGCTTAATATATTTTAATAATTAAGTCAGTTATATTTACTTGTCATATGCCTTAAAAGAGCTTTAACTGGCTGATTCAATTATTCAAAGGCCCAAAACTATACGGCCCAAAAAGACTGACGCATTATTTATTTCCCTACAAATGTGGAAATCTTATCAAAATGAAGGTATACACATGTTGCTGAGCATATAAAACACCATCCCTGTCACAGGAAAATAAAGGAAGACATTGAGTCTGTTTCGTAATTAATGAAAAAGAGGGATGTGCTAGAGACAACACAGTGAGTCAGTGGCAACCCCAGAACTAGAACACAGAGATTGTGACCTCCAACCAGGCTTCTTCCCATTATATCACCATCACTGAGGTGGATGAGCCTGAGATGTCACCATATCCCCTCACCTGCTTCTTCACTGAGACTGATGAATTCCAACAGAAACAACATCCTTTCACAGCTGTTTACCATGAATACCGTCTCAAATTCATTCAGATCTCTTTGTCTCAAACAACACAGAATTTCAACATCCTTCTCATTTATTCTCACAACAGCCTCATTGCACAGCAGGGCTACACAGTCTGCAGGTGTGGAAACTGAGACAAAGTCACCATCTAGAGCCAATCAACCTTCTAGTCCTGTCCTTGTCTCCTTAAACTACGTCTGTACCTCTTTTTATAGTACTTTATTTATACCATGCCTTGAGTTTTCCTAAATTTATGTAAAACAGAGAATAGTACTTAATAGAACTGTTATGAAGATTAAATGAGTTAATATATATAAAAATAATAAGAACAGTGCCTATCACATCGAAAGCACACCATAAATATTAGCTATTTTTATTTTTACTCAAAATTATCAAATGTGTCCAAGGACTTTCCAGTCCAAAGCTTCTGACTGCTTTTTCAATGGGGATGTGTCATAACTCCTAAGCCAATGAGGTCCAAAATGTATTTAACTCGCTCTCCAAACGGGCTCCTTTTTCTGGCTTCACCAGTACTATTGCCACGCTGCAAATCTGACTTTGATTCTTCAACCTTCCCTACCTCCAATATCTAATCCATTGCTAAGTCTGATCAATTCTAGATATACTTGTTCTTTGCTCTCTGTAAGCACAGTCTCTGTAAGCACCAATTACACTGGGATCATTAACATCTTTCTCAATAATTTTAAGAGCCACTGAGACTAGTCTCCCTGCTTTTCTTTTTCTTTCTTCAATCCATTCTTCACACAGCTGCTACCGTGATCTCCCTAAATGACAATTCTTATTTTACTCTGCTATTATATTAGCAACCAAACTCTCATTCAGCCTTAACAGCAGAATAAAGCCTAAACTTCTTAACGGGTACTGAAAGGCTTCTGGACCCAAACTATCTTTCCACCCTTCTCACCACAACATTTCAAAAAGGGACTGACTATTTACTGTTCTCTCAAAACACTGAACTCCTTTTTGACTCTCTGCATTTTCCCATCTCCTTACTTTTGCTCAGACCCTACCCTCACTTAGAGGGGTCTTCTCTTCATCTCCGCCCATAAATGCCATTCTTCATATGCCATTTAGTCATGTCTTACATTATGTCCAAAAAGTGCTTTCTCTATTCCCTTTATAGTTTCAGAGAATTTTATAGCTGGGATCACCTCATCTTACAAATAACCATGTCTGCAAATGCTAAAATCAAGTAATCAAGGTGACCGGCAGGTAGGCCTAGAATTTAGATACAACTTCAAATCTTTTCCTAAACCACATCTTCCCCCTTTCATAGTATTTAATCACACCTTGTCTTGTATTTTAGTTATTTATGTAATTATTCGTATGTTCATTCAATTGTGTGAAGACTAAAGGCAAATGTATTTCAGATACATCAGTTGTATGAAGTAGAACTTCAGATGTTTGTTGAACCTAATAAAAATTGCAACAAGAAATACAGCAACTCAAGATTAACCCAGCTACATGGGGTGGGGGCAGGGGGGTGGTTCGCCGGGGGGAACAAAAGAGTGGGGGCCACATGGCAGCTCCCCTCTGCCACCTCAGAGTAAATGTCACTTTAATATAATAAAGTCCCTGAACATAGCTAATAATTTCTTCCTCTGAGGAAAATAACAGTTGCCACTCTCACAGGCATCTAAGATTAAATGAAGCATTGCAGGTAGAAGACTTAACATACGGCCAGGCGCGGTGGCTCACGCCTGTAATCCCAGCACTTTGGGAGGCCGAGGCAGGCAGATTACGAGGTCAGGAGATCGAAACCATCCTGGCTAACACGGTGAAACCCCGTCTCTACTAAAAATACACAATATTAGCCGGGTGTGGTGATGAGCGCCTGTAGTCGCAGTTACTCGGGAGGCTGAGGCAGCAGAATCGCTTGAACCCGGGAGGCGGAGGTTGCAGTGGGCCAATATCGCGCCACTGCACTCCAGCCTGGGCAACAGAGCGAGACTCTCAAAAACAACAAAACAAACAAACAAAACACTTAACATAGTGCCGGGTATATCATTGCTGGTACATCATTTCTAGTCTTGGCCTTCCTCTCCTTTAATATAGCCTGTTCTACTATCCAGCCCTGCCATGACACTCCTCTGCCTTAAAACCTTCCACTCTTCCCACCACCTCCCTTACTGGATCAAGTCCAAACTGTTTGGTCTGGCCTTGTAGAAGCTGCTTCCAAGTCCTATCTCAGCCCAAGTTGCCTCTCCAGGCTCAGCACCTGCTGCTTCCCACCACCACCACTAGGGTCACATCAAACTGTACTTGGCTCCCTAAACACACAAGTTCTGCTAGGCCGTCTCATTCTTGTGAGTTTTCACCCATAATATAGTGGAAAAGCATTGGTTTTAAAATCAGACTTGGGTTCACTTCCAGCTCTATTACTTACGAGCTCCGTGACCTTGGGCAAATCATTTCTACTCTCGGGGACTAATTCCTTATTTATAACGCTACGACCAATTGTGTGTGTGTGTGTATATATATATATATGACCAATTGTGTGTGTGTATATATATATGGTATATACATATATATATATACACCAATTGTGTATATATATATATGGTATATATATATACACACCAATTGTGTGTGTGTATATATATGTGTATGTGTGTGTATATATATATATATCCTACCTTATAGTGTTGCTGGGAGGATTCAATGAATTAATGCATGGAAAGTAATTAGCATCCTGCCTGGTATCTAGAAAGGACTTGATCATGTTAGCTATAATTAGTAGGGTATGTTTCTACTTCACTCCTCACAGCACTAACTACATTGTACTGTGACTGCCTCTTTATGTGTCTGTCTCCCTACTGGATTGTAAAGTCCATGAAAGCACGAAGTATATCTCTTCCAGCGTTATGTGTACACGTTAATTACTGAAATGATATCTCTTGAATAAACGAATGCTTTAAATGGGTCCTGTTACCAAACACCTTCCCAAGGCTGTGAGTAGATGCACGCTCCAATATTGTCTCATTTTCCCGCGGCTTCGTCACCCCACTCTATGCACTCTGCACCGGTGATACCACTTTAAGGTAGATGACCGTCTCCCTCGACTGTGAGCCCCTAGGGTTGTATACTCACCTCGCATGCAAGTTTGAGGATTAAGCGACATAAGCTAAGTAAAATGACTGGTTGGTGCTTAATAAAATGTATCACTATTATTCACGGAAGGAGAAATAGGTCGCTGTGGAGGGCGAAAGGGGGAGGATTCTAGAGCCACTGCAAGATGCGACAGGGTGGGGTAGAGAGGGGAGGCGACTCCCAAAGCTGCGGAGGGGACCTCCGGGGGTCGACCTGTATATGCGTTGGAGGACTGGGGAGGGGGGCCCGGGTCCCAGGATCCGCGGAGCCCAAGGGGGGCTAGGCCCAGGCCCGAGAAGCCGCAGCCCCATGTCTCCCTTGCCTGTCCTCCGGATAGCCTCACCTCATCTACTTTCAGCTCCTCTAGAGTGGGCAGCTCCACTATCCCCGGCATGACGGCTGCAGCCCCGACCCCGACGAGAAGCCCTCAGCCGCGTCGCCCCCGTCTCCTTGAACTCCCCTTTCGACCGCCGAGTGCCACACGGCGCCTGCGCATGCGCATCCGGCAACACGCAGGCGTATTGCCCTGCCCAACCACGAGCGAGGGAGCGTGCGCAATACCAAGAACTTTTCAGCCTCCAGCGGGGTGGGGCTTCGATTCGGCTCCGCCCACCCCTCCAGGTTGTCATAGTGATGCCGTATCCACTGAGACTCCGGATCCTAACAGCTGGAAGCTAAAAACAGGCGCCATGGAGTACACAGGGAGCAAATATATCGGGGAATATGTAGATGGGAGGTAAGGGGCTCATTTGATTCACTTACTATACCTTGAATAGCTGTGACTGGAAAAAGACGGCTTTTTGCTTCTGCGAAACACCTTGTGCCAGGCACTTTCACAAACTTGCCCGAGTAATTTTTTCAAGGACCATATCTAATAAGCAGCAAAGCTAAGATGCATTCATTCCATATATACTTATATGTGTGTGTGCATTGACTGTGTGTGTGTGCTATCTGCCAGTTTTAAACATAGGAATAAGAATATTTAAAATGTCAAGATCCTTGCTCTTATGGAGTTTATAATCCAGTTGGAGATGTATTGCCAATAAACAAATAAGTGATAAAATAATTACAGATAATGGTAAATGCTATAAAAACAAACACGAAGATTAGGGAAGAGAGACTGGCTAATCTGAATCTACACGGTCGCTTCCTTCCAGGAGGAGTTCACGATCTAGGGATTATTATAGAGGATTATATACACAAATCACTGTAGTGGACTAGTAGTAAAAAACAATTCAACAGTTTTTTTTTCTTTTCTTTTCCTTCCTTCCTTCCTTCCTTTTTTCCTTCCTTCCTTCCTTCCTACCTTCCTCTCTTTCTTTCTTTCTCTCTCGTTTTTGTTTTATTTTCAGACAAGATCTCGCTCTGTTGCCCTGGCTGGAGTGCAGTGGCCTGTTCACTGCTTACTGCAGCCTCAACCCCCTAGGCTCAAACAATCTTCCCACCTCAGCCTCCCAAGTAGCTGAGACTACCGGTGTGCACCACTACCCCCAGCAAATTTTTCAACGCCTTTTGTAGAGACGGCATCTTGCTATGTTGTCCAAGCTGGTCTCATACTCCTGGGCTCAAGTGATCCTCTTGCATGAGCCACCGTGCCCAGCAATTCAACAATGTTGAGTGGCTACCGAGTACCAGGCCCTGTAATTGACTCTGGGCACAATCCCTGTCTTCAGAAAGTTCATTCAAACATGATGCGACAAGTAGACATAACAGATAACTGCGATTCAGTGTGGTAAGAGCTGTAGTAGAGAGAAGCAGAGGAAACACAGAGGTGGCCACTCTTTTTTGCCAACCACCCTGGATGAAGAAAGTGGAATCTCTGTTTTTATAGCTGAGGAAACCAAGGCTGGACGATATGAAGTGGTTTGCTGAACCAGTGCTAGTTGTCGGGACTGTGAAGCACTCCCACCTTGGGGCTCTGTATTCACAAGTTGGTGGAATTCCAGGGCATTCTGAGTTAATAGGAAAGAGGGATCTGTGGTCTGGACAGGGATAGGAGATAGATTCCTAGAGAGGGTGGTAGGAATGCTATGGGATGCTATCTCTCTAATCATTACATCAATTTTGCAAGGAAGATGTTATTATCTTTCCAGGTAAGAAAGGTGACCCTTACAGGGCTTGAGACACTTATCCTACTCAGCAGGTAAGTGGCAGAGGTGCTTGGTGTGTACTCCCTCTCACTACTCAGTGAGATAGTTCAGGCTGACCTTGCAAATAAAGGAACAGAAGTTAGGAGAAGCAAAATGACTGGCCCACCATTATGGATACACAGCTAGGAAGTAACAGAGTCAGGATTTGAACCCAATCCTCTGTCCAAACCACATTCTTACTTTTCACAAGGCTCTGCTACAGTGAAGGTGGTAGAATTTTGGCAGATAGAGATGGGGTATTGGGCATTTTAGGCACAAAAAGTTGAGAAACTACATTAATTTTCGATGGGCTGTATATGGGTGAGAGAGAAACACACAGACAAGGTAAAAGACGGAAGGCTTTCAACCATTTGCCTTTGGCCTTCTGTGTATTTTCATTGGGTTTGTGTGCTGAATCAGCCATTTCCATGCTTTGGCCCTAGGAATTTGGGCTTTGCTTGAGGTTGTCTGGTACCTCTGTAACCACGATAGGGATTCCCAGACCTGAACAGGGCTTCCCAATTTCCCATAACTAGCAAGAAGTCAGCAGTTTTTCACTTGTTATACTTCTTTTCATAAGTTGGACATGTGTTGTTCTGTACTGATTTTGTATTTTTAACAACAGTTAACTAGAATTCTATTTGGGGCATCTCAAATTTCAGCATGTAATGAGAGGATGAGACAGGTCTGGGCTCAAGTCTGCCATTTGCTTGTTGTACACTTAATTAACCATCCATACCTCAGTTTCCTCATCTGTAAAATGGGAAAGCAATGCACATTCAGCAGCAGTGTTCCAAGGAATATGTAATGATCATATATGGATGTTATTTACAAATGGTAGATACTCAATCAATTTTTTTTAATTTAGGGAGGGGATATTTTCCTCTTGGAGTTTAAATGAATAGAGTAACCTCTCTATACAGTAGGAAGTTGATATTTAACGTTTGGTTTAAAAAGTTTATGTAGACTCTCCATGGCTGATAGGAACATCAAATGGTACGACTGCTTTGGAAAAGTTTGGCAGTTTCTTGAAAAGTTAAACAGCCATTCCACTTATAGGTATTTACCCCAGAAATGAAAGTGTATATATACACAAAGACATGTATACAAGTACTCATAGCAGCCTTATTTATAATAACCAAAACTAGAAACAAACCCAAATGTCATCAACAGGGGAATGAAGAAACTAATTGTGGTATATCCATTCATTGGAATACTACTCAGCAATAAAAAGGAGTGAACTATTGGTACACAGAACAACATGAATGAATCTCAAAAAATTATGTTAAGTGAAAGAAGCCAGACAAAAAAAGAGTAGATACTGTATGATTCCATTTATGTAAAATTCTAGAAAATGCAAATCTATGGTGACAGAAAGTAGATCAGTAGTCACCTAGAGATGAGGATTGTGGGCAGGGGCAAGGAGGAAGTATTACAGAAAGGCATGCAGAAACTTTTGTGGGGAGTAGATATTTTGTCTTGATTGTGATGATGTTTTCCCAGGTGATGTCAAAACGTGTCAAATTGTACACTTTAAACACGTGGCCTATTGTATGTCAATTACACTTCAATGTATCTACTTAAAAAAAAAACCTTAAAAGAGACATGATTTCCCTGTACCACGTGTGAATATTAAAAAAAAAAAGGTTAATGTAGTATCTGTCTGACCTCAATATTATGGTTTCTTTGGAGTAGTCGCACAATTGAGTTCTAGATAACTCCACTCCAAAGCACCACAAGGTAAGTGCCAGAAGAGACCTACAGACACAGGGGAGGAAGGGACGCCCATAGCATTTATGTAGTAACTACTGTGCTCTGGGTGGCTTTGCCTGCATCTTCTCTTCACAGGGACTCTTTGAGATAGATATCATTATCCTATTTTACAGATGGGAAAAGTAAGGCTCGGAGTAAACCTGCCCAAAGTCACCCAGTTAGCATTTGGCAGAGCAGGTATTAAAACCCAGGTCGATCAGACTGTAAAGCCCACAGGCTTCCTACAATAGAGCCCTGCTGCTGTGGCCCTTCAGAGGCCACATACAGTCGGAGCCGTCCTTAAAGGCTTCGTGGAAGAGATAGTATTTGAAATGGGCCTTGAAGGTTGGGTAGGATTTAGGTGGTTGGAGATGCAAGGTGAAGAATTCTTTTTCTAGAAGTTTTTAGGCAGAGGGAACAGCATGAGCAATAGCCCAGAGGGCACGTATGGAGTAGAGCTGGCAGTTCAGTTTGGCAGGAGAGTGGGTTGTGCCCAGAGGAGTTATGCAAAGGGAAGCTGGACAGGCGGTCTGTGCTCTGGCAAAGAAATTTCAATACCGTGCACAATTCTGGTGGTGGAGGAACCACTGATAGATCCTGGTAGGGCCAAGCATCAGGAAATAAAACTTATTTCATCTCTGTAACTCTCCTCATAATGCATATGTGTGGTAGAGACTCAGTAAATGTTGGCTGAATGAATGAATGAATGAATCATAGGTTTTGAGGGGTTTGTTTGAGACAGGGTCTCACTCTGGAGTGCTCTGGCTGGAGTGCAGTGGTGCAGTCTTGGCTCACAGCAATGTCCACCCCACCGGACTCAAGCGATCCTCCCACCTCAGCCTCCCCAGTAGCTGGGACCACAGATATGCGCCACCATGCCCAGCTAATTGATAGGTATTTGAGATCTGGTAATCATATCCTTATTATGGATTGAAGCCTTCACTATAAAGTGGTTTTTTTCTTCTTTTTAACTTACTTTGAATTTAGAAGGCAGGCTTTTCACCTTGAATGAATTTTTTAAAATGGAAGAGAAGGAGGGAGAAAGGAAGGGAAAGAGAGAGAGAGAGTGAAGGAGAAAAAGAAGAAGGGAGGAGAAGGAGAGAAGGAGGGACAGAGAGGAGGGAAGCAGGAAAAGTGAAGATGGGGAGATCAGCTCAGAGCTCACTGCAGTTGTCCCAGTAAGAGGCAGCAGAACCCTGGGCCAAGGCAGAAGCAGTGAAGCTGCAGGAAAGAGAAAAATGTAGGAGAGGTTTGGGGATTTTACTGCCAGGAGTTGGCAGCTGATTGGCTCCAGTCCCGTCCAGAGATGGCTTACAGCCCCAGCCCTGGGCCCAGCTCCTGGCCTTGAACCAGAGGATTCTGATACCATTCATGGAAATAGAGAACTCTAAGGAGGTGCTGCTTAGGGGAGGAGGAGATGAGTTCTGTTTTAGGCGAGTTGGAGATGTCTGTGAGAGGTCTGAACAGTGATGTCCAGTTCAAGGTAAGAAAAGGGGTGGGGTCTAACCTCAGAGAAGGGTGTAGAACTTGAATATGGAGATGGTGCTTAGAAATGATAGATGTGAGCTCAAGCAAAGAGTACAGGAGGGAAGGAGAAGAGGAATTCTCCCTTCCCCCCATGTCTTGCACTAGAATAAAAGTGAAATAGTTTTCAATTTCTTGTTCTATGCCGGGCATTCTGCTATAGTTTCACAACCATCGTCTCACTCAGTTATCTCAACAACTTTGTCATCCACTCTGTTCACTGACTACTCTTTCTGTTTCCTTCATTCTTTACTCAGGAGACGTTTATGAAGCACCTGCTTAATGGTTCTAGGAGCTGAGGATACCAAAGTCTTCCTTTAAAGAAGCTTTTCTTAAATACAGGAGATAAGATACCTAATTACAAAACAAGATAGAAAGTGTTACACATCCCGACAGAGGTATTAGCAAAAGCCTAAAGAAGGTCAGAGTTAGGAGAGGAGCCTTCAGCTTGTTAGGAGGAATGGAGAAGGAATGAATGAAAGCATATTTATTAAGCACTCACTATATATATGTCAGGCCCTTTACTAGGAAAATCGTTATATGTTACCTGGATTAATTGCAGCCATTTCACCCATAAAGAAACTGGTCAGCCCAGTGCAGTGGCTCACACCTGTAATCCCAACATTTTGGGAGGCTGAGGCAGGAGGATCATTTGAGCCCAGAAGTTCTAGATCAGCCTGGGCAACATAGGGAAACCCCGTCTCTACAAAAAAAAAAAAAAAAAAAAAAAAATTAAATAAGCCAGGCGTGGTGGGGCACACCTGTGGTTCCAACTACTTGGGAGGCTGAGGTGGGAGGATCACTTGAGTTCAGGGGATTGAGGCTGCATTGAGCCATGATCACACAGCTGTACTGCAGCCTGGGAGACAGAACAAGATCTGGTCTTGGGAAAAAAACAAAAAACAAAACAAAGAAGCTAGTCAACTGGTCAAGCTGGTGTCCCTGCCTTGTTCTCCTGTATGAGCCTGTCTTCCTCCTGCATAGCACTTATCACACATTGTATAATTACTCAATTTTGTCCCCCACTAGACTGTGAGCCCCCCGAGGACAGGGACCGCATCTGCCTTGATCACTGTTGAATCTGTGTTGTATTCAGCAAGTTGGACCATCAGCATAGTCCCTGACAAAATGTAGGTGCTCTGTAAATACCTGTTTGGAAGGAAAGAAGGAAGGGAAGGAAGGGAGGGAGGCACAAGCAAAGAGGTTTGGGAAAGTATCTGTATTAGTCTGTTCTCATGCTGCTGTAAGGACATAACCAAAGACTGGGTAATCTATAAAGGAAAGAGGCTTAATGGACTCACAGTTCCACATGGCTGGGAAGGCCTCACGATCATGGTGGACGCAAAGGGGGAGCAAGGGCACATCTTACATGGCAGCAGGCAAGAGAGCATGTTCAGGGGAATTGCCCTTTATAAAACCATCAGATCTCATGAGACTTATTCACTATCATGAGAACAGCATGGGAAAAACCCACCCCCATGATTCAGTTACCTCCCACTGAGTCCCTCCCATGACATGTGGGGATTATGGGAGCTACAATTCCCGATGAGATTTGGGTGGGGACACAGCCAAACAATATTAGTATCCAAGATTATATATATATATAATGGTGGTAAGCTTCAAACCCTTACTCCTGTCTCTAAATTTCATATTTTCCCTAATATTCCACTTGTGGCATAATAGGCAAGGATGGGTTGGTCATGGGGGACAGAGAAATCACAGAACTAGCTGCCAGAAAACCTGGGCTCTAGTGTCCACAGTTTTTACTGTGTGTGGTTTTGGGCACATCTCTACGCTCTCTGGGCCTACTAGGGGGGTTTATTTCAGGGAGCAGTGTGAACTCCAAGGTGAGAGTGAGCCTCTAGGTGAAGGGGAGAATGAACAGAGCAAACTCTATTCCCCTCTTTTCGTTTTTGAGCTTTTGAGGGAAACAAAACAAAAATTTTGTTTTCAGCAGAGTACTGCTGGGATGAGAAGGATGAGAATGCTGAGAACGGGGTTCCTGCTCACTCTGTTGCCTGCCAGCTCTGATCCTCCAGCTGTCACACAGGGCTCAGTGATTTCCCTGTGTCTTTACAGGATGGAGGGCAAAGCCAAGTACATCCTCCCTACCGAAACAATATATGTTGGGGAAATGAAGGATGGCATGTTTCACGGCGAGGGAACCCTGTACTTCCCCAGCGGAAGCCAATACGACGCCATTTGGGAAAACGGATTGGCCATAAAGGTGATCAGCTGGGGGGACGGATGCTGTGGAGGAGAGATCCTCACGCAAGAAGAGCCTCACCCTCTGGCACCCCATCCTCCCTGTCTGGTGCCCACCTTGTTCCATTCACTCTTCTCTTTGCTTCTCCCCCACTCCCCCCACTTTTTTTTTTTTTTTTTAGTCTCACTCTGTCACCAGGCTGGAGTGCAGTGGCACAATCTCGGCTCACTGCAACCTCCGCCTCCTGGGTTCAAGCGAGTCTCCTGCCTCAGCCTCCCGAGTAGCTGGGACTACGGGCGTGCACCACCATGCCCAGCTAATTTTTGTATTTTTAGTAGAGATTGGGTTTCACCATGTTTGCCAGGATGGTCTCAGTCTCTTGACCTTGTGATCCACCCGCCTTGGCCTCCCAAAGTGCTGGGATTACAGGTGCGCAGGTGTGAGCCACCGCACCTGACCTTTTTTTTTTTTTTTTTTTTTGAAAACGAGTCTCTGTCGCCCAGGCTGGAGTGCAGTGGTGTGATCTCAGCTCACCACAACCTCTGCCTCCTGGGTTCAAGCTATTCTCTTGCCTAGGCCTCCTGAGTAGCTGGGATTACAGGTATGTGCCACCATGCCCGGCTAATTTCTCCCTGCTTCTGGATCTCCCAGGGCTCTAGAATCCTCTCCCTCTAGATCTGGAAGGATCTGTGGAGAGGCCATGATGAGTTTGCATCTGTTACACCACTTACTGCCTGATCTTAGGCCCACGACTTCACCTCCCTGAGAGTTCTTCACCTATCAACTCGGGACAGTTAGTTGCATTAGTTATGTGTTGGTACTATAACAGGTTACCACAAATTTAGTCTGAAATCAGCACAAATGTATTATCTTACAGTTCTAGAGCTCAAAAGTCTGAAATAAGTCAGCAAGCCTGCATTCCATCCAGAGGCTCTACGGGAAAACCTGTTTCCTTGCCTTTTCCAGCTTCTAGAGGCTGCCTGCATTCCTTGGCTCATGGCCACGCATCACTCCGACCTCTGCTTTCATCATCACGTCACCCTTCGTCCCTCTGCTTTCATCGTCATCTCTTCTTCTCTCACCCTGACCTTACTATTTCCCTCTCATAGGAACCTTGCAATCATATTTGGCACACCCAGATAATCCAAATAATCTTCCCACTTCAGGATCCTTCATTTAATTGCATCTGCAAAATCCCTCTTGCCATGTAAAGTAGCATATTCACAGGTTGCAGCAGACAGGGACATCTTTGGGGGACCATTATTCAGCCTACCACAATAGTACAAGGCACCTCAATATATATATGTGAACACTTTGCTAAGTTCCCAGCACACAAGAGGCACTCAATAAATGTTAGCTCTTATTACCACCATCACTGCTACTATCATTATAACTTACCTAATCCAAGGATTCTTACCCCCTGGTATTTGTGAGTCATGAATAGAATTCAGGGAGTCACTGAAACCTCTTGATTTATATACAGAAGTTTCTGTGTAAAGGGGACTAAGTTTTTCTCCAGGAAAAGCATCTATAGCTTTCATCAGTTTCACTAAGAGCATCTTGGGGCCTGACTCATGACCTAAAAAAGGTTAAGAAAGGCTCCTTGTTTTATAGCTTGGAGAGTCTAAGCCCCAGGAAGGGGATGTGACTTTCCCGAGGTCACACAGTGAATTAATAGTATCATTGGAATTTCCACCCGTGTTTCCTGATGCCCAGGCCAATGCAATTTCTACATCCTGAGGCTTCCTTTAGCAGTAAGGCAGCAAAGGCAGAATGTATGTGTTTGGACAAAGGGCCGTGGCTGATGGCTCTGACCTTTCCAGCTATAATAATAATAAAAGAATAATAACATTTATTGAGTGCTTACTTTGTGTCAGTGTGTCAGTCAGGGTTCTTCAGAGACACAAAACCAATAGGATATATAGAGATGTATGGAAAGAGATTTATATTAGGGATTGGCTCACAAGATTATGGAGGCTAAGAAGCCTCCCAATCTTCCCTCTGCAACCTGGAGGCCCAGGAAAGCTGTTAGTGTAGTTCCAGTCCAAACCCAAGGGCCTCAACCAGGGGGATCAATGGTGTAAGTCCCAGTCAGAGTTCAAAGGCCTGAGAACCAGGAATGCTGATGTCCAAGGGCAAGGAAGATGGATGTCCCAGCACAAGCAGAGACAGGGAATTGGCGCTTCCTCTGCCTTTTTGTTCTATCCAGACCCTCAACGGATTGTATGGTGCCCACCCACTTTGGTGAGGGTGGAACTTCTTTGCTCAGCCCACCGATTAAAATGTGAATCCCTTCTAGAAACGCCCTCATGAACACACCCAGAAATGTTTTACCAGCTATCTGGGCATCCCTTTCACTTAACCCAGTCAAGGTGTCTCACAAAATCAACCATCACAGCCAGGCACTGTGCTAAATGCTTCACGTGTGCTATCTCATTGAATTTTCAATCAACCCTATTTTATGTACACTATCATTAACTTAATTTTACAAATGAGGAAATGAAGGGCCAGAGAGAGTGGGTCGTCTGCCCAAGTTCATCTGCCAAAGTGAGTTCACCCACTTTGAGCGGCAGGGACAGGGCTCGGCACTTATACCCATTCCCTCTTGTCGTCACAACCATAATAATTGTGATAGTTACCACTTCTTTACTGCAGCCATCAGAAAGGCCCCCACTTCCCTTGACATCTGAACCTCTTGGCCAAAAGCCTTCAGCTTCCTCAGATGCACGTGTGTGCTCCTTGTCTTCCAGGGCACATATACGTTCTCAGATGGGCTGCACTATGATGAGAAAAACTGGCATTACTGCGACGGCTATGATCGGAGGTTTTACACAGAGATCCTCAATGGCTTGAAGCCTGCAGGTACCCAGGCACCCACCCTTTCCTTCATACCCAAACTGAGAGGGAAACTAAGACAGTTTCGGATAAGTGGACTGTGTCCTACTAAAGTAACTTAAAGGGGAAGAGGAACTGAGCAGGCGTAGAAGAATGCAAAAGAGCCAGGTCCTGGAGCCAGGAAGGCCAGTCCTCATATCTCAGCTCCACTGTGCTAGCCAGAGGACCATGGGCAAGGGACTTTACCCACTGCGCCTCAGTTTCTCCCCTTCAAAATGGAGTCAATCAGCTGGGCGTGGTGACTATGCCTGTAATCCCAGCACTTTGGGAGGCCAAGGCGGGTGGATCACTTGAGGTCAGGACTTCCAGACCATCCTGGCCAACATGGTGAAACCCCGTCTCTTCTAAAAATACAAAAATTAGCCGGGTGTGGTGGCATGCCTGTAATCCCAGCTACTCAGGAGGCTGAGGCATGAGAATCGTTTGAACTCAGGAGGTGGAGTTTGCAGTGAGCTGACATCACACCACTGCACTCCAGCCTGGGCGACAGAGCGACACTCTGGTCTCAGAAAAAAAAAAAAAAAAATCAAAATGGGGTCAATAGCATCATCTACCTCCCAAGATTGTTGTAAATAAGATAATTCATGTCAGGTGTTTAGAACAGTGCCTTGAATGCATGTGGGTGCACGGTACATGTCAGCTGTTCTTATTCGTGGTACCTACTATAACACTAAAATTATGTAAATATTTTAAAAAGAAAGAGTTAAGGACGAAAGCAGTACTGACAGAGCATGTGCTTTGTGTATCAGGTGCTGGGGGAGGCTCTCTGTAATCCCTGTCTCCCTAATGTCCAGATGACCCTGCCCAGTCAGCCTTCCTAGTCCCATGTCACTCCAGGTTGAGGCTGTGGAGTTCAGACATGGTTCCCTGTGGCAGAGCTCACACTGGTAGCCCAGTCTTCCTCTCTGAGGTCCTCTTTATCATGCTACCTCCCTGCAAAAACCGTGTCTCATCATGGAGGGCTACATTTGGACTATAAGTCTGGATTCAGAGAGTGGCACCTTAAAATTTTGAGACGTGTTCCAGGTCAGGTGAGCCTCAAGACGAGGGGAGGAGAGGGATAGTATTAGGAGAAATACCTAATGTAGATGACAGGTTGATGGGTGCAGCAAACCACCATGGCACGTGTATACCTATGTAACAAACCTGCACATTCTGCACATGTACCCCAGAACTTAAAGTATAATAAAAAATAAATAAGTAATAAAAAAATAAAAAAAGAAAAGTGTAGTTTTTGGCACAGCAGAGATAATATATCCAAAATGACAGATGGGGAAACAACTCTGTATACTATAAAAACAATCCCAACTTAGCTTATGAGAGACCATGAGCTGTGGTTGACAGAGCATAGAGCCAGAAATTGTGGGTTTGAGTCCTAGCATTCTCTCTCTATAGCAGGATGAGCCTGCACAAGTCAACCTCCGTCAGGGCAGAAGCCTCCAGGAAGCACTCAGGCACTGGAGTCAGGCAGACCTGAGCTCAAACCCCCATCTCCTTCCCTTCCCAGCTTCATGACCTTGGGTCAGTTAGTTGACCGGGTGAGCCGCCTTCTCTCCCTTTGCCCTCCTGACACTTACTCTGCTATTTTCCTCCTATCCCCAGGCTTCTTTGCCACTGCCTCCTCAACATCCCCCCACCCCCAGTTATTCACGTTGAGGTTCCCGGGGCTCTCTGGCTTAGGCATTTTCTGTTTTCATTCTATATGCTCTTCCTGAACAAGTTGATACACTTCTAAGCCTTCAACTACCATCAGCTTCTAAATTGAAATCAGAATCCCTGAGCCTAAGATCCCTGCATCAAGCTTCCCTGACACCTGTATTGGTCGTTCTCAACTTGTTTGCACTGAATTCATTGTCACCCCCACCGTGATGGCTGCCTCACTGAATGTCATGCCCATCCACCTAGGTAAGCCTAATCCTCCCTTCCCCTGCCCCCTAAGTGCAATGGTCCTATGGATTTTACCTCTGAAATATAGACTTTATTTGTTTATTCAACAAATATTTATTGAGCACTTCCATGTGCCAGGCAGCATTCTCTTCATACTCTTTGCCACTGCCCTGTTCCAGCCCTCCATCATCTTTCCCCTTGATGACCTGACTCCGGAGATCCCCACTTGGCGCCCTTGAGGTCATTCTCCATTCTGCAGTCACTTCCATCTTTTTTTTTTTTTTTTTTTTTTTTTTGAGACAGAGTCTTGCTCTGTTGCCCAGGCTGGAGTGCAGTGGTATGATCATAGCTCACTGTAACTTTGAACTCCTGGGCTCAAGCGATCCTCCTGCCAAGTGATCTGGCCTCCTAAGTAGCTGGAACTACAGGAATGCGCCACCACTCCTGGTTAATTTTTTTTTTTTTTTTAAGTTTCTTGTAGAGATGGGTGTTGCCATGTTGCCCAGGCTCATCTAGAACTCCTGGCCTCAAGCAACCTTCCCTCCTTAACTTGGGATTACAGGCGTGAGCCACCATGCCCGGCCGCTTACATCTTTTAAAGTGTGAATCTGATTGCCTCCCTCCCGCCCCGCCCCTTGAGTGCTCCCTATACCCTCAAGATAAGGTTTCAAATTCTCAGAAACAGTGACATTCTCTGGCTCCTGCTCATGTCCCAGCCTCATCCTAGGCTACCCACCCTTCTCGGTTTTTCTCTCTCCCCTCTTGCGATACTTGCTTTCTTTCTGTTTCTCAAAGAGACCACACTTTTTCCTGCCATTCTCTCTGCCTGGAATACTTTAACCCTCTTACTTCACCCAAATAACTCCTTCCCGTACTTCAGTTCTCAGCTCAACGTCCTGAAGCTGGGAGCCCCTTCCCTGAATTCCCACACTAGGTAAGGTCTCCCTGTGGCATATCACAGCAGCCATGACCTCCTCCCAGGGCTTGGATCGTGAGTGTTCAGCTCGTCTTCCCAAGCTGTGAGCAACATGAGGGCAGGGCCCTAGCACATTGTCTGGCATACAGTGGGTACTCGTTAAAGAGTTATTGTCAAACAGGGATAATGATACTGACATCACAGTGCAGGGTGAAGTATGTGCTTAGGGGAGTTAAGGCAATGACATTAAGAAATATTTCCTAAGCTCCTACTGTATGTCAGACGCTGGCTGGACCCAGGGAGACCAGAGTTAAGAGGACATCATCTCTCCCTTCAAAGAGCTGCCAGTCTAGCTGCAGCTTGAGAACCTTGCAAATCACTCCTCCCGAATTAGTTATGATGGGAGGCCTGGACTTTGCCATGGGCTCTTCACCCCAATTAAGGCTGTAGGCAAAAAGCCCTCAGCCTTAAGCCTTAGCTCTCACACAATGGCTGGTTATGCTAAAGCTAAGCCTCTGCCAGTCTCGTGGTGGCATTTCCCGAACCTGCCTGGCTCTCCCCGAACATGCCTGGCTCTCCCCTACTTCTCCTGTGACCCTCAGAAGAGCAGCTTGATTCTAAGTAGCTACTTCCTTCCCTTGTCACTCCACACTTTGCCTCTTGGGGCTGGCATTGTTAGGGCAACTCGCCCTGCCTGCAAGGCAGGGTGAGGGTTAAAAGTGCCCCGCGACCTCTTCGAGCATCTGTGAGATGGGCATTGGCATGAGGCTTTGGTGAGAGAATGGCTGTAAAGTGCTTGACATGGAGTAAGTGCTCAGTAGTCATTAGCCAGTACATATGGGGTTAGGTTTAGGATCAGGGTCAGTGTCAGGGTTACGGTTAGGTATGTCATTAAGCAACACAAGAGTACCTACTGTGTGCAAGACACTGAGTTGTGGGCATGGTGCTGTGTGCTCAGTGGGCATCCAGCTCTCAGTCTAGAGAACAAGGAATTACAGGAACTATAGTTAGAAGGAACCTGAGAAGTTATTTATTCCAACCTCTCCCTTTACTTGAGCCATGGCGTTTCAAGATACACATACCTAGCGTGCATGACCTAAAAGGTGCACTCAATCTTCTTTCTCTCCCAGAGGTCTCAGTGTCCCTGGTCCTGTGGCTGCACCTAGGCTGTCTCCTCCCCTGATGTTGGCAGCTGAACATACAGGTTCCAGAGCTGGACTGCTTCCTAGCTGGATAACCTTGGGAAAGTTACTTTAACTTCTCTGAGCCTCAGTTTTCTTATCTGTAAAATGGAGCCACAGAGCTGCTCTCAGGATTAAATAAAAGAGGAGCACAATGCCTGGCACATAATAAACATTCAATGAGTGGCAGCCACCGTGGTAATTTTGGCAAGAGTCAAAGTTCTCCACCACCTGCCCCTTGTCCACCTGATCCATTTCTTTTCTGCTGTTCTCCTTCATACGTGCTCTGCTCTACAAGGTTTCCAGAGTGGGGCTTAAGGATCCATGCCTCTGGCCTCTGCCCACGCTTTGAATGCCACCCCTCTTCTGGATCTGATGCTCTCCTATCCATTTGCCAACTCTGACTTACCCTCAGGGTCTGTCTAACTTCAGAACCTGTGCCCTTTGTCATGGTATCCGAAGAAATGGAGGAGGATGGGGTCAAAGGAAGAAGAAGACAGAGGGTCTCGTTCCCAAGACCCTGTTCCCAAGAGCCATGTTCAGAAAGTTCCTTTGGGGCACCGTTTCTGCTGGGTTTGCTTCTTGCCCTGAGTAGGGGGTATTTAGTTCAACAGGGGAGCCAGATAGTCACATGAGCCACCAGCCACAAGTGGACCTTATGGGAACACTGGGTTTGGATTTGGCCTTCATGGTGAACTAATTGCCCATTATGTTCTTTCAAGGTATGGCTCAACTCACCAATATGGACCCACCTAGAAAAATCCCCAAGGGCTATTACGATTGTGGAGACGGCTTCTATAACCCAGTCACGAGGGTAGTCAAGGACTATAGGAACCGCTTTCTAAGAAACGCAGGTAGGTTTCTTCCGACACTGCAGCACGTTTTCTCTTCACCCACATATGAGTATGTGCATCTGTATGTACAAATGTATGCACACACTTGATGAGAAAGAAGCTTTTGCTGATAGAAGATGAAAGTTGATTACCTGGATGTTTTATTTTTTGGACTTCTCGTGGCTGGCAAATCTGTACATAGTCCTAGAGTGAGGTAAAAGCACATTCGTGGTCTAGCAGTGACGGCACATAAATGTCGCACTGAAAGGATTAAGGTACTTATTTTTGTATGCATTCCTTCGATTTTAATGGGCACCTACTATATGCTAGACACTGTGCTTGGTGTTGGGGGAAAAGCAGAGCAAAGCTGGACACAGCCCCCCTTCCTTGTGGAGCTTGCATTCTAAAAGTGGCAGAGAAGTACTATAAACAGTTAATTGTATCATGGAACAAACACAATGAAGGGAAAAACATGGTCCTGTGGGAAGGGAAAGTAGGGGCCCCAGAGAGGTGGGACGGATGCTGTGGGAGCACAAATAAGGGGTATCAAATCCCGAAGCGGTTAGTCAGAGAAGGTTTCAAGGAGGAAATGACTTCTAAGCTGAGACCTGAAGAATAACTGGGAGTTGACCACAAGGCCTGGGGAGAGGGTTTCCCAGCGAGAGGAAATGGCACAGGCAACGGCCTAGAGGGGAGTGATCCCTTGAGGTGCAAGAAGGTTGGTTCATCCTTTAGCCAGGGGAGTAGGTACCTTGGAGGATCCAGAACCTCAGTTTGGTGAGTCAACACAAGGCTGATCAGACTGAGAAGAACCCATTTACAGTGACCAAACTCACAGGAGATCAATACACAAATAATAGAACATTTTCCTTTAATGCAGTGATTCCTAAACTTATCCTTTTCTGAAGTCACACTCCCACTAGGAATATCAAAAGATACGGACCCTCTTGCCAGAAAAATGTCCAATGCATGCACACACACACACACGTGCACCCACACGCGCACATGCATACACACACACATTTTGCAGATAGTCTTAAGGGGTGAATGGTCCCTCTAAAGACCTAGGTCAAGAAACCTTGCTCTATAATGAGAAAGAAACTGCCAGGTAGACCAGAACATCTGTGCTGGTGAATGAGAGCATCCTCTCCCTATAGGGAAATTTACTCAGTAAGTCAGTGATGACCAGAAAGGTGCCTCATGGGGCTAGAATAAGAGCAAGGAGAGGCCGGGCGCGGTGGCTCATGCCTGTAATCCCAGCACTTTGGGAGGCCGAGGAGGGCGGATCATGAGGTCAGGAGATCGAGACCATCCTGGTTAACACGGTGAAACCCCGTCTCTACTAAAAATGCAAAAAATTAGCCGGGTGCGGTGGCGGGCGCCTGTAGTCCCACCTACTCAGGAGGCAGGATGAGACAGGAGAATGGCGTGAACCCGGGAGGCGGAGCTTGCAGTGAGCCGAGATCGCGCCACTGCACTCCAGCCTGGGCGACAGAGCAAGACTCCGTCTCAAAAAAAAAAAAAAAAAAAAGAGCAAGGAGAATTGTCAGCTGATCCTATGACTGGAATCCTGGAGCTAAGATGCCCGTAACCCACTGGATGCTACTGGAGGAACATGGCAAATGCTCACACTCCAAGTCCCCCAGCTCACATTTCTTCAATGACTTCCCTTTTCCATTTGCACAATGCACTACTATGTAGCACGCTAACTCTGCTGGGTGCTAATAGGTTTACCATGAAGTTTCTTGGTCAAATAAAATAAGGAGATGTTGCCCTAAACAATGCTAACCAGGCTTATTTACTGCAGAACTCCTCAGGGCCTTTAATATGCTAATAAACTTTGTACTTTTCCTTCATGACACTTATTTCAACATAATTAAATGTAATTATTTGCTTAATATCTGTCTCTCCCACTGGACTGTAGGATCCGTGTGAGAAGGAACTCTGCGTTATCTTGTATCAGTAAGTGTTCAGTTAGAAAAATGGAAAGAGGCAGGACGCCGTGGCTCATGCCTGTAATCCCAGCACTTTGGGATGCCAAGACAGGCAGATCACAAGGTCAGGAGTTCGAGACCGCCTGGCCAACATAGTGAAACCCCATCTCTACTAAAAATACAAAAAATTAGCTGGGCGTGGTGGTGGGTGCCTGTAATCCCAGCTACTCAGGAGGCTGAGGCAGGAGAATCACTTGAACCTGGGAGGCGGAGGTTGTAGTGAGCCAAGATAGCGCCACTCCACTCCAGCCCGGGTGATAGTGTGATTCTCCATCTCAAAAAATAAAAAGAAAAATGGAAAGAATTTAGTATCAGGAAATTGATGGCTACCAGGGAACTAGAAAAGCAAAGGAAGACATTGAGGTAACAGAGAAAGTAACTGCAGGATGCAGGTACCCCCTCAAGGACTGGGGACAATAGTAAGAGATTAGGTTGTGAGAACCTAGAAGGTCAACAGAGGGACCCCCCAGGACCTGCAACCCAGATCCCTGAGCAGAGACCAGCTGGGGCTTGCTCCTGGGAGCTCAGAGCAGGGCTTCTGCAGAGCTGGGACCCAGACCTCTGGCGGGGGAGCACTGCCAGTGGAGCCTCTGAAGAGAGAGATGAAGCTGATTCTAGGAGTGTGGAAAAAACTGGAAACTGGAAGTGAAATGACACTGCTGAGATGACACTGGCATGAACAACAAAGACAACAGAAAGGGGCGTATCTTTGTCTGCCTGACAGCCCCTAACAAGGAGCCGGCTGGCAAAACTAATGTAATTCAGACAGTTCCAGTCCCACCATTGCCAAGTTAAGTATGGAAGTCTCAGTTTGGAGCTGAGAGTCAGTAGCTTCTTTTTTTTCATTTTGAGATGGAGTTTCACTCTTGTTGCCCAGCTGGGAGTAAAATGACGCGATCTTGGCTCCCTGCAACCTCTGCCTCCCAGGTTCAAGTGATTCTTCTGCCTCAGCCTCCCAAGTAGCTGGGATTACAGGCACCTGCCACCATGCCCAGCTAATTTTTGTATTTTTAGTAGAGGCGGGGTTTTGCCATGTTGGCCGGGCTGGTCTTGAACTACTGACCTCAGGTGATCCATCCACCTCGGCCTCCCAAAGTGCTGGAATTACCTGACACTGCACCTAACCAGGTGTCAATAGCTTCTCACTGGCCCAGCCACCCCTTTTGTTGCTCAGCATCCACACACATTCTTCTACAGATATTAAGTCTTCTGTACAACATTAACAAATGTATATTTTTTTGTATAACAAGTTTCAATGCATCCTTCATATTAACACAAGGCCCTCTCCCCTTCTCCCACAGAGGGGAGATAGGAAGCCCCAACAGACACTGCACCCATCTTTTGAGTGAGGTTATTCCTTGGCAGTTCTGCCTGAAGAGTTTATAACCTACAAGCTCCTGCCAATAATCCTTCTATAAAATAACAAGGATAAAAGAGGAAACAAAAGAAAAAATTAGTTAATAAAAACAAATATGCTAGCCAGGCATGGTGGCTTGCGCCTGTAACCTCAGCTACTTGGGAAGCTGAGGCAGAAGGATCTCTTGAGCCCAGGAGTTTGAGGGCAACCTGGGCAACACAGCAAGACCTTATCTCTTAAAACAAAACAGACCGAGTGCAGTTGCTCCCACCTGTAAACCTAGCACTTTAGGAGGCAAAGGCAGGCGGATCACCTGAGGTCAGGATTTCAAGACCAGCCTGGCCAACATGGTGAAACCCCATCTCTACTAAAAATACAAAAATTAGCTGGGCATGGTGGTGCATGCCTGTAATCCCAGCTACTCAGGAGGCTGAGGCAGGAGAATTGCTTGAACCCAGGAGGCAGAGGTTGTGGTGAGCCGAGATCCGCCACTGCACTCCAGCCTGGGTGATACAGCGAGACCCCCTCTCAAAACAAAACAAAACAAAATGTGCATATAGATTAATAAATAGAAAGATAGATGACATAGATACAGATAGACATACACATACAAGCAAGGAGAAAAAACTGTATCACTACTATAGTTCTCTTTCTGTAACTGGTCACAAGGCTGTAGTTAATATTCATAAATTCCTTCTTCCATTATTCATCCCAGGTTCCATTTGCCTTGAGCCCACCCTTCCATTGTTCTGGCTTTTTACCAGTAGGGTGATCAAAACCTTCATTCCTGAAGGGTCCAAACCCTTAGTGGTCCTGCCTTTGTTGGTTATTTAGTTGGTTGGGTTAGTTTTTTATGAACTTTTACTGTGGTCAGTGGAAGTACCAAGAGGTGTCCTGGAGAACTGCTGGGTTCCATAGAGCGTTCCCTTTCTCCTAATGGATGGCAGCATTATCTTCTATATCCAGCCTTCTCTCAGGAGCCAGGAGAAACTGGTGGTAACACAGATCATAACAGCATAGAGTTGCTCCCAGAGAACTCAGTAGGGATTACTTTACCCTGGAGGCCAGTAAGCCAGGGAGGTTTCCTGGAAAAAGAAAGATCTACTCGGTAACCTAAAAAAGAACAGACGAATGCAGCAGGGTTGGTAAGAGTGTTAAAGGCAGAGGGGACAGCATGTGCAAAAGGATTACAGTTGGGAGAAGACATGTCATAAATAGGGAGCTCCAAGTAATTCAGGGGCATGAGCTAACAGTATGAAAGGAGACAAAGGGCAAGAGACGAAGCCCGAGAGATGGGCGGGGTGAGGACAAAGGTTATGGTTGTCTTTCACCCTAAGGCAGTGGGGAGCAAGGGAAGGCTTTAGGCAGGTAACATAGTAACTCATTTGTTCTTTAGAAAGACTTCTTTGATTACATATAGAGAAGAGGCCAAAGGAGATCAGATTAGGTAGGAGATCCTTCTGGTAAGATGATGGGAGAGAGGAGCATGTGAAGGGCATGGGCTCAGGGTGATGGGATAGGTGACCTGGGATCCTGGTCCTGGCCCCAGCTCTCAGGCTGCCTGCTGGATGACCCTGGGCCAATGCCTTCCCTCTCTGGGCCCCTTTCTCTTCATCTTTAAAATGAGAGAGTTGAACTGGATAATTTCTAGGGCCCTTCCAACCTTAAGTAAGAGTCTATGATGGAGGAGAAAGGTAGCCAAGGAGTATTTTGGTCCTGATATTATAGGACAGATGAAGTTTGGAGTGTCCTGAAAACCACTAAAAAGGAGTCTCTGTTTGTGGCCACCTAGTCATTACCCCTGACTCACCTCACCCTGTGAGGGACTGATTCAGGCTTCTGTCCCTCTTCTGTTTTCCCCAGGGACCTCTTTCTGCTGCATTCCAATCTACCCCCACAAACAGTGCTTCCTGTTGGCATCCTGAAGGCGCAGGCTGCTGGGCCTCTGGGCCTCAGATGGGTGACTGAGGCCATCCCAGAGTAAACACAGGGGCCTCAGCCACTGCTATTATGAAGCATATACCACCTGGGTGGGTCAGAGCTGGGAATGCTTATTGTACAGCAGGTCACGGGCTGGGCCACCAGCAGAAGAGTCACCTTTGCTGTGAGAATTTAAATCCATCCTTCTATGTATCAAAATTCTTTGAACATCTACTGTGTGCCAGGCTTTGGGGTTCAGGGCAGGCAACATATTCTCTCTAACTATAGCTCTCAAACCTTCGACCCGCAGTAAGGAATGTTTTACATCATGACCCAGGATACACACAGGTGCACACGTGTGATGTATGTATCTTTGTACATGCAACAATCTATGACATTTTCTTCTTTTTTTTTTTTTTTTTTTTTGAGACGGAGTCTCACTCTGTCACCTAGGCTGGAGTGCAGTGGTATGATCTTGGCTCACTGCAACCTCTGCCTCCCAGGTTCAAGTGATTCTCCTGTGTCAGCCTCCCGAGTAGCTGGGACTACAGGCACACACCACCACACCGAGCTAATTTCTGTATTTTTAGTAGAGATGGGGTTTCACCATGTTAGCTGGGCTGGTCTCGAACTCCTGACCTCAGGTGATCCGCCTGCCTCGGCTTCCCAAAGTGCTGGGATTATAGGCATGAGCCACTGCGCTCGGCCCGATATTTTCTATCCTATTTATTTTTTAAGATGCTGGTTGCTAGGCACTAAATTGATTTCACAACCTTTTCAAAGGTGGGACCAGCTGTTGGTGGACCATTGTTCTAGGCAGCCTTCCCTGACCATCTCTTCTGTCCTCCACTCCACTGCTTTGCCTGGGTTGGGCGTCCCTCCTCTGTGCTTTCCAAGCCTACCTCTTAGCACTTAGCCATGGACAGTAGAAGTATCTTTATTAGCCTATCTCCCCCACAAGTCTGGGAGCAGCTTGAGGGCAGGGACCACGTGACTACGTCTGATTCATCACTGTGTTCCCAGCATCTCACATGAGTCCCATGAGTTGGAGCTGATTAAATGTTTGTAAAAGACAAAGCATGCAGGCAGGCAGAGCACCTGCTCCTAGGTCCCTCGTATTGTTCAACTAATCACACCAAATTCAATACCTGGCACATGATAGACAACTTATGATTTTGAATAATAAAAACAATCCATTATATTTTTATGCACATCCAAGTTTTCAAAGCAGTTTAACATCTGTCAGAGGTCTTAACCCAGTGGCTCTCAGGACAAATCTGGTTGCAGTTTTTGTTTGGTTGGTCCAATTCTTGAAGCTGCTTGGGTTCGAGCACCTAGGTGGGGCCATGCACTGCCCAGATCCCTCCCACTCCCTTCTGTGTGACCCTAGCAGCATCAGTCATTTCTGGTACCCGCCTTAAAGCCTTTGAGCTCCGGGTCCTTCCATCTCAGACTTCTCATGCATCCAGTGAGCTGGGAATGGGCTCATCCTGAGATTGGGAAACTAGGTCTTGGAGCGATGAATGACAGACATGTGATAGTGAAGCTGGAACTCAAACCCACTCCCATCTTACCACAGCCCAGTGGTCTCTCCGCTACCCTCTACTGCTGCTTACATTGGGACCATAAAGCCTTAAATGATAGCAACTGTAGACAGTTATTACATATTCTAATCAATACTGCAAACACAAAACAAAAGAGAGACTGAGTTAGGATCTCTTGCCCCACAGAGGCTGGGGAGCTGAGAGAGGTGAGAGAGATGGCGTGGTGTGGTGGTTAAAAGCCTGGGGCCTGGAATCCATGCCTCAGGCTGGCCTCTAGTCCTAGATCTACCACTGACCAGCTCTGTGATCATGAATAGGTTACTTTTCCCCTTGGAGCCTCAGTCTCCTCATCTGTAAAAGGGGCATTGTGGTAGTACCTATTGGAGAAATTATGGTTAGAAAAAAAGATTAAGTATTCAAAATACATAGGACAGCACCTGGCCCAAGACAGGTGTCCTGTGACTGGTACTTGTGGCTGTTATCATTATGATGATTATTGACTCAGGCTGGAGAGAAAGAAGTGAGTTAGAGCCTGGGATTTGTTAAGCTTTCTCTAGGTGCCTGAGAGGAGTCTCTAGGGAGACAGATGTGCCTGGATATGCTGTCTTTCTGCCTCCTCAATGGTTTTGCTTGGAAAATGAGGTGCTGCTGAAACTTTGGGATCTGCAAATGCTTGATTATGGCATTCAGAGCCCCAGCCTAACTTTGAAGGTCTACCTTCCATCCTGCTGTCTCTTCTGCCCCATGTTCTAGTCAAACAGGACTAGCTGGCATTCATTGATAAACACAACCAGCACTTCCTACTGCCTATTCTCACCTCATGTATTGCCCCAGCACAGAATGCCTTTCCCTCTTTTCTCCGCCCATCTCAGTCCTCCTCATCTGTCAATGCTTAGCACATAACAGAAGGCCATGAAGTCTTTGCCTGCAACCCTCAAACAAGGGCATGTGGCTTTGCCTGTGCATCCACAGCTCAGCTGGGAAAGGAAAGCTTATTGTGGAGGATCCTTGCTAGGCTCTGTGCCAAGCACTTTAACAGCTTACCTTGGCCATGTGCAGTGGCTCACGCCTGTAATCCCAGCACTTCGGGAGGCTGAGGCTGGCAGATCACCTGAGGTCAGGAGTTCAAGACCAGCCTGGTCAACATGGTGAAACCCTGTCTCTACTGAAAATACAAAAATTAGCTGGGCATGGTGGCGCACACCTGTAGTCCCAGCTACTCGGGAGGCTGAGGCAGGAGAATTGCTTGAACCTGGGAGGCAGAGGCTGCAGTGAGCTGAGATCGTGCCACTGCACTCCAGCCTGGATGACAGAGCAAGACTCAGTCTCAAAAACCAACAAAAAAACAGCTTACCTCGCATGGTCTTCCCTGCCACCCCAAGTGGGTAATTTGCATGAGACACAGTTTGCAGTTTGCAATGAAGACACTTGGTCTCAGGTTAAAAACTTGCTCGTGTCACACAACTAGTGATACAGTCAGATTCAAGTCCCAATCTTCCCAAAGCCTGTCCTTTTCATTCTTCTTGCCAGCGTCATGGTTCTGGTTTATTCTGTATTCCTCTATCTCCTCTCTAGATAGGGGCATGTCTGATTTATAGTTGTTCCCCCACCAAGCACAGTTCCTGGCACCCAGTGGGAGCTCAGTAAGGTTCCCAAGTGAATGAAAAGGTCCATCTTAGAGCTTTAAGACAAAAACACCACAGTCCTCACAATCAGATGCTACTTCATTTGAAAAAGGGTCCTTTATACACTGTGAGCTAATAAAGAAGCATTTGGAGCTATTTGGGCAAATGGCCTTTACCATGATGGGAAACTGGTAGACTAACTCTAGCCCTTCCCCCTCCTACACGTCCCTGTCATTCCTCTTAGGAAGGATAAGCTAGAGCCTCGCTGGCAGTTTGTATGAGTATCTCTTTCATGGGGCTGTTGCTTGCCTCAGTGTTACTAGTAGTAATCATCTGCAAAATAACTGTACCACTAATCTTTACTCCCTCCTCCCAATTAATGATACCCCATGCGAGTGTCTCAGATGAAAGACACATTATTAATATTCAAAGAAAAAACCCTCGTAACCATTTTAACATATACAACTAACAATGAACTAAATTTGCTTTGTGGAAGACAGAGAGTGAGCATCCCAAATTAGTTTATGTAAAAGCTGAAATTCTTCCCCGAAAGGTCTCAGTACCATCCTCAAAGAATATCCTGATCATCAGAAATGCCGTCAAGATTCCCGCCAACATTATCCCCTTTGTTGTCTGAAATGTCGAATCAAGCACATCTGGCAAATGTCCTAGAGCTCACAAATCTTTCAAACAGCATATAATTCCCAATGGTTAAAGAGATAACGCCACCGCTTAATCGTGCTGCTCTTCAAAATAGCACCAACTTTCCTTCAGTCAGAAACAATGGCTTTGGCTTCTTAAAAATATCACACACCAGTGATTATTTGCAGAGAGGGCCCTTTTGCATTTGAACCTGTGGGTTCCAGACAGAATTTAAAATCAAAACCACAAGCCTCATTTGAATGCACACTCCATTAAATGGACAATGGGAATAAGGGGTGTGAATTGGGGTCTGAAAAGTAACCTGGCTTATGTGACTCGGCTGCCACCACCAGAATCATGAGGAAGATGGCGATGATGGTGGTGGTGAGAGCTAACCATGACTGAGCTTTTGCCATGCACCAGACCCTCAACCAAGGGGTAGGGAGTACTCATGTGGTCCCTGTTTGACAATGAGGAAACAGGCTCAGTGGGGTTAAGGAATTTCCCCAGGAAATTTGGCAGGAGCCCGAATTCACACTCAGGCTCGCCTGCCTCCCCAGGTTTCCCGCTTTCCATTTCTGGCCAGCTCCAAGATCATCTGTTGAAAAAGGCATGGGTGAAAAGCTCCCAGACATGATGTTTATCTGCTCCCCACCCAGCTTTAGAAAAGGGCGAAATTTAAGCCGCACAGTGAACACCTAGAGAAGAAAGATCACTTTTGTCTTCTAAATTTTCTCTGGTGTTTTTTAGACAGTTGAAAACTGGAAACATCCTCAGTGTCCAATAGGAGAGGACTGATTAAATAACATATAGTTTATTCTTACTACAGAATACAATGCAATCATTAAAAATGGCAGCGAAGAACTAGATCTACTGATATACAAAGGTATCCATATTTTATTTCAGGTGATAAAGCAGGATAATAATAATAGCCAGCATTTGCCAACTGCTTACTGTGTTCCAGGCACTGGTCTAAGCCCTTTACATATATTTTATTTTATTTCATTTTATTTAATCTCCACAGTAACCCTGCAAAGTCATTATCCTTGTTATTCCCACTTTACAGATGATGAAACTGAGGCAATGTGAAATGCCTGCCCAAAGTCAAACTGATAGCAAGTGGCAGAGCTGGAATTGGAAGCCAGGTCCAGCTGACTTCAAAGCTAAAGACAATGTTAGAGCTGACTTTGAATGAGAAGTTGGAGTTTACTAGTGCAAGAAAGAAAGAACCGAGGGCCTGCCTAGCAGCCCTATATTTTATAGAGATATAAAAAGTATACATCCAAAGAGTGTAAGGTTGCAGATGACTATTCCCAAGACAGTTCTCTGCCCACTTTCTTGCTCAAACTTTGGCCAATGAACAAGTCTTTCTTTTTTTTTTCTTTGAGACGGAGTCTCGCTCTTTCACTCAGGCTGGGGTGCAGTGGCACAATCTCGGCTCACTGCAAGCTCTGCCTCCTGGGTTCACGCCATTCTCCTGCCTCAGCCTCCCAAGTAGCTGGGACTACAGGCGCCCACCACCATGTTCAGATAATTTTTTGTATTTTTTTTTGAGACAGAGTCTTGCTCTGTCACCCAGGCTGGAGTGCAGTGGTGCGATCTCGGCTCACTGCAAGCTCCGCCTCCCGGGTTCACGCCATTCTCCTGCCTCAGCCTCCCGAGTAGCTGGGACTACAGGCGCCCACCACCATGCCTGGCTAATTTTTTTTTTTGTATTTTTAGTAGAGTCGGGGTTTCACCATGTAGCCAGGATGGTCTCGATCTCCTGACCTCGTGATCTGCCCTCCTTGGCCTCCCAAAGTGCTGGGATTACAGGCGTGAGCCACTGCAACTGGCCAATTTTTTGTATTTTTAGTAGAGATGGGGTTTCACCGTGTTAGCCAGGATGGTCTCGATCTCCTGACCTCGTGATCCGCCCGCCTCGGCCTCCCAAAGTGCTGGGATTACAGGCATGAGCCACTGCGCCTGGCCAATGAACAAGTGTTTCAGTGCCACTGACAAACCAAGACTCCCCTAATCTTGAAGCCACTGCCTTCCCCTGACAGATGAGAAATCTGAGACCCAGAGAGGGCAAATCACATGTCCAACCCCACACAGACTGTCTGTGGTAGAGCCAGGGCTGGTACCCTGGTTTCCCACTGCTGGCCGGAACTCCTTCTGCAAACCCAGGCTACCTTGCCACAGTGCTTTCCTTGCAGTTTCTGCAAAATGGCCGAGTGAGACTCCCCCACAGCCTCCTCCCGCTGTCATCCCTCCAGCGAGACAAAAGGCAATTTACCGAAATGTTATAATCACCTGGAGGCTGGCACGCGGGGACATCCATGCTTTATCTGCGGTGTTGTTAGCAGCACCGTAATGAAGGCTTTGTGGAGGGATAATACGCTGTAACTGCCAAATCAAATGCCCGCACCAATCACACATCCCTGCCAGCAGACGCGCATTTGCTGTAAGCAAAAGGGGTAGGAAAGAAAGTTATGAGTATTGAACGCCTCCATGGTGCCAGGGACTTACCACATCCCAGTTCTTTGAGGAATAGACCATTATTCGTATTTGGCAGATGCAGAAACTGAGGCTCTGGGAGTAAGTTATTTACTGACAATCAAGCAGCTAGTAAAGGGAGGAACCAGGGTATGAACCCAGGTCCCTCTGACACCAGAGGCCATGCTCTGAACTGATGAAATATGCTGTGGCCTTTTCTGAACCATGAACCTGTCTGAGAATCTAGGCCCAGCTACGGACCTCTCCCCAGAGAAATACACTTGAATTCACAAACAGAATTTTGCCTACAGAGGGCGGGATTGGCCACTTGGAAGCCATCCATACAGCCCTGTCAGGACCTTTGCTCTAGGAATAACAGCCTACCCAGCTTGCCGCCTCTCCCTGGACTGCAGGAATTGCCCATTGCCATCCTCTCTCCCCACCCCAGTTCCAAAGGCCCTGGAAATTCCCCTTCCAGCCATGGTGCCCATCAGATTCTGGTAACAATTCCTCCCCTGCCGCCCCCCGACTCCCCCACGGCAGCCTCCTGGAGGCATTCGAAGGACACAGCTTCCCCTTCAGTAGCTGGAGTCAACCTGGACCAGCACTGTAATGGTTTGTTTTGTCTCCTTTAATAGAAGTGAGTGGAAAGCCAGACCCTATGAGGCCGGAGCCTACTCTCTTTCTCAGCCCAAGCTCTGGAACTCAGCACTGTTGACTGAAACCCCTCAGGTCCAGGAGAGGCGGACAGGGTCACAGGCAGGTATTTAGAGCCAGCCAGATCTGCAAGCAGATCCCAACTCTGCCACTCACCAGCTGTGTGACCTTGAGCTAGGCCCTTAACTTCTCTGAGCTTCAGTTTCTTCACCTGAAAAAATGGGGACAGAAATAGACCCCCCTTCCAGGGCTGGGGCCTGAAGTGAGATGACATGCATGAGGTGAGATGACACACTCCAGCAAGAACAGCGGCTGGCCCTAAAGAAGCACCTTTCGGTGCATGTTGACAATCACAGTCGTGATCCTTTTACACCCAGGGTGAAAAGGTGAAAAGCAGGGGCCTCCTTAACTCCACATCCCAAAGGGAGGAGCCAGTGTTACCATGGCAAACTGAAGTCTGGCCTCCTCCCATCTGCTTTTAATTCTAATTTCAAGACTGGACTAGAGGTCTGTGGTTTTCTGATCTCTCTACCCAGCCCCTGGCATTCTGTTACGGACGTGTCCCCATCATCCTCATCGTTTCTTATGCACCTAGAGCCTTAGGCCCCCTAAGCTCCCCCTAGACACAGGCCTTTGTTGAGTCCCTGCATCCACCAGGGTTTCACTTGGGGATCAGACCCAGGGCCTGGCCCCCACCAAAACCAGTGCAGGGCTAGAGGGAACATATACATAAATAGACAGTCACAGGACTGGGGTGGGTGTTCTCTGGATAGAGGCCTGGGCCCTTTAGGGAGCCTAAATGTTCAAGAGACTGTGAAGAAACTCCCACCCCTCGAAATATAGCTTAGGAATCAAAATAACATAAACCAAAAAAAAGCACAGGAAGCAGTCCAACACAATTCTGTATTCCCTACGATGTTTAATTTTAAATATCAAATATGAGATTCTTTCCAGAAAACTGGGAGTATCCCTATTTCAGTGGTGCCAGGAGCTACATTCACAGTGTGCTACACACACAGAGAAGAGCATCAGTGTGTCCCAAGCTATCCAGATGATGTCCTGGAAAAGGTGGAGTTTGGCTAGGCCTAAAAGGATGAGAGGTGGATTCTGCTGCATGGAAGGGAAGGAGCAATATGGGCAAAGGTCCAGAGAGATGCAGGGGTACAGGGTGCTCCAGATGGAGCAGCTGAAAAGGCTTGTGTGTTGGGGAATGGGGAAGGTGTCAAGGAGGCCTCAGACTGGACTTTGATGATTATGGAGGAGTAGGTCTCAGTGAGGCATTCAAGGCAGAGGGACCCAGTGTGGGCTGGAGAGAGCCTTGAATAGCAGGTTAGGGAGTTTAGCTTCAGTCCTTCAGACGGTGAGGAGTAAAGACGGGAGTTGCAGAAAAGTTCCTCAGGGAAGTGGGTAGCGGTCAAGGCTGCAGCTCTGAAGACAGACTTGGCTATCACTCTGCACCCACTCACATGAGCTGGGTAAGCTCGGGAAGACACCTTCACCTCTGAGCCTCAGTAGCCTCCCCTGTAAAAGAGGTAATGACATTGTCTTTCCACGACTGCTGTGAGTATTCAATGAGTTCTGGTCTGTCACAGACTTCTGCAGATTCCTGCCTAACACCCCTGCTGACTGTTGCCACTGCTCTAGTCTTAATTCAGCCTTCAACATTTGCCAACTGGACAACAGGCTCCCGCCTGCCGGGGCCCCTTCGGTCCATCGTCCACTTGCAGCCAGGGATTAGGGGCCAAAAGAAGCAGAGGGTCAACGCAGAGGCTGTGGGGTCAGGCCAACAGAGTGACCTTGGCCATGGCACTTGGTTCCTCTGAACTGCCTTAGGACAGCAGCTAGGCATCATGAACATGTTTAGTGAACATGGATTCAATTATAAGTGCTCAAAAAGAAAAGGGGGCACCAGGAAGCAGGAGGAACAGCAACATCAACAGTGTTGGTGATTTTGCATCCCCTCTCCATTCAGCACACATGCGTTCTGCAGTGAATGTGAGGACACTGCATCAGTCCTCTCCATCCCTGTGTGCCTCCTGTCCGGGGAGCACCTTGCTACAGAGGATGATTCTAGCATTTAAAGATATGTACCTGGACACGGTGGCTCAAATCTGTAATCCTAGCTCTTTGGGAGGCTGAGGTGGGTGGGTCACTTGAGGTCAGGAGTTCAAGACAAGCTTGGCCAACATGGTGAAACCCCGTCTCTACTAAAAATACAAAAATTAGCCCGGTGTGGTGGCGGGTGCCTGTAATCCCAGCTACTTGGGAGGCTGAGACAGGAGAATCACTTGAACCTGGGAAATGGAGGTTGCAGTGAGCCAAGATCACGCCACTGCACTCCAGCCTGGGTGACAGAGCGAGACTCCATCTGGAGGAAAAAAAAAAAAAGATATGTATGTTTTGATCAGTGTCACCCATAAACACTACTCATATGCATCTGGACCTCAACAGCAAGACAAACTCTCTAACAATTGTCAGAAGACTGGCTATGTGGGCCAGGCTTGGTGTGCCTGTAATCCCAGCACCTTGGGAGGCTAAAGTGGGAGGATTGCTTGAAGCCAGGAGTTTAAGACCAGCCTGGACAACAATCCAAGACCCCATATCTACAAAAAAAAGATTTTTTTAAATTAGCCAGGGGTGGTGGCACACCTGGAGTTCAGCTACTGGGAAGCTGAGGTAGGAGGATCTCTTGAACCCAGGAGTTCAGAGGCTGAAGTGAGCCATGATCACACTGTGCACTACAGCTTGGGTGACAGAATGAGACCCCCTGTCTATAAAAATTTTTTTTCTTTTTTTATTTTGAGACAGAGTCTTGCTCTGTCGCCCAGGCTGGAGTGCAGTGGCATGATCTCGGCTCACTGCAAGCTCCACCTCCTGGGTTCACGCCATTCTCCTGCCTCAGCCTCCTGAGTAGCTGGGACCACAGGTGCCCGCCACCACGCCTGGCTAGTTTTTTGTATTTTTAGTAGAGACGGGGTTTCACCATGTTAGACAGGATGGTCTCGATCTCCTGACCTCGTGATCTGCCTGCCTCGGCCTCCCAAAGTGCTAGGATTACAGGCGTGAGCCACCGCACCCGGCCTATAAAAAGTTTTTAAAAATAAGAAGTCTGGCTGTGTGGCACTTAGTGAGATGTCCATCTCCAGCATGGGACCTTCCTAAGAGATTTCCAAGGGTCATTATGACTATGGGAACTTTTCCCCTCACCCATCAACTGAAGCACCTACGGCTCCCACCTGAGACAACACCAGCTGTCCATACACAGAGATGTTAATGAGGATTGCATGATGGCAGGCATGCAAAGTGCCAGGCATGGCCCCTTGCACACGGAAGTGCTTCCTAATATGAGGCAGCTATATTCCTTGCCCTGACTTAGCCCCATCCCAGGGATAGTCCTAAATCCAGCCTTAGGCCTAACTTTGGAGACCCCACCTCAATTATTTCCACATATTAAAACAAAGTGTATCCACATGAAATATAAATCCCACATTAAATATAAAAATTTTGCTGTTGCTTGGTAAACTGCTTTACTACGAGTCTTTAACAATTGGCCATGATTTCCTGAGAGTCATGCATACTGGAGAATTCTCGAAAAATGAGGAAATTGAGCCTACAATTGGATTTCAAGTGTAATAAAATTGTTTTGATTTCTAAATTTAATAATTAAGTCTGAATGCATTAATTATAACATTTATTAATTTCAGTTTTGTAGTTTCTCTTTTTTTCTGTTTAGAGCCAATCATCTTTTTCTAAGCCTTTTACATTTGAATAGGCCTTGAGAAGCTTGTGGGTGCTTGGCCCAGCCCTCCACCCAGCCCAGAAGATGCTCTTCTATGGGGAAAAGCCGGAGCAGGCCCAAGGCCTTCCACCTCCCCGCCCTGTGGCAGGCTTTGCCTAGGCAATGACTCCTCAGTCAATATTGACAATGCTGTGGCCTTGGCCTCTGGCCACCACTGCCAGCAAAGTTCAAAGCCTCTTTCTTGTCAGGAGTGGTGATGGGGATGCCTGGGCATTGCTGCCCTCACTGTGGCACTGCCATGGCCCTGCCCCACCAGCTCACGTAGGCTGCATTTGCACAGAGGGTGTGGCAGGGCGGTGAATGGGACCCATAGGTGCCCACAAGCTGGGGAGCCTGCTTTGCAGTGCACCCCCCATCCCAGCCTGGAGTCCTCTGAGGATGGGCCTAGACCCCCCCAAAAGACGACAGCCCCTATGACAGAAGCTTCCTTCCTCCAGGTCCTGGTCCAGCCCTGTGCTCACTGCCACCCTGGCATTCGGCATAAGCCCTGGGCTGTCTCTGTGGGTTGGAAGTGCCTCTGCTCTCTGCACGTGATGACACACACTGAGACTTTAGGGACTCACATCCTGCCACACTCAGCCAGTCACATGAGCCACACACCATGTGCACGCCTCCCCTCAGCTGCAGCCACTCCCACACTCACGCACACATCTCTTCACGCTTATGCTGGTGTGAGAGCAGTTGGATGGGAATACACACACACCTGTGTCTGTGCACACACTCGCAGCTTCACTGAGCGTAACTCTGGTGCCAGACACACTGAGCCCTTCCCTCTGCCCTGATGGAAGGAATTGGGGCAAATCATTTCTCCCATCAGTTTCCTCATCTTAAGTGGAGACAGCCCCATCTCACTCACTGAGGAGAGGACGAGTGTAGCCCCCACATACACGCGGAGCTGGGCACCTCCTAAGTGCCCGGCCATTGTGAGCTCTGCCACTCTCCCAAGGCAGACGCTTTGTTTCATCTTGGTCTCTTCCCTTCCCTACTCCCCATACCAGCCCCCTCACTCACACAGGATGGAAGCTGCATAGCAGCGGTGACCGCAGGTGTGCGCAGCCCAAAGGCGTGCGAAGAGCAGGCAGAGCCCAGCCTGTGGGTGTGCAGTGACCCCAATCCGCCTGCTTGCCTTCCCTGGGCTCGCCTGCCCTGGCTTGCCCTGCTGGCTTTGAACAAAAATTATTAGCTGAGCTGTGGCCCTTGATCCTAGGGCACTGATCCTCGTGTGAAGACCTCCTCCTCCCGCAGGCTCCCCCTCCATCCTGGCAGGGAACCAGAAGTCCTGGGAGTGTCCTGAGCGAGTCCCTTAAGGACGCTCCCTTACAGGCATCCATTTTGGGAATGAAAGACCTATCACAATGGTGATTGTAGCTTCCATTCCTGGGTGCCCACCAAGGGCCGTTCATCCTGGTCAGTCCTCACTCTGCCCTCTGCAGAAAGTCTGGTGAAACCTGCTACAAAGACGAGGAGGGTGGCTCAGAGATGGGAGTGACGTGTCCAAAATCACCCAGCGAGTCGGTGGCTCAGCATCGGATCCAGGCTTGTTCGGCTCCAGAACTCCTTCTAGTCTTTGCTGTGTTGCCACATGAGCCCTGAAGTCCTACCCTCACAAGTTAACTTCTGGCGTTTCTTTTGGTTTTTGGCATTTCCTGTGCCCCAAGTGCTGTGCTAACCTTTTTTAGGAATGATCTCACTTGGTCCTCATGCAAGCCTTCAAGACAGGCATCTTTGTAGATGAGGAAATGAGACCTAGGGAGGTGTGAGGCCACTCGCTCAAGGTCTGTGGGCTAGTGACAGAATTCCAGTGCCCAAGCTCTTAACCATCATGCCACACTGCCCCCTCCCTGCGAATCCTCTGAAGAGCTGATATTTCCTTGCAGCTGTTCTGAGACTTTCAGGATCTCTTTTTCCCCCAGCTGTGCACTGACCTGCAGGCTGCACTAATGTCACCTGGTGACCTGGGCACAGCTCAGCAGACCCGGCACAGCTGTGCCCTGTACAGGTCAGCTCCTCCCTGCCTTCACTGAGAGGCAAGTCCCAGGCCAGCCAGGCTTTGAGCTTCCTGAGTGGGGTTAGTGCCCAGGTATGACCCCACACAACCCAGCCTCTCCATGTGGTAGGGCTGCCCAATCTATTGCCCCAAATCACAAAAGGAACCAGCAGCTGGCGGTCTTGGACTTGCCCTTGGCGTGCCTGCCTTGCCCTCTCACAAGCTCTGTTTGCCCAGGGTGGGGAAGAAATTCCTCCCCCTTTGTCAAAACCCCACAGGGTAAACCTGTTGCTTTTATGTCCCCAAATTTACATTTCTTTATTCATTATTCACCACGTACTTATGAAATACTTTAAGTGCTAGATCTGTGCTGGGCCCTGACCATCAAAAGTAAATGGTACAGGCTGGAGGGGGTGACTACAACGAACACTGTGACTTCGGCTCAGGGAAGGCTAACATCCGGGCAGGGTCTGTGGGGGTAGGGGACAGCCAAGAGAGTATGAAGCCCAGCCCACACATTCATGGGGCCTTTAAGTATGGATTGTGACCCTGTTCATCAGACAACTCAAAATTCACACCCCCTTTCCTGACCATAGTGCCTCAGCACACTATGAACTTATACATTTTTGGAAGAAATCCTAGAATAATACACTCATATTACATTTGGTTGTTTGTGTTAAAAGCAGCAATTTGTCCGCCGGGCGCCGTGGCTCACACCTATAATCCCAGCACTGTGGGAAGCCAAGGCGGGTGGATCGTGAGGTCAAGAGATCGAGAACATCCTGGCCAACATGGTGAAATCCCATCTCTACTAAAAATACAAAAATTAGCTGGGCGTGGTGGCGCATGCCTGTAGTCCCAGCTACTCAGGAGACTGAGGCAGGAGAATCGCTTGAACCCGGGAGGCGGGGGTTGCAGTGAACCAAGATTGCGCCACTGCACTCCAGCCTGGCGACAGAGCGAGACTCCGTCTCAAAAAAGAAAAAAAAGTAATTTGTCAAATGTAAATGTTTAAACTATACTGTAATTGTTAGCACCTTGCTTAGGCCTGTTTTCAATTTTATATACACTAATACTACAAAATGGAAAGTACCTTGGGTCTCTGTTGTGTTCTGAGAGGCCCTGAACCCAAACCAGGTCCTGAAGGAGGAAGGGTGGTCCCTTGGGAATAGCAAGTGCAAAGGCACAGAGGCACTGGCGAGCATGCACGTGGACTACTGCAGTTCCTCCGGTGGCTGCATTTTACAGTGCGAGGGGAGCTGGGAGGGAAGCGGGGAGGGAAGCAGGCCTGGGAAGCAGGGGAACCTGGCGACCTTGAAGGCCAGGCTGAGGAGTGGAGAGCCTTCTCAGGGAAGTTTTTCACTGGGGTAGCCCATGGTCAGATTTGGGGTGTCTCTTGCAATATGTTTCTTTTCTTCTCTATAAAAAGCCCAGTTATCCCAATGACCTATGAGGGCAGGGCATGCAGGTGGCAGCGAGGTCACTTCCAAAGCTTCAGAACCGGAATAAAGACATCTTTCGGCCCCAAAGATAGACCTAAACCTGAAGTGCACCTGGGTCCTGGCAGCGCTCACTGCTGGTCTCAGTCCCACCTGTCCCTAACACTGGCCACATGGCTGGCCACAGGATTGGGCTTGCCAATTCATTCATTAATTCAAAAGCTATCAACTGAGAACCTACTATGTGCCAGACACTCCCCTAAGCACTGGGATATCATAGTGAACAAGCAGGCAGGGCTCCTGGTCTCACTGGAGCTTACAGTCTGGATAGGGAGACAGACAACATGCACGTAAACAAATACATATGCAGGGAGTGGCTTATGCTATGGAGAAAATAAAATGAAGACAAGATGGGGTGACTGTGAGTGGAGGCGGTTAGATTAGGGTCATTGAGAAGGTGACATTTGAGTTGAGACCTGGATGCCGAGAAGGGGGTGCATAGGGAATATTTGTTGATGGCAATTGACACAAGTCAGAATGAAAAAGGCTTATTCCAGACTTCATCTGGGAGAGTATTTATTAAGCACCTACTGTATGCTGGGTCTAGTGGTCAACAAATCAAACATGGTCCCTGCATTGAGAGCTTACAGTCTAATGGGAGAGAAAAACATTATATAAAAAAATATGCAAGCCGGGCACGGTGGACCACACCTGTAATCCCAACACTTTAAGAGGCCGAGGTGGGCGGATCACCTGAGGTCAGGAGTTTGAAACCAGCCTGGCCAACATGGTGAAACCCCATCTCTACCAAAAATACAAAAATTAGCCAGGTGTGGTGGCACGGGCCTGTGATCCCAGCTACTCGGGAGGCTGAAGCAGGGGAATTGCTTGAACCTGGGAGTTGGAGGCTGCAGTGAGCTGAGATCGCGCCATTGCCCTCCAGCCTGGGTGACAGAGCAAAAACTCCATCTCAAAAAAAAAAAAAAGGCAAATAAGTATAGATTCAAAAATTGTGATCTGAGGGGACCATGAAAGAAAAGGGAGTGAATGACATCAATCTGGATGTCTGGGTCTGTGAAGGGATGTCCACTCCTCTTAGAGAACATGAGGATCTCACCTTTTAGGGAGCACACTGGGTTTTCATGTATTTCTTAAACTGTTTATTTGAAAGCAGTTAAATTAAGAGAATTCTCGCAAAGATAGTACAGAGTTGTCAATGTACCCCACGCTCAATTTCCCTGTTATGACTGTCTTACATTGGATGGTACATCTGTCACAGTTAGTGAACTAATATTGATGTTATGATTCACTAAAGCCCATACTTTTTACAGATGCCTTTTCCTAATGTCCATTTTCTGTTGCAGGATCCCATCCTGTCTCCTTAGGCTCCACTGGGGGATAGCTGTTTCTTAGGCTTTCCTTGGTTTTGGTGACAGTTTTGGGGAGTATCGGTCAGATATTTTGTAGGATGCCCCTCAACTGGAATCTGTCTGATGTTTTTTCTCATGATTAGATTGGAGTTGTGGGTTTGGGAGGAAGATCACAGAAGTAAAGTGTCATTTTCATCCCATCCTATCAAGGGTCCAGACTGTCACCACGACTTACCAATGTTGCTGTTAACATTGATCACCTGGCTGAGGTAGTGTTTGTGAGGTTTCTCCATTATAAAGTTACTTTCCCCTGCTCCCTTTCCATACTGTACTCTTTGAAAGTCACTATGCACAGCCACGCTTCAGAAGTGGGGATTTTTGCTGCAACGCTTTGAGGGCAGAGTACATAAATTACTTGGAATTCTCCTGCACGGATTTGTCTATTCTGATTTTTATGCATTTTTACCAGTATCTTTATGCAAGGTCTTTTTGCTTTTCAGGAGTTCAAGAACCCTGTTGGTATTTCTAGGAACCTAGAAATTTTGTTTTATATTTATTTATTTATTTATTTAGAGACAGGTTCTCAACTCTGTCACCCAGGCAATCACAGCTCACCGCAGCCTCAACCACCCCAGGCTCAGGTGATCGTCTCACATCAACCTCCCGAGTAGCTGGGACCACAGGTGCTTGCCACCATGCCCAGCTAATTTTTCTATTTTTTGCAGAGAGGAGGTTTTGCCATGTTGCCCAGGCTGGATTAAAACTCCCAGGCTCAAGCAGTCTGTCCACCTCAGCCTCCCAAAGTGTTGGGAGTACAGTTATGAGCCACCACGCCCAGCCAAAATATCTTATTTCAATTAACAAAATGCGTGAAATTACCAAGACATTACATTGGAGGGTAGGAAAAAAGCCAATAATTTTTTTTTTTTTTTTTGAGACAGAGTCTTGCTCTGTCACCATGCTGGAGGGCAGTGGCGCAATCTCGGCTCACTGCAACCTCTGCCTCCTGGGTTCAAGTGATTCTCCTGACTCAGTCTCCCATGTAGCTGGGACTATAGGCACCCACCACCACGCCCAGCTAATTTTTGTATTTTTGTAGAGACAGGGTTTCACCATGTTGGCCAGGATGGCCTTGATCTCTTGACCTCGTGATCCACCCACCTCAGCCTCCCAAAGTGCTGGGATTACAGGCGTAAGCCACCGCGCCCGGCAAAAGCCAATAATTATTTTAATTATTTTTCTATTGTCAATACCCATTAGTGAAAGAAGATTTGGGAAATAAAAGCGGAAAGAGAAACTCTCTCATCCCACTGTGCAGGGCTATTATTCACATTTCAATTTATCTTTAATTTTTCTTCTGTGCACAGTTATGACATAGGATATACTATGTGTACTTTTATTTCTTGTCTCTTCTTGCCTTTTTTCTTTTGCTTATTATCACATCAAAAACATTTCCCCCATGTTGCTATACAAACTTCCTAACAATTATTTTCAGTAGCTGCTAAATATCCCCTCAAGTGTCTTATAGTATCCACCTCCCCGAATCTAGCACAATGCCTGGCACATAATTATTTGTTAAATGAATGCATATACAACAAAATAATCATTCCCTCATTTTTAGAAATGTACATTTTCCTTTTTCCTGATTCTAAATAGTTCCGAGACAAATAGATTATCCCTTTAAGAATAGTGTCCCAGAGTGGAATTACCGGGCCAACAGGGACCAAAAATTTTTAAGATAAATGCACCAAACCAGAAATCTTCCTTCTCTCTGCACCACTGGCAGTTGTGCCAAGGGTAATAATTTACAATTGATTAAAGAGTTTGTGGGGTGTTTTTCCCCCATCTTTTTTCTCCCTCCTTTCCCTCTCCCCCTCCTACCAAAAAAGGGGAGAAATTATCTGAGAAGGTGAAGATATTCTCAGACAATCATATTAACATATTCCAACAATCGCAATTTGCAAAATAGTAATCACAACTCCCAGGATCTGGGAGGCATTAATCAAAGCTGCAGGTTTAATTCCATTTTAAATATTGATGAAATGTGCTTCGGCAACCTCACCCTGGCGTGGCAGGGCCAGGGGAGCCGCAGAGAGGCGCAGGGGAGGCGGAGGGAGGGGTTGGTGAGCAGCTGCTGGGAGGGGAGGCATCTGTGATTCAAATTGGTGGCTGTACAGCCAGGTAGAGAGTGAAAGGGGTAGTGAAGAGGGCTGTTAAGTCCATTGCTGTCAATTTTTAACGATCAGGGAGGGGCCTGAGGACTGGTTCAGCACAATACACCCAGTTTGTCTGGTTTCAGGGGTTACTGCTGAAGAGGTTGCAGCTGCACTGATTCGAATAGCCTGGAGACTTCAGAACTGTAATTATCAACCAGGCTGCTCACAGTGTGGCAAAAGTGGGCTCCACCAGCGCTTAACTCCTTGTGTGCTGACACATCATCGCTGCTTTCCCCACCCCTGGATTTCCCAGCCGCAGCAGGGACTCCCAGGCAGCCTCCCCAGAGGAAACTGAGGCTCACTGGCTGCTTGCCAGAGTGTGCCAGGCAGCAAGCCGTTTTCCTTAGGTCTCATGTAAAGAAATGGTGGGCAGGTGGTTAGTGATGTGGAGGCAGCCTCAGCTCCTGGCGTGCTCACATCTGCCCTGGGGTGAGAGGTCAGGCTGCAGAGCCTGGTGAACCTTGGTTGGAATCCACTGGCGATGGACTTAGGACAAGGCTCTCCCCTACCTGACTGGGCTGTTACAAAGATCCAATGAGACACAGTGTCTGCAAAGCACCAAGCACACATAGGCTGTCTGTGAGCCTCCATCTCTCTGCCCCTGGGTCTGGTGCCTTTCACACAAAAGGAAGGCATCCCTGGCAGGGGATCTGATTCAGGCAAGCTTTCCGCCAGCCCTCTGTATTTCAGCTCTCAGGGAGTGCCCTTGTTCCCAAGCATCTGCCATTTGTCACCCAAGGAGGGTGGACACACCCATCCTCCCATCTCTTAGGCAGGAGGCACTGGGCTAGACACAGGGTAAGGAGAGGAGGCAAGAACTCCTCCAGTACTCTGGCCCTCAGGAGAACTGGTTAAAGGCAGGGAGTGGCACCAAGGGAAGGGAGGAGTGGCAGGAAGGTGGAGAGGCAGGAAGGCAGGGAGAAGGCAGCGTGGTGTGAAAAAAGCATGGGCAGCTGGAAGGACGGTGCAGGAAGGATGAGCAGGACTCGTTGACCCTCCTCCTGGAAGGAACGTAACCCCAGAGACATTCTCCACGTATCTGTGAAGGAGTGTGGCCAAGAACGCTTGTCCCAGCATTGTTCCTGGTAGTGGGAGTTGCAGGCAACCTCCGCGTCCACCACCGGCATGGAGAGGAAAATGTGACGGAAGCCAAGCATGGAATATTAGGCAACAGTAAGAAGCAAAGAGCTGGATGTACACACAGCAACAAGAATAGATCTTGAGTGAAAGCTGTGAGACATAATGAAAGCCACAGCACAATGCCATTTCTGTAAATTAAAAACACATTTGTACACAAAACAACAGCACATATTTTACAGAGCAACATGCATTTTGAGGGGTCTCTATCCCACCATTGGTGTAGGTCCCTGCAGTGGTGGAGGAGGGGCCCGGTATGGGTTTGGAGGAGAAAGGAGGAAAAATGAAAATAAAGTAAATCCACGGAGGGGTCTTGCACAGAGAGATGATGGCAGCGTGCTGTGGACTGAATGTGATTCACTCAAGTCTCTTTATTTGAGGTTTAAAAAACAGCACAGGCTTTATAGCTGGACAATCCTAGGTTCTAGTCTGAGCTCTCCCACATACTGACCCTGTGGCTGTGGACAAGTGCCTCGGCCTCTGTGAGCCTCTGTTTGTTCATCTGTAAAACGGTGGTGAAGGCTTGCCCATTGCGTGGTTGGTCACGAAGATTAAACTAAGGAGACACTGCGTTTAGGGCTTTCAGGCACAGCGGCGAGCTCCTGCCCCTCTCCGTTCCCCACTGAAAGGCCTGGAGTAAACAAGAGGGTGTTAGTCCCCTGGAGAAACCATGGGTTCTTGAAAGGGTCAAGAATGGAGAGCCTAGAAAGGAAATGAAGATCTCAGGACTCTGTCTCCTAGCACCACCGGCAAGGCCTAGACCCACTGTCCTGGGGCTGTCGTGCGTGGGCTGTCAGACCAGGCAAGTGCCCGACTGTGAAGCAGCTGCTCTCTGCCTGTCAGGATGAGTCCAGCTTAGGGTGGCCAGACTCCTCATGCTTGCCTCCGCCAGCAGCACCCACAGTTAGAAACCCTTCTGTGTTCAATTTCCCCAAGACCAGCCACTCCGAGGAATTCAGTGTAAATGAAAGGTCTGTTCCTCCCCACACAAAACTACACAGACTGGCCATCGACGGACCATCCCAGTCCCAACGCCCCACCTGGGGAACCCCCCAGGCCAGGAAAGGTCCCAGCGAGCACCAAGCATGACCAGCTCTTCCTCTTTCCTTGCAGATGATGACGAGCATGAGTGGATCACCCGTACCTGTCGAAAGGGCTAGGATGAGATCGTGGGTCACAGGCCCGAGCCGTGAACTCTGTGGCTGCCTCCACCAGAGGTTTCCATCTGCCCTACTAGCATTGGCTGCCCTGGGGGACGGGCTGTAGTTCTAGAACCTGATTTTAACTCAGGAATAAAGACTTTCTGCGGTCAGTGGCCCCAGGTGTATTTTCCTTAAAAGATTGTTCCTCAGTGGGCATCATTTAACCTGGACAAAATTGTGAGCTATAGATATTCCCAGGCCCCACCCTAGACCTCCCAATCAGAATCTCTGGGAATGGGGCCTAGTAATTTGCATTCCCAGCATTTCTCATGCATCTGAACGTTTGAGAACCATCTCTTTATAATAATAGATAGATGTAATTGAGCACTAACCGGCGCAGGTAGTGCGTGTGCATTATCTCTGCTCCTCACAACAGCCTTGCAAGGGGAAGGCTTTTGCAGATGGGGAATCTGAGGTTCAGAGAGACAGAGTGACTTGCTTGGTCTCAGAGGGCAGTAGGACCTGATCACTGTGCCCAGTCCTGCAGCAGTCATGGGTTCTTAGTTTCTGTTTCTGGTTGGGCCAGTGAAGCCCCTTCCTCATCCCTCTTTTCTGCTTATCACTAGAGACAGAAACTAAAAACCATGGCTTCAGGCTGCTGAAAGCCTAAAACAAAACAGAACACAAAAACAACAACAACAAAATAAGGTGGGTTGGACAAGCTTGTTAGGCCCAAGAATGATTACTCAGGCCTGTCTTTCCCTCTTGCCAGCTCCCCCATTTGAACCTCACATCCTAAGCACAGAATCAGCATGGTGCCATAGAAAGAATGTGGCTTTGGAGGCTGGGTGTGATGGCTCACGCCTATAATCCCAGCACTTTGGGAGGCCGAGGCCGGCAGATCACATGAGGCCAGGAGTTCGAGACCAGCCTGGCCGACATGGTGAAACCCCATCTCTACTAAAAATACAAAAATTAGCCGGGCATGGTGGCATGCGTCTGTATTCCCAGCTACTTGGGAGGCAGAGGCATGAGAATTGCTTGAACATGGGAGGTGGAGGTTGCAGTGAGCCAAGATTTCACCACTGTACTCCAGCCTGGGTGACAGAGTGAAACTCTGTCTAAAAAAAAAAAAGAATGTGGCTTTGGCATCATATAAAAAATGGTTATAATAATGCTTTAAAACAATACAGTAGCCGTGTGGTTAAATGAGATAATACAAGTAGGGGACCTGGCGCATAGTAGGTATTCAATATGTGTTTGCTTTAAAGAACAACTTGTTAGTGGTGCATATAATCATTCCTCAAAATCATCCCAGAGGTCACATTTGTCAGCTAAAAATCAGAAGAGGAAGCGACAACATGTTCCAGGGCCACATATGGGCCATATGCATCCTGGATCTTTGTCTAACTGTTCCTCCTTAGAGGTTGCTAGATCCTGTTACCCCCTATGCTCTGTCCCCTGGCTCACCAGGGCTGCCCAGTGGAGGCAGAACAGTGAGTCAGGCTTGGAAGGCAGGAGAGGAAATTGGATCTCAAACTAGGGACCCAGAGGCGTCATGCTGGGGCAGAGCCAGGAGTCAGCGGGAAGGGAGGCCTGGGCTCACTCTCAGCTGCGCTAGGGAGCAGACTTGGGAGGATCACCTCTCCCCAAGACGCCAGTCACCTTGGTAGATAGGGTTGTGCTCCACCGGTGGTTTCCAAACTGTATTTTGAAAACAGAAGGTACATTCATGTAAAGAAACACACAACTAAACTCATATATTTTCAAAGATACACATATATCTAAACACTTGAAAATGGATTGGAAGAGCAGATGTATGAGGAGCAGAAATGGAATCAGGGATGGGAGATTTAAAAACTAGTAGAATAGAGAGAGGGGCCCTGCAGTCAGTGACTCATGTGCACCATGAGCTGAGGTTTCTGAGCAACTCATTTCTGTGCAGGGCCACAGCAGGCCAGGGAAGCCTCTGCATTCTGCAGGGCAGCTGTGCTCTCCACACCAGGAGCTTTGGCTTGAGCAAATGACTCTGCTGCTGAAAGAAATTTGACAACCACCAAAAAGATGCGCTCTCTCACTCCTCAGGTTATGAGGTGGTGGCTCTGGAGCCTGACAAAACCACTATAAGACCCAGTCTTGTGCAGAACCTGGGGCCCTGCTGCCCGTTCCATATTCCCTTAACTTCACCTTATTAAATTCTTCCCCATCTTCCAAACACGCTCCTCTGCACCTCCCTCCCTGCCCCACCCTCTTGCTTACCTATTCTGTGACCTTCTCATCTGATAGGATCCAGCTTTAACACCCACCCCCTTGGCTCCCACAGTATTTGCCAGACTGAGAGCTCCTCCAGGACAAGGTCTGGCTGGGAGCCTTTTCTCAGTGTGCAGAGCCAGCACAGGGCCCAGCAGAGAGTGTATGTTCAGAGACTGGAACAGAGGGCATCAAGCAGCCTGATTTCCTCCAAAGCTTAGATAAGAAGCAGGTGTGACTGAGTACTTACAGAAGAAACCCATCGTCAGGCCTCCACAATCCATTGTTTACTAACTGGGAAATGGTACCCGTTTCCCAGGAAGGAGGATTACACTGTCCAGCAGCCCACATATTCTGGGAGCCAGGGACCTAAGCCCTTCACCAGAGAGCAGGAAAGAAATGGAATCCCATCATGTTCTGGATTTCAGTGCCAGCACTTCTACTTGCATTAACTTTATTACACAAATAAGACATTTACAAAGCACGACATGAAAGGTATGTAACAAAACAGACATTGGTTTTACAAAAAAAGTGCTTACAATTTTTTTTCCGTGTGTGTGTTTTCCCCTTTTTTTGTATTTAAATAAATAGTCTTGATGGCCTGTACGTTCCCAGGCTGCTCTTAACAGGGTAGTGGAGACATGTTTGAACTGTAACATGCTACGGCCACATAATCCACGCAAGGAATAGACCCTGAGGAGAGGCTCAAGGCAGAGTGTGTTGGGTGACCCTGGGTAGGGCTTGGTTGGCCACTTACCACATGGTTGCCACTGGGGCCTTGATGATCAGGAGCAAAAATCAAAGGAAAGATTTGAGCTCCAAGGCCAGGAATTGGGCCCTGGTTGCTCCTGTTAATGTCAGCGCCTAGCACAGGGCTGGGCACAAGTTACCACTGACTGAGTGCTGAGCTGAGCTGTACTCACCACGTTCTGAGTGGTGCCTGCTCTTTGCCCTCAGTCAGCTGTCACTGTCTTTGGAAGGGAGAGGAAGCAGGTTCCCTTCTTAGGCTGCACCTGTGCCTACCCTGCCTGTAGATCCCAGAGCAAGAATGACCTATAGGCTTTCATGTTAAGTGCCAACGTCAAGCATTTGAACTCTGAAACCTTATCCAGACTCAGTGAAATAGAGCTGCCATTGATTAGCAATGTCTGCCATGGGTAAAAACAGAGACAATGGCTGCGTATGTACCATGAACTTGCTTTCCCTGTCTTAGAGTCTCCTTCCAAAAGCAACATAACAGGTTAACCACAGCAGGAAGGCGGACTTGGGCTAAAACATGCTGATTAGCAACCTCTAGTGGAAAATGCATCAGGACACCAGGTAATTCTAGAATTACAGGATAAGCTTGGGACAAATGGGCATCCCCTGAAAACATAAATCATGGTCGTGTGTAGCCTGAGCCCTTTTGTTTGGGGTGGAAGAGTTGTAGCAGGATGGATGTTACGCAGCTGTGTCTGACCTCTGTTCTCAGGGGTGGGTGGGGCTGGCTCCAGGAAGTATTGATTGGGAAGCTCAGAGGCACCAGTTGGAATCCTGAGCTTGGCACACTCACCTAGGCAATGGGCACCCTCTCTCTACTTAGAGATGGATCCAGGGTTAACATTCTGACTGCCATTTCACTGGGCTCTGTTCCCTCTCCCCTATAAGGGATTCCCCTTCCATTGAGAAGACCTGGCCCAAGCACCACTATGAGAGGTCAACAAGTGGCCAACAGGGGTCCCCAACTCTAACCTGTCCAAACATTCAGAAGAGTCATGGCACAGATCGAATACCATCGCTGCTATGTTTCTTACATATATGCTGGATAATTAGGTGGGGGTAGGGTCTCTCCCTGACCCCAGAGTTTTCTCTTTCCTCTCCTTAAAATGGCTAGTGCCTCTTCTGGTCCAATATGTCACCGCCCTCTCCTTGATTTCCAAACCAATGGGGGTCTTTCTTCTCCCCATTCCCTGTCTATCCCCGCTGCCTCCTAGTCTGGGCAGGCCTCCATCTCTGCCCTATTAGGCCTCTCAGGGTTGGTCACTGTCTCTTCTCTTTCTGAATTAACTTGACATAACCAGACAGATGGAAATGATAAAATTAGAACATAGCTTTCCTTTGGGGACATCCCACAAACACTGTAGAGTTTTCCAGACAAAAGCAACAGAGTGGATAACATTGGGGGTTGTCAGCTATTCAGAATTCAGAGATGGTTCCAAGGAAGTAGTAAATAAAGGCCAATGTGGGGGAAAAAAACCTGTAAATGAGAAGGCCGTTGGCATCGCACAATTCAATTCCGCCTTTTGTTATTGTAATCAGCTGAAGTTGAAGAGGACTCCTGTTTAAATGGGAAAAACAGGCTGTTTCCACCCTGATTCCAGATTTCAGGGAGTTCTGCCTTCCAAGAGGAGGACTCTGTGGTGCTCCTGGTGGGTTCTGGTTCTCAGCAGGAGAGGGAAAGGCCAGGCCTCGGGAACCGACCTGGTGGTGGGCAGGATGGCGGACGGGGGTGGATGCGGAGGTGGGTGGACTCCTGGCCGCAGCTTGGACACTGGATCTCAGCGGCTGAGGGGCAGCTGTGGGGCGCCCACGGGCAGATGCGGAAGTGCCGGCAGCGTTAGTACTGAAAAAGGATGACCTGCAAGAGGAGGGCATGGGAGGTGGCTGAGCTGGGGGCCTGCCCCACCCTGCTGCCCCCCAGAGAACCTCAAAGGCACAGAGAAGAAGGGTGGACTCAGGGCCCAGATCTGAGTTTAAATCCTGGCTCTGTCAACTGACTTGCTGTGGGACCTTGGGCAACTCACTGCACCTCTCTGAGCCTGTTTCCTCATCTTTAAAACAAGGATGACAAAATCTCTCTCTGAGAATCAGAGAGATTCAATGAGATACAACAGCAGCAGCAAAAGCCTTCTGGGCATTTCACCCTGCACCTTCTGTGCCTGATTTCACGGAAGCCGCACCATAGCCCCGTGAGGGAGTTCCAACGTTCTGTTTTACAAGGAGGGCACTCAGGCTCAAAGAGGTGGAAGCGAGTGAGCTCGTGGGCACACAGCGAGGAGGAGGACCTGGCACTGGAGGCCAGGCCTGGCTCACAGCAAGCTCTCCCTACCAAAGCACATTGCCTCTACCTTTCCAAGGTCACCGTGACCATAGTGGCTGACTGCTTATTACCCACAGGGCCACGGGCTAAGCACTTCACATGCGCTTAATCTTCACATGCACGAAGCCTAGAAGTGCGTGGCTCAGACACACTGGGTGCCCGATACACAGTGGGAGATCAGGACTGTCTGTCCCTTTCCCCCTCCCACTCCCACCTCTAGCACTTGGTTGACATCTCACTGCTGCTGACACAGCCAGTTCCCTGAAGTTCAGGTCAAGGATCACTGGCTGGCTGGTCAATGGCAATGTGTCATTTCACAGTAAAGTGTGAGGGGCATCTGGTGGGCATGACTACATGGCTGTTCCCTTTTCTGATCAGGAATGTTACTTGCCCAGAACTGGTTATCACAAGGAGGTGATGGAGGAAAGCAATGATGATGATCACCATAATAGTGATCATGATCATAACCAACACCTGGGGGCATTTTCTGTGCACCAGGCTCTGTGCTGGGCTCCTTACACACATTATGCATTTATTCTCTGCAGCAACCCTACGGAGTGGGAACTATTATTATCCCCAGTTTGCAGATGTAGAAACCGCAGCTCAGAGAAACTAATTGCATTCCCAGATCTCACAGGGGAGGTGGCAGAGCTGGGATTCCGAGCTGGCCTAACTCCAGAGTGGCCAGGGTGGGCATTCCTTCCCCACCCTGGCCACTGCTCCACTTTGGCCTCCAGAATGCCTGGCTTTTAGCCCTTATTAGGAAAAGCTCTCTCAAGAGTGGCGACCCTGGTAGGACCCTTCCCCTCCATGGGTCTCAGTCTCCTCCACTGATCAATGACAGCTTAGCCCTGATTTCTAAGAACTTTCCAAGTGTTGGATTTGTGGGATCAGGGGACACAACCAGGAAGAAATGTGGCTCTGGAACCTCACAGGTGTGTGTGGCCAAATGACGATGCGGTGGAGGCAGGGGATGCTCCCCTGAGTGCTCAGAGCACTGTTCTCCTGGCCAGGCCAGTGCTGGTCTAGATGAGTGGGTTCAGGGGCCAGCCCCATGGGGACACTGAGTCTCCTCACAGCTAGGCAGGCTCAGGCCTGGAAGGACTTGGAAGAAAGCCCAGACAATCCTGTGCTGGCCACACACATACCACACCCTGCCGCCCACCAAGCCCCAGGAATTTGAGAGTTATGGACAAGAAAAGTCCCTAGGAGCTGGCGGAAAGGCCTGACAGTGAGAGGACAGAAGGTCATGAAGGAGGGAGAGACACTTTAATGCAGACTTTCTGGGTGCAAAGTTGGGGACACAGCCCAGCAAGGGAAAACTCTGGCTCAGCAGCCAAATCCAGAAGCCAGAAACTGTCTATAGCCAAATCTGACAGCCCCCAGCATGGCTCATCCCCCAGGCTGAATGAGACAGAACCACAAGCTTAGCTGAGCAACCAGGAGGCAAAGGCTCCTCTCCAAGCACTGAGCCCAGCCCTCTGTACCTCCAGGGCCCATCCCTGCCCTCCACATAATGTCCAAGACCCTCTTTCCATGATCCTTTGTTCTGTGGCCCCTGTCGGCTCTCCCCACTTCCCTGGACCTCAGCCACACTGAACGTCCCCCAGGGTCCCCTCCGGCCCAAGCTCCTCCATGCCTCTGGGCCTTTGCACATGCGGTTCTCTTGATGTGGAACACCCTTCTTCTTGTCCCCTGTCTCTCCCCTAGAGCTCACTGCCTCCTCTTCTGGGTCCTCTAAGGTCAAGTTTCTCGCCTACTCCAGCTGCCCATTCCCCTGCAATGTAACTGCCCACACCCTGTGCTAAGCCACAAGCTCCCTGAGGGCAGGGATCATGTCAGCTCACTTCTGCAGTCCCAGAGCCAGGTCTAATAGGATGAATCCCCTCCCACAGGAAGGGACAGCTCTGAGGCAGGTGGCTCTAGGATCCCGGCCAGTTCTGCCCATGCTCACATTGTGATTCTGGATGAGCACTGCTCTGTCTGAGCCTCCGTTTCTGCAAGTGTGAAATGGAGGTCATCGCAATCACCCTCCCAGGGAGACTATGAAGGATGAGGTCGGAGAGAGGGCTGTGTACACAATGAAGTGCTGCACAAAAGGAAGTGATTACTGAGCCGCGCAGACTTCAGAGTCCGACAGACTCGCTGCATCCCTGGACAAGTCATGTCACCTCTCGGAATCTGTTTATCTCTTTACAATGAGAAGGCCATCTCTATGTCCACAAAGTGGCTGGGAGGTGTGAACCAGATGCCATGTGAGAAGTAGCTGCCTTGAACAGAAGGAGCTCAGCAAACGGCAGCTCTTCCTATGGATGTGACAGTCTCAGCGGCGATGGTGTTCCTGGGGCATGCTCACTCACTACAGATTCTGCAGGATTTTACGTTAGGCACTACCATTTATTTACAAATGTATCTGTCCAGGGCTGTCTGTACCTCCACACCATACACATTCTCCTGTGGTGCCCGGCACAGAGAGCTCAGTACATACTAGGTGTACTGAGCTCAATCAGGAGGCTGAGCCAGAGGTACCATCCTAAAGGAGCTGTCCCCACCCCGGCTGCCCGTTAGAATCACACAGGCTGAGTATTACACTCGCAGATCCCTATATCCCACCCCAACAGACTCTCTGAGAGCGAGGCTTAGGAATCTCTGTATATTTACAAGCTGCCCAGGTGATTCCGAGCACACCAAGACCGGGATCTGCTGAACTGGAGGGCTCCTGACTCCAGCCCTAATGCTCTGACCCTCTCCCTCCGAGGGACTGCCACACCCACTGACCTCCAGGGATCCCTGCTTCCTACTGGGTGTCCTCCAACCCAGCAGTCTCTGAAGACTGCTACAGTGATGTTTCTGCAGCAGGCCCTCCAGGACCCCACACTGCCGCAGCATAAAATACAGACTCTTCCACCTGGCAGCCTCAAGGCTCTCGCTTTCCTCCTCTCATCCTCCCAGACATGCCTGCCAACAATGCTGAATGGCTCAGGGTTCCCTGAGAGCTCTGGTGTCTCATGCCTTCCCTGATGCCTCAGCTTTCAGGCCTGGCCTTAGAGGTTGCCTCTTCTGGGAAGTCTTCCCTGCCTCTCTCCTTTGCCCCCTTCCCCCTCCCCAGCTCCCATGGCTTCCCCTGTCACACTGTATTGTAACTGTTGGGATCTGCCTCCCCCTCCAGACTCTGGCCTCCTCAAGGGTAGGGACCACACTTTACTTGTTTCCACTCCTAGCAACAGATTCATGGATGCTGGGCACAGACAAGACATAGGAAATGTCTCCAAATAAACAAGTCAGTGAATTAAAAAATGTAAGGTTCGGCCGGGCACGGTGGCTCACGCCTGTAATCCCAGCACTTTGGGAGGCTGAGGCGGGTGGATCACCTGAGGTCAGCAGTTCAAGACCAGCCTGGCCTACGTGGCGAAACCCCATCTCTACTAAAAATACAAAAAAATTAGCTGGGCATGGTGGTAGGCGCCTGTAATCCCAGCTACTTCGGGAGGCTGAGGCAGGAGAATCACCTGAACCCAGGAGGTGGAGGTTGCAGTGAGCCGAGATTGCGCCATTGCACTCCAGCCTGGGCGATAAGAGTGAAACTCTGTCTAAAAAAAAAAAAAAAAAAAAAAAGCAAGGTTCTCATCCAATCTCTGACTTTGAGCTATCTGGGCCTCAACGTTCCCATTTCTAAAATGAAGGGTTGTCTGACAGCACTGGCTTTCGAGGCTAACTGTGAGGTGTCTTGGAGCTGGGAGGGAGGTAAGTCTCCTCCTCTCTCCATGGTTTCAGAGCAGCTCCATCCACCTTCATCTGCACTATGGACAAGTTTAAACAAAGGGTTGCATTGCTTCAGAAATAATACCTTGAAGCCCTGGAATGGGGACAGCTAAGCACCCTTTTAGAAGTGCAGTCCTAAAGCCTGAGACAACCAGAAATCCTGGCTCCACAGAGGAGGCCCTGCCAGTTGACCAAGGTCACTGGCTGGCCAGCTATCCCTGAACCCCATCAGCTCAGGATATTCACTCCCAACAGACAAGAATGAAAAGGAGAAACCAGTGAGATGATGGGAAGTGGGGTGATGAGTGATATAAGCCCTCCCTGGAACTTAAAGCTTGAGTAAAGGAAATTCACAAATCTAAGACAGAGCAGGGCAAACTGCCAGTGGGGAGCTGCAAGGAGGCCTTCGGAGTGGCCATGCACACAGAACACACTAGCAACCACCGCTCCAGTGACTGCTGTGGGGGTGCGGTGGGGGTCTCAGCAGGCCGGGCAGACAGGGTCTGCCACAGCGCAGCATGGTACCAAATGGTTAACAGAGGATGCTGCCAGAAACCCATCCCCAGCAGGGTGGCTCTGACCCACCAGACCCAACCTGGCTCCATTTACCTTCTCACCCCGGTTGGAGAGCGGCCCATCCATATCGGCTTTGAGGTGGACGGGGGGTGCGGTGTAAGGCAGCCGGCAGTGCACCTGCCCGCACTGTACCTGACCTGTGGACGAGAGGATGCCTTGGAGCTCATCCCCCAGGCTGCACACAGGATCCCACCTGCCCCGTGCTCTCTACAGACTGGAGCCCTGAAACCAGTTTCATCTCTGCCACTTACCTCCTGGGTAGCCCTGGGCAAGGTTTCAGTAGGGTTGGTTGTGATGATCTTTTTTTTTTTTTGAGACGGAGTCTCACCTTGTCGCCCAGGCTGGAGTGCAGTGGCACGATCTTGGCTCACTGCAAGCTCTGCCTCCCAGGTTCAGGCCATTCTCCTGCCTCAGCCTCCCAAGTAGCTGGGACTACAGGTGCCCACCACCACGCCCAGCTAATTTTTTGTATTTTAGCAGAGACGGGGTTTCACCGTGTTAGCCAGGATGGTCTTGATCTGACCTCATGGGGTTTCACCGTGTTAGCCAGGACGGTCTTGATCTCCTGACCTCATGATCTGCCCGCCTCGGCCTCCCAAAGTGCTGGGATTACAGGCATGAGCCACCGTGCCCGGCCAATTGTGATGCTCTTTATAAAGAGCTACGTGAGAGTGAGGTATAACCATCTAGCTCACTGATAAACACTCCTAAATAAATATGTGTTTTCATATTCATGCGCATGCAAGCAAGTCTGTACCCTGCCTATTCAGGCCCTGCAAGCAAGGCTGTGCCCCATCTATTCAGACCCTCCCTCAGTAAGTTCATATCTCTTAGGTATCACCATGACTTTACCCATGCCTCTTAGAGGACTCTGTACTCGTATGTCACCTCTCTCTTTACGACTGCAACCAACACCAACACCTATCTCCTACCCTCCCTGTCTTCCTCCCGGCTTTATTTCCTTAGCACTTATCATCTGACTTAACTGCATTTTTGTTTGAGACAGGGTCTCACTCTGTCACCCAGGCTAGAGGGCAGCGGCATCATCTCTGCTCAGTACAACCTCTGCCTCCTGGGTTCAAGTGATTCTCCCACCTTAGCCTCCTGAGTAGCTGGGACTACTGGCATGTACCATCATGCCCAGCTAATTTTTGTATTTTTTGGTATAGAGGGGGTTTCACCATATTGGCCAGGCTGGTCCTGAACTCCTGACCTCAAGTGATCTGCCCACCTCGGCCTCCCAAAGTGCTGGGATTACAGGTGTGAGCCACCACGCCCAGCCTGACTTACTGCATATTTTTATTATTTATTTGATATTATCTGTCTTTGCCAACTAGAATGCAAAGCTCCACGAGGGCAGGAATTTTTTGTATGTTTTCTAGATTCTAGATCTTTGTGGATTTCCAGCACCTAGAGTGAGGCATGGCATTTAGTAGGTACTCTTAAGTATGTGCTGAATGAATTTCTATACCATATTCCAACATCTAAAACTGTTGGGGAAAGTCCACCTTTGGGTCGGATCCAAATTTCTCATGCTTCAGCCTGTTTATCACTACAGCGGAGAAGTCCATTGCTGGTCTCTTCTTTAGGCTTCATTCTCTTTGGTCACAGGGAAAGGGCATTGTAGAGACACTTACAACTGATATATAAACCGGGACAATTCACTGTGCCCTTCTGAGCCACAGTTCTCCCATTTGTAGAATAAAGGAGTTATATTAAATTGGGAGTTCTTCACCTGGGGTGTTCAAGGAGTCCATATACAACTTCAGATTACTTGGAAAATGTATGTACATCTGCATTTTTCTGGGGTCTGGTTCCAAAGCTTTTATCAGATTCCAAGCTCGAAGCCTCCAGGAAACTCAGTATTCTGTGACTTTAGTTAACCGCAGAGCAAACTCTACAGAAAAACTCATTTTTCTGGGGTCTGGTTCTAACACTTTCATTAGCTTCCCAGCTTAAGGCTTCAGAAAATTCACAACTCCATGACTGTAGTTTACCATAGAGCAAACTGCTGTGGTGACTCTCAGTCAGTCATGCAGCAGGAGGTGCAGGTGCACACACCCCCAACCTCTTCTTCCCCAAGCTGAGTTCCACCACAAGGGTAAGAGGAGAGGGCACCTCAGCCTCTTCTCTAAGCAGCAAAGACAGATCTAAGTTTGGTCAACAGAGTGTATGGACAGAGTCCTGGCAGGGACTCTGGAGGTCATGGCCCCAAGTCCAAAGGGATCATCTAGATTTCTTATTGACTCTACACCAAGTATTAGCAGGTAGCTCAGACCCCTGGTACTTATAGCGCCCCTGATCCTTGGCACCTTTAACAGGCTCTGTGCAGCCTGAATATAGTTATTGTTTAGAAAAGAAAGGGGGAAAATGTCGCTCCTATTGAGCAGATAGTTCAGAAATGGAACTATATAAAGAGACATGGTTTCCAACTGGCAGCCTGGTGCGAAGACAGGGCTCTGCACTCCTAGTTCTGCCAACCAAAACCACTCCCACCATCACAAGAGCAGCCAATACTTATGCGGCACTTGCTGAATGTTGAGGATTTTCAGTTACCTCGTTTGATGCTCAGAACACTGCTTTGAGATACTGTTGTCCTCATTTTTACAGATGAGGGAATGAGTATGCAAGAAAGCTAAGAAACTCACCCACTGTCACACAGCTAGTAAATGGCAGGGCTGGGATGTGAAGCCTGGCAATCTGAAACCAAAGCCCACACTCGATCATTAAGGCATACCGGCTCCCACTAACTTACAGTGGGCCCTTGGTTTCCTCATCTATTCAAGGAGATGGTGGCCTCTGATGTTTAGAGACACAGTCAGTAGAATATATGGCATATGGTCAGTAAGCAGCAGTTCTCTGTCTGATTTCCCTTCTTTTTCCCTCTTACATGGAGCCAGAGAAGGGAGGAATTGTGTCTGTGTGCATCGCAGTCATTTACATTTTTTTGGTCATGCCCAGCTTAGAGGAAACAATTGATGGGAACAACTTCAAAGGGAAAGACAATCTGTGATAGGCACCTGCTCAGCAGCAGATTCACTGAACACTCATCCTCCAGAAATCCCCGGGGCTCCTCCCTCACTCCTCCAGGTTCCCGCTCACAAGTCACTTCACCATGACCCGCTTGCCCCTGCATCTCCGCCACAGTACTCCCTGCCACGGACATGCCTGCTCCCTCCCTGTTACTTTATCATCTCCACCATCTCCCATGCTGGAGTGCAAACCCCAGGAGCACAGAAGCTTTGGTCTACTGTGTTCACTGTCGTATCCCAGTGCAAAGAACACAGAAGGCACTCAAGATATAGCTACTGAATGCATGAATGGTGTCTCACAACCCTGTGAGGCTGGCATTATTGACATCCCAGGTTACAGATGAGGAAACCAGGGCTCAAGGAGGTTAGGTGACTTGCCTAAGGCCTCACAGCCCTGGACACTCCCATCACACTGGCCTTCTGCTCCCCAGAACACACCCATGCCACGATGCTTTCTGGGCCAGGGCCTGCGTGCATTCCGTTCCCCCACTCCAGGTACCTCACTAAATCCTATCCATCCTTTCAGTCTCTGCTTGCTGAAAGGCAGCCCAGCCCCTTCCCTTCCACCCCGCAGCATCTCCAGTCACTCCTACCCAGCACCTTTCCTACAGGAATCATCCCACTTAAAACGACACACTCATCTGCCTATTTTTCCATGCCCACCAGAACGCAGGCTCCACAGAGTAGGTACCTTGTCCAGCCTGTTCTCTCCCCAGTCTCCGGGCACTGGCACATTGTGGGTGCTTTGAAGGCATTTTTTGAATGGCTGCTGAATCGCTTGCCTCTATGAAGGATCCCGCTCCACTGAGGCAGAGCCGAAGATTTGACCCTTCTTCCCCCAACTCCTAGATCCAAATGACTTCGGGTCCCGCTTCTTCACCCACGAGGCTCCCCAAGGCCCTCCACCCCACGCCTCGGCCTCAGCCGCCCACGTGCGCTCCTCCGCGCCCCCTCCCCGCAGGCCCAGCGGCTCCCGGCGCTGCGGTTACTTACTCTCAATGTAGCCGTGCAGGGTGACCATGCGCGCCCGCTCGGGGCTGCTGAACGGGGTGTAGTGGATGTCGTCGGACAGGGCGGAGGGAAGGCGGGACGGGGGCGCCCCCGAGGGCGGCACTGGGTGTTGCGGCGTGTGCTTTTTATGACGCGCCCGGCAGTTTTGAAACCACACCTGGAACGACAGCCTCGGCAGCCTCAGCCTCGAGGAAAAGAGTCGGACGCGCCGCCGGGAGACCCCAGGCGGGACTGCCTCGTCGCCTCCTGGAGAAGGATGGCCACGTGCACGCACCACCCTCCGCGCCGAGCCCAGCTACGAGCTCCGGGGCGTGCCCGCGGTCCCCAGGCCCCGCCCACCCCCGTCCCACCTGGATGACTCTCCGGCTGAGGCCCGTCATGTCCGCCAGCTTCTGCAGCGTCTGAGCGTCGGGGTTGTTGTCCTGCGCGAACTGCGCCTGCATAACCTGCGGGGCGGGGAGGGCGGTGAGGCGCTCGCACGCAGAGACTCCGAGACCCCGGCCCAATCAGCGGCGCCAGTCCACAGGCCACGCCCCAGGCAGCTGCGGCCCCGCCCCGCCACCCGGGTCCGGCCCGAGGGGCGGAGCCAGGAGACATTGTCGGCCCCGCCCACTTTCGGCCCGGCCCCCGCCCCCGCCGCCCACTGCTTGCAGCGGTACCTGCAGCTGTTCCGCGGTGAAGGACGTCCGCGCGCGCTTGGCCGGCTTGGGTTGACTGTCCTGTTCCGAGGGCACTGCCCCCTCCAACGTGAGGCCGTTCCCTGGGGGCGATAGAAGCAGCTGACCACGCGTCCCCATCTCTTCTAGTGGCAGCCTGGAAAGGACGGGGGTGGGGGGAGCTTGTCCCTGGAAGGGTCAGGAGCGGGAGTTGGCTGGGAGCAGGGATCCCAGGGTCCTAGTCCCTGAGCTCAGTCTTTGGGGAAGGGGTTTCTGAGCGTCCGCTTAGTACTGGACACTTCTTACACGACTGGACCACGTCTTACAGCCCTAAGGAGAGGTGGCGTTACCTCATTATACATGGGAGGAAACTGAGGCTCAGAGAGAAGGAAAGCCCCTGCCCTGGCCCTTTCAACTAGAATCCGAAAGCTAGCTGACCCTAATGTCCCAAACTGGGCTCCCTGCTGGCGAAACTGGGGGACACCAAAGGCTAGAGGAGATAGGAAGCAAGCAAGTAACGGAACTATGCTCCTAATTTTATAAAAATAAGCGGAAGGAAAAAAGGTTGTAAGAATATACAACAAGGTGTTGGCAGTGGTTTACTTCCCAGGAATGTGATTATGGAAACTTTTTACTTTCAGTATTCCTGTAACTTTTGAGGTATTTAAAAACAATCATATGTTGCCTTACTTCTGTAAGGTTTAATTTTGTTAACCGGCGTATATGTTAGATATTCTCTTTCCACTCATATTACTTTTACAGTCATACTAAAACACTAACCATATTCCCATTTTATTTTTAATACTTCATTGTTCTGAATATCCTCAAAATCTCAGAAAATTTCCATAAGCACAAAGAAGAAAATAAAAATCACCAGTAATTCCAGCACTCAGAAATAACCATTGTTCACAATTTATTGTAACTTTTTAATTAGGAAAAAATTATGTTGAAGGAAAAAAGCAAACATTGTAACATACATGGAAAAAAATCTGAGAAGATACACATTAAAATATGAAGAAGGCAGCATTTGGAGCAATCGTTATTTTCTTCTTTTTGCTTACCGTCTTTTCTAATTTTTCTACAATGAACGTGTGTGTATCTGTGTGTGTGTTATGTTTAAAAAGTGAAACAGTAGCCAATACTGAGGGCTGATCAGTAAGAGAGATCGGAGGCCCCAGCTTTCAAGTTCCTCAGCATGTTAAGTCTGTGGACAGGTGTGGCTGTGAGAGCTAGGATGTAATTGGCAAGGTTGTAACTACAGGTGGTCCTGGTTGGACCATGTGTGGAAGGAGCCTGTGGTCGCTGATGGACCACAGTGTGGGAAAGCTCTGACTCCTGGGTTTCCATCCCAGCTCTACTGCTGACTTGCTGACCACTGCAGATAATTTCATTGCCCATCACTGCAGATAAGCAGGCAGCAAGTGAAACCCAAGTTCACTAGATGCCCCCTTAGACCCACTTAGTCCTGATCCTGGCAGGAGAAAATGATGGCCCTGGTATGCCCATGGCCAGGAACACTCTTGCGGTCCCTGACTAGTCTCCAGGCTGGGACCTAGAAGTTGAGGCAGGGTGGTTCATACTCCTCCCCAGAAAAACTGGGGGTTGGGCAGACACTCTGTGGTATTAATGTCCCCTAGGAAAGCAGGCAGGGCAAGGATTGGTGTGTTGGTTTTTTAGATGGGAAACTAAAACAGAGGCAGCTACATCCCAGAAGCCTCCTTGGCTTTATGAGATCTGATTAAGGTGCCCTAGAGCTTAGGGCCAAGGTGGTGTGGTATGGTATGATATGGTATGGTATGGTAGTTAAGAGGCTGGGCTTTGGAGCTAGGCAAATCTACTAGTATGTAATTTTTGGCAAATCCTGTTTCTTCTTCTGTAAAATGGGGCCGTGCCACCTACTTCCTAGGGCTGTTGTAAGGATTACATAAAATAATCCCTGTTACAGAGAAGTTAGCAGCTTTCACAGACCCTAACAGGGAAATTAGAGAAAGAGTCCCTGCCTCTGCCCACAGCCAAGCACTGCCCTTTCCCAGCTCCATCCCATCTGTGACCCTGTCCCCAGGATCCGTGGAAGACCTGGATCTTGTTCCTGGGCAATCTGGGGAATCACAATGTCAGAGCCAGAAGAGATTTAGGGATCATTCTAGTCCAGTATCTGTCTTGCACAGATGTAGGGACTGAGGCCCAGAGAGAAAAGGAAACCTCATATGTCAACACAGTATGGGAGAGCCTGGTCTCCAGACTCAGAAACCTGGTCCTTTCCCCTTATAGTTAGAGACCCTGGTCCAGGATGAAAACCCTTCCTCAAACCTCTGGCTTGGAGCTGCTAGGATAGGAAATGGGAGAATGGGAGCCAAGTCATCTCTCCAGGACTGGCCCAAGCCTGGTCCCAGGCAACCGGAGGGGATGAGCCCCCAGGCCAATGAGAGCTGTCCAAAGGTGGAGTAGGCTGCCCGATTATGAGAACCATCTCTAGGGTTCACTGAGTGCCTCCTGGCTTTACAACACATCAGCTAGCTCATCTATCTTTGGGAAGGTGTTCTGTTGTTAACGCCATTTTACTGATAAGGAAACATAGTTACAAAGGAGGGCAGTGACTTCTGACTCCTAAGCAAAAGATCGACCCGGAAGTGCAAGATCTGTTCGCCGCCCCACCCCTACGCTGCCTGCGGGACTATACCGGGAGGGCCCAATCGGTAGAGGAGTGTGGGTGGTTCCTGGGGTGCTGGGGTGGGGTGGGGTGGGAAAGGGCTGGGGGCAGAGGTGCCAGGCGGAGCAGGTTGGGTACCGTTCTCGGCGGCCCTCTTGAGGTTCTCAATCATGGTGTCGTAGTGGATGCGGCAGAGCACCTTCTCCTCGACCAGGCCGAACTCCTCACCAGTGGACAGCTGGCGCTTGCACGAGAAGCAGGCGAAGCAGGCCAGGTGGTAGGCGTTGCCGCGAGCTCTCCGCACCCAGTCGCTGGCGTAGATCTGTCGGCCGCACCGGGCACACTTGGTCCCGAATCGGCTGCAGGTCGAGAGGACAGGCACGGGGTGTCGAGACTCAGACAGGCCAACCTTCCTCCTTCCACCACCCAATGGCCCGCCAGCCCCCAGGCTCCTGGCCTCTAAGTCTTCAACTCAGGCATTAGCCTTAGCTTGGACGCAACAACACTCTACACCTAGTCCCACCTAGGAGATGAACTGGTGGGTGATTTTTATTTTCTTCTTGGTGTTTTTCTGAATTTTCCAAATTTTCTACGATGGTCACTTATATTTGCATATTAATTTGTTTGTTAAAAATACATCACAAGTTAGAAAAAACACAATAATAGTAATAATAAGCAAGTTGTTGAGCACTTACCACTTGCCCAGCAAGATTCTAATTGTTTTACATTGATTATCCCAATTAATCCTCATTTTGCAGGTGAGGAAAATGGGGACTAGAGAGGTAAAGTAACTTGCAGGAGGTCACACCGCTTGCAATGATAGGAACCCTAGCGATCCTGCTCCAGAGATGAATATAAGCTATAGCGCCAGCTGTACAGAAGTGCAGTTTCTTAGATGAACAGACAGATAAGCACTTACTGGCTTTGTGACACTAGGCAAACTGTTTAACTCTGAGTTCTCGTTTTCCTTGTCCTGCACTGAACTAGATGACAACAGCAATGACTACTACTGTTTGTTTAGTGCTTTGCAGTTGGCTAAGTACCCAGCAAGTCCCTCTGGAGCCTGTGACATTCTATTAATAATACCAAATGTTAAAAAGACAAAAATAAAAATAAAAAGCCCAGATCGAATGTCTTCTTGCCCCTCAAGCCTTCCTTGATTCTACGACTTCTCCTTCTCCCTTCTGGTTTTGTAGTCTGGCAATTTGGGTGCAGCTGCCTCCAACACCAGACTGGAAGCCCCTCCAGGAGGCAGCGGAGTCTGGTTTACTCCATCCCAGAAGTCAGCCCAGGGCCTGATCCCGGGCACCAGGGAAAGTGTGTTCTTTAAAGTGGATGACTCACCTGTGACTCTGTCCCAACCCTAGCAGCCTGTTTCCTCTGGTACACCCTCTATTTCAGAGAATGGTGCCACCACTTACCCAGCCCCTGAAGCTTGAAAATCATAATCATGCACTCCTCTCTCTCCTCAACCCCTCATCCAGCCAATCATCGATGCTGTTGGTTCTGTTTCCCAAGTATCTCTGGGATCCATCTCCTTCTCACCATCTCCACTGTTGCCCTCCTAGGCCAGGCTCCCATCATGCAACCCTCACTGTCAACCTCCTCCCCGGTCTCCCTGTTTCCAGTCTCGCCCCTGCCAACCCATCCTCCACAGAGCAGTCAAAGCAAAGTTTCCAGCATGCACATGAAATCCTGTTTCTGCCTTGCTTACAATCCTATGGTGGCTCCACTCTACCCTCAGGATCTGGTCCAAAACCCTTGGGGTTTGCAAAACCCAAGCGACCACATCCTCTTCAGGCCCATCTCCTCCCTAACCTTCAAGATATGCCGCCCCACCATCCAGGCATGTGTCCCAGTCAGCCACAATGGAAGGTCACTCCCAGGTCTTTATGGCCTCCTCTGAAGCACTTTCCCACCCCCAGGCCTTTGCACTGACCTACCCTCCCCCAGAGTCCCACGGCACCCTGCACCGCTCTCTCAGCGCTGACCACACTGGTTTGTAAATGTTTCGTTTCTGGCTCTTCTCTTCCACCCCTTCCACCTTCCCAGAGTTGGGGTCCCGGGGTTGGGTGTGGGGGACCAAGAAGATTTGCCTCTGCGTCCCCAGGGCGGGCACCCCTCCACCCGGGGGAGCATTCGGAATCGCTTGTGTGTGCACGGAGGAAACAGTCCGGCAAAAAGGCTCTGGTTACAGCCTGCCTGCCTTGGCAAATTCAAGCAACTGTCAGTTGAAAAAAACAGCGTTGGGTTGGACTGAGTGCAGGAGCCCAGAGGCTTCTGCCAGTCTCCGCTCGCAGATTCAACCCCAACCCTACTGTCTCCAACGAGGAGCGCGACAGGACCCTTCCGCAGGCGGCGCGGTTCCCTCAGGAGGCGCAGAGCACCTTCGTTGAATCCACCGCTCCCCTAAGCACAGGCGGTTCCGGACCTCGGAAACGCGGCTTCCCCAGCGGAGTGCCCAGCCCAGACCACGGTCTCTGTTCCCCGTCCCGCAGTAAAGGGGAGAGGAAACAGCTTTGCCCAACCCAGCCTACTCCCCCTCGAAGAGCCGACCCCGGGTTCCGCCACCCGGCTGGTGGTATCCGGATTGGGAGCACTTTCTGGCCTCTGAGGGGAGGCTGGCTTCCGATTATTTGTGCTGCGGGAGGAGGGGGAGCCCAGCCGCGCGTAGAGACCTTACTACGGGCCGGGGTCCTGGGCCTCAACGTTGCGCCACCTCGGCTTCGTCGCAACCCGGTGAGGTGGGGACTCTGGCATCCGGTTTTCATAGGAGGAATCGAAGGTTCAGAGCCGGCGAGTGATTTGCCGGAAACTCCACAGGGTATGAGGCTGGGGTTGAGACCCCCTCCAAGGTGCAAAAAGTACCTAGAACCTGCGGAGCAACTGGACTGGCGACGAGGAAAGCTGGAATCCCGCATGGATGAACAGGAAGCGGGGCTGGTCTGGCAGCGCCGCGTCCTCTCTCCGGGCCGCTGATTCTGGAATCTCCAGCGCGGGGCCAAGGGCCCACGCTCCTGGAGAAGGCGGTGAGTGCGTCCTCAGGGAGCGGACAGAGCCGGAGCAGGAAAGGTCATGGCCATCAGAAGCCGGGCAAGAGCGGCTGAGCCTTCTGTGCGCTTGGCTCGTGGGATTCTTTCCCCCTTGGCCAGGGACACGTCAAAGACTCTCCGCGCACCGCGATCTTCCTGTCCCGCGAGTCCCCGACGCCCGAGTCCGTTCTGCGCCTACACAGGTAGGTCAGTCACAGTGTCCTCATACCCTTGGTCCGAGGTAGGCGCCGCTAGTGAACTCTCAGCAACTTTCTCATGCTCCGCGTGTCTCCCGAAATGCTGGAAGCTGTCCCAGCTCTAGGATCCTCCTGTGCTCCTCGTGGCTCAGCTCAGTTTACGAAATCGTCCTCGCGCCAGATCCTTGAGGTGGGGTTAGGGGGGATTATGTAGGTTTGGTTGCATTGCAGACTGCCCTGCAGCGTGTCCCTCACCCAGGACAGGAGTCAGCAGCACGAAGGGCGCGAGGAGGCTTATCGATCCAGGCTCCGACAGAACGACAGACTCCTTCCCAGGCGGGCTGCGAGGCCGGAGCCACTGGATTCCAGACACAGCGAAATCGGCGGCGGAGACAACGAAACTTCAAGAAACAGATGTGCAGGAACTGCCACCAGAGCACCAAAGGGATTAGGGGGTGTGTCCACTGCCACCCCAGCCTTGCTGTGAGGTCCGGGCCTTGCGTCCCTGGATCCCGGCGTGTGAAGGACCTAGGTGCAAAGGATGCGCGGCGCTTTGGGGAGAGGTGTTACTGCTCATCCTGGCAACTGCTAAAAAGAGTAAGGTGGGCGTCGCGCACCGCAGTGCCCTCTACCCCCTGAAAGGAGAGCAGAGATATCTGGGTACTCGTGGTTATATGAAGGGAGCCCTGCGCCCTTGACCAAGTCAGACTCACTTTCCCAGCCTACTATGCTGGATACCTAGTAAGCGCTTGGTAATTATTTGTTGGATGAATGAGCCTCAACGAAAGAGCCCATCTGAGTTTCACCTCGACCCCTTCTCCCACTATTAAGCTACCCCTTTTCTGTACAAGGAAACCAAACCTCAGAGTGGAAACGCCAATGTTAGTTACCAAGCTATTGAGCCGAGAGGCCGAAACTCAAACGGAGGTTCACTTATTTTAGGTTCAAGACCTTCTTGAAGGCTTTAGATCCTGTGAGGCGAACAAGGTGGGTTGGAGGTGGGGCCCTACCTATTCTCTCTGCTCCTTCCCTTCTAGGTAAACCCGTAGGGGAAGAAGCCAGAGGGGGAAAAAAAACCCAGAACCAGCAATTAAGAGGTTAAAACGACCGCTTCTCGGAGGTCCCGGCCCCGAGGCTCCTCCCCCAGCTCCCCTCTCGGCTCCCCCAACATCTGTCCCCCAACAGCTGGCCGCCGCTGGGCCGCTCTCTGCCGCGGTGGGGGGCCGCTTCCCGCTCTGCGCTTCCCCTGGGACCCTCGCTTTGCGGGAGGGGGTAGGCTTCTCCCGCTGGAGCCCGCGACAGAGCTTGGGCTCAAGGCGGAGGGCCAGAGAAGGCTAGGGGCTTGCATGAAGTCGTTTGGGCCTAGCTGGGAAGAGGAACTTTAGCCTCCAGGGCACTCACTGAACCCCCACCCCCATAAACACGAGGGGAAGCAGTTAACCCTTTACTCCCCACTCCCATTGTCAGAAGGCAGGAGGGCCAGGGACCGCAGTGACCTGATATTGACAAAGGTGCTCCATTCACAGGCCTCTGAGGTCACTCCTGCCTAAGTGTTGCAAGATCACCCAGGGAGCCACACATCAGAAAACACAGCGGGCGTGCCAACCAAACTGGGCAGGGACTCTTTGGATCAGCAGAGAGGGGCCCCACGATGCACAGACGGGTGGCTGATATATCTCACCTATAGAAGAGTATGGGGGTGTTTAGGGGCAGGGATGGCGGAGCCAGGCAGCTATAGGGCTTATCTAGTCTCTACCACTTAGCCCTGTGACCTCATCTCTCAGGGCCTCAGTTCCTCGATCCCACCCCCACGCCACCATACTGTGGGATTATGAGAGTATCATACACACAAGGTGGACCTGAGAATTAAATGAGATAAAGCAGGTAAAGGGTTAGCCCAATTCCTGGCTTAGACAAGAACTCCATACGTTATGATGACTGGTGTCCTGTGTCACTGTAAGCAATGGCACTTTCCCAGGACATTAGTCTCCCCAACTATACAGCAGGCATGATGTTCCAGCAGGCTGGGGGAGCCAGGTGGGCACTGCAGATCGGGCCATGCCCTATTGTAGGGCAGCAGCTGCAGGTATGTCTGGGGCTATGGTTGTCGGTAGCAGGGGAAATGTGAATGTCCCGGAAAGGAGCACTATTCTTCCTCCAGAATTTTCTTCCATTTTTGGAAGAAAACAGAAAGAAAAATGGTCTTCACCAAAAGGTGAAGAAATTAAGAGTCCTGTCACATTTTTCTGGTGGTATTTTTTTTTCCTGCTGGGAATCTCAGGGAGTAAGGGGAGGTAGAGATCTGGATAAACGCACAAGGGTTGGTAAGGACCCTGTTTAGAGTGTGAATTGGAGAAACTGAGGCAGAGTCCAGTGGCCTGGCCAAGGACACGCAGCCAATGAGAACCAACCTCTCCCAACAATGCAAATGAGCCAGGAGCAGCACTGGACCTCCATGTCTTCTCTAAGCTTTGCAGACCCTCTCCCTGGTGAACTTGGAGTTCCTTCCTAACCTTTAATTCCCTGAGCCACCAGTGCTAGCTCTGCCAATGGAGACTGAAGGAGGGTCTATAAGATGATGTCAAGGAGGGACAAGGTGGGGGATAGAACCTAGGTGACCCTCTTCCCTGGGGAAAATGCCAGAGGTTAGAGGACCATGGGATCTCCATGCTCCCCCTCCATGGGGCCTTGGCCACTCCCTTCCTCCCCCTTGCCCCGTTGGGAGCTCTTGGCCTCTCTTTGGGCAGAGTGCTCCAGTCCACATCCTACCAGACCCTTGACCCCGGGCTTCAGGAAACAGAAGCCTAGAGAACCTCAGCATGTGACCCCTCCCTGGGCCCCAGCTCCTTAGAGGAAAATTCTGCCTCCCACGCCACCATTCACACTCTCTCCAGGAAGAACTTCCTCATAGCAGCCACCCAGAGCTTGGGCTGCAGTGCAGTGCAGACAATAGTCCTTGCCTGGCACTCGATCGGCTTTTTCTTTCCCTTTTTGTGGGTTTTATTATTTTTGTTACAGGTGGGGCTGCCAGGGATGGGTTATGCCTGCAGGGGGAGAAATGATCAGAAGAGCCACAATTCTACCCTCAACCCAGGGAATGTGAGCTTTTACTGCCTCCATTTTCTTAACCAGAAATCTGGTTTAGTTTTGCTTTCAGGGCTCTTGTCATTGGAAAAAGATTAGTGCTCAGAACCTGCAGCCCAGAAATGGCCCAGTCCCATCCCTCCAGGCAGGCTCTGCTCCTCAAGCTGCGTGGGGAAATGCCATCATGGGCTTGTGCCCAGCATCCACCCTGCCAATGATGACAACAGTGATAATCGAGGCATTCATACCAACCACCATTTAGGGAGCCTTTATAGAGACTTCCCCCCAACAGTGGCCTCTTTGGCAGCTCTGGGAGACAGCCTTGGAAAGGGCGAACTAAGGGCCGAGAGAAGCAGCAACTTGCGAAGGTCACTACTGGCCAGACTGGGCCCAGTCTCCTGCCTCTTCCCACAGTGGCTGCACACCCTACTCTCTACCCCATTGCAGTAGGAAGAGAACTCCAGAATAAGGGGAGGCTCTGAACAGTGGAGTCAGGATCCGTGTTTTGACTAGTTTCAAGGTCTAGTAAAGCACAGTATCCAAGGAGGCTCAGTCCAGCATGGGCATGGGCTAGGGCTGGAGAAGTAGAAAAGAAATTTGGGCAAGTAGTGAATAAGACTGCCAAATCTATTGTTAGGAGAGCCAGGAGAGGTGTCCTAGTGGTGCCTTAGTCTATGGGAGAGACCCAGACACCATTCTGCTGGGTTCCCAAGCTGGCACCTTAAATTTAGTAGCTGATGAATCCAAGGAGCCCCCAAGCATCATCTGGCATGTTTTTTTGTATGTTTGTTTGTTTGTTTTTTGAGACAGAGTCTCTCTCTGTTACCCAGGCTGGAGTGTAGTGACGTGATCTTGGCTCACCACAATGTCCGCCTCCCAGGTTCAAGTGATTCTCTTGCCTCAGCCTCCTGAGTAGCTGGGACTACAGGCACGTGCCACCACACCTGGCTAAGTTTTGTATTTTTAGTAGAGATGGGTTTCACCATGTTGGCCAGGATGGTCTCGATCTCCTGACCTTGTGATCTACCAGCCTTGGCCTCCCAAAGTGCTGCGATTATAGGTGTGAGCCACCACACCCGGCCCATCTGGCATGTTTTATACCAACTGGAGTCAGGCCTAGAGCAGGGAGGTGGCTAGACAGTGACTGTAACCTCCATTTCCTGTCCTGGCCAAACCAATACTCAGATGGGACAGTGAGAGGAGACATCACACTCTGGTTACACACCATTAACCCCTGTCTGACTACACACACACACACACACAGCCGTCCAGATTCACAAATACGTTCTTATCACCCCCTTCATCCCTCAGTGCCTGGGTGGAGGCCCTTAAGCAGGAATGCCCCCTCAGAGGAGAGGGTGGGAGTGGAATGATGGGATTTCAGAATCCCCTCACCTCACCCTCTCACCTCCAGATCCTAGTCCAGATGTAATCCTGTCCTCACCACTTTGCGTGCACGTGCACGCACACACACATGCACACACACAGTCTCAACATTCACATACAGACACCCACTCTTGACACCCACACATGAACTAAAAGACAAACGTTGGTCCATAAAGGAACACACATGCTATCTACATACCCCCAACCCTGCCCAGTGATGCTTTCCCCAGCACTACTGCACAGATCCCAGACAATACAGACACACAGGCACTCCTTGCACACTGAGTCCTAGGCCACTTGGTTGAGCTGCCCCCACCCCACCCCAGCTGCACACTCTTCTACATCCATCCCATAAAGGAAGAGTCCGTCTCTTTAACCATGCTTCTCATGGTTTTCAGAGTACCCTTGCCCCAAATGCTGCCAACCTCCCCCTAGACTCAAGATCTTCTCTTTCCAGATCGCTGGAGGCTCAATGCCAGTGCACAGGAGGAGATCGCCTTCCACCATATTCCCTGACTCCCAGAGGCTCTTTCTAGGGCAGGGGTCTGGCCAGGAAGACTGAAGCCATGACGTCTTCCTGTGCAAGGATAGGAAAGATGTCTGTGGGTTGGAGGGTAGTTATAGGGAAGCAGCTTTCTCCACTTTTTGAGAAAGCACTTGGGAACAAGCATCCCTCTCAGGAAGTGATTCTCCACCATTCTCCTCTGATCCTATAGGCCTGGTGGTCCAAGCCTCAGGCCAGTTGATGCCTCCCACTGGGATCAGCAGACAAGGCCATGACCCTGCAGTGACCTCGACCCCATAATCAGGTCAGGTCCGGGCTTCATGGCTAGAAGCGAGGCCCAGGCGAGTGGCCAAGACGCGGCAGGACAGGAGGATGCGCCTGGCTGCTCTCGGCTGCTGGACGCGGCCTGCAGTAGGGAGAGCGCAGCCCGGGGTAATCCCACTCAGGGCTCCGGGTGCCCAGTTCTCCCACTTCCCATCCTGGCGGCCTAAAGGCAAGGCCTAGACCCTGGAGAGGCCAAAGTCGGGCCAAAACAACAGCGAAGCTGGGACTGGAACAGGCGCTGGGGGCCTGCGCATGACCCCAGGCTCAGAATGCGACACTCCAGTGACGCCGGGGAATGAGTTGAGATGGAGCCGGAGACAGAGGTTGGGGTTCAGGACGAGGCGCTTGGGTATGGGATCGGATCTGAGACGGTTGCGGCGCTGGTGCTTTGGGCTGGACCAGACTCGAACCCAGAGCGGAGCGAGGGTCAGAGCCAGGGCAAGAGTCCGAAGCCCAGCTCAGCGTCCAGCCCGCGAGAGACCCCACCATGAATGACGTCCGAGTAGGGTTGGAACTCGAAGCCCGAACGCACTGGAAATGCAGCCGGACGACGGCTGGGATCCGAGTGGGTCCGGGCCAGAAATGGGGACCTCAGAGCTCCACCGAGGCGCTCGAGGTCAGAACTGAAGCCTGAGACTTAGGCAGGACCCGAGACAGAGCCAGAGACGATACCGAAACCCAATGGACCGCGAGGACCGAAGGCAGATCCGGGGCGCAAACCTGTGCAGGCACTGGCGCGCTGCCTGGAGCTCTGGGTTCGCGCCGCTGAGCGCCGGCAGGTTGGACCAGCGCTGCGCGCCGGAAGTGCACTCGGGACGCCGGGGTTCTGGAGGAGAGACCACACGCCGCAAAAGTGGCCTCCGAATGCGCCCGGGGCCTGCCCTCGGCGACACTGCTGGCTCGGCGGCCGCAGCCTACCTGAAGTAGTCCATCTTGCAGAAGATCTCCTTGTTCTTGATGTAGCAGCTGTTCTGCTGCCTCAGCGACGTGCGACACACGGAGCACTCGAGGCACCGCACGTGCCAGATGAGGTTGTTGACCTGGGGACGGGGCGGGGACGGAGGTCGGCTCAGCGCGGGCCTCTTTCACTCCGGGCCCCAGCCTTCCCGGTCTCATTTACAGTCAGAGGCGCTGAAGCTCAGAAGGTGCATGCGATTCCCCTATTTTTCTCCCGTAATACTGAGACTCAGGGAAATGGAAATAAACTCTTCTTATTTTTCAGACGGAACCCGGGGGCTCAGGCAGACCCTAAGTCTTGCCCAAAGCTTCGCAGTCGGGCAGCAGTGGAGCCAGGATTTGGAAGTAAGAGGACCTGCGGTGCTTCCCTGCAGTCTCCTGCGCTGCGTCCCACGCCCCGACAACACGCACGCAACACCTACCCCTGTCTCACCTTGAGCAGATATCGGTCCAGGATCTCGAGGCCGCAGCTGGAGCAGATGTTCTTGCCTGCAGACGGCACGGAGGAGGCGGCAGAGGGCGGTGAGCAGACAGATGGCGTGCTGGGCGTACATGGGGAGGCCTGACCCTCGTCCTTGTCCAGAGCTCCTGCCAGGGCCTCGGCGTCAGACTGAGCCTGCGGCGGGGGAGAGAAGGAGAGGAGCGCTGATCCGGGCACCCAGAGTTGGGGCTGCCTTGGAGACAAATCTGGGGCCCCCGAGCACCAATTGACAACGAAATCTCCCCAGGACAATGCGCCGTAGACTGAAGGACAGGGATGGAAGGGCCTATTGGAGAGGAAGGGACGGCCCCAACTTTTAACACGCGCATTCTGGGTGCTGGGAGCGGTTAAAGCCAACATTCCCTGCCGGAAAACCGAGGCTCAGAGAGGGGCGGCGCCCGCCGGGAGTCCCCCAGAGCGTGAGCAGCAGTTCGTGGCCGGAAAACCTGGCCAGGTCCCCAGGGCCGGGCCGCTGGAGGACTGGGCACCGCAGGCAGGGCCAAACGGACTCACCATGGCGGGCGGCGCGGTCCCTTCAAGACAGCGGGTGGTCGCTTTGCAGCCGGACCCTGGCTGGGCCATCACCTGGGGGAGGGGGGGAGGGAACGCAGGCGGCGGCGGCTGCTGAACTGGCTCCGCACAGCCTGAGCCCAGCGCCTCCCCGCGCCTGTTATATAAACCGGCGCCGAACAATGAGTCCTAACTTTGTAGTGGGCATTTAAAGCCCTTCCCCACAAAAGCGGTGTCTCTCTAATGAAGCAATTTGAATTTGGATTGGATTTTTTCCCTCTCTCTCCCCCTCTCCCTGCACTTAACCCGTGGCTCTTGAAGTAATCGCTTAGTTCCCTTGCAATCCAAGCCTCTGAGGGGGGAAGAAAAACACGCGCACACACACACAAACTACCTGCAATTAGAAATTGTCGTGAATGCCCAAGATAAGAGGTAGCCAGAGTGTCAATTCCAACTGTCAATCAGTGAGATCCATCAGGCCGCCCAAAGAATTGCAAATTTGATTTTTTAATGGTAGTAATTAAAAATCGAATTTTTTCTCTCTCCACCCGCCCCCCCACCCCACTCCCCTTCCTCGCTCCCTTCTCCTCTCGGCACAAAATGCAAAAAGGAGAAAAGAGAGAAAGAAAGAAAATAAAAAAGAGATGGGTGAGGGGCGGAGGGTGGTTGAAGAAAAGAAAACCCCGAGCGCGGTGAGCACCCGCCCGCCCGCCCGCCTGACACGCGCGGCGAAATTGAAGCAGCTATATTGACACGGATTCAGGCGCCTTTCGAGGGCCAGTCGGAGGGAAACCCGGAGCAAAAAGAGAGCGAGATCGGGGCGAAACGGGACCAAAAAGAGAAAAGAGAGGCGCTCAAGGGGAGGAAAAAGCACCCTCCAGCCCCTCGGCGCGCCGGGTACCGGCCCCGCGTCGGGATTCTCAGCGCTGCGCCGGCACAACCCCCGGCGCATCGGCGCTATCAGCGCCTATTCAGACGGACAATACCGGCCTCGCCTCCTCTTGATTCGCCTGTGTCTTTACTAAATCGCTTTTTGAGAAATTCCTCCAACATTTGCATAATGTGTTCCCGCTTTCCGCGACCCCCCCCCCCCGCTCGCGCGCGCGCTCCCACACTCACAAGCACACACTCACAGGCGCACCCTCGTACCCCTCCTTCCTGCAACCGCCCGCCACCCTGCTCGGCCCGGCTGGGTCCCGGACCCTGCCCGACCCCGGCCCGGGCCGCTCACCCAGTCGTTCGCCGGCTCACCTGGTCGGTGGCGGGGCCGCCCTCGGCCGGCAGCCGGCAGCCCTCGGGCAACGCCGGGGCGGCGTTCTCATGCTTCCAGTACATGGGCCGGGGAACCTCGGGCTCAGCGGGCGCGCAGCGCGGAGAGCTGCGCCGAGGGGGACCACAGCCGCAGTGGGAGCAGAGGCTGCTGCAGGAGCAGGAGGAGAGCCGAGGCGCCGGCCCCGCCGCCCCGGGCCCGGCCTCAGCCCCCGCCCCCGGCCCGCGCGCAGCCCCGGCCTCCCTGGCTGCTGCCGCCGCTGCCTCGGAAGAAGGTCCCGACAAACTTGGAGAGGCCCCCGCCCCCTCCTTCTTCTCCTCCTCCCCCTCTTGGTAGTCCTCCTCCTCCTCTCCCTCCTCCTTGTCCTCCTCCCCCTCCAGCTGCAACGGCGGCCGCCCTGCCGCTGGAGCCCCGCTCGGTTCAAGATGAGTCATGCGTGACCAATCCCCTCCCCGCCAAGGGAGAGCAAGACACACACGACGAGGCAGAGACCCAGAGAGAGAGACACACACACAGACACAGAGACACACAGAAACTCAGAGCTGCCGACAGAGAGACTCGGAGACACGCCAGTACACAAAGGCACCGGCGGGCACACATCCACCCAGCTCTCACTACCGCTCCTCCCTCAAGGGGCACCCATCTTCCTCAGACACTGCCCCACTCACAGGTACAGGAGGGACCCATGGCCATACCATCTGCGGAGATAGATTCCGTAGGAGGTCACACGTTATTACACTGTGTTGATGCAATCCCATGCCTGGTACATTTGTGTACACACTAATGTAAGTGATTACCTGTTCACATCATTTACACGGGCACGAGGCACCACACTTACTCTCACACACCTGCACAGATACCTCTGCTCTATAAGAACCAGACAGTGCACCAGCTCCCAGGGACTGAGGTGAAACGGGAGGGTAGTTTCCCTGAATTCTCTTGGAAGGGATTGCTTGGCACATTCCCCTTCCCTTCAGGATTTGCTTAACCACACAGTCCAATGCCCATCCCTTCTTCTCTAGGGTTCTACTGACAATGAGAATGGTAGGGAAGGCAGGAAGGCCCAGGCATTTAGACAGAAGACACTGCCCCCAGACACACAGACACAGAACCTTCAAACCCAAAGATGGAGCCTTACACACACTAACGCCCTGCAGCATACACAAGTGGACACTTAGAGTCTCAGCCCCCTTCTCCACACACAAACTGAGCCTAAAGAGACACATGTAAACATACATCATCTAAAAACAAATAAGCACACTCAGACATAGATCCAGCCCTACAGACACCATGACAGCCTACCCTCACCACATCACACATGTCATCACCTCCATAATTGCCCTCATTTACAGATGTAAACACCCCCCCACACACAATTGTTCTTCCATTTGTACACACAGCCATACTCAAGAGGGCACAGATTTTCACAGAGCTCCAAACCCATGTATAACCTTATGTCCTCTACTCAGGCACCCTCAAATATGTACTTACATCCTTACAGATGGTGAGACAACTATTGATAGGCATTTATAGGCAGACACATCACACACACTTCTGCAGCCATAGATTCCCAATAGTTATAGTCTCAGTTTGCACACACACAGGCAGGTTCTGACAGGCGCAGGTAGTAGAGGATGCCTGCACACCAACACGATACTAAAGATCCACACCCATATTCCCCAAAGATACAAATATCTGTTCCTTTACTGGCATCAAGGTACACAAAAATAGCCCCAGCCTCAGCTAATGGCATTTCCCGCCCTCTGCATCCCAGTCATTCATTGCTCTCAGACACAGAAATTCAGAGTGAAAAGAGTTTCTCTTTGAACCCTAATCTTTTATACGAAGAGAACAAGTTGCAATGTGAAAGCGGGTGAGGTGTATGCATAGGTACACATGTGTACACACATACACATGCATTCTCAAACATGAATACAGAAGAACAACCCCTCCCTCTCAAATATCTCCTTTGCACATAATAATTTCAGCTACTACTGGGATTATTCCCAGTTATTACAGCTACTAATCTGTGCCAGGCATGATACGAGGCATTTTACAATCGTGATCTCATTTTCTTTTCACAATAATCCCGTGAGGTAGCATCTCTCAGCGTGCTTGTTTTACTGATCAAGAGACTGAGGTTCAGAGAGTTCATGTGATATATCCAAAATGGTGCACATGGCTAATTGCCAGAACCAAGGACTTAAAACCACATTCATCTCACATTAGAGCTCATACTCTTGATTTCTAGGCTGCAGACATGACCATGTTTACTTTCTGCACACACACATGTGCACACACACACACACACACACATACACACACACTCCACATTATCTGTTAAAAGACCTGGATGTGACTCCCAGCCTCACCACTTATAGGCTCAGCCTGTTTTCTCATCGGCAAAATGGGAATAACAATAGGACCTGCTTTACCTCCTTCTCTTCCTCCCCTTTGGGTGGCTGGGGGAATTGAAAGGTTAATAAACGTTATAGAATGCTGCACATATGCCAGATTTGTGAGTGCAGAAGGGCCCCAGGAAAGAAGACCATGAAGATCGTACTGGCTTTGCAAAACTTCTTAGACATGAGCCATGGAAGAGGCTTGAGCTAAAACTAAAGGGCAGGTGAAATTTGGATGGGTTCAGGGAGAAGAAGAAAGTATTTCAGGTAGAGAGAGGACCACAAAGGTTCAGAGGCTGGACAAACAAGCTGCTGCACTCTAATGAGGGGGAATGTGAAGCATGTGCTCCTAGAGTGATAACAATAATAACTATTTATTGAGCATTTATGTGCTAAGCCCTTTGTTGTTTACACGCATTATCCTCTTTAATCCTTGCAACTACCCTACAAAAAGGTTATATTATTATCTTTCTTTTATAGTTGAGGAAACAAGCTTACAGGAGTCCCATCTGAAGCTCTGGCACTCAGATTTTAGAACCCAAACTCTTACCTACTATGCAATTCTGCTCCTGAATTCTGATTAAGTGCTCAGATAATAAAAACTGGAGTAAGAGGCAGTAAAGTCAGTAGTGAAGCACAAAGACTCTAGGGCCAGATGGCCTTGATGCCAACCTTGGCATCTGTTTTCTATTCCCTTTATTACTTTATTACTTGGGTAACCCTGGACAAGTTCTTCAGCCACTCATCAGCCTCAGTTTCCTCATCTGTAAAGTGGGGATAACCGAGTTCAACTCCTATGGTTGTGAAAATTACGCAAATGATCCATGTAATAGGGCTCAGAAATATGCCAGGCACACAGTAAGCAAATGATAAACAGCCATCATTATGGCAATGGACCGGCTGAATCTTGTGGTTGTGATTCTACTAGGTACTACATCAAATTCTTTATGAAGGCAGGGGATGAATCAACCAAAAAAAATCAAATCTTCTCCTGAATAACTTACCTAAGGAAGATGCAGAACCATTATTCGAGCCCAGAACTTGCCTAACTTCAAAGAGGACAGAAGTGAAATTACTTTGGAAAAGAAATCTCTCTTCCAATGACTCCTGACTCCATCTTTTTCCATCAGGAAAAAGAGTCCAGATAGGAGTGACCTTGGCAAAATTAGGATTAGCAAACATAGTACCTTCCATTAGGATACTTGATTTCTTCCTATGACAAACTGTGGGTCACTTTGAGTCACTTAGCTTCTCTGAGCCTCAGTTCCTCACCTGCAAAACGGGGAATAATGATACTGACCTCTCAGAATTGAAGTGACAACTAACTATACATTAAAAACTAATATTTTGGCTGGGTGCAGTGGCTTATGCCTGTAATCCCAGCACTTTGGGAGGCCAAGGTGGGTGGATCACAAGGTCAGGAGATCAAGCCCATCCTGGCCAACATAGTGAAACTCAGTCTCTCCTAAAAATACAAAAATTAGCCGGGTGTGGTGGCAGGTGGCTATAGTCCCAGCTAGTCGGGAGGCTGAGGGCTGAGGCAGGAGAATTGCTTGAACCTGGGAGGCAGAGGCTGCAGTGAGCCGAGATTGCACCACTGCACTCCAGCCTGGCAACAGAGTGACACTCGATCTCAAAAAAAAAAAAAAAAAAAAAAAAAAAGAACTAATATTTTTTAAAGTGTTGTAGATTTATTCATTTATACAACCCTGAAGCTGTATTAAGCACCCTACATGAATAATGGCATCTTCTCACTTTGCAGTTCTTCTCCCGGTCACTAAACAGGATGTGGTCATCTGGTCCTCTGGGGTGAATTTTGCCATCTTCCCCCATTTGAGTCTAGGCCCAAGGGTTCAGTTTGAAAGAGGCTTCATTAGTAACTGGATAATTCTGTGGGAGGCCCCCAGCAATGGTTCGACCCTGCCGGGGAGTAATTCTAGGAAGGTAATGTGAGCTGGGGGAGGCTGGAGACCCAGCTTCACATTTATTTACTTTGACAGCTAAATTGGTGAGCAAGGGGGAAATCAGATGAAAGCCATTTCAGAGTAAATACTAAATACGAAATTTAAACATTCAGATTGTGACAAATGAGAAAGGGACAATGGGAAGAGACACGGCAGCACCCCCCTTCCAAGCCTAGGACCTACCCTCACCCCATCAGCTTCCTAGGTATTTCCTGTTTGAGGAAAGAGCACAGAATGGGGTACAAACTGTATGACCCTAGGCCGGCAATTTACCTCTCCTGGCCTCAGTGTCCTTGTTTGCAAAATGCGCGTGTGAATCAGCGATGTGGAAGTGACGGAGCGAGCCTGGGCGTAAGATAGACCACCAACCCAGCCCAGCCACTTCCTGGCACGCTGAACTTGGAAAAGTCACTTATCTGAAACACATTTTTCTTAATATCAATATCTGGGAACAATATCAATCTCAGAGGAGTCAATAAGATAATCAGTGTGAAAGGGATTTGAGAAGCACAAAACTCCGGGGCCAGATGGCCTTAATGTCAACCTTGTCACTTCCCTTTATTACTTGGGTAATCCTGGAAAAGTTCTTCAGTCACTCATCAGCCTCAGTTTCCTCATCTGTTAAGTGAGGATAACCGAGTTCAACTCCTATGGTTGTGAAAATTACGCAAATGATCCATGTGACAGGACTCAGAAATATGCCTGGCACACAGTAGTCAATCAATAAACATTAGCCGTCATTGTGGCACGGGCTCTCTGAATTTTCTGTTTGTTATTCTACTAGGTACCACATCAAATTCTTTATGAAGGCAGGGGACAAATCAAAGCTTCAAAGTATATGGCAAAGCAATATTGCATACCTCAAAGCATATTGCAAATGTGAACAATTATAGTTACTGGAAGTCCCCTTCCAGGAAGCTCTGACATTCGCTAAGTAAGTTCAGGTCAGCAGACATTTGTGAAGCATTTACTCCATACCAGGTTCCACACTAGGCCCAGGAAATAGAGGAAGCTGTCCTTGTCCCTGCCCTTGAGGAGCCCACAGTCTCTTAAGAGAGAAGAAAGCCAGCAACTCAGTGCAGTGTGACAGGTGCTACAAAGGGTGCTATAGAAGCAAGGAGGAGGGTCACTTAACCTGGCTTATGGGTGGTGGATCAGGAAGGCTTCCTAGAGGAGGTGACGTTTCAGATAAGTCCTGAAGGATGAGTAAGTACAGACAGGCAAGAGCAGAAAGGAGTTGGACCAGGATAAAGAGTGGCGGCCCAGTTAGTGTTTGCTGGGGCAACAAAGGGAGATGAGGCTAGGGAAGTAGACAGGAGCCAGATTGTGGGGAGCTGAGTGTTGACGAGGTTAGATTCATCTTGGAAGCTGGAGTCTACAAGCCTACAGTGACACAGGAAGCAGCATCCTGCAGGAGTTGCACAGCACAGTGGTTAAGGATTCCGGGGTTGGAGCCAGGTGGCCTATATTGATAACCTGACCCTGTTACACACTGGTTGGGGGGCCGAAGGCAAGTCACAAACTCTATGAGCCTTAGTTCCCTCAACCGTAAAATGGGGATTAATAGATAACCCATTGACAAGTGCTGTGATGATACCAGGAGACCATGATGCATCTACGAGTTAAGTTCTTGGCCACCAAGAGACATTGTTATCACTGTTACCACTAAGAAGATGAGGTAATGGTCACACAGAAGGCACTAGCTAAGTGGGGATCCTCAAGGTGCTAGATGTTCCCTCCTCAGAGAATTCTACCCTGACCACATGATTGAAAATAAATCTCCCGTATTAATCTTTTTCCAGCAGAGGGTAGATACAGCTTACACATAGCCTCACAAATAGTCTTCTATAGAATGCCAAGGAATTTCAACTTCAAAATAGGAACTATGAGGGGCTTGTCAGCATGGAGATGACATGGTGAAGTTGGAGATTTGGAAAGATGACTTAAGTAGTTGGTTTGAAGATAGATTTGAAGGGGTAAGTACTTAATTGATTGCAGCAATACTGAACGTTTATTAACTAGTAATCTAAGGGAGAAGGAATGAGGCAGCTGCAGGAACAAGGAGGATGAACAGAAATAAAATAATTAAAAGTTTATTATTTTACTTTATTATGTTGTATATCATCATATACATATCTACAACACATCCAGTTTTCTAATCATCTTTTTTTTTTTTTTCCTTGAGGCAGAGTCTCGTTCTGTCGCCCAGGCTGGAGTGCAGTAGCACCATCTCGGCTCACTGCAACCTCTACCTCCTGGGTTCAAGTGATTCTTATGCCTCAGCCTCCTGAGTAGCTGGATTACTGGCACGTGCCTCCATGTCCAGCTAATTTTTTGCTTTTGCTTTTGTTTATTTGAGACAGAGTTTTGCTCTTCTCGCCCAGGCTGGAGTGCAATGGCGTAATCTCGGCTCACCGCAACTTCCACCTCCTGGGTTCAAGCGATTCTCCTGCCTCAGCCTCCCAAGTAGCTGGGATTGCAGGCATGTGCCACCACGCCCAGCTAATTTTGTATTTTTAGTAGAGATGGGGTTTCTCCATGTTGGTCAGGCTGGTCTCCAACTCCTGACCTCAGGTGATTCGCCTGCCTTGGCCTCCCAAAGTGCTGAGATTACAGGCATGAGCCACCGTGCCCAGCCAATTTTTTGTATTTTTAGTAGAGACGTGGTTTCACTATTTTGCCAGGCTGGTCTCAAACTCCTGGCGTGAAGTGATCTGCCTGCCTTGGCCAAAGTGCTGGGATTACAGGCGTGAGCCACCACGTCTAACCAACTTTACATATTAAGGTTATATATAGAATCATATATATGTAGTATATATGGTATAAATACATACAAATGTATCATATATGATATCATCAGCTATATAACATTTAGGAGACTGGATATAGGGAGTGGGGGAGTGGAAAATGTTCAAGATAACTCTCAGGTTTCTAATAGTTTATTTTATTTTTCCCAGTGACACAGAACATGGGAGCAATTGAGGAAGGGCAAGAGGGATCCATGAGCTCGGTTTTGAGTCAATGTACCAAGGGAATATTCAAGTGGAAGTGCCCAGGAGTGAACGGGACATATGGCTCTGCAGCTCAGAAGAGAGCCTGGATCTAAGAGAAGGAATTTCAGAGATATCAGGGTAGGGATAGCAGCGGAAGCCTTGGAAGTGGAGATTTTACAGCAGCTGGAATTTACCCCATCTATGAGAAGAGAGTTGGCTTGTTTGCTTTCTGGGAGGTAATTTGCCCCTGAAACTCATCTTACTTTTGGTGAGAATCGTTTTTTAAATTATAAAGCACATTATATGTAGTGATAAGTGCTAAAACAGACCCAGGTCGTTAAGACGCAGAAAGGCAATTAACTGCCTTATAGGAATGAGCATGGGTGGGAAAATATCTGTTAGACAAGTGGTGGGGGTGGGCAGAAGGGACTTCCCAGGTAGAAGGCACATCTTGTACAAGGACAGGGGAATCCAGGAGAGTCCATCATGTTTAGGGTGCACAAATAGTTTAGTCTGGTTAGGAGAATGCCTAGTGGGACTGATTTGTAGAAGGCCTCATAAACCTGGCTTATCCTATGGTTCTAGGTATTTGGAAGTATCTTAACTCCTTACTTAGATTAAATCTTAATATCTCTCACTTTGGGGCTTTGTTCTTTGTTCAACGTCCCCCTTAAACCGTTTACGCAGCTTATTAAACATCGTTTGGCCGCTCAGCTCGGGGGGAAATCACCTATGTCACCATGTCCCATTCCCAGCCTGGTTCCCATCCTCTGGTGTCTTGAAGCTGCTGAGTCGTCCCTTTATCACGGTACATCACAGTGCACAGGGCTCCTGCCTCATCATCTTTACACCCTCCACGCATCACACATGGCAAATGCCATCTGTTTCAGGAATGAGTAACCTTCCTTCTGATGAGGTCGCCCACCAGAAAGCTTCTCAAATGGGATAGGCCTGTTTTCAGAAGAGGAACACATAACTTGTTTTTTAAGGTGAAAATTTAAAATTATGCTTCTAGTTTAGAAAAGTCACAGGGCATGTAAAAATTAAATGTCATTCAGCATAATCAGTAATCTTAGCCAAGTTTAAGATTGAATGCAGAGGAAAGAAGACACAGACCTGCGTACTCGGATAAATTCTGACAGATCTGTTTTTTTTGGGTTTTTGTTTTTTTCTTTTTAACCTGGGATTCAAGAGGTCTCTCCAGAGACCACAAGGAAGAGCCTGCTTGAGAATGAAACCAACCCAGAGGAAAACACAATCAAGAGATAGACAGAATCCTAACCATTTCACTGAACACCTGGACTTCTCAGTTACATGAACCAATACATGTTCTACCGCAAGGGAGTTGGAGTAGTGTTTTTGTCACTTGAGCTGGGAGTCCTGACAAATCTGCTTACATAGCTGGGGCTACAAGTCTAAATCTGAAGCCCAAGTTCTTACGGCCTTAGTTTCCTCACAGGGACAATGAGAGGATTTAGCCCACATTGATAGCCTTAAGCAGTACAGTGATGCCACTAGGGCTGGCACAGCCAGTTCTCTATCCCAAAAGATGTGTAAGGGGTCAGAGACATTGACTAAGAAACAATATTCGGTGCACATCATTCTGACATCTGTTGCTTTTATTCTCTGCATTAATACGAGAATTTTAGAAAACACATTTCCAGTCATGGAATATTGTTTAGAGTAGGGTTTGGCAAATTTTTCCTGTAAAGGGACCGATAGTATATATTTCAGGTTTTGTAGGCCACAGTCTTCATTGCCAACTATTCAACTCTTCTATTATATGGGGAAAACAGCCACATGTAAATGCCTGGGCATGGTTGTGTTCTAATAGTTATTAACATACACTGAGATTTGAATTTCGTATCATTTTCATGTCACAATATAGTATATATATTTTGTTTACTTTTTTTCTCAACCACTCGAAAATGAAAAAAAAATCATTCTTAACTTGTAGGCTATACAAAATTAGGAGGCAGAGGCCAGTTTGCTGAACACTGGACTAGATGTTTGCAGGCCTGGGTTCTACCTAAAGCTCTCCCATTAACCAGGTGACCCTGGCCAAATCGCTTTGTCTCTCTGGGTTCCCGTTTTCCCCATCTGGACAATGAGGGGGCTATATGAGATGGTCTCTTAAGGCCCTTTGGCTCTCAAATACCAGAATTCTTGTAGTTTATCCAACAAATATTTATTGAGTATGTATGATGTACAGCCATTGTTTTAAATGCTGAGGGTATAGCAGTGATATACAGTTCCTGCTTACATGAAACTTACATTCCAATAAAAAGAGACAAAAAAAAATTTAGATATAATGTTGGTTAGCGGTAAGTGCTTTTGAGAAAATCGTGAGGAAAGGATTGGAGAGTGACAGGTTGTAATTTTAAGAGGGAGGCCGGGGACTGCCTCTTGATCATTAACATTTGAGCAGAGACATGAGTCAGGTGAGAGAGCGGGCTCTGCGGCTATCTGGAGAAAGAGCGTTCTAAGCTAAGGCAACAGCCAATGTAAATGCCTTGAAGTAGAAGCTCCCTTGTATTCAAAGAATAGCAAGAAGGCCAACGTGGCTGCAGTACACCGCACAAGGGGAGAACAGTAGGCTATAGGGTCAGACACGTAGTGAAGGACAGGTCATTAGGGCCTTACAGATCTTTCAATTTTTTCTAGGCTGTGATGGAAAGCCACAAAGAAGAGAATCACATTTTAAAATAATTTTTTTAAAAATTGCTTTGGCTACTGTGTGGAAAACGGACCCTAAAGAATCAATAGCAGAGGCAGGGAGATAATTAGGAAGGTATTGTAATAGTCCAGGGAAGAGATGATGGTGGCTTTAAGAAAAATGGTGGTAGTGTTGGAGGTGGTGAGATGGCTGGATTCAAGAGGCATTTGGAAGGTAGAGTTGACAGGATTTGTTGAAGAACTAGATAGGAGCTGGAGAGAAAAAGAGAAAACAGGGATAAGCATGCTGGGACTAAATCATATTTTAGGAACAAATGATTACATATAGGAAATGTTTGACATTTAATTTATAAGGCAAGAATTACTCCTGTTCTTTTATGTAGTAGTATAAAAGAATCACAGATATATTTGTTGATTCAGAAACTGTGCATATCTTAATAAACAAGAGACAGAGCTGCAGAATACCTGGTTTCATACAACTTGTGCAACTGATTTTTGACCTGTTTTGTTTTTGTTTTTTTTGAGACGGTGTCTCACTCTGTTGCCCAGGCTGGAGTGCAGTGGCACAATCTCGGCTCACTGGAACCTCTACCTCCTGGGTTCAAGCGATTCTTGTGCCTCAGCTGACATGCTTTGAAAAATCTTTCCTCATGTGATACTCCTCCCCAGTACTAAGATACCAATTATAGAAAATCAACTGGTTAGGATTACATTTTGCATTTGATAAAATAGGAATTGAGATGAAGAAAATAGTTCATACGTCTCTCCTCAGTATTTCCTTCAATTCTTCACTCTTGTATATAAATCAAAATTATAAGTGACATAATTTTAGCAAACCAAAATAACCAGTAAACCAAAGAATAATTTTACTTAAAGTACAGACAACCTCCTAACAAAGAGTTGACCAAGTTAACACCTGAAATTTAAAAACCTTTCATCAGACTGCTTTCAGCATATTTAGGATACATACATTTCTTCTTTTGAAATCTCTACCACGAGAGACTAAACACAGTACGATACTTGCAGAGATTTCCATTAACAACTTCTTTTCAAATAGTGACATTTGCAATGGAAACAGCTGGTCTCTATTCTCATCTCTAACAACAGAGGTAGGCAGGCATAAAGGGTAAAGAGAGTTGCCTCTCAGTTTGACTCTCTAGCCAGAACCCTCTGCAGAGAAGGCACTTAGAAGAAGCACCCCACGTGGACATGCTGGCCAGAGTCCTGAGTGGAAACAAGCCTGTCAGAGAACTGCAGTCTATGCCAGTAAGTGAACGAGAGAAGATATAACCACACGGACACCGTCTTACATTTATTCACACAGAGGGATAAGAATCAGTACAAATAATAAACAGTGCTTTAAATACAAATAAATAGCTCTGGTTTCTAAAGGAAACAACTCTATATATAATTCTAAGTTTTTTCTAAGTTCCTATTAAAAATAGAAGACTATTTTGCACTATGTAAGTTCTAGTCCACCATAATCCTTTGAAGACTTACGGATAAAATGGTGAATTCTATACTCCAAGAAGTCACCAGAAAAATGGGAGATAATGCTCCTACCTCTCTGAACTATCCCCCAAATAGGAGGAGAGTTACTTGCATCATAGACAGACACAGCTAATACATACAGAAAGTATTTGATGTCTAGAGATATTTAAAAAGATTAACCTTGGGAAAAGTAAAAAGAATTTCCTTAAACCAGTTTTATGAATTCTAAAACCTCCCTCTACTGAAGTTTTGATTCAAATGTCTTAAATTCATTTATACTCATGGGAAGATGTTAAGTTCCTATATTGAAAGCTTCCTCTTGCTAACAACGATAGTGATAAACATTCTGTCATCACCAAGAATGGCACCTGGAGTAACAAAGTGATACATACCTGGTAAAGGAGCAAAGGTGCTGCCCAATTAAACAGTATGTCAAACTTGGCATCAAAATGACCAAAATGTGCTGAAGAAACACATCCCTAAATCTGTTGGTTGACTTATCTTTCTCTATTGTTATATTCAGGATGCTTAGAGTGACAAACATATCTAGAGGCAAGTATGTTCTCCAAGTGAAGAATCATTTCCAAGGCATGCAGTCCTTTAAAACTACCTACCACACAGAGTCATTACAGTCTTGGTGCCACAGTGGCATCTGTTCCATTGACTTTCTGTGCCCACTGCATGTCCTCTCCTCGTCCTGCACAAGATAATGCAATCTCTTCCACTTAGACCGCTACACAATTATTAGAAAATTGTATGTTTGATAGTGACCAATATAGCAATGTTTAGGTTTTCAAAGAAATTTTGCTTTTTCTATTTAGACTGACCATGATATAATTCCAAACAGAACATTCTCATGCTATAAAAACAATCCCATGCAATAAATGTAATTTTAAAAGTCCCATGATAATAGCAACATTTGTTATTATAGAAGGCATGGTTATTTAGATTTGAAAAAAATGGTTGCTATAGAATAAAAGTTCAATTTCCAAATAGAACTTGTGTTGTGGTATAAAATGTTAAATTTGATTCTAGTTTTGTCAACACAAACAATTTTAAGATATACACCATGTTTTCCTAGTTGGGATTTTGAAACAATAAGCATAATTCTTAAACAGATTACTACAACATTTGTTCAAAGAATCAGCTCCTTTTTGCCAAGAACTTTCTCTTTTTCAGTCCAGTTGGAGGGATTGCCGTAGTAAATTCTGGAACAACAGTTCTGAACATGATTTAAAATCTGTCTCTCACTTCCCTCCCTGCCTTTTACTTTTTCTTTATGTTGTAAAAGACACACGAGCGTAGAAAAATGCTCAATTTTTTAATAGATGTTAATATTTTTAGTTTCCTGATTTAAATAATATTTTGTGTATTTGCCTTTTGCTCTGGCACACTATAGAATGTTTCTGGAGTTACAAATCCAAACCAACCAGCCAATTAGAGCATCCCAGGGTTCAAATCACAATTTGGGATACAACGCTATTTATTCTGGATGATGCTCAATTCCATACATAGTTTAGGGAAGAAACATCCATAAGAACATCCAAAAACATTATGTTACCAAATGCTAACATGTGATTGTGCTCCGTTGAATAGTACCATTCACATCTACAAAGTACACAGGCAGACGATTTTAGGTGTGGAGACCAATTTGCTTTTGCTGCTACAGTAATTCACAACCATCATCTTCGAGATTTCCATGCTGTTCTAGAATATGGAGTAGTCCTTTTTTTATCTGGTGGCTTAAAGTAGGAATAAACAGGCGCTGCTGGATACTCTGCATCAGGATTTTCCGCCATCATTTTCAGTTTTGCTTCAATGGCTTTTATCTTTGCAGTGACACTGGAAAAATAATAGCAGAGGATCAGAGTGGGCCTAGGTATATTCAGAAAATAGCTGTACAGTTCCTCTCCTTGAGCCTCTTGGGAATATTAGAGACGCAACAAGATACTAAATTACAGACATTTAAACATTTTATATAAAAGCCAGAAATAACTAATTCTCTCATTCTAAGAAACAGATCAAGTCTGAGCCATCTATTAAGTTTTTAACATAAGCCTGGACATTGTTGGGAGTACTTCATATAGTTCTACATTTAATCCTCAGACGCAGACACTGTTAGCACCTTAATGCTTGGCAGAGAGTAGGTACTAAAAATAATTCTTTTAGAATTGAAAACAACATTATAAGATAGGTTATATTCCTTATTTTGCAGATGATGTAACTGAGGCACAGAAAGGTTCATTTGCCCAATGTTACACAGCAAGTAAACGATAGAGCAGAGATTTGAATACAAACTGACTCAAAAGCCCAGGTTTCACCTGAATCACTGAATAAAAATGGAAAAAAAACATTCTGGAAATCCTATACAATCTCTTTTTACTGATGAATGCATGTTAATAAAAACTATCATTTACAAAGTGCTTACAATGAGCCAGGCACAGTGCATTTTACTTATACTGTTTTTTTTTTTTTAGACAGGGTCTTGTTCTGCCACCAAGGCTGTAATACAGTGGTGCCATCATAGCTTACTAAAACCTTGAACTCCTGAGCTCAAGCAACCCTACTGCCTCAGCCTCGTGAGTAGGTAGGGCTACAGGCACACACCACCACATCCATCTGAATTTGTTTTTGTTTTTGTTTTGAGATGGAGTCTCGCTGTGTCGTCAGGCTGGAGTGCAGTGGTGTGATTTCGGCTCACTGCAACCTCCGCCTCCCAGGTTCAAGCAATTCTCTTGCCTCAGCCTCCCAAGTAGCCGGGATTACAGGTAGCAAGCGCCACCACGCCCAGCTAATTTTTGTACTTTTAGTAGAGACAGGGTTTCACCATTTTGGCCAGAATGGTCTCAATCTCTTGACCTCGTGATCCGTCCGCCTTGACCTCCCAAAGTGCTGGGATTACAGGCGTGAGCTACCGCGCCCAGCCCCATCTGATTTTTTTAACTTTTTTTGTAGAGATGGAGTCTCACTATGTTGTCCAGGCTGGTCTTGAACTCCTGGCTTCAAGTAATCCTCCTGCCTCAGCCTCCCTAAATGCTGGGATTACAGGCATGAGCCACTGCACTCGACCTACTTATAATGTTTTTAATCCTTGCAATGGCTCTACATGGGTTATCATGCATGTTTTATAGATACAGAAACAAATGCAGAGGTGGTGATATGATCAAGGTTCACACAGTTAACAAACTGTAGTGAGGATTCAACTCATCACCAAAGCCCTCATTTTTTCTTCTCCATCAAGTTAAGAGCTGAATAGTCCTATATTGTACAGGAAGGGAGAGGAGATCTTAGAGAAGTTGCGAGGAATTTGCTTTTGATTGAGATCATTGCTATCCCTGGATCAGAATGCAGAGCACTCAGGGAGTAGGTATTTTTTGGCCTATGGCTACCTTCATTTTCCATTCTTGATGCGTTAATGGTCTATGGCCAGTGAGAGAAACTTGGAAGGAGTATATACATGGGCTTTTGGAGATCCTCGAAAGGTATACATGGGCGAGAAATTTAAAAACTAAGTTACAAGAAAAAGAACACTGATATATTACCGAGATGCATTCTGGCCCCTCTTCCATTAATGCCACAGCTGGTCACTGATTTTGTATAAGTCACAGGGAAGCAACCTTCTCTCATTAGGCATAGATGTTAATAGAGAGATGTAAGCTGAGGTCCTCTGGATAAAAAAATAGATGGAAAACCCTAGGCTATCTTGTAAACAAGTGGCATATACAAATCATAAGAAACTAAAGACATGTTCATTGTAACATGAAGACCACCAAGCATAAATGCAGTCATCTCTTTCAAATAGGAGTTAGTTAGATTTATGAAAACCTTCATGGAAATCAATCTGTGATCAAGGAGGTTCAAATCTTATGAGGAAAATAACACAGTGGATATATGCTCCCAGTGACTCTACAGAAGTCCCTTAATTCCCTAGAGCACGAAATAAAAAAAAAAAATCATATTAAACTTAAATGAATAACTATAGAATGAATTTAAATTTACCAATTTACCATTCCTGAAAACATTTCAGGAACACCTTCCCTTGGGTTTAATGAGATGCTTGTAAATCTGTTTTGTTTGGTGCAGATAATATACAAGAAAGGCATTTATTTCCCCTGCTTGGTACTCCACCCAAATAGGCATCACTTTCCTGACTTTAGAATTGTTGGTTTCTGATCCTTATGTATCACTGATGCTCCTTCACGTATTTTCTTCCCCTGCCCCGGAACAGGTTTTAGTCCTGCATTTACAGCCTGGGGCTTCTTTGAAGTAGTAACTACAAGACTGAATTTTGAGGTCTAATAGACCTGGCTTTAAATCCTGAGTGTTATTTGCCATCTGTGTGATCTCAGCCATAAGTAAATGACACACTGCAAATAAAGTGTTTAGCACAGTGCCTGCTTCAGCGTAAGCTCAATAAATCCTGGCTATTGTTATTGTTATTGCTAAAATGTCTCCCTAGGCTACAAGGCAAAACAAAACAAAACAAAAAACAAACAAACAAAAAACCCACCTTCTACTTCTGCTCAACCATCCACTTAACTTCCCCTTCCTCTACCCAACCCTTAGTTCTCCTGTTTTAAACTTCAAATAACTAACAATTTGTACAAACTAGAACCAAAACTGTTATGGCTGTTGCAATGGTACATAGAATCAAACATCTGCAAACTAAAATTTTGTATAAGGGAACTTAAGATTGGGGAAAAATTAGTATATAATGACAAATGCCAAAGAGACCCAAGGCCTTATTAAAATGCTTGTTTTTAGGGTAATGACTGACCTGTCTTTGTAATTTTAGTGCCAAGCACAAGGGTTGGTGTGTAGTAGCTACACCCAGTCTTTTTCGAGGGAATGATTCTGTAAATGGGGAGTATATGACCTTAGGTGGATGGAAGGAGAGGAAATGTATACATTCTGGAGACTAACTGAACATCTCTCTTGTCAAGTTAATAAATTCTAAGAGTCTGAAGACTCACTATTTTATGAACGAAGACATGGAATAATGAAATGGCTGAAGCTCCTGAATTACTGTGTCTTTCTATAGTACATCATCTTACCTTAGGTTAGACTGAGTAGGCTCAGTGCTTGAGGATGGCTCGAGACTGATTGGAAGAATCTTATCATTCTTGTTATGATCATATCTCTGAAAATGAGAAATAGAGAAATTACTTCACATGGGCAGAAACCAGCCCTTTACTGTAGTGGATGGGTTCAGAAACTAATACCATCAGTATATCATCAGCTTACTTCTAGACAATTTTAGGACCACTTTACACTTAGAATTAATGAAAAACTTCACATGGTTTTGGCCTAAAAGCTGTAAGTTTAGAAAAAGAAGCTTCCATCCAGCCATCAGTTCCTCCTTATTTGGTAGGAAAAAAATGTCAACTTTCAATATCTCAGATGGTACAAACACACAGGAGGGTGGCCTTCTTATATTCTTAACTGTCACATATCACCTCTTACAATATTTATTTTATTAAAAATACTTTAAACTGGCCAGGCGCGGTGGCTCACGCCTGTAATCCCAGCACTTTGGGAGGCCAAGGTGGGCAGATTGCTTGAGCTCAGGAGTTTGAGACTAGGCTGGGAAACATGGCAAAAACCCTGTCTCTATTTAAAAAAAAAAAACAAAAAACAAAAATTACCCGGGCATGCTGGCACATGCCTGTAGTCCCAACTACTTAGGAGGCTGAGGTAAGAGGATTGCTTGAGCCTGGGAGGCAGAGGTTGCAGTGAGCCAAGATCTTGCCACTGCACTCCAGCCTGGGTGACACAGCCAGACCCTATCTCAAAAAACAAAAAACCTTTAAATTTTGCAAAGTACCAACCAAGCATAATATTCAACTCTTAACAGGCCTGAGTGAAGAATAAAAGTTGTAACAGCTTTCAGTTGTTGATACAGAAAACATTCTACAGTAAAGTAGTAGTTTAATTTGATGCCAGATAATTACATACTTTTTTATTCTTTTAAAATTTTATTAGAAAAAATAAAGACAGGGTCTTACTATGTTGCATAGGCTGGTCTTGAACTCCTGGGCTGAAGCGATCCTCCTGCCTCAGCCTCCCAAAGTGCTGGGATTACAGGCATGAGCCACCATGCCTAGCCAGATAATTACATACTTCTTGTAAAAAGCAAATATAATATTGAAGAGCAATCAAGAGCCTCTGGTCAAAAAAGATTTATAGGAGAAGAGAACCGTGAGGCACAGAGATTTTCAAATGAAAGACAGGAATGGAGGATGATTTCTCTTGCGTGCCTTTTCAATGAGATGCAGAACGAGAAAACGAGTTTGGTAAATGAGACTTGATTTTCCCTTGAGTAAAAAAGCATTTGGTAATTCTCCTTGTTGTTTCTATTTTTAAGGCAATGTGTCCTAGAAATTGAGAAGGCTCTGTGATTACCTGAAATACTCAGAAGGATCTAAAGTATCTGAACTTAGTTTTTCAGCTTGGACATTGAGCTTAAATGTCTTGTTTAGTCTCTGTGACTCTTTACTGGGAAGTTTGTTGGGGAGTGGGGTAGAGAGCCTCTGATCAAAAACCATGCTTAGAGCTAAAGATTTCAGCTCCAACTCAAAACTGTCACAAATCTTTGTGCAGGCAGGTTTTTCAAGTCCCCACTGCAGAAGGAGGCAGATCAACTCTTGGGAACGCTCCAGTCAACACACTTTACCACCTCTGTGCCAGCTGGAACAGAATGCCATTTGTTTTGTTTTTTTTAATGGCTGAAGCTTTTCTAGCGCATTCTCCCAGGAGACTAATTACAGAATGAACAGGGCAGCCTGCTACTTCTCAGGACTTAGACACAATACAGACACTGCAAAGTCCCACGAACCCACACCCTAGTAACTCCCAAGATTTCTGGAGTAAGGAGATGCCAGTGCTTTAAGCACTCACAGAAACTACCCATGTCTCAAGCGTTTAGAATAAACAAATTCAAATCTCCACAGAGTCAAAGGCTGGGAAGAGTCTAATAATGCCTAGAGCAACTGATTTTAAAAATAAATATATATTTTCCTCCAAAGAACCCTCCACCCGAAGAAATGACAGAGGTCTGAGCGTACACATTAGCCACATGAGAAAATCAAAACCAGGATCAGTGGGCATGTGGAGAGAAATAACCAAGGAACTTAATCCCTCCCGAGATGTTTTCAAAAGAAAAATCGGGCAACACACATGGTAGATACAAGTAGGAGACTGAAGTATGGCTGTTTCAGGTGTGAAGAGATTGGGACATAAACGGGTAAGTGGACAACCATCTTTCAGAAGGCTTGTTTAGGATGAGGCTTGATGTCTTTCTAGCCTCTCAGACGTACCTTTACTTGAGCATGTGCCCATCGCACCACCAGCTTCTTGGACAGGGCCAACTTGCCATTGAGACACTGGATGGCTTGCTCTGCTTCCTGTCCAGGAAAGGGACAAATGTTAGTTAAAAACTGAAATGCTTAACTAGCTATATGTATTCTCACAGGGCTTCACTAGCTTTGATGGCTGAGTTTCTAACAAATTGTTTTTGGTAAATAACTGGCAAGGGTTTACAATTTTACAAGGCAGAATTTTAAAAAGGGCATGGTTTTTTTGTTGTTTTTTTTTTTTTTTTGAGATGGAGTCTTGCTCTGTCGCCAGGCTCTGGAGTGCAGTGGTGCAATACCGGCTCACTGCAATCTCCGCCTCCCAGGTTCAAGCGCTTCCCCTGCCTCAGCCTCCCGAATAGCTGGGACTACAGGCATGAACCACCACGCCTGGCTAATTTTTTTGTATTTTTTAGTAGAGACGGGGTTTCACCATGTTGGCCAGGACTGTCTCAATCTCCCAACTTAATGATCCGCCCCCTCGGCTTCCCAAAGTGCTGGGATTACAGGCGTGAGCTACTGCGCCTGGCTAAGGGCGTGAATTTTTTAAAGTCAGACAAAAATTCAAATCCTGGTCTGCCATTTGCTGGCAGTATGCTATTTGGCAGGTCACTTAAGTGTCTCTAGCTTTGTCAACTGTAAAATACAGATAAATAATGTATAATCTTTAATAGATAATATGGATACTTATTCCTCAGTGGTTGTGAGGACTCAAAGAATGTAAAGCATGAAGTATATGATATGCACTTAACATATGTTAGTAATAGTGCTGTTCCTATTAGGTGATAGACATATATGCACTTCCGTTAGGTAGGGTAGCACCTCCTATGTCAAGAAACTGTACTCCCCGCAAGGGCCCTGGAACCATATCCTGGACTAGGGCATACTCCCTGGATTCATAGTGAGGAATAATTGCTTTAAAGGGCATGGGAGTCAAGGAAACTAGGCCGGAAAAAGCAGGAGTGAGTCAAAGAGACCGTTAGCAAGGTATCTGTGTGAGTCAATCTATGCACCTGGTTTTCAGAGCCGAAAGTTCCTTGACCCTTTCCCCATCAGACAGAGGAGTAATACGGTTGAAAGGAATTCCTGAAGCTGGCTAACAGTCACTCTAGGTCATTCCCAGGAAACCTGGCTGTACTTTCCATCCTGCCAAACCTTCTTTGCCCCATTTGCATCCATGAGGCATTCAGCCAAGTGTAACCCATGTTTAGTGAGGGTGAAGAAGCCCTTAAGGAACAGAGGAGGAACAGGATGTCCCAGGGAGCGGGAGAGGCTATAGAAGCCAGTTGGCATTCCAGTCTGGTTTTACTGGTGATTCTCTTGTTCCTCCAGAACCTACCAGTATGACATTTAACAAATATTTACTGAGTTCTCACTGTGTAGTAGGCATTGGATATTCACTAATCATCCTTGCCCCACTACAGCACACAAAGCTAGAGTGACAGGTAAGAAATATTTTATTCCTTTAAGCTTCATTTGGTGAATGAGAACTCATAGAGCACTCTATTAGTTCCAAAGTAGGAGCAGTAATAAGCTGCCAGCAGGGGCATCTTATTTTTAAATGTTTTTTTTAAAATAATTTCCTACCTGTACAAATTATTTCAAAGTTCATATATTTAAAAATATTATTAAATGTCTACTTTTTTTTTATACTTTCATCTATTCTCCCAACTTCCCATAAGGTAAGAAGGATATGTATTTTTAATCTCCATTCTTAGATGGAAAATTGAGGCCAAAAGAAGTTAGGAGACTTGCTCAAAGTTAATAAATAAAAGAGCCAGAAATATAAACTAGGCTTTGTATCCTAACCCAGTGTTTTTAAACCAACATCTATGCCCAACATGATCACTGATTTTAGTTGTCTGCAACAATTCCCAGGCCGGGCATGGTGGCTCACGCCTGTAATTTCAGCACTTTGGGAGGCCGAAGCAGGCTGGTTGCTTGAGCCCAGGAGTTTGATCAGCCTGACAACATGGCGAACCCCCGCTTCTACAAAAAATACAAAAATTAGCTGGGGTAGTGGTGTGTGCCTGTGGTCCCAACTACTTGGGAGGCTGAGGTGGGAGAACTGCTTGAATCCAGGAAGTTGAGGCTGCACTAAGCTGTGATCGTGCCACTATACTCCGGCCTGGATGACAAAGAGAGACCCTGTCTCAAAAAAAAAAACAACAACAAAAAGAATTCTCACCACACTTCATTTTATCATTAAGAAAGAATAAAATATTTAAAAATGCTGACCAGGTGTGGTGGCTCACACCTGGAATCCCAGCACTCTGGGAGGCAGAGAAGGGCAGTTGGCTTGAGCCCAGGAGTTTGAGGCCAGCCTGGGCAACATGGTGAAATGCCATCTCTACAAAACATGCAAAAATTAGCCAGGCATGCTGGCATGTGCCTGTAGTCCCAGCTACTGCAGAGGCTGAGGTGGGAGGATCACTTGAACCCAGAGGTCAAGGGTGCAGTGGGTCATGATTGTGTCACTGCACTCCAGCCTGGGTAACAGAGCAAGACCTTATTTAAAAAAAAAAAAGAATGCTAATTCTATATTCTATATTGCATTATTTCACTTCCCTCAAAATACTTGAACAATTAGAGTAACAATGTATTATTTATTGGCTATCATATGTACAAAAATTAGAGGAAATAAAAAATACCCAGCACTGGCAAGGAGAAATGACACTACCATACAATCTCAGAACATACTGATATATCATTTCTTGAAGACAATCTGGCAGTTTTATTAAGAAAAACTATGCATGGACTTTGATGATGCCATTCCATCTCCCCAAATGTGGCAGATATACATAATTAGAGCTGTAAAAATACTCACTCTTGTGATATTTATACTAGTGAATCAACCCAAATACCAGTGAAACAACCCAAATAGCTAACAATTGGGGACTAGTCAAATATGATATATTCACATTATGTAGTCATCAAAAATGATTAGTTTTTAAATGCAGTCTAAGTCACATACAATAAAATGCCCAAATCTCAAATACAGATTAATGATTTTACTCCCCTCCACACACGTACATACAAACACCAGTGAAACCACAATATCAAGATACAGAATGTCACCCTGATGTGATTAAATGGTAGAAAAATTTTAGTATACTTTGAATGATAAACATGATAATATGATTCCATTTGTGTGTTACAACACTGTGTAACGTGTTTATGTGTGTGTGAATGTGAAGAAACAAAAAGACTGGAAAGATATATGACTAAGTGTTAACAGTGATTATTTCTGGGTATTAGGCCAAGTGATTTACATTTTCTTTCTCAGTTATCTATATTTTCATCTATAATATTCACACATTAATTTTATAATAAAAAAACACTCATACAAATTATTATTATTATTATTACTATTATTATTATTATGAGATGGAGTCTTGCTTTGTCGCCCAGGCTGGATGGAGTATAGTGGTGTGATCATAGCTTGCTGCAGCCTTGAATTCCTGGGCTCAAGTGATCCTCTTGCCTCAGCCTCCCAAGTAGCTAGGACTATAGGTGCACCATCACACATAATTAAAAAAATTTTTTTTAGAGACAGGGTCTCACTATGTTGCCCAGGCTGGTCTCAAACAATCTCCCCATCTCAGCCTCCAGGGTAGTTGTGATTACAGGTGTGAGCCAGGCCTAAATTATTAATATAACGTTAACTATGCAATGTTCTTACATATGATGAATAAATTTATAAGTACTATGCGGCATCTCTACATTTAGTAACAATCAAATTCAATTTCTTTATCAATGCACTTCCACTTCAAGGACTAAATTTTAATACAAGGAGATCCATGTATATATCATGGTTGAAGGTGAATGCGCTCTTCTACATACATTAAAATTTATATGCATTTGTTCTGAGACCTTGAGAAGAAATAACAAAAGAGTCTTTGTGGGTGTCTCATCACAGATAGGTTTCTGTACCACAGGACAAAACTACTGAAAGAAAAGAAGGCTTTGTCAGTTGGCCAGCCAGTAAAGCAACAAACAAAAGAGAATAGGGAGGGGGATGTACATGTGCTCGATGTGGGCATCCCAGTGCATTTGGTCAAAAATGTAGGTGAGTCAGTTGCCTTAAACTTTGGCCAAGGGACAGTGAATTGTGAAAGCCACTAATTCATTTGTTTATTGAGGATCCCTTATAGGACTCAGTGTAAGGCACACAGATGAATCAGACATGGCTCCTGCCTACAGGGAACTGCTATTCTAGTAGGCAAGAGACATGCACAAATAATTATGACAGAGCTTGATAAATATTATAAAATGGGGAGAAAGCTTAATTACCTGCTTAGTTTCAAAGTTAACAAAACAGTAGCCTCGAGGCTGTCCCTCCAAAGCACCTGACTTGTGGAAGAGGAAGTCAAACTGCTTTACCTTGCCAAACTTCTGGAGGAGCTTGAGGAGGTGGTATCTGTGGAGAAAGAAGAGTCCATGAGTATGCTCTGGGAATTCTGTTGGCCACTCAGCCTGAAGTGTGAGATAAAAGCAGGAGATAATTTACCCCAGGGATGAAATCTCTCGCCCCAGCCCCCTGCCTTCCTCTAAACTGCTATGTTAGTTTATTTGGCAAACAGAGTTGTTTGCCTCTATTTGGTATGGGAACTAGAATTGTCATGGCTATGCATCTGTCCAACACAAAAATACCAAACAAAAAAACCACACCTTACAAACAGCTGTCTGGCCTACAAGCACTATTTGTTTTTCTTTTGGAGAAAAGCTCAAAAATAGTGTTGATTTATTTATTTTTAATTCCTTGGCAATGAAATGGCATTTGTGAATAACTATAACTCCATCAGAAACACACACCCATTCTCCAAAAGACAAAGCCTATCCTATCTCAAAAATAAAGTAACAAACATATATGCATTCATGCAAACAAACAAACAAACAAACAGTCCTGGAAGATCTTCCTATTAGATTTTGTAGTTAATTCTTAGACCCAAATTGCACTTGTGAGAAACTCTGCCATTAATCAAACCACAGCTAGTGATACTTCCACAGCACTTGAGAGTTTCAATGACTGATGTGACTGAACATGAGGACAATGTGGAACAACTATGTGACTGAGGCCGGTTTCACAAAGGGCAGGGGAACCTGGCCAGTCCTATAAATCACCCAGCTATGGGTAACTAACCAACCTCAGTTGCCTTAAAACAGTTTATACTCTAGGGTACGGTCAAGTAAAGAATACAGATGGTCAAGGGAGAAATTTATTCCTGGCAGGATGTTCACTCCAAGCTATTGCTTACCACTACTCTGCCCTTCATCCTCTATTAAATTTCTTACTCCAAAACTTACTTGGTTTCTACAGAGCTTTTAAGTTATTCAAACAGATGTGGCCTTAACAGGTTGCTGCGGCCAATCTCAATTCCGACTTCCTGTCATCTGATGTGGGGGTGAGACAAACCAACAGCTCTCCCGTTTCCTTTCCCTTTGGCCTTCCTCCTGGCATCCTCCGTGCTATTCAAATGGAGTCAAGGCTTTCTCTAAACAATGCTGTCCCTGTGATACTAAAAAGGTATCAGCCCACATGCTAAATCTGTTATTACTGGGAATTCTACCCCACAGGGAGTCAGTAAAGTTGTCGTTATAGCCACATTTATATTCACATTGTTTTCTAAGAGAAACTCATCAAAATTTTATTCTTGAGCAAGAATTTCCTTTGGGAGGCAGAAAGATATGAAATGGACCATACACTATACTAAATTTGATACTAATGCACATCAACAAGCAAGTCCAATATCCTGGATCAAGTGTCTGACACAGTGGAACAAGAAAGACATAATACAGGTTTAGTACTGGGACAAATGCAAGGATCCCAAGGCATATTGTGGATATTAATCTGGTCTATTTTGAAAGGTAAAACCACCATGATCCCCTACTTTCTAACTTCCCAACTCCCATCAGGACACCTCAACCACTAGAGAGAATGTAGGAAGTGACTTCAGGGGAAACGAAGACACCTTAAGTGCAAATGTGTGGTTTTACTTGACTTTTTGAACAGGCTTACAGCAAGGGTGAGTCTCTCACACACAAAGATGGGCGAGAAGAGTCTCCCCCAGGGTCTTTAATTCACAGCTGTATCTTCAAATTACTAAGCCTATTCAAATCTTAACACCGTGCCAGTTGCCACAGAATGGGGAGTCAAACCTATTCTTAAAAAAAAAAAAAAAAAAATCTAGGCCAGGCGCAGTGGCTCACGCCTGTAATCTCAGCACTTTGGGAGGCCGAGGTGGGTGGATTGCCTGAGGTCAGGACTTCGAGACCAGCCTGACTAACATGGTGAAACCCTGTCTCTACTAAAAATACAAAAAAATTAGCCAAGCATGGTGGCGCATGCCCGTAGTCCCAGCTACTCAGGAGGCTGAGGCAAGAGAATCACTTGAATCCGGGAGGCAGAGGTTGCAGTGAACCGAGATCGCACCACTGCACTCCAGCCTGGGCGACAGAGCAAGATTCCGTCTCAAAAAAAAAAAAGAAAAAAAACCCACAAAAACACACACACACAAAAAAAACAAAAAAGACAATCTAAGGCTACTGTGGGCTGGTCATCTTTTCATTAGCTCCATTCTGCTTAGAAGCAGGAAGGTAACACGATTGGCATTTCCTAAGAAATGAATTTTAATTTACTCAGAAAAAAAAAAACACACACACCAACAAAAGATTACTCTTTGTAAAGCTAACAAACACATTCTGCCCAAGAAGTGTGACCTTAAGATTCCAGGAACATCTGCTTAGGTTTGTGTCTTTCAACTTCTCCAGGATTTCTTTTCTTGTTTGATAATTTCTTAAAATTATCGGAACACTGAAACAAAAGGAATGAAATGTTTACTATTTTGCTTCCTGGAGATGGGGACTGCAGGCTCTGATAGTGAAAAAAGCCTGAAGGATCTTGCTTTCACATCTGCAAGCACTTTTATCTGCTGCTGAAGTGCGGGAGAGCACACTACTCAGCAGAGGCTTGCTTCACTTAATGAAATGTGCGCCCTGCAGCCTTCAGGAGCTGGAAAATTAGCACACCAGCCCCACACACATATCTGCAACTTAATCAGTGTTTTCTGTAATTGGTCTTTAAGACAGCTTTTCTGCCTAATGGCACAGAAATAATTAATCTATACACATGTTAAAATAGATACCTACAATGTGTCTAGAGCCAAGCAGGCTTATGGGCTATGCAGATGAATAAAACTAGGTTCCTGCCTTCAAGAACCTCACATTCTAGTTAAGACAGAGAGAGATGTAATCAAACAATTACAAAACAATGGGATGCTTGTACACAGAGGGATGAATACGAGCACACAGAATGAAGACCAATGGTACAAGGAAGGTGGTGGTTAAGGAGAGCTTTGTGAAAGGAGTGATATCTGACTGGGTTGTGTCAGTGTGAGTGAGTACTAAAGACAAAGGTGAAAAAGGGTCTGATCCATTGGAGTAGAGTGGGGGTAGCCAGTAAGATGGGGCTGAAAGGTAGGCAGAGGACAGGTTGTGAAGGATGTCGTAGGCTGAGGGAATTTTAATTTCGGGTTGTAGGCAATTGGAAGCCCATGAAATGACATTTAATATTATTTTTGATGCACAATTTGTTGTAGAGAAAATTTTCTTTATAAATGGATATAGAAATTACTATGAGATGGGTCTTTATGTTTTATGATAAGTACATTATTATATGGTCTTATTGTGCTTCCAATTTAAGTAACCAAACAGTGAAGGCTGTTTCATGTAAACCAAGACATAAAAAGAAGTATGGACAATGAGGAGACATAAGGTATGGACTGAGAGAGAAACAGGTTTCTTCGGGGGTGAACACACTGTTCTTGCATGCTCATGCATTTATTTTCCCTTGCATTCCAGCTTACCTAGTTTATCCCTGAAAGTCTGTACCAGGAGGACATTTCCACCTGGATGGCTCTCCACTGCTTTTAACTTTGCTTAACACACCCCAAACTGAATCCCTCCCTGCCACAAACTGATGATCCTTCCAGCTATCCCTCTGGTCAGGGGGAACAAGATCTTTTTATATTCCTCAGGCAAGAAACCTCAGGATCACCTCAACCTTCCACTCCATTTCAATCACTTTCCTCATCTCTCAGACTCACTCATCAGTCTCCAAGTTCACTGTCTCTATCTAGGTGATAATCGATGGCCAGACTGGTTCATGGCGATCTCTCTTAGCTAATCTTCATCTTCAATTTCTGCCCTTCATCCTGCATATCGATGTAAAATTTCTCTACTAACACATCATTGTCTAGCCTGGGCAATATAGTGAGACCTCGTCTCTACAAAAAAATTAGCTGAGTGTGGTGGCACATGCCTGTACTCCCAGCTACTCGGGAGGCTGAGGTGGGAGGATTGCCTGAGCTTGGGAGGCTGAGGTGGGAGGATTGCTTGAGGCTGGGAGGTGGAGGTTGCAGTGAGCTGAGATTGAGCCACTGCACCCCAGCCTGGGCAACAGAGTGAGACTCTGTCTCAAAAAGAAAACAACAACAACAACAACAACAACAACAAAAACCAAACCCACATCACTTTCATGATGTCAGCCTCCTGCTAAACACCCACAATGAGTTTCTTTTTCATGAAATTCAGGCTTGTCTGAATGAATTTTAAAGACCCTGTCTTAACCTGAGAGTATTCTATCTATGCAGCCACTATTTTCATTCCCATCCAGTATTCAAACTTTGCTTAAGTCAGAAAGATCTTCCTCATTTTCTACTTAACACATAACAATCTTTCTTATTAGTACTTATAGGCCTTTATTTACGATTTTCCCTCCACTCAGATTCCTCCTTCTATTAGCGTTTCTATGGGCTTTGTTCTCTTTCATACCTCTATATGCATAATACAGCGGCTACGACTTTGGCATTTTACACAGCACATCTAATACTTGTAAAAGAAAGTCGGTATTATCCCTTTTAGAAAGAAAACCACAGTGTAGAAAATAGATAATGTCTGAGGTCATTAAGTTTTTCAGCTTCTTTGTGGATGGCACTTATAATGATATTCAGAGGTATTGTTTATGCTTACAGTTAGATTGGGTCTCACAACCAAGAAAAAGAAAACCTTACATTTTAAGATTTAAAATAGGATACTTTTGGTTGTGACTGTTCAAAAATTAGAATATTTGTGCAAAAAAACACTAAATTAGGTGGTGGAAATTATCATTACTTCAGTATACTAAGCCAACTCACTTCACTCTTCATTTCCTATATAATAGGGAAAATAATATCTGTTCCACTTCCCTCACAAAGTTTTAAGGGGTTATGTAAGACAGACTCATGCAGTCTAGAGCTAGAAGTAATGCTCAGATCATTTAGCTGAACATTCTTATTCTATAGGTAAGAAATTATTACATATAATATAGTTGACAGGAATCAGAATATAGTGGAAAGAACATAAGTTTGGAATCTGCTAATTCCATAAACAAGAATGCATCATCACTCCCTCAAATCCTAATCTCCAAGATGTATTTAGTCATATAAATATTTCTGGCATCTAACATAGCCCTAAAATGGTCAGTATTTTTTTGCTGTTGTTGAGACAGCGTCTTGCTCTGTCGCCCAGGCTGGAGTGCAGCGGCGCGATCTCGGCTCACTGCAAGCTCCGCCTCCCAGGTTCATGCCATTCTCCTGCCTCAGCCTCCCGAGTAGCTGGGACTACAGGCACCATCCGCCTCCCGGGTTCACGCCATTCTCCTGCCTCAGCCTCCTGAGTAGCTGGGACTACAGGCACCCACCACCATGCCCAGCTAATTTTTTGTATTTCTTTTTTAGTTGAGACAGGGTTTCACTGTGTTAGCCGGGATGGTCTCGATCTCCTGACCTCGTGATCCGCCCGCCTCTGCCTCCCAAAGTGCTGGGATTACAGGCGTTGAACCCCACCGCGCCCAGCCAATGGTCAATATTACAACCACAGAGTGAACATAAACAAACAAGACGAGTAATATTAGAGTGCTAGACAGTCATAAACGCATATTCTGTTGGGAGGAGACTGATAGACATCCTAGTGTAACTTGAGCAGGACTCAGATTAATAACCAACAGGCACACACACATAGAATGACTAGAAATAATCACAGAATAGACTAAAAAACCAGGTGGAAAAGTGGTTATTTAAAAAAAATTGTCATTGTTTTACATATTCATTCATAACAGTAAGTTTATAATGTCTTCTAACAAGCGGTAAAAGAATATTTGAATGGGAGACGTATTCAAATCAGTTTATAAAAGAGATCAGGTGGACAGTAGGGACACATATAAGAAAGAGAGAGGTAAGAAGGGTCTGTTGAATGGGGAAGTGGTAGGAACTAGCAGCAATTTGTGGATAGAAGGTAGGTTTAAACAGGAAAGCTGGAGGATGCTCTGCAAATTTCTGTTAAGAGTCATTAGAAGTTTACAGATTTGGATTCAAGCAATACTTTTTGAGATTGCACCACAAGACAGGTACCATATATTCACATAAGTTACATTATGTAATCCTTCAATGTTTGGGAATTACTGCATTTTATAGTTCATCCAGGCTCACCATTACATGCCCTCAGAGGAACAAGATCCAGAAGTTTTTGTATTTCAAAAACATGGAAGGAAATCATCAATTTCTACAAGATAAGATTTACTTTACTAAAATGTCAGGTTCCTTTTAATTAAGTAAATTAAATGAGGTAATATTAATATTTCATGTTAACCATAAGCTATGATTGGTAGTTCTTTCTTTCTTTCTTTCTTTCTTTTTGAGACAGATTCTTGCTCTGTCGCCAAGGCTGGAGTGCAGTGGTGTGATCTCGGCTCACTGCAACCTCTGCCCTCCGGGTTCAAGTGATTCTCCTGCCTCAGCCTCCTGAGTAGTTAGGACTACAGGCAACCGCCACCACGCCTGGATAATTTTTGTATTTTTAGTAGAAATGGGGTTTCACCACATTGGCTAGGATGGTCTCGATTTCCTAACCTTGTGATTCACCCGCCTCGGCCTCCCAAAGTGCTGGGATTACAGGTGTGAACCACCGTGCTCAGTGGTAGTTATATCTTTAAGCATAAATTTATTACAATTTAATAAACCAGTCTGTTTGACAGATAAAATGTTTTAAGGTAAAGAATCCATAGGATGGCCAGGCATAGTGGCTCACGCCTGTAATCCCAACACTTTGGGAGGCTGATCAGGAGGATTGCTTAAGCCCAGGAGTTTGACAACAGCCTAGGAAACATACTGAGACCCCTGTCTCTACAAAACAAAAACAAAAAACAACAAACTAGCCAGGCATGGTGGCGAGCACCTGTAGTCCCAGCTACCCAGGAGTTCTAGGTTGCCATGAGCTATGATTGTGCCACTGTACTCAAGCCTGGGTGACAGAGCTGTCAAAAAAAAAAAAAAAAAAGAAGAAGAAGAAAAAAGAATCTATAGGAAAAAATAATAAAAATGGTCTTTTGTGATACAGAAGTGGAGAAGCCAGCCACAGGGAAAGCCCAGCACTTCCAGCCAGCATGCTCTGATCTAGTTTATTACTTGATGTCTACCTCTGGCCTGATGTAAAAAGAGCAGAGATATCAGTGGGAAAGTTCTGATTCAATGTTCCTGCCAATGTTCTAATTGAAAAAAACATCCACACACTCCAACTTATGACATAAACTGAGGTGGCAAATGCCCATTTGAACCTTCCCGTCAAGCAGCAGGACACAATTAGAACAAAAGTCTCATTACAGAGAAGTGCAGCCAACACAACCAACGCTGTTTCCACACTTTAGATTTCCATTTAGACAGGCAGAGGTGGGAATGGAAACCACTATGAGCATCCCCTCATAGCCTGGGTTTTGGATGATGGAAAAAATTTCTTTGATGAAGAGACATTAATTGAGAGGTTGGACAGATTCATATACTCACCCTCAAAAGCCATGAACCGTAAAAGAGAACTGAAATAAATGCAATCCACTCTAGGGTCCCTGTGACCAAGATAACATAATATGTGGGCAACACATCTTAAATACCGTCATAATTTCTAAGGGAACTGAATATATTTACATTTGGCTGATATGAGCTTGAGCAGGTTTAAGGAACTTTTTGTTATAATCCTGATTTATAAGGTTATATCCTTTTCTTCTCTTTCCTAATCTTAACTCTCATATATACCTTGTCTCATCTCATACTCAAAGAAGCAGGTTTCCTCATCTCCTCCCTTCACCTTTCGCCCAGGCTGGAGTGCAGTGGCACAATCTCCGTGCACTGCAACCTCCGCCTCCCAGGTTCAAGCAATTTTCGCGCCTCAACCTCCCAAGTAGCTGGGACTACAGGCATGCACCACCATGCCTGGCTAATTTTTTCATTTTTAGTAGAGACGGGGTTTCACCATGTTGGCCAGGCTGGTCTCAAACTCCTGACCTCAAGTGATTCGCCTGCCTCGTCCTCCCAAAGTGCTGGGATTATAGGCGTGAGCCACTGTGCCCGGCCTCCCCTTGTCTTTAACACTATTCTAAAGGGAGTAACTTCTAGGACTGATGATATGCTCAAAACTTGCTTTCTGCCTGGCATGGCGGCTTAAGTCTGTAATCCCAGCACTTTGGGAGGCCAAGGTGGGTGGATCATTTGAGGTAAGGAGTTCGAGATCAGCCTGGTCAACATGGTGAAACCCCATTTCTACTAAAAACACAAAAATCAGCCAGCATGGTGGCGCATGCCTGTAGTCCCAACTACTCGGGAGGCTGAGGCATGAGAATTGCTTAAGCCCAGGAGGTGGAGGTTGCAGTGAGCCAAGATTGTGCAACTACACTCCAGCCTGGGCAACAGAGCAAGACTGTCTTAAAAACAAAAACAAAAACAAACAAACAAACAAAAAAACTGGCTTTCAGCATTGACCTCATACAGGCCAATCCACTCATTGTACTCTGCCACCAACCACCACCCTCCCTCTATCAAATAACTGGCAGAAGGGAAAAACCTCTCAATTTTCTCAGCTAAGAAATTCCTTTTCATCTTAATGGCTGTGATGTAAAAGAGCAGGGAGTCAGGGCAATTCAATCAATTTCGTGAACTCGGGCAAGGTACTTCTGTCTTTCGGGACTTGGTTTCCTCTATGTAGGATAAAAAAGCTGGGTCCCATCAGAGGTTGTCAAGTGTGCTCTATGGAGCCCTGGAAGTTCTACAGAGCCTAAACAGGGATGGCCAAAGAAAGGGTAGTAGTTGACAAAAGATTTTGGTTCCATCTCTTCTCCCTTTTAGTCAGAGCAACTCTGAGCTCTTATTTTATATACAGCTCTGATTATTACTTTTACTCTAAGACAGGGTTCTTCAGATTTAAGAAGTCTGCAAACTGCTTAGCATGGCACTTGGCACTCAAATCATTTAATGAATGAATGAAAACCAAAGGGACATGATTTCTAAGGTTCCTTACAACTCTGACCTTCTATAGTTCTATGGCTGCTTAATATGAATTACAGTCAAGTGGTCTCCTCTGCCTGTTTGCAAAGGTACTGAGACTTCTGCTTGTTCCTTTATTCTGGGTACAAATGTATTCCCAAGGCTGATTCTAGAGAATAATTCCCTAGAGCTACTAGGTACAAGGATTCAAATAGTTGGAAATGGGAGAACGTCTTTGGCAGATAGGAAAAAAACAGGTATATGGATTAAAGGATACCCAAGTCTGTGTCCTTGCAGTAGCAGAGTCCAAATGTAAAAAAAGTGACAAGATAACAGGCTAACAACATCTTATCTCTCCGAAGACACGATGTAAGTAAAAGGGTCTAAGTATATCCCACACCCCTTGAAAATTCTTCTTGACATCATCACCACAAAACATCCCAATATTGTAGGTAAAAAACTAAGGTAACTTAGACTTACTCGGTAATTTTGGGGTCCAGGTTGCCAATCCATAATCGGTGTCCTTCCTGCAGAGAGCCCTCTGAAAGGATGGATGCATTCTCCAGGGGAAGAGTTTTGGTTTCTGCTTCCATCAATGTCTATGAAATACTAAAGGAAATGTGAACATTCAGGCAGGAGGGGAGTAACAATGTGTGAACACAAGACTTCAAATTCAACTCAACAAACATTTATTCAAGGAGGGCATGCCCTCTGGGCAGTCCTTCAAAGGCCTCAGTGATTCCACAACCAGGGCCCCAGAACCAGTTCCCTTGGGACAACTGCTCTGGCAGCCAGGGCACACAAGCTGCCATTTAAGGTGAAAGGGGCGTGGTTCTGTGTGGAGAAACTAAAGTTTTCCTCCTCTGAAGCCAGAGGCTGACTGGGCAGGAGGCCAAAGTCTCTATTACTACATGATACTTCAGTTCAACAACTGTCACCCAAAATAAGCCTTGGAAACCACCAGGAAGAGTCTTAATGGCATTAAAAGGGATGGGTAGGGAAGAGCAGCACTCCATCCCTTTTCCTCATGGAAGAGGCAATATAGCAAAGAGAAGAGGCAATATAGCAAAGAGAAGAGGCAATATAAGAAATCTGTGCGTAGACAGAACTGGGTTTGAAAGCAGGTTGTGTGACTTGATGAACTACCTGAACTTTCTAGGCCTCAGTTTCCTCATTATCTAGAGAGATAATAGTGCTTATTTTATAGAGTTGTTGTGAAGATTAAAGACAGTAAAAAAATCACTAAATACTGTATCTAACAACAGTAAGTAATCAATAAATACTAGCTATTATCATGCTTACTCTTTTGGGACAGACCAGGAAGAAGAGACTAATTTCCTCCTTAGTTATTCAAGTTCCACCATTTGCTAGCTATGTAGCCCTGTGCAAGTTACTTAACAGCTGTTGGCCTCAGTTCCCTCATCTGTAAAATGGGGATAATGCCTCATGAAATTACAGTGCAGATTCACTGAGTTAATACACCTAGAGCATTTAGAACCGTGCATGGCACCTAGGAAGCATTCAATTAATGTTAGCTTAAATTATTACTAGTCTTAGTTCCTGAAATGTCTCATCTCACAGCCAAGGAGAAAAGAGGATTATGATTATGATGGAGACAGCAGTAGAAAGAGCAGAAACCTTGGTGTCAGAAGACATTGTTTCAAATTGTGGCATTTCTTTCTTTCTCTTTTTTTTTGTTTTTGAGACAGACTCTCGCTCTGTTGCCCAGACTCATGGGCGGTGGCACGATCTCGGCTCACTACAACTTCCACTTCCCGGGTTCAAGCAATTCTCATGCCTCAGCCTCCCGAGTAGCTGGGATTACAGGTGCATGCCACTAAGCCTGTCTAATTTTTGTATTTTCTTGTAGAGGCAGGGTTTCACTATGTTGGCCAGGCTGGTCTCCAACTCCTGACCCCAAGTGATCCATCCACGTCGGCCTCTCAAAGTGCTGGGATTACAGGTGTGAGCCACCATGCCCAGCACAAACTGTGGCATTTCCACTGGAAGTTATTTCTTTCTGAGCTTCAGTTTACCCATCTTTAATAAATTTTGCCCTGTTTATAACTTAAGGCTTCGAGGACCAAAAATGAGACGACAGATGTGAAATAAAGCTTTAGGGGCTGGGAGGACAGCAGGCTGTGTCAGAGTTCAGAAGTCCCTGCTAGAGAACACATATCCTATACCCAGAAGTACCTCAGAGGTCAGCACTACAGGAACCATGGAGGCAGTCACAACAACTGCCATTACCTCTTAATCATCTCAGCACACCCTGTAAAGTCTAGCACAGCAGTCCCTAGGTAATTGTTTATTGAATACCCTGCACATGAGGGTATTTTTCTTCCTTTCCCATTCACATCTTTAATCTGTTCAGCAATGTAAGTCAAGCAACTAGGAACTGTTAAACTCTGGGCTATGTACTGAAATAGACAAATGAAAAAGCCACAGCTCTTGTTCTTACCTCCTGGGAGAAAGGTGAAACAGACATAAATTTAATCCCAGGGGAGACACATTTTTGTCTTCCCTCTGCTTTCCTTTCCCCCTACTTTTTAAACAAATCATTCATTCAAAAAATAAATTCACTGCTTCTATTATCTAGGACTTATCCAGTTACTGGAGTCAGAGCAGTGAACAAGCAAGGTCCCTATCCTCTGGATGCTTGTATTTGGAAGGGGAGCAGGACAAAACAAAAGCAAAATAAATAAAGAAGATATAATTAGTGATACATGCCACAAACACAATTAAGCAGGGTGATGTGACAGGGACTCGACGACTATAGATTGAGTGGAGGGAAGGCCTCTCTAAAGGAGATGACATTTGGGACTTGAATGATAGGACATTCTGATTTTCTCATGTCTAAAATCAGGAATAATACCAATAGCTATTAATATTTATTACCACGAAAAGGTACCATGTTTTACTGGTAAGAGTGCAGGCTATGCGGGTCTGGGTTCAAATCCTGACTTTTGCACCTAGTAACTGCACCTTTAGCAAGTCACATGACCTTTCTTTAAGCATCCTCTCGATAGAAAAGCTTTCCTAAACAGAGTTCCTTGTTATTCTATATCATAGCCACTTTTCCATCTTTTTCCTCCTACTAAATGCTAATTCAATGTATTACTTAATGTTTCCTCTTCTATTTCCTTCACTAGAACGTAAGCTCCCACAGCACAGGACCTTGCCAATCTTGATCACGGTTCTATTTCTAGCACTTAAGTACACTGCCTGTCTCACGGTTGGTGCTTAATATTTACTAAATGAAGCAAGCCGCTTCTCCACTCGAAGACTTAGTTTCTTTTTCCTTCCTAGAATGGGTACAATTTGTCGTCTCACGAGGTCGTTGTGAGTCTTAAATAAGACAATTTTGGTGACAGCTCAGAATATGGCTTTTTGAGGAAAGGTAAAGGGTAATAAAAGATCAAGACGGCACGGGACTATCAAAATGCTTTGCGTTTGCAATAGCAACAATCCTTTAGACTACCAGAGTTCACAAAACGCGGTTACATTTGTCTTTCCAGCTGAGCTGCAATAACTCTGGAAGCCAGAAATAGTCATCTGGGGAAAGTGCAATCCAGAGAAGAAGAGACACCTGATCCTAACAGCAAGCGGTGGGGTCATGCCTGGAACCCTGGCTTCCCGATTTCTGGCTGCGAATTCCTACAGGCGAAGGGTCATTACTCGGATTGTTATTTCCGGGCCAGCGACAGGACAATCCGGGGCGGGGCCTGAGATGCAGTCCTGCGAGGGCGGCCTCCTGTAAGACCTCTTAGCGGGCCCATCGCTGAGGTGCAGGGACATGTCGCGGCCGAACTCACCTCGTGGCCTCGGCGTGGTGCTCTCAGCTCATGCCCGGAAACCAGGTCCCGACGCCGCGGTCAGACGGACCTCTAGACGCGTCCGCCTCAATGCCGCCAGCTGCCAGGCCGCCCGTGACGCGTTAAGCCTGCGCCGCCTCCTGGCTTCGTGACGTCACGACGTCCGCGCAGCTGCGGTCGCCGCCGTCGCACGAGTCTTTCCTTAGTAACCTGGGCGATAGCTGGTGAGTGTCCTTGACAGGGCCTCGAGGGGCGCGTGTGGTCTGGGTGCCAGAGACCCTTACTCAGGGACCTCTGGGGGACCTCAGGGGACCAGACTACCGTCCCCGACCCGTTCGAGTCCAGCTTGACCTTTAAGGCTGAGGGCGGGACCTGTGGCATTGGAGCGAGTCTCATGGGGTGGGGGCGGGGCTCCTTTTACCAGCTAGGAATTTAGGGGATGCTGGAGGAACTTACTAAAGAGTAGCCGCACACTTGACGGGAACGTTTGAGTTTCAGAACAATCCCATAGGAGTAGATATTATTATCTCCCATAATGAAGAAACGGAAGCTCACATAGGTAATTTTACCAGGGTCACGCGGTCAGAAAGTGAGGGCGCTTAAATTCAGACCTAGGGCTATCCGACTCCTAAGCCTGGACTTTTAACCACCACTCTGTGCCACCCAGTGGCAAAACAGTTGTCATTTCAGTAGCCCTTCTCCATTTACTTAACCCTGACAAATAGTATTGTCATTTACGTTTTACAGATGAGACGGAAGTCCTGAGAGTTTGACCGATTTAAGGTCACGTGCCTAGGAAGTGCTGGAACCAAGACTCGGAGTTTTCTCTAAGTTTAGTGCCTTTATTTTGTTTTAAACCACACTGTTGCATTTCCCCCCATTTTGGAAAGCTTTATAGTTGGAAAGAATGAAAACCTGATCTGACCCCTTCATTTTATGGTTGAAACAAAATCTACGTAGGAGAAATCACTTGGTACAAGTCACAAGTCAGTGGTAGAGCTGCCGCAAATGCTTTTTGAATACGTGTGATTATGAATCTAAATGGCAGATGGCAGGGAGTGATAAGGTAGGCATACTGGAATCCAGATCTCTTAACTCTTAGGCAAAAGCCCTTTCTCTACCTGTTAAAGTGTCTCATTCCTTCTTTGGCCGTGCCAGGTGCATAATGATTCTGTGTATAGTCAGATACTACAAGTACCTTTCTTTACCTGGTACTGCATTTAGAGAAGAACATCATCTACTATCTCTAAGCAAAAATCTGGCAAACCAGAGACAGTGGAGGCAACGCTGGGAAGCCCAGAACCTACCATAATAGTAAGGGTAGATTCCCATCCGATTCTGGTTTACCCTGGATAAGGAATTTATCTTTCTGGACTTTCACTGATGTATTCATCACATTCACAGTGTCTTCTGTGTTCTGGCAATGTACCAGGTACTGGGGATACAGCAGTGAACAAGAAAATCATAGATTAGTCCTTGTAGTACTTAGAGTCATATGGAGGGAATTAGACAATCAAATAATTACACAAATGTTAGCTTGTATTGTTAAGAATTAAGTGCTATGATGAAGTAAAGGGTGCTATGAAAGCAGACTACAGGACACTTGACCTAGTTGGGCTGTAGGAGATGGCCAAGGAAGCCGTCCTCTGAGGAAGTGATGGTTAAGCTGAAATCTGAAATAAAAACGGAGACAAACAGTTAAAGAGGTGAGGGAAGATCATCAAGGAGATTCAATGGCATGTTTGAAGACCCTGGAGCAGGGGGAGCCCTGGAGAAGTGAAAGATCACTTTTCTTATTTTGCAAAATACGGGTGGTGATTATCACTCTTTAGTTATGAGAACCAGTTAAGATGGTACATGTGAAAGTATTTTATATGCAAGAGCCTGCGTATATGCACACTCATAGAAGTGCTTATGTTATAAGCTAGTATACAGCTGCATTGAAAAGAGTTGCTGGGACAGTAGATAAGCCAGGATTTTGGGTTGGTCATCTAGCCAAAATTAAAATGAACCTTCTGTGAAGAACAGGGAAATCGTTTGAGACCCTCAACTTTGGAAAAAGAATGTGTGCTTCAAGTAGTTTAAAAAAATATTTCAGTCTGTAATCTCAGCACATTGGGAGGCCCAGGCGGGCGGATCACGAGGTCAGGGGGTCGAGACCATCCTGGCTAACACGGTGAAACCCCGTCTACTAAAAATACAAAAATTAGCTGGGTGTGGTGGCGCACGCCTGTAATCCCAGCTATTTGGGAGGTTGAGTTAGGAGAATGGCTTGAACCCTGGAGGCGGAGGTTGCAGTGAGCCAAGATTGCGCCACTGCACTCCAGCCTGGGCGACAGAGTGAGACTCCGTCTCAAAAAAAAAAAAAAAGAAAAAAAATTCAGGCCGGCGCAGTGGCTCACGCCGGTAATCCCAGCACTTTGGGAGGCCGAGGCGGGCAGATCACCTGAGGTAAGGAGTTTGAGACCAGCCTGGCCAACATGGTGAAACCCCATCTCTACTTAAAATATATAAAAGTTAACTGGGTGTGGTGGTGGGTGCCTGTAGTCCCACCTACTCAGGAGGCTGAGGCAGGAGAATCCCCTGAACCTGGAAGGCATAGGTTGCAGTGAGCTGAGAACGTGCCACTGCTCTCCAGCCTGGGCAACAGAGTGAGACTCTGTCTCAAAAAAAAAAAAAAAAAAATTTAATAGTTGGGATGCTATTATAATAGCTACAATTTATTGTGTACCTACTGGATGCCAGGCATTGTACTGTGTGTATGTGTTTTGTTAAGTGACTAGGTCTCACTATATTGCCAAGGCTGGCCTTGGACTCCTGGCCTGAAGTGATCCTCCTTCCTTAGCATCCCAAGTAACTGGGACTATAGGCACCCATCACTGTTCCCAGCCATGCTGAGTGTTCTATATGCATTGTATAGCAGTTAATAACATAGACTCTAGAGCTAGATTGACTGAATTCAAATCTTGGGCAGATTTTTGCTTCTGTTTTCTTATCTGTAAAGTGGGAATAATCATAGTACTTACTTCAGGGTTATCATGAGGCTGAAATGAGTTCATGTGCATAAACCACTTAGAATAGTTTCTGTCACGTAGTCATTGTTATATAAATGTTAGGTATTGTCATTATTGTTATCTTTTAAAGTCTCATTAATATCACTATGATGATGATGTGGAAGCTGTAGCTCAGAGAGGCTAAATGACCTCCCCAAGGTCACACAGCTAGTAAGTGGGGGAATTGAGATTCCAGTTCCAGACTGCGTCCAAAGCTCAGACACTTCCCCACATTGCTTCTATGTATAGGTTAATTTTGTTGGCTCATACTTGGGATCTCAACAAATTTTTCTTCAACTTTAATTCTTTATCTGTGCTGAACTGAATGTTAATTTGTATACCCTTAAGGTAAAGGACCTAAAGGACTGCTTTTATTGAACTTCCACTTTGAAATTTCTTGACTTCTGTGCAATTAAAATCTACGCCTTAAGCATTTCAGCGATGTGGTTTATTTATAGAGTTGTCTTCCGGTTCACGTGTACTGGGTCTGCTTTTGGGTGCTGCGTTTTCTGTCAAAGGTTGTTTATTTCTAACCCATTTTGATTTCCTGTTGCTTTGTGAGTTGGTATTATGACCTGCAACAGGAATACCAGGAAACCTGTCTTAAATGGAGCAGCCAGATTGAGACCCTGTAGACTAAAATAAAATCTACTCATTATTCTACAGCCATATTTGGTTATAAGTATGAGTTAGGCATTGGTTTTATTAGGGAAAAACCTAGATATAGAAACTTCACTCTGAGCCAAACCTCTGTGAACAGTTCTGCTAAAATAGAGCTTGGCTATTAGCTCCATGTCCTTGGACAGTGACTTAATCTCTCTGAACCTCAGTTTCAGCATCTGTAAAATGGGGATTATTATACGTTCTTTGTGGCATTATTGAGAGAATTAAATGAAATAGTATGGTTAAAGCAAACAGTCCAAACTTGACCTCAATTAATAGTAGCTATTGATACTAGTAAAGAAGAAAAATATTCCCTTTTTTCATCAAATCTGGTTTTATAGACTTCATACACTGATCACTAACTTCTAGTATCCCTTACTGTTAAAAATTCCATCGCGAGAAATGATTTGCCTTTGTGCTACTCATTTGCTTTAAAAATAATATCCATCATTAGGCCGGGTGCGGTGGCTCACGCCTGTAATCCTAGCACTTTGGGAGGCCGAGGTGGGTGGATCACGAGGTCAGGAGATCGAGACCAACCTGGCTAACAAGGTGAAACCCCGTCTCTACTAAAAAATACAAAAAATTAGCCGGGCGTGGTGGCAGGCGCCTGTAGTCCCAGCTACTTGGGAGGCTGAGGCAGTAGAATGGCGTGTACCCGGGAGGCGGAGCTTGCAGTGAGCCGAGATCGTGCCACTGCACTCCAGCCTGGGCGACAGAGTGAGACTCTGTCTCAAAAAAAAAAAAAATAATAATAATAATAGCCATCATTCATTAAGCTGCTATATTCCTGGCACTATGTTAGTTGTTTACATGTATTCATTATTAAATTTTATTTTAAGTTCAAGGTTATTTTTATCATTGATGAGGAAAGTGATGCTCAGAAAAGAAGAGTAAATTGCCTAAAGTTGAAATTTACATCCAGGTCTGACTGATTGTAGGCTATTTTGTACATCATTAATAACATACAAGGTTTCTTTATTGTGTCTGACCCTGGCATAAAAGTTTTAGAGGCCGGGCATGGTGGCTCACACCTGTAATCCTAGCACTTTGGGAGGCCAAGGCAGGTGGATTGCCTGAGCCCAGGAGTTCAAGACCAGCCTGGGCAACATGGTGAAACCCTGTCTCTACTAAAAATACAAAAAAATTCGCTGGGCATGGTGGCATGTGCCTGTAATCCCAGCTACTTGGGAGGCTGAGGCATGAGAATTGCTTGAACCTGGGAGTGGAGGTTGCTGTGAGCCAAGATCGTGCCACTGTACTCCATCCTGGGCAACAGAGTGTGACTCAGTCTCAAAAGATAATAAAGATAATATTTTTTTAAAAGTTTGAAAAAAAAGGTGATAGCTATCAACAGGTATTATTTTGGGGGGCTCCTGCTGTTTGCTAAGTACTGTGTCAAGGGCTTTACTTGCATAACCTCATTAATTATTCCTAACCCTAAGAAATGAGTACAATTATTCCCATTTTATAGTTGAAGAAATCAAGGAGCAGAAATATTCAGGAATATTTAGTCAGTAATGGAGCTAGGATTGGCTTCCAGGTCTTCCTGACGGCAAAGCCCATGTTATTCATTCCATTGTGTTGGATCAAAATTTTAGGATGGGATTTAAAAAAAAAAATAAGGTGTGGGACTGTTACTCAAAGGAAACAGCTTCCAGGTATTTGATACTAATTGTTCTTAATTTTTACCTGAGCCATAGCAACATTACTGGCAGAAGCTATCAATGATATATTTGTCAGTTAGCTAGGGCTGTGTTCTATCCTGAGGTAGTTGTAGGCGATGGCATCTTTCCATGGTCAAAGACCTCAGATGTAGAATGCGTAACTTGTGTTAACACAGGAGAGGGTGGCATGTTCCAGAGCTCTAGTTCTATACCATGGAAGACCTCAAACCTCAATCATGCTTTAGACTCACATTAAAGGGCATCCTAATTGGTAATCAGTGCATAAGGAACCAAATAAAATTTTAATTAAATGCTGTCGTGTGAATTTTCCAGTCATTTTATGCCTGTTGAGACGGTTTTCTTATTTAAAGTCCTCTTCTAGTGCTCTGCCTTCCCTCTTTAAACTTTATCAAGATTTTGTGCTTTTTCTCATGTAAGGGTTTAATTAGCATCATTAAAGTTTTAGTCTGCTGCATATTTGCTTAATGGGCATTTTGGTGCAGTGGAAAGAGCTTGGGGTTTGGAGTCCAAAGTGGGGAAGTTCCTTAAATCTCTGTGAGCCTTAGTTTCTTCATTCTGTAAAATGAGGCAAATAATATTTTCTTCTAGGGCTGTTGGGAAAAGGATTAGAGATAATGTATTTAAATTGTCTAGTACTTAGCTCAGTTTATAGGAGTTGCTTGATAATTGGTACGAATTACCTGAAGTTGCAAGCTTTGTACTTAGATCTTTTACTTAGATCTGCTTTTTGTCTTATTCTTTTTAGTGGATGTTTCCAAGGATTGTCTTCAGTCATGGCCTTGGGATTAAAGTGCTTCCGCATGGTCCACCCTACCTTTCGCAATTATCTTGCAGCCTCTATCAGACCCGTTTCAGAAGTTACACTGAAGACAGTGCATGAAAGACAACATGGCCATAGGCAATACATGGCCTATTCAGCTGTACCAGTCCGCCATTTTGCTACCAAGAAAGCCAAAGGTAGAGACATGTGACGTTCTCTCCTACTTCACCCCTTTCTTATAGTTGGCCCTTGAATTATAGCTGGCAGGTATCTCAGATGTACTGAATTTCTCCCCTTGCTAACATGAGGAAATGGTGCCTCAGCTATTTCATTGGATTAGCTTAAAAGGTTACAGTGGCAGAGATGGTGTTATAACCCAGTGCCTGTTTTCTCATTACCATGCTGCCTCATTTGTTTTCTTGGTAGCTCAGAAAATGCCTAATTTCTTTCTTTTAGATTTAGAATTAAAGGTTTAAGTGCCAAGCAAGCCAGAATGCTTGTAGCAGGGATCAATATATTGTCTCCTTATAGGAAGATGCATGTTGGAAGTATAATTAAGACCAGAAGGTGGTTGGGTGAAGTGGGTATTAGAGCCATGGATTTAGATGGATGATCTTAATGGCTTGTGTCATCCAGGAATGAGACTCTGATGTACTGCAGGTCTCAGCTTAAATGCTACTTCCTCTGGGAAGCCTTTCCTGACCTCTTAGACTAGGTCAAGTCCCCTGTTGCCTGCACTCGTGCATTCTGTTATTTTGCCTTTGATGCACTTAGAACAGCAGTGATTAATTAATTAAATGTAAGATTGATTATCGTTTATCTGTCTTCTATGCTGGACCTGATGAAGGTAGGTTCTATATTGTTCTTATTTAGCACCTAACAGGGCCTGGATTTAGTATGTATTGACAAATTTTGTTGAATGAAAGAATGAGTGATAGAAAATTGTCAGTCACACCAGCAATTTGCAGTGGTGGATCAGGGAGTCCTCCCCCAAGAATGGCGCTAGATATATGCTGCTGAATATTTTCCCACTGACTTTCCTTTTCTAATTTCATGCAGACCTTCCCCTTTCTGTAATAGGAAAATTAACAAATTACTGGAAGAACAGTAATGCTTAGAAGAGTTATATTCTGTTAATAGTGTTAATAGTAATAACCTTTGATCTGTATGTAGCATTATATTTTTTAAAGTTTCTATACATTTACTAATTTTATTCTTATAATTATCCATTGAAGGAATTATAATTTTCCATTGAAGAAATCCTTATAATTATCTAGTTAATCCAGATCTCACCATTTTATAAACGAAGAAACTGAGATAGTTTGTGAGAAATTTGCCCATGTTCCTATATAGTTAATGGCAGAACCAGAAACTTGAGTTCCTGATGCCTACAGTACTGCAGTCTTCTAGTGTAATAGACAGTTACAGTGCATAAGCAGCATTTTTTCATATTTTGTGGGCTATTCAGTTTTGTCTTCTTTGATTGCCTCTTTAAAAGTTGGTTTAGCCGAGTGCTGTGGCTCACACCTGTAATCCCAGCTACTCAGGAGGCTGAGGTGAGGGGATTGCTTGAGGCCAGGAGTTTGAGATTAGCCTGGGCAATATAATGAGACCTTGCCTCTTAAAAAAAAAAAAAAATTGCTGGGCCTGGTGGCCTGTACCTGTAATCCCAGCTACTCAGGAGGCTGAAGTGGAAGGATGGCTTGAGGTGAGGAGTTTGAGGCTGCAGAAGTTGGTTGTTTGACTTTTTCTTTTAGATTTATTCGATTCTTTCATATTAGGGATGCTCATTCTTTGTCCATATGTTCCAAGTGTCTTCTTTGCTTTTTACTTTATGATGTTTTTGTTGAACATGGGTTTTAATGTCATATTTTTTAGTCCTTTATTAATTGTGTCTTCTTTAAGAAATACCCGTCTATTGCAAGGTAATTTATTTCTGAATATAATGTGAGGTAATTTTTAAAGTTTCCTTTCCAGATGGATAAGAAGTTGTGTCAAAATCATTTATTGATTAGCCTACTCTTTACTCCCAGATTTGTAATGCCCCGCCCCATTGTGTGAGTTTCTGTATATATATGGCATTGTGTCTGAGCTGTTGATTTTATTGAACTGCTTATCTCTCCCTTCAGTAAATTTCATACTGCCTGACTTAGTGTCATAAAGTCCAATTTACTGGTACAGATCTTTCCCCTCACCACACATATGCTTTTCTTTTTGTTCTTGACTTTCTCCTTTTCTATATGAAATTTATGATCATAGTGTCAAGTTTTCTCCAGACAGCTCTTGCACAAGGCCAGGAGTGGTGGCCCACGCCTATAATCCCAGCACTTTGGGAGGCCAAGGTGGTTGGATTGCTTGAGCTCAGGAGTTCCGACCAGCCTGGGCAACATGGGGAAGCCCTGTCTCTACAAAAATTAGCCAGGTGTGGTGGTGCACCCCTGTGGTCCCAGCTACTTGGGAGGCTGAAGTGGGAGCATTGCTTGAGCCCAGTAGGTCAAGGCTACAGTGAGCCATGATGATGCCACTGCCACTCCAGCCTGGGGGACAGTGAGACCCTGTCTCAAAAAAAAAAAAAAAAAAAGATCTTGTACAGTTATTTAATCAGTTCTTTAATCAGGTTTATTTCTGGGGGAATCCTATCTTTTTTTTTTGTCACTTTTATATGTATTAGTTTTTTGAGTTATATATAAGGAAAAGTGTTTACGTAAATCATAAGTTTGTGCTTCAGTGAATTTTCACAAAGTGAACACAATCATGTACTTATTACCCAAATCAATAAATAGACTGTCACTTGTGTTTTCCAAACTTACCACATGTCCCTTTGAGTTGTTACTGTCTCACTGTAAGGATAGATAACCCACTATATTGACTTTAACACCACAGATTAGTTTTGTCCTTTGTGACGTCAGTATGGATTTTGTGTCTGACTTCTGTGGTAATAATCTATTTGTGAGATATGTCCATGTTGTGCACATAATGGTTGTTTGTGCATTTTTATTTTTTTAATGATATTCTACTGAAAGTATATACCACAATTTAATATCCATCCTACAGTTAACAGACATTTGGGTTGTTTCCAGTTTTGAGCTAAAACAAATAATGCTAGTATAAGCATTCTTGTACATGTGTTGTGGTGCACATATGTCCCTTTCCATTCTTCTCCCCTCCTGTCCTATTGCCCTCCCTTCTCCTCTCCTCCCCTCACTGTCATTGGATTGGCTAGGAACTCTAGTGTAATTTGAATAAATGTGACTGGTGATAATAGGCATCTTTGTTTTAGTCCTGACTTTATAGGAAACACTTCTTATATGTTAACCTTAAGAGTTATGTATGTGGAGAAATCATATTACCTGACTTCAAATTATACCACAGAGCTATAGTAACCAAAACAGCATGGTATGGGCATAAAAACAGACACATAGACTGTGTTAGTCTGTTCTCATGCTGCTATGAAGAAAAACCTGAGACTGGGTAATTTATAAAGGAAAAAGATTTAGGCCAGGCACGATGGCTCACGTCTGTAATCCCAGGACTTTGGGAGGCCAAGGTGGGTGGATCACTTGAGGTCAGTAGTTGGAGACCTGCCTGGCCAACATGGCAAAACCCGGCCCCTTGCGTGTTTGATAGAACTTGCCTGTAAAGTAATATGAATCTGGTGTGTGTGTGTGTGTGTGTGTGTGTGTGTGTGTGTGTGTGTAGGTAGACTTTAAATCATAGAATTGGTTCCTTTAATGATTATGAGACTGCTTAGATTTTTCTCTTGATTTAGTAAGTTATATATTTTAGGAAATTTTTCATTTTTTTGACCTTTCAAAGTTGTTGATATAAAGTTGTTCATAATAGTCTCTTATTAAGATTTCTACTATTTTTATAGTCATGTCCATTTTTTCTTTCTTAATATTATTTATCTGCATCTACTTTCTTCTTTTCTTAATTGTTCTTGACAGAAGTTATAAACCTTTTAAAAGAGTCTTTAATTTTTTGATCTCTCTTTTTTGCAATTTTATGATTTCTGTTCTTTATTATTTACTTTCTCCTGTGTACTTGTTCTGTTTCTATCCTCTGAGTTGGACAATTAGTTCATTAATTTTTGGTCTTTCCTGTTTTCTTTTTTTCTTTGAAAAATTTTATTATAAACATGATGCTTTGATATACATGCAGTGATATGGTTACATACATGCAAATTAACATATCCATTATCTTACATAGTTACCTCCTTTTTTTTTTTTTTGCGAAAGCACATAAAATCTGTCTTAGCAAAAAATCCAGAGTATAATACAATATTACTAACTATAGTCCTCCTATTGTACATTAGATCTCCAGACTTGTTCATCCTACATATCTACTACTTTGTATCCTTTGATTTATATCTCTCCATTTCCTCACCACCACCACCACCCCACCCCGCTGACCCCTGCTAAGTATTATTTTATTCTCTGTGTGTATTCATCTTTTTTGTAGATTCCGCATGTGGTTAGGCATGGTGGCTCATGCTCATAATTCCAGCACTTTGGGAGGCCGAGGCGGGTGGATCACTTGAGCCCAGGAGTTCAAGATCAGTCTGGGCAATGTGGTGAAACCTCTTCTCTACAAAAAAAATACAAAAATTAGCCAGGCATGGTGGCATGCGCCTGTAGTCCCAGCTATTCAGGATGCTGAGATGGGAGAATCACCAGAGCCCAGGGAGGTTGAGGCCTGTAGTGAGCTGAGATCGCACCACTGCACTCCAGTCTGGGTGACAGAGTGAGGCCCTGTCTAAAATACAAACAAGCAAACCCCAACCCTGAGATTCTGCATACAAGTATAATCATGCAGTATTTTTCTGTGTGTGGCTTATTTTGCTTAGTGTAATGTCCTCCGGGTTCATCCATGGCAAATGGCAAGGTCTCGTTTTTTAAGGTTGAATAATATGCCACTTTATACACAAACACACACACCCATACATGCACCCACATCATTTCTCTATCCACAGACACTTTGGTTGTTTTCATATCTTACCATTGTGCATAATACTTTCTTCTTTATTTTTATTTCTTATTGTTTTTTTGAGATGGAGTCTCCCTCTGTCACCCAGACTGGAGTGCAGTGGCATGATCTCAGCTCACTGCAGCCTTGTCCTCCTGGGTTCAAGCAATTCTCCTGCCTCAGCCTCCCAAGTAGCTGGGACTATAGGCACTTGCCACCACGCCCAGCTAATTTTTGTATTTTTTTTTTTAGTAGAGATGGGATTTCGCCATGTTGGCCAGGCTGGTCTCGAACTTTTGACCTTGGGTGATCCGCCCACCTTGGGCTCCCAAAGTGCTGGAATTACAGGCATGAGTCACCACGCCCAGCCTGTTTTGTTTTGTTTTGTTTTTAAAGTATTAAGGTTAGAAGTTTCTGTCTAAATACAACTTTAAATGCTTCCTATAAGGTTGTTTATTTATTTTAGAGATAAGGTCTTGCTTTGTTGCCTAGGCTGGAGTGCAGTGGCACAATCATACCTCACTGTAACCTTGAACTCCTGGGCTCAAGTGATCCTCTCGCCTTGGCCTTCCAGAGCGCTGGGATCACAGGTGTTGAGCCATCGTGTCTGACTTGAGTTTTTGACATTGAATATTTTTATTATGGTCATTTCTCAATATTTAAACATTTCCATTATGCATTTCTTTATAGCCCATGAGTGTTTATTAAGAAGTGTTTAAAGTTTTTCAAACAAATGGTTGTTTTGGGGTTAGCTTAATTCTACTCTGTTCAGAAGGCATGTTCTATATGATATAGATTCTTTTATTTTTGTTGAGATTTGATTTGTGTGTAAAACATGGTTGTTTCATAGAAGGTCCAAGTGTGCTTGAGAATAATGTGTATTCTTTTTTTCTTGGGTGTATTGTATTAGATCAAATTGACTAATTTTATTGATCAACTTTTCTGTTTTTTTATTTGCTTACTTATCGGTTATCAAGGAAGGTATATTGAACTCTCCTAGTATGCTTGTAGATTGATCAGTTTCTCCTTTTTTGTTGTTTTTTGAGACGGGGTCTTGCCCAGGCTGTAGTGCAGCAGTGCAATCACAGCCCACTGCAACCTTAATCTTCTGGGCTCAACTGATTCTCCTACCTCAGCCTCCCAAGTAGCTGGGACTACAGGCACGCACGGCCATGCCTGGTAATTTTTGTATTTTTTGTAGGGACTGGGTTTTGCAATGTTTCCCAGACTGGTCTTGAACTGCTGGGATCAAGCAATCTGCCCACCTCAGCCCCACAAAGTGCTGGGATTACAAGTGTAAGTCACTGCACCCAGCCAGTTTCTTCTTTTAATTGTATTAATTTTGAGGCTATCTTATTGATATATTTAATCTTAGAATTGTTATATATCTTTCTGGTGAATTGTTTCTATTATCATTTTGAAGTTGTCTTCATGATTTCCAATAGTGAATTTTGTCTTAAAATCTTTTTTGTTTGATGATAATGTAGCTACACCAGCCTTCTTTTGACTGATGTTTGCCAGGCTTATAATTTTTCCATCCCTATACATCAAACTTTCTGTGATCTTTTATAATTTTTAAAAACCGTTATGTTATATTCAGCTAGATTTTTAAAAATCTTACTGAGAATCTCCCACTTTTAACTTGTCATTTTGATCCATTTATATTTATTGTAGTCACTGCATATTTGTGTTATTATTTTATTTTGTACTTTCTTTCTTTTTTTTGAGACAGAGTCTCACTCTGTCGTCCAGGCTGGAATGCAGTGGTGCAGTGTCGGCTCACCGCAACCTCCGCCTCTCAGGTTCAAGTGATGCTTGTGCCTCAGCCTCCCGAGTAGCTGGGACTACAGGCATACGCCACCATGCCCAGCTAATTTTTTGTATTTTTAGTAGAGATGGTGTTTTGCCTTGTTGGCTAGGCTGATCTCAAACTCCTGGCCTCAGGTGATCCGCCCGCCTTGGCTTGCCAAAGTGCTAGGATTACAGGCATGAGCCACCACGCCTGGCCTTATTTTGGACTTTCTTTATATCATGTTTTTTCCTTTTTTCTTTTTTTTAAATGCATATTTAAAAATTTTTTTTATTGATACATATTTGTACATACTTATGGGGTATATGTGATGTTTTGTTACATGCATAAATGATTTAAGTTAGGGTATATGGGGTATCCAGCATCTCAAGCTTTTATCATTTTTATGTGTTGGGAACATTTAAAGTTCTTTTAGCTGTGTTGAAATATTCCTTTTTTTCCTTTTTTCTTCTTCTTTTCCCATTAGATTAAATTTCTTTATCCCTCTCTCTCTCTTTTTTAAATTCTGCTGATTTGGAAGATATACTTTTAATTTATTATTGTTTTGATGGTTACCCTTAACTAATTTTTTAACCTTTTTATAGAAATAAAAAAACCCTGTAGGAAAGTGCAGCTGTCATAAATTTCACAAGCTGAAATCACTTACAGCACCCAGATAAAAAAAACAGAACATTCTTAGCATGTCAAAAGTCCCCTTTGTGCTTCTTTCTAGTAAGTACTACCCTTGACCCTTTGCAGATAACTATTATTCTGACTTCTAGTAGCATGGATTCGTTTTCTCTTTTTTTTTACTTTTCAGTTTATATTCTCATATCTGGCCTTTGTACTGTACAGTTTTGTTTTCTTGTGTCTGGCCTCTGTGTTCAACATCATGTTTGTGAGACTCATTTAAATTTTTGTGTGTGTTCATTCTTTCTCATGGTTGCATAGTATTTCATTCATAAATATTACTATTCATTCCAATATTGACAGGCATATCTTTAAATTATTAATGTGCATATTTGGTTTTAAAAGTTCAAAGTTGAAGATATTATTTCAGTTGCTTCTGGCTTCTGTTGTTGCTCTTGGAAAGTGTTCTAAGTTTTAATCCTTCATGGATAATTTGTCTTTTCTCTTGGGCGTTTATAAAGATCTCTTTGTCCTTTGTTTTCTGCAGTCACAACATGTCTAGGTGTGAATTTACTTTTATTGTCCTATTTGAAACTTGTGTTTCTCAATCCGAAGATCCACATCTTTTTTTTTTTTCTTTGATCTGTCGCCCAGGCTGAAGTGCAGTGGCACTGATCTCGGCTCACTGCAACCTCCACCTCCCGGGTTCAAGCGATTCTCCTGCCCCAGCCTCCCGAGTAGCCGGGATTACAGGCACACGCCACCACGCCCAGCTAATTTTTGTAATTTTAGTAGAGATGGAGTTTCACCATTTTGGTCAGGCTGATCTTGAACTCCTGACCTCGTGATCTGCCTGCCTCGGCCCCACAAAGTGCTGGGATTATAGGCATGAGCCACTGCGCCCAGCCCCACATCTTCTATCAGTTCTGAAAAAAAACCTAAGCCATTGGTTTCAAAGCATAATGGTAACATGGGCAAATAAATGTTTTTAAAAATCACTCTGTTGCTTACCAGTTGTTTACTTTGGACGAAACATTTAAATGGCTTGTGCCTTAGATTTCTCATCTGTACCATGGGGACAATACTAATCACTATTCTTCCTACCTCAGAGAGCTATCTTGGATAGCAAGGAGGAGAATGTACTTGAAATTGCATTGCAAGTTATAATATGCCACCCAAATAGTACAGGATTGAGTTCACTGTAGATGTTCAACAAAATTTATTTAATGAATCTCAATAAATATTTGTTGAATGTTTAATGAATAAACAGTGTAAATATTGTTTAAAATTTTATTGTTTTTCTCCTTCCCCATTCCCTATAAAAGAAATGCAAGAATATTTGCATCACTCACAGAAATTATCTATGTATACACCTAGAATGTATATGAAAAATCACTACGATGATTTAGACATAAAATGAAATTATATTCAGCTCCCAATGCTGTTGATTTTCTAAAATATAAGCCATTGTCTCTACCATTGGTAGTGTTTAATGTCTGTAAACTACTATTGTTCCTTTTGTCTGTACTCTACCAGCCATCAGATATTGTGTGCATATCCTTGTCTTAGTGTCCATTTTTAATGAATTAATGTATTTCCTGTCTCTCTAATTAGATTTTGTGGAGATGGGCTAGTGAAAAGTTCATGGGTTTAAAATTAGGCAGATCTGGAACCAGATCTTGACTTTTCCATTTCCTGACCTGTGACATTAGGCAAATAGCTTTACCTTTCTCATCTTCTGTTTACTTTTCTGAAAAGTAAGGGATTAATTTAGTTATGGATTCCCTGCCATGTGTATAGTGTTCTTTTAGGTGTTTGAATGACTTAATTTGTATCCTTGTAGCAACCTTGCAATATAGATGTTACTATTCTTTTACAGGTAGGGAACTTGATACTCAGAAAGATAACTTGCCTAAGGTCATAAAGCTAGTATGCATTATAGCCAGACTTCTAACCTGGGGTGTCTGATTATAAAGTGTGCCCCCTCACTAGTATCTGAGAAGGTGTTTAGCACAGTTGACACTCAGTTAATATAGGCTCTTTTTTAGTGGAGCGATAATGTTTTATAATTTTCTAACACTTGACATTTTTCCCTGTACATAGTAGGTACTTCTTCACCAATTGCTTATTGGCTCTGTTTATGCTGCTGTTGTTTTATTCACTGAATGTTCACTTTTTAGCCAAAGGGAAAGGACAGTCCCAAACCAGAGTGAATATTAATGCTGCCTTGGTTGAGGATATAATCAACTTGGAAGAGGTGAATGAAGAAATGAAGTCTGTGATAGAAGCTCTCAAGGATAATTTCAATAAGACTCTCAATATAAGGACCTCACCAGGTTAGTGACTGAACCAATGTTCTGGGGAGGGATGTAATGGAAAGAGCATGGGTTTGGCAGAGTTGAGTTTTAGTCCCAGCTTTGCCATTTACTAACTGGTGGCCATGGGCAGTTACTTTGCTTTTCTGGTCCTCGGTTTTCTTGTTTGATTCTTAACTTACAGCTTTGGGGTGGTAGTTAAAATAAATGAGGTAACGTATTATGGTTCTAGCATAGTGCCTGGCGCATAGTTAACACTACATTTATTTATCCATGCTGCAAATTTTTGTCTACTTTGGAACTAGGCATTGTGCTAGTGCATAGTAGTAAACAAAAATAGGTATTGTCTTTGCTATCATGGAATTAGACTCTCAGAAAAATGAGATTTTTATTATGAATGTACTATAAACACATCTAGGTATTTAGTCTCATAGTAACTGACATCTTTGGTCCGATTTTTCCAATTTGTCCTGTTTGGCAGTTCTTATCCCTTACTGGGAACCAAATGAATACAGACCTGCCCACGTGAGGCATTTCTATACCCCTGAGCTTGACCAGGAAGATTCCGTTTGGGTTAATAACTTCCTGAAAGTGGCTTTTCTAAGTGGGAAATGTCAGAACTGTCTAGGCCAACTGTTTGCAGATGTGATGGAGAAGTGAGTTGTCAGCTGATGGTGCAAGCAGGCAGGAAAAATCCAGTTGCTGTTAAATTAGGCTTTTGCAAATTGTCATCATCCTAAAGTCAAACCTGGGACCCCTCTCTTAAGGTACCTGTGGGAGCTTGGGCTGCTTCTACTCACATCTTGATTAGGATAGTTCATAAGAAAACTAGAAATATTTCGCTCTTAAGAAAACCAAGTGAAAAATACAGCTCCACTTATAAACACTATCAGAAACATTACCGAGTTCAGAGATGAGATCCAGTGTGAAACTAGAAGACTGTTCCCGTCACTTGTCAACCTTTGGGCTGGGGCATTTCTGCCTTTGCTGACAGTAGAGCGTGCCATTCAATCTCTCTCAACTGTTTATTTTAAACTTGCTTATTATTTTAGGTATGAAACTGATAAAGTGCTCTGTCTCCCCTGTGTTTTCTGGCCTGTTAACATTCTGCAGCCGAAACCAGAGAGCAGTTTGAGAGGAGCTCAGGGAGAAATGTGATACTTAAAATTAGCCAGCAAGCTCCACTCTTGTTGAACTTAAAAAGATGATGGGCCTGGAAAGAGGTTGGGAGTGTAATTTGTTAAATGTTAACCTCTGAGAAAATGAGGGGCAGGAATGAGGCTGAGGGAGATTCTCGCTGGGGACAGATTGAGGGAAAAGGATTTGATGCATTATGTCGATACGGATTTAGGAATGGTAACCACCACAATTGCATTCTGAAAAGCCTGTGTTGGGACTTCTGTGGCAAAGGATCTCATGGCAAATCAGGAAGACTGAATTAAGATCCATTTCAAAAGGCCTCCTGTTGGTATTTCCTCTTTCCTTTCTCTTCAGGATTATGTTTGTTTAACGTTCTGTATAGAATTTGGGGCCATGAAGAGACTGGGTGAAACAGACTAAACTTAACTAGTCTCTTTTGCCAGATTGTTCCGTTTTATCTTTCATTACCATCTGAACCAACAGGTACTTTTCCCCCTACCTTTTCCTCTTTCTCACAGCAATTTCTATCTCCCAGATAACTGACACCTTTTAACAGTTGTCTAGATACAGGTTTATTTGTTTATTCATTGTTGTCCTCTTCCCTTTCATCCGTCCATGCATACATTGATTTATCGTCAAAGCATTATTGAGCACTTTTTCTGTGCTGATTAATATGTGCTGTGGATACAGAGAGAAAATATATTGTCCCCACCTTCCAGAAGCCTAGAACCTGATGTGAAGGGTCAAACAAGTAAACCAACATGTATAAAACTATACAGCAAAGCTGAGTGGTGAAGACCAAATGACTTGGAGTTGGTCAGACCTGGGTTTGAATTCAGGTTCCATTAAGAGCTGTTGTGATCTTGGGCAAGTTACTCTGTATGCCTCAGTGTCCTTGTCTATAAGGTAGAAATAATAATAACTATCTCATAGAGTTAATATGATATTGACAGCAAATACATTATAGAAAGCATTTATCATGATGTCTTGCTTATAGGAAGTATTCAGTAAATATAGGCAATTATTATTATGGAAATGTGCTTGGATGCTGGGGGCTTGTAAAAGGGGTTTATAGTCCAGCCTAGGAGATCAGACAAGATTACTGAGATTAGATGCCACTGTATCTGACTGTTAAGGAATGAGCAGGATTTATCTGAACAGAGAAGAGTGTTCTCAGTAGAAGGAAAAATATATGCAAGGGTCCTGAAGCAAGACAGAACAGAGTTTATTAGAGAATATTAGAGTGTATTAGAGAAATTAAAACACAGAATGTCAAGAAGTAATAATAGTCAGCATTTAGTGGGACACAGTTTAAATGCTTTTCCTACATTCTGTCATTTAGTATTCATAAAAACCCCATGAAATATAAGTACAATTTTTTTTTTTTTTTTTTGGAGTCAGAGTCTTGCACTGTCGCCAGGAGTGGAGTGCAATGGCGCGATCTCGGCTCACTGCAACCTCCTTCTCCCGGGTTCAAGCGATTCTCCTGCCTCAGCCTCCCAACTAGCTGGGATTATAGGTGCCCACCACCATGCCCAGCTAATTTTTTGTATTTTTAGTAGAGACAAGGTTTCACTATGTTGGCCAGGCTGGTCTCAAACTCCTGACCTCGTGATCCACCCGCCTCAGCCTCCCAAAGTGCTGGGATTACAGGCGTGAGCCACTGTACCCGGTGAGATATAAGTACAATTTTTATGTCCCATTTAGAAATCAGGAAACAGGCCAAGAAGGCTGAAGGGGGTCTACCCATGGTCACACAATCAGAAAGTGGCAGAATTGGTATTTGAACTCAGGTAATTGGTCTTCAGAATAACAAAGACTTTTACCATTATACCTCCCGGACTTTTCCAGGTTGAAGCCACTGCTGTCAGCAACCTTCTGTCTTATGATGACATTGAATCTGGTTGAGTATCTCAAATCAGATCTTTGGGCCACAGTATGGTACTGCATTATTCTAACAACATATTGCCAGGACAACTCCAATTTGTTTAAGACTCCATTTCCCCCCTTTTCTCTTTGTGTCTCAGAATGAGCCATCCTTGAGTGGTTCCTACTGTGAATAGTAAGGTTTTTCTTCTAGTTCTCATTTGCATGGGAAATAAGGGAGTTTGAATAATGCCTCTTTTCCATCTGTAACTGTGGCTTTATTGCTTGCCTTCTTGCCATTTTTGAAAATTTTTCCCAGGGTTTTCCAGAATTTAGATGCAGATAAAGATTATATCCAGGATAATAGGAAAATGTTAATAGTTTTGTTGTTGTTGTTGTTGTTGTTGTTGTTGTTGTTGTTTGTTTAATGGGCTAGTTCTAAAGGGGATCTAAGTACCAAAATGAAGGGTCGTATAAGCAAATGGTTCCAAATCTGGCTGTGTCAGAATAATGTGGTGAACCTAAAAAAAAAATTACAAGCTTCCCCAAATCACAGGCTCCGAAGCCTCTGCAGAATCAGGATCTCTCCAGGGTGGGGCCCAGGAATCTAATTTTCAAAGCTCCCTGGTGATTCTGATGCACAGCCGGATTTGAGTTCCATTTGTAAGGGAAAGAGCCTTGACTGAAATCAGAATTAAGCACACCTGAGTTTGGGTCTTGGCTCTTGTTTTTCCTCTTGTTACCCCTATGATCTTGGCCTGTTTATTCTTCCCAAGTCTTATTTCCTCATCTGTAAAGTGGGGGTAATAATGCAGTGTTACAGGGTTGTTGTAAGGACTAAAAGGGATAGTAAGAGGTACAGTCCTCACTCTAATCCTCTAAGGTAGTTATTTTTTGACTGAATTGGAAACCAAGGCACAGAGAAGATAAATAACTCACCTGAGGTTTCATAGCAAGTAAATGACAGAGTTGCTTGTGAGGGTGATCAGCTGTTTCCAGTTTTAGTTCTAAAAGCCCTGTCACAGAAAATTCTTCAGCTCCAGGCAAACCAGGATGGTTGGCCACCCTAGTTGCTGGTGATGAATTCCAACTTAGTTCTGTCAACATTTCAAGCTTTTCTATCACGATACTGCTGTTCCTGTGAAAGCCCCTTGTACACTCTTGTCACATTGATAAGAATCCCTAAATGTTTGTTGAATCTGAATTATTATTATTATTTTGAGACAAGATCTCACTCTGTTGCCTAGGGTGGAGTGCAGTGGCCAGTACGGCTCACTGTAACCTCTACCTCTTGGGTTTGAGCAATCCTCCCACCTCAGCCTCATTGCTGAGTAGCTCATCTTCCAGGCACATGCCACCATACCTGCTAATTAAAAAAAAATGTTTTTGTAGAGATGTGGTCTTGCTGTTTTGCGCAGGTTGGTCTCAAACTACTGCCCTCAAGCATTCCTCCCACTTCACTCCCAAAGCTCTGGGATAACAGGCATGAGCCACTGCATCCAACCTGAATCTGAATTAGATAGGACTTAGATTTGGGGCTACTAAGGTTCTTTGGAATTCTAAAACTCTGTAATTTTTCTTTTAGGATCCCTTGACAAGATTGCTGTGGTAACTGCTGACGGGAAGCTTGCTTTAAACCAGATTAGCCAGATCTCCATGAAGTCGCCACAGCTGATTTTGGTGAATATGGCCAGCTTCCCAGAGGTAAGATGGCCTTGCTAAAATCTCTCTCCGTGGTCTCTTTTGGAATGGAGGAGACTGGGTCATATCAGGAGGAAGTGTTCCTTCAGCTTAGGATGAAACAAGAGAGAAGACATAATAAAGAGAACTTAAGGATAAGGCAAAGCTCTTTTCCTGTTGCCAGATTCCTTTTCTGTTAAACTCAGATGCTACAGAGGCTAGGTAAGTTGTTTGAATACCCAAACGGGTCCCATCTAAGAAAAACAATACTGGAGATGCAGTGATTGGTGCTTGGCCAGCGTGAAAAGGCTCTGGTGAGCTGGAGAGCCTGTACCTTGTGTGAGTGGAATGCCTCTGCCCAGCTCCTGCTGATCATTGCCAGGCACAATGTAGGCCTGGTAATCAGTGTTACCTGATACTACGATTTTTATTTCCAGAAGAAGCTAGTAACACAAATTTTTATGTGACATCTTTATTCTGTAAATGTTGATGACTAATTGAGTTTTTTTTTTAAAGACTATGAAGCAAATAAAACAATACTTTAATGGGCCAAATGTGGCCTGAGGGCCACCAATTTGTGACCTCTGCATTAGTATTTGGAGCAGACCCTCCAGGAAGTCCTTTTATACTAGACTGACCATTGCAGAATATTGCATGGAGCACAGTGCTTCCAAAACTGGAAGGTGGGTTGTATTAGGTCATTGCATCTTTGAAGCTTTATGATTTTAAGTGTAGTTGAAGAAGGTAATTGGGCTTTTTGTTATTGGTCCACTAGGAATTGGCCTGGATTAGGAGTCTTAGAGTACCTGGAATCCGGTCCCATCTCTACCACCAACTGGCTGTTTGACCTTGGGCAAGTTGCTTCACTCTCTGGGCCTCCATTTCCTCATCTGCTAATATAAGGTGAAGGAATCCTCCTGTTCTTATTGTCTATTTCAGTAGTTGTATTCCAAAGTCATAGACCAAGGTTGGACCTGTTGTATTTGACAAACTAGGCTAGAGATAGGAGAAAGGGAAAGCCCTTGCTGTGAACACACTGTTTCAAATCAAAGGGCTCTGATAGCTAATGGGCCAGGCACACCTGTGGGTGTGCTGTTACCACTCCCCTACTCCATTCTCCATACTATAACCAGAATGAGTTTTTGAAAAATATATATTGTGCCAGGCGTGGTGGCTCATGCCTGTAATCCCAGCACTTTGGGAGGTTAAGGTTAGAGGATCACTTGAAGCCAGGAGTTCAAGACCAGCCAGGGCAACATAGTGAAACCCTGGCTCTACAAAAATTTCAAAAATAAAAAAATTAGTGAGGTGTGATGGCACACACCTGTAGTGCTAGCTACTCAGGAAACTGCAGTGGAAGGACCGCTTGAGTCCGGGAGTTTGAAGCTGCAGTGAGCTATGATCATGCCACTGCACTGCAGCCTGGGTGACAGAGCAAGACCTTGTATCTTAAATAAACAAGGAAAAAAAAATATATGTATAAAAGATTTTGTCAGTTGTCATTCCCATGCTTTGCCTTTATTGGTGGCTTCTAGCAATCTTTAAGAAACAGTCCAAAATCCTCACTGTGGCCAAGAAACAGTCCAAAATCTTCATTATGGCCTAGATGGCTTTGCTTGATCTTGCCTCTGTTTTTTCAGTTTTGCCAGTCTTGTGCCACTGTCATCCTTGTACAATGCTTTAGCCACATTGGTCTTTCAGTTCCTCAAACACACCAAACCCTTTGCATCCTTAGAGCCTTTGCATATCCTGTTCCCATTGCATGGAACACTGTTGCATGGCTAATTGCTACTTATATTTTGGATCATGGCTTAAACGTCACTTTCTTAAGGAAGCCTTTCCTGACCTCTCCAATCTAAATTATTCTTCCACACTAAGTTCTCCTATACAGCACAATTCTTTTTCTTTATTGCACTTATTACTAGTGTACATTTGTGTACACATTTATTTTTCATCTCACTTTTACTAGAGTGTAAGCTTGGAATGTAGGAATGTCTAATTTGCTCATTGTGTCCAACACCAAACAGTGCCTGGCACATGGCACCATTTGGTAAATTTTCCTTGAATGGATGAATACCTGTTATTAGGTTGATAAAAGGGAGGCACTCATTTCTGATGTTAGTGAGGAACAGAGAAATTGATGAAAAGGGAACTGTCAACTGTTTCTCTTTCTGGGCCCCTCTGAACCACTGAGGCCTCTCCTCCTTGTTCATCTAATCCCGTAGGCACTGTGGGCCAATTTAGGGAATAGCCTCCTAATTACACAGCTTGAAGACCTCATCAGGCAGATTGCTTTTCAGAGCCAGCCACTTCTTTTATTAAATAGCAAATGGCATTCACAGAAGAAGCACCTGATTGGCCACCAGAGCATCTTATGAAGCAGGAGGAGATATTAACAGCTTAATTTTTTCTTAGGAAGTTGGGGTATATCTTCATTTTTCAACTCAGACATCTTTGCCATTTGTTCAAGTTGAAATTCCATGGGTTTTGAAAAAATCCTTACAAGTATATCAGTAGAGAGGTTCATTTACAGGAACAGAATGAGGAAGTGTGAGTTACATTGTCTTTTGAATTCCTTTATCTCGTCTGTTGTATATATTAAACAAATAGCTCTAACTAAAGATTTCCTTCCTCCAGCTTCGAAGCTGACCGTAGAGTACCCAGGTTCATAGCTTTAAAATGCTGAGCTAATCCTGTGTTTATGTAATTTCTGTTTCACATACAGTTGGCTTTCTTTCCAAACCTGAGCATTTCCGTGTCATGCTGTAGTGACACGATGCAGATTTACATGCATGATCTTTTTGAATGCATTGAAGACAGAAAACTGTGTTGCATTTGTTTAACATGTGTCCTGCTTGATAAATGATACACATAGTTGCTGCCTTCCATAAACTTGCCTGCAGCTAGAGTTAATGATGGGAAAGAAAAGAAGGGAATAAAAACCACAGCATGATTTGAACAAAACAAGCCAAATGAAAAAAAATAAAAATAAAAAACCACGCACAACTCTGCAGGCACCATTATTGCTCTTGCGGAAGGAAGAAAATGAATGTGTATTGATTGTCTGCTTTGTTGCTAGTCTCTTTCTCATGTTTTGTTTCCTATGATCAGTACAGGTACTCTGTAAAATTAGGCATTATTTATTTCATTTTATAGATGAGGAAACTGAGACTCAAAGCAGTAAAATATTTCCACTAGGTTTACACTGTTGTGACAGAGCCAGGATTTGAACATATCTCTGTTGGATGTGAAAAAGCCTGTGCTCCTTTCACCATTCGTTTGTTAATTCAGCACATATTTTTTGAGTCCTTGCAAGTGATTAGTTTCTATTTGAGGTGCTGGGAATTCACTGATTATTAAGACAGACTATGTGTCTACTTTCATAGACTACATTCTAAGGACTTACTGGGATATGAAGAAAATGGAAGGCCAGTAATTGATATGGCACTAGCAGAGTTGACTTGAATTTAAATTCTCAAGGACTTGTTCACCTGTCTACAAAAGTCTTATTTTTTTGTTGTTGTTGCTATTTAGCACAGATTAGCTTAGAATAACAAAGGCAGACACTACTAATTGATCACATCACTCTTCTCTGCCTGACGCCCAGATGAGATTTGTGATTTTTCTCAACACTCTACTCCAAGCAGCCACAACCAGTTAGTTATGTCATCATTTGAGAGCAACCTGTTTGCCCTGTGATACTGTCGAGCATCCTTTCCGTGAAGGGATGATGCATAAGAGATGGAAAGTCTATAGGAATGTATGCCCCTTTAGTCTGAACTAAAGAGTTTTTCAGATGTCATATGAGAACATGACTAATTCCCTGAGGTTCTGTGTCCTACCATGTCAAAGGAAAATACATGTAGAATTCAGTAGGTTTCTTTGTAAAATGAAACTTTGATTCATGATTTTTCTGCATATGAAAAGATACAGAAAAGTTTAAGTATAAAATAAGATTTTGAGCCATTTATACATGAGGTAAAGGAAGTGAGTTTTTCTAATACATCTGAACCAGATCACTAATATATTCAATCAACAAGCTTTTACTGAGCACTTACCATGTACCTGGCACTCTAACTTGTACTGGGAAGATGTAAATATTGAAGCATAGTTCCTGCCCAGCTTGGTGTCAGTAGTCGGTGCCCTAGTGCCTGTAGGGGAAGGTTGTATGGAAACACTTGGGTCAGCTTGTGAAAGGGAGGTAGTGGTGATGGGGTGTTACAGTAGTGATTATCAGTCATTCATGAGAAGCTATAGTAGAGGATTGAAAGACTTAAGAATGGACTACCCCTTCACAATGGAGATTCTCTCTTTATTGTTAACTTTAGAATCTGTTTTTTTTTTTTTAAGGAAGATGGCATTTCTTTTGCAGAGAAAAATTAATTTTATTTCTTTTTTCAGCTCTTTTATTACCTTGAGTATAACCTTTATACCGCAAACATAATTCCAAATTAAATTTGGCTATTTAAGAAAAATATCAGGCAAGGCGTGGTGGCTCATGCTTATAAAATCCCAGTACTCTGGGAGGCTGAGGTGGGTGGATCGCTTGAGCCCAGGAGTTTGAGACCAGCTTGGGCAACATGGTGAGACTCCATCTCTATAAAAAATACAAAAATTAGCCAGGCATGGTGGTGCAGACCTGTAGTCCCAGCTCTTCTTTCTTTTTTTCCTCCTGCAGCTACTTGGGAGGCTGAGGTGGAGAGTCACCTGAGCCTGGGAGGTCAAGGCTGCAGTGAGCCGTGATTATGCCACTGCCCTCAAGCCTGAGTGACAGAGTGAGACCCTGTCTCAAAAAAAAAAAAGAAAAAAGAAAAAGAAAAGAAAAATCAAATCCTTAATGTTATAATTACTGAATGCATTGAGCTTGGGGATCTGGAAAAAAGTAAAGGTAGAGCAGCATCATTGGATTAAATCCCTATTCAGTCTCCTCTTAACTCTGCCAGTAACTGGAAGTTTGATGGATGGGAGTCCTCAAACCATCTCTCTTGGGCTGTCAGGGAAGACCATGTCTACTCTTGGGGGTGTGACCCTATTCTACAAGTTCCTCTTCACATAATGAAGAGACTTGGTTATGTCAGAAATCCCTTCCAGCTCTAATAATCTGTGGCCAGAGGTACTATTTTAAGAATGTACTATTTTAGGTAGTGGCCACAATGTTAGATTCTGTGTACAGCCTCCCAAGAGGATTCTTCATGTGTATGTGGAAGTTCTGGTTTGTCTTTGTGACCTTATAGTAACACCTCAGGTAGCCGTAGCAGTAAGGTTATTTAAAAATGAAATGAATGAGTTTTATGGGCAGAGAACCCAGAAAAGTAAAATAGGTGTATATCAACCGCCATTCATTTAAATTAGAAAGTCTAGGAGGAGCTCAAGTGCAGGAATTGGCCTTTGAATCCAAGTGATGTGGATTGTCTCCGGTCAAGCCTAAAATTCTTTGAAAATGTCAGAGGCTTTGTTTTCATGAGTTCCACATTGTCATGCCAATGAAAGGATCTCTAGGATTGCATACAAGGTATAGTTATAATGTTGCTTGAGTGTGAGGTGAGGCACTTTGGGAAATGGGTGTGCCAGTGTGCCAGCTGGCACATTAGTGAGCAAACTGTCAGAGAAACCCCTGAAGGATGTTGGGCAGGTTAGCAGTACATCAGCTACATGAAGACATCAACTCCACCTTGTTTGAGAGTTTTATGCATTCTTACCTTTATATAATAAATGTATATAATATGTTCATATAACTGCCCTTGCCTGAGTATTACTATGTCCCAGGCACAGAGCAAGATGCATCGCTCATGTTATTTCACTACCTCTCTGAGGTTTAGGGACCACATGGTCTCAGATGATGAAATATAGGTTCAGAGAGGTCAAGCATATGCCCAGGGTCACATGGTTACCAGAGCTGGGATGTGAACTGAGATCTTTCTGACTCCAAAGCCCATGCTTTAAGCTAGTATACCACACTACCTTTGCGGGAGCATATACCAGCAGAGATTCATTGCTCATTCCAAAATATGAGTGAGTTTGGTGTGAGTGCAGATGCGAATGAGTTAAATTTATTTACTCATTCCAAATCGGCACTGGTATATTTTGAGTGTAAAATGTCAACTGGATTTTTTTACGTATGAAATCTTTCATCTGTCTTTACACCAATCTTTGCAGAGACCAGCCCCCCTCCCTTGAGGATTTATTGTGGTTTTGATCTGTGTTGCCTCAAACCATTGAAATCTTTTCAAAGAGGCAGAGCTGTTTTCTTTTTATTTTTTCTTCTTTCTTTTTTTCCTCCTGCAGTACAGTGGTACCAGGAGTGGACATAGTTTGCTATTCAGCTTGATCAAAGCACTCTACACCAATGTAACTTCCTGATCTTACTGGTAACAGAACTAAATGTTTCCATGTTCTGCCAAGATGGGTTGCCAGTTATCGACAGAGGGCTTGCATCTGGTAATAATTATTTACTAATTCTGTTTACCTTTTGATCTGGTTTTCAGTGTACAGCTGCAGCTATCAAGGCTATAAGAGAAAGTGGAATGAATCTGAACCCAGAAGTGGAAGGGACGCTAATTCGGGTACCCATTCCCCAGTAAGTTTGGCTGAAATTCACATATTTTGATGAAACGGGGTGGTTGTCCTTGGAAGGAAACCAACAAATACCCTACTATACCGTTAGGCCAATAACATACCTTACCTGTACCTTTCACCCTGGCAAACATCTTTTGAGATCACTTTACTGATTCAGAAATACTTATTGAGCGCCTGTTATGTACTAGATGTGAGGTTTGCAGCAGTAAGCTTGAGAATTTGTTGTCCTTACATAGTTTACATTCTGGTTGGGAAGGTAGGACAAATAAATAAAGTCATTCCAGATAATGAAATGCTATGAGGAAAGAAAAGACAGTGGGATCCAATAGAGAGTGACTTGGTAAGGATGATGGTGGCAGGGGCACCTGTAGCCTGAGAAGACTCTTTATGCAGGTAACATTTTTGCTAAGAGCTAAATGATGAGAAAGAACCAGCCTAGGGGAGAGCATTTTGGGCAGCGTGAACAGCAAGCAGAAAGGCCTCCAGTTTGAAAAGACCTTGACACTGGTAGTCTCTAACTTATATTCTTTGAAGAGCTATTTTTTTTACATTAGTCCTTGCTAGTCGAAGAATTTTAAGCTGAGAACAGAATATTGTTAATTATATAAATATATAGAACTTAAAGTTTTAAGTGAATAAAAATGTTCATTTTTAAATTTAAAAAAAGAAGAGAAAATATAAGACCTTGACCTTTTTGAGAAAGAAAAAAGCCAGTGTGTGTGAAATGCAGGGAGAGGGTGGTAGGAGAGGAGGTTGGACTAGTCAGTAGAGGCTGATGGTTTAGGCATTATAAGTCATGGTGAGTGGGCTTTATTCTCACTGTGATGGGAAGTCAGTGGAAGGATTTAAGCAGGGGAATGACCTGATCTGATGTTGACTATGTGAGGGTCTCTCTGACTGCTGGTTTAACAAATGGACTATAGGGGTACAAAGTGGACACAAGGGGAACAGTCAGGAGGCACCTGCAGCAGTCCAGGTGAGACACATCTTCTCCGATTCCACAGCAAAAGATTTAAATCCCTATTCCTACACAGTGCCTCATATATAGCAAGGCCCAAATAAGTGTTGAATTAACTCGTTCAGTCTTTCAACAAATATTTATTAAGTACTAATGACATGCCAGATACTTTCTTAGTTGTTGGAATATAGCAGTAAACAAAACAAACAACAAAAAGTCCCTCTCTTCCTCGGGCTTCCCTGATAGTTGCATAGGCACAGTAAATAAGTACGTAATGGAATGTCAAGTGATAGTAAGGACAATGAAGAAAAACAAGCAAAGTAAGGGGATAGGGAGATTTGGGGCTTTTATTATGGATAGGGAGGGTCATGAAGAAAGGGACATTTGAACAAAGACCTAATGAACAAAGCTTCCAGATAACTAAAAGGGAAATGGAGTTGAACACTAGTTGAGTGTCTTTTAGTGCCACACATTATCCTGTATTCCTTTACATATATTACCTCATTTGTCTAATCCCTGTAAAGTAGGTTTTTTCCTAGTTGTGGAAATTTAGGCTCATGTCTTTGAAGCCACACAGCTTGTGCTGAAGCTGGGACCCAAACCCAGGTTTAGTTGATAACAAAGCCTCATGATGTACCCATACCCATGCAGACAACAAGAATCAATCCCAACACGGGAGTCCAGAAACTTTCCACACTGAACTTTTTCCTGCCTCGTGGCCAGAAAATAGCTGTCTTGTTCCATTGTGTTCTCAGTACTCTGTGAGGCTGAAGTAACACTCTGCTTTGAAATCATGTGAATTGGGAACAATATAACCTAACGTTTAAGAAGCAGATAGACCTAGGTTCAAGTCTTTCTGCTTGAACCAGATAGTTCAAGTTTGTTTGGCAAGTTCATTGATTTGCTTAGTGAATGTTCTGAGAATGCGTATGTGCCAGGCTCTGTGCTGGGGATGTATAGACGTGATGTATGCCTTCATGGAGCTCACAGGCTGTGTGCCAGGCCTCTTGTTTGTATTGCCTCCAACTTACTTGTGGAAATTACTAGGGCCCACATTTATAGATGAAAAATGTGAAGTTCAGAGAAATTAAGGGACTTGCCCGAGATCACATGACCAGTAAATGGCAGTCAGGATTTGAAGCCTGAGTTTTTCTGTTACCTTTCTCCTGCATTTTCTGTGTAGATGCATAATTCTGGAAAGTGCTAAATGTACACATGGACGTTAGAAGCAAGATTTACAAGAGTAATAGATAGTAGTCAGCAGGCTTATTTTCTAGTTTTTGCTGTCCTGTTTGTGAAACCTTGGACAGTCACTTAACCTCCCTGAGCCTTGGCTTCCTCACATGTCAGATGAAGGGGTTGTTCTTAGTGGCCTGCCAGGTCGTTTCTGAAGCTCCAAAATACTGTGGGGCTATGAATTTGTGCTACTAAATGCTCATTGCTGATTTGGATTCTTCTTAGGGTGACTCAGTTGTGTATCACATTTTTCTTTCAAAGATCTGGTTGACATAACATGCATTTCTGCAGCCCCGCAAGAGTAAATGATCACTGTCGGTGCATTGTATGTAAGTTTGAAAGATCAGTGAGTTTAACTCGAATTTCCAAAGATAAGAGGATCTGTTACATTATTTTTTACATTATTTTATTTTGGTTAATGGGTGTAATCCAAGAGAAAGTTGATGGACCAAAACCGTCTGCTCCTGCAAACCTCATTTTTTTATATACTTTCTTCCCTTTGACAAGGTGGTGGGGTCATGAGGCCCCTTACTGAATTATAACGTTTGGTAGTTTTCCAGATAAAAAATGAATGATCTGTTCTTTATTATAGAGGCTGTGTTACGTGAGAGGATAAAGGTTGATTTATAAGTAAGAGGATCGAGGTTTTTATTTGGTTTTAGCAGTGACTTCCATATGACTCTGGGCACAGCGCCCTAGTTGCTTGCTGCCTTCTAGTTCCTTATTTGTAAAATAGGTTAGTGCATAATGATAAGCAGAGATGTGGTGAGATTAATAGAGAAAATAAATTAAGTGGTATGATTTCCTTAAACTATATAAACATAAGATATTACTTCAGTAAACTTTTAATTTTCTACATATTATATAATTTTAGGAGAAAAGGATGGAGGGAAGAAGGGAACTAATAGGTCGAGCACCTACTATGTGCCAGGAATGGTTAGGTGCCTTACATATTCAGGAAAGCAGAAAAGTATAATGGTTAAATTTTGCGTTGGTGTCACGTAAGCATGAAATTGAGTTCCAACATTTCCTGCTTTTTAGCTGTGTGACAGTGGCACCTGTCTCTGCCTCTGTGAATCTCAGGCAGCTCATCTGTGAAATGATAATTTACAGGACTTGCCATATATGCTTATTGGGAGATTTCAGTGAGATAATGTACATGAAGCTTTTGATGCTTAGTAAGCACCCAATTAATGCTAGCAAATATGCTATTTCCATCATCCCCTTTCACAAATAGGAGCATCATTCCTTTTTAGGGATGAAGAAAATGAGATTCAGAGAGGTGAGGCATTGGTTCTGGGTCACACAGCTGGTAATTGACAAAGCGGTGAGGAGGAAAATAACACATCATATCTTAAGTTGGGACTTTGAGGGGTAGGGGAAATAGGAAGCATACATTCTTAAGATCAGTTTCCTTTTTTTTTTTTTTTGAGATGGAGTCTTACTGTGTAGCCCAGGCTGGAGTGCAGTGGTGCGATCCCAGCTCACTGCAGCCTGCGCCTCCCAGGTTCAAGCAATTCTCCTGCCTCAGCCTCCCAGGTAGCTGGGATTACAGGCGCCCGCCACCACGTCTGGCTAATTTTTGTATTTTTAGTAGAGACGGGATTTCACCATGTTAGCCAGGCTGGTCTCGAACTCTTGACCTCAAGTGATCTGCCCACTTCGGCCACCCAAAGTGCTGGGATTACAGTTGTAAGCCACTGCGCCTGGCCCCTTAGATCAGTTTCTGATTATAAAAGTTTGAGTTTAGTTCTAGGAAAATTTGCCTCCTCTGATTGATCCTGATTCTTCCACTGCCTAATGATAGTCTATAGGTTTGCTTTTTTGCCTTAACTCTGGATACCCAGAACTAAATTTTATTTTCAATTGAAGCAGATCTCACCTATTACCTCACCCTCATTACATTCCTCTGATTCTTATATTCTTATTTAAATGAGTCTACTGAGTATGTGACTCTTAACTATAATCTGCCTCTGATCTTTTGGGGAAGTAGGTAAAAGATAAATCCTAAATCAGTAACAGGCCAGGCTTGGAGCCTGAGTGGTCCTTATCATCAAGACCTCTTTTTACAGCCTCTGAGACTCAGCTCTGCGTGGCTGTTTGCGAGTTTTTTTTTTATCGTGGCTGTCTCCTCAGGTAAATAACCATTGAGTCTTAGGGGCTCTGGATTATATCTTTTCCCACTGACAATGTGGATAGCTTTTGTTTGCTTCTCTGGCAGTGATTTTTATTTAGATAAGTTAGTCAACTGGATTGGTTTTTTTGGGACATTCCTGTTAATGGAGATATACTGAAATAGTTTCTTCTATTTTTCCAATTCATGTAATTACATTTTAGGTACCATTTATCAACCACCTAAACTAGAGGTATAATGCCTGGAAGTGTTGAGCTGAACACTTTACAATTTCTCCCCAAATTCTTACAACACTATGTGGTGAAGAGACTATTTTAGGCTCATTTGACTGATGAGAGTCCTGAAGCTCATAGAAGTTGATGCCCAATATCAGATAGCTAGTAAGTGGCAGAAGCAGGGTTAGAATTGGGGTCTTTGTCACTGCCTTTCTTCCTGTTCCTGTCTCCTGATAGAAGATTTATCTGGAATATCAGTCTTTTCACTCCTTAATCAGGGGCCCTGAAAAGTTTTGATCAGGGGTTCATTTTGTTCAGGCCAGGTTTCTGCCTCCACCTTATTCACATCATCATTATGCCCCCAAGCAAATAAACAAATAAGAATACACTCCCTTACTCATTGTTTTACCAAATGTCTATGGGAAAACCACACTAAGTAGAATAGTGGTGCTTTGGTTTGAGATTGCTGAGTTCATGCCTGGCTTTAAATAATGCTATAAGGAAACTATGAATTCACCCAGGAAACAAAACTACAGATGATTGACTCATTCCTCACCAAGTTTGCATCTTTCCTTGATTGTCTTCCGATTCCTTCATCAGCGTCTCTGTTGGTTTTATTTTAAATAAAATTACATAAAATATTTAAATGAGGCTAAGCACAGTGGCTTACACCTGTAATCCCAGCACTTTGGGAGGCCGAGGCAGGCAGATCACAAGGTCAGAAGTTCAAGACCAGCCTGACCAACATGATGAAACCCCATCTCTACTAAAAATACAAAAATTAGCTGGGCATGGTGGCGTGCGCCTGTAATCCCAGCTACTCAGGAAGCTGAGGTGAATCGCTTGAACCCGGGAGGTGGAGGTTGCAGTGAGCCGAGATCGTGCCATTGCACCCCAACCTGGGCGACCAAGTGAGACTCCATCTCAAAAAAAAAGAGAAAATGCCTCCATCCTTTTCTCCTTAGGGAACCACTTTTAGTACCTTGATTTTCTAGATTTTTTCCAATGCAAAGTCAAGCATATGTCTGGTATCTCCTTCATTTTTCTTGTAATGATATGGGATTATACTATACATAGTGTTCTGTACCTAAAAAAAAAAACTTAACAGTGTGCCATTGCTCTCTGTTATGAGAATTCTTCCTCACTCTTTTTCTAAAGGTGTACTATTGGCATTTTACACTTACATTAACCAGTTCCCAAGTGTCAAGTATCTTAGTTTAAATTTTTTCTCTTTTGCTAACCATGTCTCAATGATTTTCTAAGGCCTACTTCCTGTTCTGCTGGGAGTGGGAAGTGGTGGCATGGGGACCGTAATTGGGAAAGAAGTGAATGCAGAATGTGGGGGATGCTGTGGCTCTTGCCCTTGATTGAGTGCTTGTTTGCAACATCACTGCATAGTACTGCGCTTCTTAGAGACATGGACATTTCAGGGCCAGAAAACCATCTGCAACACACCCAAGTGACCCCTCTGTTGGTACTTAGACCCAAACTTGATGTGGTTCTTTTAGGAAACCCGATTGGTATTTTAATGCCTCCCCTGGCTCACTGTACGGCAATAATAATATTAAGGAAAGTGACTGTTTACTGAGTGCATACTGTATTCTAGGCTCTATACTCTATGATTGAACTCACTCTGTTCCCTATTTTTTATACATGAGCAAAGTCAGCCCGAGTTGTTAGGTAACTTGCTTGGGTTCATTTAGCTAGTAAAGGTAGAGTTGAGCAGGATTCAAACTTGGGTCTGTTTTACTTGTAAGTCTGTATTCTTGCATCCATGGACTTCTGAGAGTACTTTCTGTTTTTGTTTTGTGTTTGCTTCTTCGTTTTTGTAGCAAAGGACAGCAATTGGCATTTTTAAGTTTAATTATATAATAACCCAAACTATGTGGAACATAATTTACAAAGCTCAAGTCAGGATGCCTAATCTCACAGTGAACTTGTCTGCCACTTTTTGGTTCAAGAGGCAGTCTGGAATACAGGGTATTTATTTATTTTTACTCAACTTTATCAAGGTATAACTTATATGCAATAAAATGAATCAATTTCAAGTATATGTGATGATGGCTTTTGACAGATATATGTGTCCCTGTGACTACTACCCCAATCAACACAGAGTAGTTCAGTCACCCCAAAAAGTTATCCTCTGCCCCTTTGCATGTCGGTCTTCAATCCTCTTCCTCTGGTCCCGGACAACCACTTGTCTGCTTTTATGAGGATATAGAGTTTTTATGCTGAAATGTAAAACTTCTAGGACATTCGTAAATTTACTCAACAGACATTTATTGAATACCTATTATATGCCAAGCATAGTGTTAGACACTGATGATAAAGTAGTGAATAAGCCAGACAAAACCTTTGCCCTTAATGGAACATTTACTGGGGAGATGGTTAACAACACACACATATAGTTTGTATGTGTCGGATGGTCATATTTTTCTCTCTGTAGAGAAAAATAAGGCAGTAAAAGGAAATAAAGCATGCTGTGAAGGTGGGGATAGTGGTGGTTCAATATTAAGTAGATGTTCATGAAGTATTCAGAGGAAGGTGATACTTGCAGAGAATTGAGGGATGTACAAGAACAAACCATGCCTATATCCAGCACTGAGGCAGAGGAAGCAAGAAGTGCAAAGGCCCTGAGGTGGGAGTCTACCTGGGATGTTCAAGGAACAGCAAGAGGGCCATGTGCCTGTAGCAGAGTGAGTGAGGAAAGAGAAATAGAAGATGAGGGCCAGGTGCAGTGGCTCATACCTGTAATCCCAGCATTTTGAGAGGCTGACGTGGGTGGATCACTTGAGGTCAAGAGTTTGAGACCAGCCTGGTCAACATGGTGAAACCCTGTCTCCACTACAAAAATTACCCAGGCATGGTGGCATGTGCCTGTAATCCCAGCTACTCAGAAGGCTGGGATTTTTAGTAGAGATGGGATTTCACCATGTTGGCCAGGCTGGTCTCGAACTCCTGACCTCAAGTGATCCACCCATTTCAGCCTCCCAAAGTGCTGGGATTACAGGCATGAGCCATTGCACCTGGCGGAAGAGAAGATTTTGTCCATGTTTATTTTCAGGTGCTCCTGGACATCTAATTGGAGAGGTCAAGTAGGCTGTTGGATATATGGACCTGAAGTTCAGAGGACAGATGTGGGCTAGAGAGATAAATTTGGGAATCAGGAACTTATAAAGGAGGCCACGAAATTAGATGAGATTACTTTAGAGATTAAATATAGATAATGAAAAGAAGAGGTTTGGGGACTAAGCCTTGGACACTTCAAGGTTTGGGGATCAGAGAGATGAGGAAGAACCAGCAAAGAAGACTGAGAACAGGTGGCCAGTGAGGTAGGAGGAGAACTAGGAAAGTATAGGGTCCTGGAAACCAAGTGAAGAAAGTATCTCAAAGAGGGGAGGGAGTGATGGGGTCAAAGAAGGTAAGATCTGAGATTATTGGACTTAGCAACATAATTTTATTGATCAATTAATCTGTCTCTGTGGTTAGACAGAGATTGATGGGCTTTGGGGTTAGACAGACCTGGCTTCAAATTCCTGTTCTGTCACTGTGGGTATGTCAGCTTGGGTCTTCTGAGAAGCAGATGCCAGGATGGAATTAGATGTGCAGCAGATGTCTGGGAAAGACAAAGGGGAGAGGGAGCAGGAGTAGACCTAGTGCAGGTGTGATACTGGTGGAGAAAGGGAAGGAAGAGGGTTGTGGGGAGGGAGACTCACACTGCAGTGCAGCCAGGCTGATGGGGCGTTCCTGAGCAAAGATTGCCCCTACAGCAGCCCCATTTGGGCATAAGAACCTGGCTTTAGTACCTCTGCCATGTGTGGTCATTGACTGGGAGAAGCACAGTGGATGTGGCCTCAATGTGATCTCAGCAGGAATGTCACAGTGGATCAAGGTGTGGGGGCTGGAAGCTGTCAGGCATCTGTACCCCTCACAGCAGGTTCTCCTGGAGGGTGATCTGAGCAGCATACCTTCATGCCCACTGCAGTGAACTTGGGCAAGTTGCTTAATTTTTTGAAGCTTCAGCCTCCTTATCTGTAAAACTGGAGTAGTATTTATGGTTTTGAAGAGTAATAGGATATTATATGTGAAGCTCATAGTGTGAAGCCTGGCATATCATAGGTACTTAAATTTTAATTCCTTTATCTTAGAGTATTTGTTATTATCTAATCCTCCTGGTTAAGGAGTTCTTGGAAATGTCCTTTTCCTGATTATTTGGGAGTAAAACTAATAAGTAATATTTTATTTCTGTTTGCTGATTTCTCTTTTAATCCTTAATGCCCTCCTTCCTTCTCTTCCTCACTAACCCCCTTCCTGAAGCCCCATGTTCTTTTTTTCCCCTATCTTTTCCTGCATTTTTACAGATGGGAGGAGTTGAGTGATTATATTGGAAGTATCTTGGAATTTAACTTGCTTGGGCATACTGTAGTTTGATTGTTAATAAGCACTTGGTTTGTTCTTTGAATATGAGTTATGTGTGAGCAAGACCTCCTGGAAGGCATATCCCAAATAAGAAAATCTAGTGACTAGTCCTGCCTATGGCATGAGAATTTCTTTACGTTCCTGAAAAAGGCAAGAAGCCTTGGCTGTCCTTGGCACTCTCAGCCCACTGAACCGCTTCCTAAAGCTTCAAGATCGTTAGATAATTGCTATCGTCATTTTCCTCTGGGCATTTTTGGGGATGATAGACTTTATGGCTAGACTAGGCTCTTTCCCCCAGACTTTGTTCCAAGTTGATGATAGGAAGGAGAATGCCACTGAGACCAGGGAGTGTCCTGGATAACAGTAAAAAAGCCTTGAGTTATAGTTCCTCAGCCTAAATTCTTTCTCACGTGTTTATTCCCTCCACCCCGCCGTCCCTCATATGCTGATGTGCAGTTTCTCACGAATGATAACCAGGTTTTTCCAGGGAGAGCAAGCTGGGTAAGGCAGAGCAGGGTGGTCCCCAGGCTGAGGTAAATGTGGAGGGGAAGCTGTGTAGCTAGGGAGAGCTGCAGTTGACAGCTGCAGGAGCCAAGGTGGCAGTCAGAAAAACTCTAAAAAGAAAACCAGTAGAAAGAGCTTTGTGCTTTTAGGCTACTTATTTCAACTCTCTGACCCTTGGTTTCCTCACCTAAAAATGGGATCATAGAATATTTACTTTTGTGAAGATTTGTTGGGAGAAGCTCCTGTGAAGGATAGAGGGGAGAAGAGAACAGGAGTAGACAGGGATAACCTTCGGACAGCAGTATAGGTCTGACACCAGTGAAGAAAGGAAAGAAATTCAGTAAATGAGAGTTAATACTATTTTTTAAGTTGTCATGATCAGGTTAGCCATTGTTACTGAGTATTCTATGACTTTTCTGCATGGTGATTTTTTTTTTTTTCTTTTTGAGATACAGTCTCTCTCTGTTGCCCAGGCTGGAGTGCAGTGGCATGATCTCGGCTCACTGCAACCTCCACCTCCCAGGTTCAAGTGATCCTCCTGCCTCAGCCTCCTGAGTAGCTGGGACTACAGACATGCACCACCACACCCGGCTAATTTTTTTTTTTTTTTGTATTTTTAGTAGAGACGGGGTTTCACCATGTTGCCTAGGCTGCTCTTGAACTCCTGGCCTCACGTGATCCACCTGCCTTGGCCTCCCAAAATGCTGGGATTACAGGCATAAGACCATGCCTGGCCTGCATGGTGATTATTAACTGTTATGGGGGAGTATTGTCTGTCTCTACTGCCGTGAGGCGTGCTGCCTGTCATCAAGCTTTCTACCTAGGATACAAGTATTGTTCAATGTTGAGAACTAGATAGGCATATGGCATTTTTGTCACCTTCATTGAAATATAATTCACCCATTGAAAGTGTACAACTCAATGGTTTTTAGTACTGTATAGTCATAGAGGTGTGCAACCAGTTATAACCACAATCCATTTTAGGACATTTTCTTCATCACCCCAAAAAGACACTCTACCCACCAGCAGTCACTCCTGACTTTGACCGCAGAACCTTCTCCTAGGGATTGCTGTAGGCTATTACTAATCCACTTTTCTATCTCTGTGGGTTTCCTAGTTCTGAATATTTTATGTAAGTGGAGTCACACGATATGTGGTCTTTTGTGACTGGCTTCTTTCTATTTGCATAATGTTTTCAAGGTTCTTTCACGTTGTAGCACGTGTCAGTACTTCATTCTTTCTTATTGCCAAATAATATTCTATTATATGGCTATACCACATTTTATATATCACTTCCTCAGTTGATGGCCATTTGGGTTTTTTCTACTTTGGGGCTGTTAAATGAATACCACTGCTATGAACATTATTGTGCAAGTTTTTTGTGTGAACATGCTTTTAATTCTCTTGGATATAAACCTAGGAGTGGTTTATGACCAGTTAATTGCTGGGTCATATGGTAACTCCATGTTTAACTTTTTGAGGAACTTCCAAACTTCCACAAGGACTGCACATTTTAAATTCCCACTAGCAATATATGAGGATTTCAGTTTCTCCATTCCTTTGCCAACACTTGTTATGATTATCATCCTAGAGGCTGTGGAGTGGTATCTTATTACGGTTTTGATTTGCATTTTCCTGATGACTGATGGTGCTAAGCTCTTTTCATGTGCTTGTTGGCCATTTGTATATCTTCTGTAGAAAAATGTCTATTCAAGTCCTTTGCCCATTTTATAATTGGATTGTTTGTTCTTGTGTTACATGATTTCTTTATATATTCTGGATATTAGACTCTTATCAGATACATGGCTTTCATCTTTTTTAATTGCAAAAATAACATAAGTTTATCCCAAAAATTCAGATCCTACAGAAGTATAACGAAAAGTTCATTTATTGTTCCCCAGTTGTTCTTCCCAGAAGTAACCATTGTCAGTATATCCTTCCAGATTTCAAAAGATGAATATGCAAACCTAAATAAATATATTATATATATATATATATTTAGTTTACATAAGTGGGATGAAATGTCTACAATACCACAACTTGTTTTTTTCCCCCTTTGACTTAATATCTTGTGTACTTTTTAATTTTATCTTTTTGAGACAGGCTTTTACTTTGTCACTCAGGCTCGAGTACAGTGGCACAATCACAATTAGTGGCCCTAACCTCCTGGGCTCAAGCGATCCTCCCACTCAGCCTCCTGAGTAGCTGGGACTACAGGCATGAGCCACCAAGCCTGGCTAATTTTTAAATTTTTTGTAGAGATGAGGTCCCACAGTGTTTCCCAGGTTTTTCTTGAGCTCCTGGGCTCAAGCAATCCTCACCTCAGCTTCCGAAAGTTGTGTACGTATTTTCATGGTGATCGCATTGTTCTTTTGGCTGCCTAGAAATGCCCTTTTGAGATGGATTTAATACAGAGGAGGAAACTAGGGATCCGAAAGTTTAAGTAACTTGCTCATGGTCATAGATTAGTAAGTGAAGGAGCCGTTATTCAAACTTGAATCTGTCTGTTTCCAAAGCCCGGGCTCTTGCCATGTAATCACATTTGCTCCTTGGGCTGCCGACGTGAAACCTACTTCCTTTCAGTGGCCTGCCTGTGCTAGCTGCTATATTGCCTTGTGGATCTTGTTACAGAGTAGTGTCTATAGTTTGTACATTCCAGGAAGTACTGGTAATACCCTTTTCTACATCACACACACACACACAGAGTAGTGTCTGTAGTTTGTACATTCCAGGAAATACTGGTAATACCCTTTTCTAACACACACACACACACACACACACACACACACACACACCCTTTAGGGATATTGAAAGAAAAAAACTCTCAAAGATGAATGCCTCATGACCTGACTTGGGCTGGGGCAGCCACAAACTGCATTTGAGCAACTGCAGCTGCTTCTTTAGCCTTTTTATTCCCACTGCCTGCTTGCCATTGCTGCATTTGCAGAGTCATTCATTCTCCTGGTTTGTTCCAGTACACTGTTTCTTTCTACTTTCCAGGCCTGGGTAAGCCTTCATGCAGTTTTTGAACACCTGTCTTCTGCTCAGTGTTGCTTCCCACCTGGCCTGTGGCTTTTTAGGAGTGCATCTTGCTATTGCAGGTCCCAAGTGTGTGGAATGGGGCTCCTTCCCAGCGTAGATGTACCAATTGAAACACACAAGGATGTTCAGTCAAGAATCGAAAGCGTAGGATAGGCTGAAGAGCAAGTTGCCACCAACACTTATGCAAAAATTGCACCCAAAAGGACAGGCTACTCTTGTCTCTGCCCCTCCTCTCTTCTCCATGCCTTGTATCATGCACCTATTTATGGTACCTACCGGTTGACTACCACAGATCAGATCACTATTCCATTGCATTCCTCCATAAATTCCCTCTCTTCTTTCTCCTTACTGCTCTTGGACGTGTTGGGGAGTAGCATGAATTATATATCTAAGCCGGTCTTAATGTGAGAGTAGTACTGTTATTACCACCACTGGTAAGAATAGTTGCTAGATTTGTCTAGCACCAACAAGAGAGGAAATAGAGCAGAAGGCCTGGAATTTAGGAGTCAGGCTATACTGGACTCAAATCCTGTGTCTGCCAAGAACTTGTTGTGTGACCTTGGGCAGGTTACTTGATCTGTCTGAACCCCCACTTCCCACTTTTTTTTTTTTCCAGACAGGGTCTTGCTTTGTTACCCGGGCTGGGGTGCAGTGGCATGATCATAGCTCACTGCCACTTCGAATTCCTGGGCTCAAGGATCTTCCGGCCTCAGCCTTTCAAGTAGCTGGGAATACAGGCATGCCCCACTATGCCCAGCTAATTTTTTAAAAAAACCTTTGTAGCTGGGCACTCTCTCTCACACTTGTAATCCCAGCATCTTGGGATGCTGAGGCAGGTGGATCACCAGAGGTCAGGAGTTCGAGACCAGCCTGGCCAACATAGCGAAACCCCATCTCTACTAAAAATACAAAAATTAGCCTGGTGTGGTGGCACGTGCCTATAGTCCCAGCTACTCAGGAGGCTGAGGCAGGAGAATCACTTGAACCTGGGAGGCAGAGGTTTGCAGTGAGCCGAGATTATGCCACTACACTCCAGCCTGGGAGACAGACTGAGACTCATCTCAAAAAAAAAAAAAAAAAAAATTGTAACGATGGGGTCTCACCATGTTGTCCAGGCTGTCCACTTTCTAATCTGTAAAATCCAGGTACTAATACCACTAATGTCATAGGAATGTTATGAAGATTTACTGAGCTAATGCATGGAGAATGCATCAGCTCAGAGCTTGATACAGGGAAATGGCTCTGTAGCAGTTATCATTATTATTAGTACTGAAGGGGAGCAGATGACACTGGGGTCAGGTGGCTGGGCAAATATAAGTGGGCCTTGCTGTGATAATAATTTGGTCTCTCCTTATCTTCTTCTCTTGCTTTATTTTCTTCATACACTTTGTGTCACTTTATCTACTTAATTGTTTACTGTGTCTGTCTCTCTTTCACTAGAATGTGAGTGCTTTGAGAGGAGAGAGGAAGAGCTTTGTCAGTTTTGTTCATTGCTGTATTCCTAGGCCCTCAAACAGAGCCTAGCATGTAGTAAGTATGCAATAATGTAATCATTGTTTCTGGAACATTGTGCCAACTGTTGTTCCAGGTGCCATTTATGTATTAGCTAATATACTCGTAACAACTTTTGAGATCAGTATGTTATCTCTATCTTACAGATGAGGTAACTAAGTCACAGAGGAATGGGTTTTTTTGTGCCCAGTGTTACACAGTTAATAAGTAAAAGAACAGGCTGTCTTTCTCCAGAGCCTGGGCTTGTAGCCACTATGCTGTGTTCTCCCCCAGTAGGAAACATCACAATTACTTTTATTAATAATATTATTGATAACTTAAAATAGTTTATTACCTATATATGCAAAGTTCTTCAGCTGTCTTCTCTCATTTGCTCATAACACTGTGGAAAAATCCTGTATGGCCTCCCTCATCCCCCTGCACTTGACAGTTGAGGAAATAACAGATAATGTGTATTGAGTACATCCCATGTACCAGCACATTTATTAGCTTGTTTAATCCTCACAATAATTAAGTTGTTGTAAGAGGGACCGAATGGGAACAGAGGAGAACAGTGAAGTAAATGGTATTATACACATTTGACAGATGGAAAAACTGAGGCAGAGGTGAAATAACTTGCCCAGGGCCACAAAGCTAAAAACTGATAGATCTGGACCTCAAGCCCCAACAGTCTGACTTCAGAGCCCGTTCTCTTAAGTGCTTCACCTGACAACCTTGCGTTCAGAGAGGAAAAATTAAAGTCCACAGGTACTCAACTTGTAAGTGTCAGAGCTGGAATTGGAAATCAGGTTTGCTTTGACCACCAAACTTGTGCTTTTTCGCATGTATGATGGAGCTGAGGCAAGAGTTATGTCTACTCACCCCAAAACTTGGGTTTCCATCCTTCTGTGGCGACAGGGAAAGAGAAGACAAGTGACTTAAGACCACTCAGCTGGGAATGTGGAGCTGTGACCCCGACCTTAACCTCCTTTCTCATTTGGTCAGGCTGGGCTGTATTTCAGAATGGTATGTCTGGTTTAACCAGGCATCAGTCACAGAATGGTCCTTTGAAAGCAGGTGCCCAGTTGTGTCCCCAGAGAGAACCAAAATTACTACTGGTATTAGAAGTCCTTCCAAAATGTATGATTTCCTTGGGCTAAAGGGACACCTACAGAAGATCTAATGTCTTTATGAGACATTAATGTACGTAAAACAGGCTAGTGGGATGAGGCGAGGGTGGTGTCCCTAGAAGCATAGGAAATCTGGCTGGGCTACACAAACAAAAACATTTCCGTCAGGACCGGCAGCCCCAAGGCATGGGGCAGCTCCCACTGGCAAACAGTGAAGCAGGAACGTGGTGCTGCTGATTTCAGGCCCATGCTCCTGTAGGGGGGAGTCCCGGAAGCCCAGGGAGGAGGTGGCAAGGTTTCTGTCAGTGGCAATGTCAGGAATGTATCTTGATAGGCCATTCCTTGAAAGTGCAGCTTCCTTCTCCCTTAGCCTGCTCCCCACAGCTGCTGGAGCAGAATTCCTGTCCCCTGCTTTCCCCATTGCCTTCTGCTCTCCTCTGTTCCCATTCTGTTTCTCTCTGCTCACTATCTGCTCAGTTGCCTAAGCACCAAGTGGCTAAATCCTTTGTGACCATTTTCTCTCTCACCACTCGCATCCTATTCTCCCCAGGAGAGAAGTCCTGGAGATTCTGTAGTAAGAATAATTTACTCAGCTATCCTTTGTTGAGCTCTTACAATGCATACATATTGACAGCACGCCAAGTACTTATCCCCCATTATTTCATTTAATCCTCCCTTCCACCCTCTTTGTAATATTCTTACTCCCATTTTATGTAGGAGAAAACTGAGTTTGGAGAGGCTGAATAGCATACTCAAAATTCTGAAGCTAACAAGTGGCAGAGCTGGGATTTCAGCTTAGGTCTTTTTGGCCCTAAACCGTGTCCTTTCTACATTTTAAAGCCCCCTTCAAGTGTCCAAAGAGCCTTCTGAAGTTGAGTGTCTGTTGCATTAACAACTTTTTTGCTGTCATTACCTGAGCTGAGCCTGGCTTCCTCTGATATGCACCTGGTGTATAGCTTTGTACATGTGTTGCATTCTCATTGAAACAATAGGAAGTATCATTTCAGTCAGTGGGATTCTCTGTTGTGTGAGTTAGCAGTGGGGCATGCCCTCTGCTTATTGTTCATAGGAACATGCTCAAGGAATTTTTCAGGAAGGCCCCCATCCAGGATGTTACTGGAAGATCTGCCTGGTGGAGCTTGTACAAACAAAGTATGACCCTGCCAGCTCAGCCAAAACCCCTGCCTTGTGCTAGAGGCTCTCTGACCCTAGCGGAAAAGGCTTCCTCACCCAGCCAAGAAACTGCAACAGGGTGGGTCCTGAGCTCCCTGTCTACCTGCCTAAAGGCTCCTGGTCAGACTCTTGCCATGTATTTAGATCTGGTTTGTATATTGCTGTCTACACAAACTACAAATCTGATCAAGTTTCTTCTTATTTTAATGTAAAATATGCATTTTTAAAATGTACTGTTTTAGTCTTTTTTTTTTTTTTTTTTTAAGATGGGGTCAGGCCGGATGCGGTGGCTGACGCCTGTAATCCCAGCACTCTGGGAGGCCGAGGCAGGCAGATCACTTAAGATCAGGAGTTCGTGACCAGCCTGGCCAACATGGCGAAACCCCGTCTCTACTAAAAATACAAAAATTATCCAGGCATGGTGGCTTGTGACTGTAATCCCAGCTACTCAGGAGGCTGAGGCAGGAGAATCGCTTGAACCCAGGAGGCGGAGGTGGCAGTGAGCCGAGATCACACCACTGCACTCCAGCCTGGGTGACAGAGCAAGACTCCATCTCCAAAAAAAAAAAAAAAAAAAAAAAGATGGGGTCATGCTGTCTCATCCAGGCTAAAGTACAGTGGCATAATCATGGCTCATTGCAGCCTCAGACTCCTGGGCTCAAGTGATCCTTTCGCCTCAGCCTCCCAAGTAGCCGAGACTACAGGCGCATACCATGACACCTGGCTAATTTTATTGTGTGTTGTAGGGATGGGGTCTCACTGACTTGTCCAGGCTTGTATTTTAGTCATTTTTTAAGTGTACAGTTCAGTGACATTAAGTATATTCACATTGCTGTATAAGCAATCTCTAGAATGCTCTTCATCCTGCAAAGCTCTGTACCTATTAAACAACTCCCCACTTACCTCTTCCCCCAGCCCCTGGTAACTACTATTCTACTTTCCGTCTCTATGAATTTGGCAGCTCTTAAGAACTTCATGTAAGTGGAATCATACAATATGTGTCTCTGTGAGTCTGGCATATTTCACTTAGCATAATGTTTTTTATGCTAACTGTTTTTTATGCTAAGGTTCATCCATGTGATAGCACATATCACATTCTCATTTCTTTTTAAGGCTCAATAATATTATATGCATATACCATATTTTGTTTATTGAGCTGTCAGTGGATCTACTAAGACCTACTAAGACATTGAAGGGCTTACAAAGCCTTGCTCTTGCCAGCCTCTCCACCCTTCTCTTTTGGGATAGTCTTTGCCTTCTTCTTTCTATACTATCACCTTTTTTTCATCCTATAAGAGCTATATTCTTATATATGCTATTCCCTGTGGTGAGAATGATCTTCCACTATCCCCCCAACTCTTAGGCAACTTAAATATCACTTAGCCTCAGTATCTCCACATTTAGTTCCTGGGGTCCCACAAAGAAAGGTTGGTCAGACTCCTTTCCCCACTTAATTATTTTTGTAGAACCTCTATATGTCTTTATGGTGCATATTACCACTGTAATTTATTCATTAATTTGCATGTGTTTGTGTAATGACTGCCTTCCTTGCCAAATGGTAAACTCCTGTGTATTTAATGCTATCTCCCTTTTTTCTGTCATAATGTCTATAATGTAGGTGCCTAGTAAGTAGTTGTTGAATGAAGCTATAGATTGAATGAATGAATCCTGAAAAGAGAAAATTTCAGGGCTACATGCTGAGAGCGTTTGGATTTTAAAATGTCTGTGAGATGTTAAATTACCAGTGAGATCTCAAAAAGTCATCTTGCCATAGCATAGATCTTTGCTCTGTCATTCCTCTGTTGATTAAAAACTTTCATTATTTGAAGATGCTTCAGGGCTTCCAAAAATGTAACCAACAACAGCAGCAGAGACAGTTTACATTTCCTGAGTGTTTATTCTCTATCAGGCCTTGTACTGGATGCTTCCCATGTATTACCTCATCTAAATCTCACAATAACTCTGAAAGGGAGGTTCTGTTTCATTTGTTTGTTTTTAATTTCTGTTTCCAAATGAGAAGAGCAAGGCTCAGACGGTTTAAATAACTTGCATAGGGTCACTCAGCTTGTAAGTGGCAGGCCCAGAAGTGGGGTCGGATCTGAGTTTTGTAGCCTGGGATAGAGCCCACCGCTCCTCCTCATCAACTGAAGTAGTCTCTTTTTATCTGTTTTGCAAATGGGGCCTCTGCCTCAGTTTTCTTTGGAGCCAGGGGTTTGTGGCTAAAGAAGAATTTGAAAACTCCAGGCCTGTAGAGTATATTTGACTGGGATGTACCCTTTTCAGCTTCATGCTGTCCCTCCACTACATCTCCCACTGTGCTTCCCAAAATGCACTTTGCATTCTTCTGCAGCTAACAAGTTACTGTGCATCCATAAGGCGGTTTCCAAATCTCAAGATAGAAGTGTTGTGTTTTCTGTATGCTCCTTCCGCAGTAGATACTAGCAACAGTCATCCTCTTTCTACGTAGTGGCTGACAAGTTTGTCTCCACCACTAGTCTGAGCCTCTGGAAAAGGTGGGCCAGGTCTGCCTCTTCTGGAGCTCCTTGGTCTGGCCCAAGAACTGGCACAGAGCGTAGGAGGCTCAGTCAGTGCTTGATGGGTGAATGCACATCAACTTAAAGTGGGTACTCAGAACTAACCAGCTGAGTTCAGAAGCCTGGAATACAAACTCTAGTGCATACTCACAGAAACCCAGGAATGCAAGGTGGAGATGATCAGATGTATTAATCACATTTGGAAAAGAATGAAAATATTTCCATAATAAAATATGTTTATTTTCTAAAACAGATATGCCCTCATTGTTTCATGAGGAAGTAATTAAACATGTTTGATTAAAACATTCATAAACACTATCATTTATTCAAGGCTACTATATATGCTGCTCTCTTTATTGGTACTTTATCTGTTGTGTCTGCTTCTCCTAATCCTCCTGTAAGGTGTCTTTTTAAATCTTCATTTTAGAGATAAGGAAACTGAGGCTCACAGAGATTAAGTAACTTGCCCAAGGATAGTCAGCTTCTGAGCAATAGATACAGGTATGAACCTAGTCTGTCTGACTTCAAAACCAGTGCCTTGCCATCACCCTAACTGCTTCTGATCTTGTATTTTAGATACCTTTCAGCTCAGTACCCTGAACCAGCACACACATGCCCTTCTCCCCCTCAGCCCTCCCTGTGTCCAGCATGGTTTGTCTTCCTCCCTCCCTTTCTCCCTTCTCACTGCACTCCACTCTCCATTTCCTTGTAGTATCTTTTTGATTATTGCCTCTTTGCATCCTGAAATGGAAATATTTTTGACAATGTCAGTGATTGGACACGATTACATGTGGAAACTGGTGTTAATAGTGTGGTAATGTCACATTTGCATTAATAAATACAAAGTAATACATTTTATTAAGGCCAAATTACCTATATTATGATTTTGTTTTCTTTCTGTAGCCTTTAATTCTTAAGATTTTTTTGAGTCTCATTTTATATTTTTTAATGTATGTTTTTTCCTCCATTTAAAATATAACATTGTAGTGAAAAGAAAAGTTGATCAGATAATTTTTTTTCTTTGATTAAGCATTTTCTAAACAGTGAGATACCTATTTGAAATTATGTGAAATGCAATATTGAAATACTTCAGTATGTTCTTTTTGGAGAAGTTTATGAGGTTTCTTAAAGACTTAGATTCATTTATTTTCTGCCCCTCTTAGTATTTCAGCAGGATTAAGTTCTTGAATCAGTGGATCAAGTTTTAATTTTCCTGTTCCTTCCTTATACTGACATATGCTTTGGCAGAACAAAAAAGAGACCTAAACATGTCAGCATGATTTTTGTTCAATGAATTAAAAACCATAAAAGTAACAAGATCTGATCCAAATCCCTAAACTCCTGACATGGTGGTTTTGTGCTTTTTAGTCCCAAGCTTCATATTACTGACTTTGAAGAGCTTTCTGCCTGGAAGCAGAAGTAATGGCAGCAGTGCATAATTTACTTGAAATAGATTACAAGAGTAAAAAGAATACAGGCCAGAAAGATCGGGGTTTGAATCCCAGTTCTCTCACTCATGCTCATGGGCAAGTCACTTAACATCTGTGAGCCTGTTTCCTCATTTGAAGAGTTGTGAGGATTCAATGAAGTAACACACTTAAAGTACTCATGTGGCATAGAACGGTTTAATAATAGTAGTAATTAGACTCATTGTTGTTTTGAGAATACCTTCAAATAGCTGAATCCAAAAGGATTTACGTAAATACAACTGTTCACTTCAGAGCTTATTCTTTCTCAAAATTCTTTAATTTTTTTTCTCAGCAGAGAAAATGTAAGGTAGATGTTACTAAATCTTTAACAGCTGCTCATCACTATTCCACACTGAACATGTACCCAGAACTTAGGATTGTCCTTCCTTGAGCAAGAACCGTGTTGATTTGAGAGTAAGGAAGCATAAGCATGTCCATTTCAGGACCCAGGGGGCAGAGGAATGCTGTCATACTAAGACCATTGGCTTTTGTGACAGGCCAGCTTGGGTTTGACTGGGTCTGACTTTGTATAAGGTACCAAATTTCTTTGGGCCTCATTTTCTTCATCTGTAAAACGTGGTTCGTGACCTTGCAAGACTGTCTGTGATATGGCTTCCCAGCCTCTTTTCTTGTCACTCCTTTCTTTGTTATCAGTGCTCCAGCCAATTCCTTAAATGAAGCATGGGCTCTTGATGGTTTTGTCCTTTTCAGTCCCAAGCTTCATATTACTGACTGTGAAGAGCTTTCTGCCTGGAAGCAGAAGTAATGGCAGCAGTGCATGATTTACTTGAAATAGATTAGAAGAGTAGCAGAAAGAATACAGGCCAGAAATATTGGGATTTGAATCCCAGTTCTCTCACTGGGAAGTTTGGTACCTTCTACAAAGTCAAACCCAGTTTGCCCATGTTTGGGCAACTTAAAGCCTTTATACATGCGTTTTCCTCCTCCTGGAAATTCCAGGAGTTCAGCCCACAGAGAGGAAAGTTACAAACTGCTGAACTGGTTGACAGAGTGATGTTAAATTCTTGGCCAGCAGTTAATGTATAGAATGATTTTGTTGAATGTCTTTTGTCTTTTATCAGAGTAACCAGAGAGCACAGAGAAATGCTGGTGAAACTGGCCAAACAGAACACCAACAAGGCCAAAGACTCTTTACGGAAGGTTCGCACCAACTCAATGAACAAGCTGAAGAAATCCAAGGATACAGTCTCAGAGGACACCATTAGGCTAATAGAGAAACAGGTACTATTGCCAGCAATGTAGTAGTGTCTGTGTATTCAGCATAAGGAATCATTTGTTCATGTTTGAGGTGAGGACAGTTAAAACAGAATACCTCTGATCTTTCATTCACATTATCACCATTGTCTGAGTCTCTGTTCTGGGCCTAGCCTAATGCCAGATTCAGAGGGATCCATAGAGGAGGATAAGACACTTGTATTGTGTACCAGGTTTTGTGCTGAACACTTTATATTACTTCATTTACCCTCATCACTACAAAACTATGAGGTAGGTAGTAAGGAAACTGAGATTCAGGCAAGTTAAATAACTTGCCCGAAATCACACTGCTGGAAATTGGTAGAAATCGGATCCATACTTAGGCAGACGGATTTCAGAGCCTCTACGCTAATGCTCTCCTGTCTGGTTTTCCGGTTGCTGAGAATTGAGCACTTAGTGTTCTCAGTGTGCTGAGTAGTGGCACTTGAATAAGTCTTAAGCTGCTGGAGTAAAATAGTGAGAGACAAGGGGGAAAAGTGTAACCATATGTACAAAGGTAAGGTGATATAAAAACAATATTCAGTTAAGATCATTGGGGTTTGAACGTAGGATAAGACTAGGGAATGAATAAAGAAAACAGAGTGGCTAGATAATAGAAGGAAGGTCTCGTACACCAGGTTTAGGAGTTTGAACGTTAACATGTACAGACTGTCCCACATTGGCTGTGCATCTATATTAGTCATGTATGGCCACAATAATGGTACATAACTACCCCAAAACTCAGTGATCGACAATATCAAAGCATTATTTCTTGTTCTCATTTCCATGGGCCAGCTGGGGTGTAGCTATTCTAGGCTGGGCTCAGTGGGCTTGGCTCCAGATCTTGGATTGGGTTCAAATCTGCTTTATATCTCTCAATCTTCCAAAGCCAACAGGTTTCCTAGGGCCTCTTTTCATGGTAACAGCAGATGCCAAGATCATAAGCCCAACCACTCAAGTACATTTTAAACACCTGCTCTTGTCACATTTGATTGGCCAAAGCAAGTCACATGGGCCAAGCTCAATATGTTTGGTACAAGGAAATATATATATTTATGGAGGTCTGGGGAAAGAAGTGAATATTTGCTGAACAGCATCTCTCTACCAAAGTACCTTAATCACTTGGGTAGCTTATAAAAATCCAGGTATCTGGGGCCCCATTTCCAGAGATTGAGTCAATGAATCTGGGACAGAGCCAGGAATCTGTATTTTAAATCCTTCTCAGGTGATTCTCATACAGTGACACACTTAAAAGATTTTTTTTAGATGATGGAGAGAGCACATCTATGTTTATGAAAGATGACTATGGTGGCCAGGTAGAAAACAGATTGTAGGGGGCAAGACTGGAGGCAGGGCGATAGGGATGCTGCTGCAGAAATCCAGCCAGGAAGTGATGGTGGCCTGAACCTGAGTGGCACCTGTGGAAAGATGTGGAGATAGAATTAGTAATGTTCAATGTAATATAAAGGGTTTGATAGGCCTTAAAGCCTCCTCATCCACAATAAAGCATTGTTTTAGGGAGATTGAACAGGCATGTGGGCTGGATAGGGAGTGAAGAGAGAAGCGAGAAGCAAGGGACCCCTGGAGAAGTCCATAAGTTGACTAGCTGCTCCCCTTCTCCTCCACCAGCAGTTAAAATGCTAGTTTTACTAGCATTTTACTAGTAGGACAGCCACAACAGTCACCTGGGGGGGGGAATTTTAGGTGGCTTCCTGGGCCCTACTCCTGCATTTTCTGATACAGTAGCTCTGCCTAGGAATGTATATTTTTATTTTACTTACTTTTATTAATTCATTTTTCTTGAGATGGGGTCTCACTATGTTGCCCAGGCTGGTCTTGGGCTCCTGGGCTCAAGCAGTCCTCCTGTAGCTGGGATAACAGATGCGTCCAGCTGGAATGTATAGTTTTAAAAAGCTCTCAGGTAATTGTGTAAAAGCACACATAGAAGATAATGACCTAGAAGCCTGGTAATGTACCTGTGTAATGACACTAGAGTTAGAAAAAGATTGTTCTGCACTTGATGTCCTATGACCTTGGGGAAGTTGCTTGACTCTTTGGAGTCTGTTTTCTGTAAAAAGGGATTGGTAATTTCTGCCTTGAATGGTTTCCTTGGTATGCTAGAAAGCACCATTAGTGTACCTAACACCCAAACCCTCAAAACTCCCCTCTTGCCATCTCTCTGCCCTCCTCCTTCCCTGTATCAGCTAAAAGAAGAGGTTCAGAGATTAGGCGGGCCTTTCCTGTGCACTGACCAGGCCTCATTAATAGTCTGGGCCCTGGCTCCAGCTGGGCCGGCTCCTTGTCTTTCTCCTAGGGGATTTCTTCACTGCTTTCCCTTGTCATTGCTTCTTGGTGGTAAGCCTATGGACCTTCAGGGCCTGCCAGGCACTAGTCACTCAGCAAGCCAGGACATCTGCCTCAGGGACCAGAGCCCACAACTCCTGAAAGAGGAAGAATGATCAGATAGCAAGCATTCTTGATAAAACCCTCTTGACAAAGACCTTGCTGGAAGCCTTCACTCATTAGCACTGGCTTTTCGCCATCCTCTTCAGATTAAATTTTTTTTCTTTAGTGCTTCTTACTGTGATTTTTTTAAGTGAAAATAGCTGTATTCGTTTTGCTGTTAAAACAAGGAAGAAAGTAATTGAAATCTCATCACTCAGATGACTGTTGTTAACATTTTAGTGTAGAACTTCAAGTTATCTCTCGAAACAAGAAAAAGTATCATACAATTTATATGATACGATATATCACAGATATCTTTCTAAACATATTATTATTTAAATGTTTATTTTTATTTATTTTTTATTTTTGTCACCCAGGCTGGAGTGCAGTGGTGCAATCTTGGCTCACTGCAACCTCTACCTCCTGGGTTCAAGCGATTCTCCTGCCTCAGACTCCCGAGTAGCTGGGATTACAGGCACGTGCCACCATGCCCTGCTAATTTTTTTATTTTTAGTAGAGATGAGGTTTCACCATGTTTGCCAGGCTGGTCTTGAACTCCTGACCTCAGATGATCCGCCCACCTCAGCCCCCCAAAGTGCTGGGATTACAGGCATGAGTGCCCAGCTAAATGTTTATTCTTAACCAGGATTGTTAATAACTTAATTTACTGTCATAGAGTTAAAAGTTTGGAACAGTAGAGAGCCTTATATATACTTCATGGTGTTCTTTCTACTGTCAGAAGGCCCCAGACTGGAATTTTTGGTGTGTGTGTGTGTGTACGTGTGCGTGCATGTTTTAAAGATATAAAACAAGGTTATGGCTGATTGTCGCTTCATCAGACAGTTTTAAAATTTTGTTTACTTTTGTTCCTTATTATCAAAGTAATATATGTTCATTGGAGAAAGTTCATCCTCCCCTCCCACATTGGAGAGGCAACCGCTCTTAACATTTTGGAATATTTCTTTTTTCCTTTTTTCTAAAAAAAAAAAAAACTACATAGTTTTAAACATGATTGAGAACATATAGTATATATACAATTTTGTATTCAGCTTTTTATTTTCTGTTTGACCTCAAAGGTATTAGCATTTTTCATGTCTTGAAAAACTCTTTGTAAAACTCTTTCTGATGGCTGCTAAATAGTTGGTGGTGTGCTGTTCACTTTCATAAGCCCTCTTTTTGGACATTTTAGTTTGTTGAAACTTCTTTGTTATAAGGTTGCAGTGAATATATATATATATATATATAAATCTTTGTTGAGATGATTTCCTTAGAATAGACTGGAACGTCCCAAGTGTGGAATTACTGTACAGAGGGATTGCATATTTTTTGTAAGATTCTTGGTACATACTACTGTGTTTTTAGAATATATATGTATTTAATTTGCCTTTTATAACCCCTAACACTTGAACCTAGAATTTTTTATCTGAGCTGAAAATGTTGCTTATCTGGGAACTGTTGCTTTTACTTTCACACTCTACAGAAAAGATTGTTATTCTTTGTATAAATCCATACGACCTTTCTAAAGGATAATATATACTAAAATCCATACATTTCTGATTTAGTGACTTAGGAATTTGCCCAAAATAAATAATCAAGAGCCTTATTTATAGGAATGTTCATTGATATATATAATAGTAGAAAACTGGAAACTGTCTATAAATTTCTGACTGTGGGAAGTAAATTGTTTTACATTCATTAGAATCTACATAGAAAGTTATAAAAATATTTTATAGACATGGTAAATTTTTTTGGAATTTGCTTTTAAAAGGTAGATTATACAGCAGTTTGATTTTAGTTTTATAAAGAAAAGTCACATGCACATGGGGTTGGCAGCTTATACATGTCAAAATATTAAAGGTGGTCATTTCAGATGATGGGATTATAAACAATTTGGATTTTATTTTGAGTGAGATTATCTTTTTTAATTTTCAAAAATCTTTTGAGGTCAGATTTTTTAAAGCTTTATTATAAAAATGCTTCTTCAATTTTTGGTGTATAAGAATGAAATGATAGGCTGGGCGCAGTGGCTCACGCTTATAATCCCAGCACTTTGGGAGGTCCAGGCAGGTAGTTCACAAAGTCAGGAGATCGAGACCGTCCTGGCTAACACGGTGAAACCCTGTCTTTACTAAAAACATAAAAAATTAGCCGGGCATGGTGGTGGGCATCTGTAGTCCCAGCTACTCGGGAGGCTGAGGCAGGAGAATCGCTTGAACCCGGGAGGCAGAGCTGCAGTGAGCCGAAATCGCGCCACTACATTCCAGCCTGGGTGACAGAGCGAGACTCCATCTCAAAAAAAATAAATAAGAATGAAATGATTCATTTGTAGGTTCTATCCCTATAGTCATGTTTGACCCCCAGATTTCCTCACCTGTTCCCCCCACCCCACTACTTCCCAACCCGCATTCCAGGCAAGCTCTGCTGAAGAAGGACCGAGGTCTTCCCGCTCAGGACTCTGACATCTGCCAGCCTGCTGTTTCACCTTTGCTTTGGTTTGCTATAAATGAGCCTGCTGAACATTAAAGCACTTGGCAGAAGCCACCAGTAAATCTGGCCAAGATCCTTTCACTGCTGCCTTTCCCTGAGAAACAGTGCTGCTCTGAAATGAGCAAAGCTGGGTGCTAGCAGAGCTAAAGGAGGGAAAGGCTCCTGGCAGACTGGTGGAAGGCAGGGAGGCTGGTCCAGGCAAGGCAGCGGGTGTTTTGAGCTAGGCCTCAGGAAGGATGGCTGGTAGGCGGGCCTGCCCCAGGAGTGTACTCTGTGCTCCTGCCATTCCCCTTCTCTGTCCCTGCCTTTCATTTTCCTGAATTTGTAAGTAGCAAATGTGATGATGATAATGATGGTGACGATGTTATCATCTCTATGAGGCAGGGTATTATGTTGGCAAGGGTTCTTGCTTTGGAGTGAGACAGGCCTAGATTAAAATCCTGGCTCTTTTACTTCTTAGCTGTTAATGTCAGCAAATGGTGTCATCTTTCTGAGCCTCTGTTTCTTCATCCATAAAGTGGGAGCACAGGATTGATATGAGGACCAAATGAGGCTACATACTTAAAAGTGGCTAGTATGGTTGCTGGTCCTCAGTAATTGTTCGCCCTGTTTCTTTATCCTCTTCTCCCCAGTGTTGTGACTTTAAATGTAGAACTTGGATTGACACTTAATGTCCCTAACACAGCCTGTCTGGAATGAGGCGGGACTAGGCCAGGTGCTGTGGGACCCCTCCAAAAGGGAATAAGAGCCTCAAACTGGCCATTAAGGTGGGTGAGTTCTTGGCTCAGCCACACCACTGAACTTCTTTCTTTCTTTCTTTTTTTTTTTTTTTTTTTTTGAGACAGAGCCTGGCTCTGTCCCCCAGGCTGGAGTGCAGTGGCGCAATCTTGGCTCAGTGCAAGCTCTGCCTCCTGGGTTCACGCTGTTCTCCTGCCCCAGCCTCCCCAGTAGCTGGGACTACAGGCTCCCGCCACCATGCCCGGCTAATTTTTTGTATTTTTAGTAGAGACGGGGTTTCTCCGTGTTAGCCAGGATGGTCTCGATCTCCTGACCTTGTGATCCGCCTGCCTTGGCCTCCCAAAGTGCTGGGATTACAACCACTGACTTTTTATGTGATCTTGGACAGATCAGTTAACATTCTGTGCCTTGATTTACTCCTCTGTAAAATGGGGATAATACCTATTCTACCTGCTTCATAGAGGCTATGTGAGGTTGTTGGATTTGAATGAAGTAACAGAAGATAAAACACTTTTGCATTCCTACTATGCAACTGTCAAGTTAAATAATGTTTATTATATGGTAAAGAGAGATAATAGTCTTTCATATGTTATAGGGATTGTGTGCAATAATGCATGTGAAGTTTTAGGCAAGTGTCTGACATTTGGTAAGAACTCGGTAAGTGGAAGCTGTTGTTGGCCTTGTTGCTATTAATCATTATTTTAAGACGTCTGATAAAGGTGGAAAAGATGAACTTACAGGCAGGCTGTCCCCAAGAACACCTTATGCTTGTACTATGGTAAAATGTTAGTAAATATTTTCATTAATTTTTTTTTTTTTTTTTTTTTTGAGAGAGAGTCTCTGTTGCCCAGGTTGGAGTGCAGTGGCACCATGTCGGCTCACTGCATCCTCCACCTCCTGGGCTCAAGCTATCCTCCCATCTCAGCTTCCTGAGTAGCCGGGACTACAGGCGTGTGCCACCATGCCTGGCTAACTTTTTGTGTTTTTTTAGAGATGGGGTTTCCCCATGTTGCCAGGCTGGTCTCAAACTCCTCGACTCAAGTGATCCTCCCACCTCAGCCTCCCAAAGTGCTAGGATAACAGGTGTGAGCCACCACACCTGCCCTTTTTCATTAATTAATTGGAAAGAAGTCAGGAAGTGATAGTAAAAGTTATAGTAACAAGAAATAGCAAATAACCAGTTTAAAATGTGCATGCATATTAATTTGATAGATGAGGAAACTGAAAGTCAAAGTGGGGAAATGACCTACACATTTTTAACCCACTAATTTCACCCAGAACCCATGTTATCAAATTGTTACCCTAAGTATTACCCTAAGTACTCTCCCTCCTCCCAGTCCCCATCCCTGTCCCCAAACTACCCTCAAAGCCATTTTTCCAGAGGAGGCTTTTAGCCATCATTCCTGGCTGTCCCAGGCTGCCAGCCTGCAGGTGTTGGAGTACTGCTGGGCACCATGCCACACCCCATGCAAGGCAGCCACAGGGGGCAAAAGCATCTCAAGGCTTTGTGGCTAGCTGAGTGAGGAGGGACCAAGCTGTCATTCTGAGTCCAGCCACTCTTGCAGTGTGTCTGGCAGCCCCCAGGTGTTTTGCTTTTCTAGCTGAAAAAATGCACAGCTGTTGCTATGGTGAGAGCCTGGCCACCTCCCTGCCTGGGACCAATTGCACTAAATCCTTTTTAGTTTCTACCCTTTTTAGTGCATTTAGTTCTCAATTCCTAGCCAAGGCCTGTGGTCTGCAAATAAAGATGTCCAACAGCCGCTATGCTGCTGAGCATGCAGATCCTTGGCACCATGCTGCAGCCCTTAAAGCCTCCTGCCTAAGGCTTCCTGCTTTCAGTCTCTTTTCGACATAGGAAGGAGACTGTGGCAGCTACTAAACTGTATTGTGTTTTTTCATTCTTGGAGTACATGTTTATGGCAGAAAATTTGGAAAATATAGAAAAGCACAAAAAACTTTAATAATTATTCACTTAGTGTGTTTTTCCTGAGAACTTGATATGTGTTAGGTCCTAGGCTGGATGTGACAGAGATGGACATAAACAATACATTGCCTGTCTTCCCATCAGTAAAATATAACCACTATTAATATTTTGACAAGTTTCCTTCCAGTTTTTAAAAATACACAATTTTTTGTTTACATATTTTAGAGATCATTTCTACTATGTATATACACAATTTTGTGTCCTGCTTTTCTTCAATTCAAGGATAATGTGAGCGTGTTTCCATGATATGTACTGGAATGTTATTCATATTAACACCCTATCCTTAAGTAGTAGAAAATCTTAACCATTTCATTTTTAATGACTATATGTATTCAACTACTTCCTCATTCTATAACTTTAGATTTTCTAATTTTTGTATTATTAAATATAAAGCTGGGATAAATATCTTCGTGTATAGAACTTCAGAAAATTTTTTCAGATCCTGTTCATGTGATAATTTCCCAGTTGAGAGATTTTGGGGTTAAATGGTATGAACATTTGCATCAATTTGAATTTCTATCAGTGATATACGAGCTTATCCATTTCATCATAGCTTGCTGGCATTGAATATTGTAATTAAAAACCACAGCATCAAATTTTGCTATGATAGCTGAATTGTATCTTATTTTAATTTGCATTTCTTTGATGTCTATTTTCCATGTTTGGTAACCAGATGTACCTCATTTTTTTTCAAGGCTTTTTTTTTTCACTTAACTATTGGGATCTTAATATTCTTCTTATCAATTTGTATGAGGGCTTTATATACAAAGTATTTCAGGTGTAGGAAATTCTAGAGGCTCATTAAGGAACAGATAAGACTAGCTTCTCTATATTGTAGAATAATAGTTAAGAATTTTGGGCTGTGGAATCTGAATGCTGTGGATTAAATTTTGTCATTCCAACTTTCTAGCTATGTGTCCTGAATAAGCGATCTAAATGCCTCAGTTTTCCTATCTGCAAAATGGGGATAATAATAGTATCTATCTTATGGGTTTGCTGTTAGGAGTTAAAAAGAATGTATATATAGGCCTGGTGCGGTGGCTCACGCCTGTAATCCCAGCACTTTGGGAGGCCAAGGCAGGAGGATCACGAGGTCAGGAGATTGAGACCATTCTGGTGAGCACGGTGAAACCCCATCTCTACTAAAAATACAAAAAAAAATTAGCCGGGCGCGGTGGCGGGCACCTGTAGTCCCAGCTACTCGGGAGGCTGAGGCAGGAGAATGGCGTGAACACAGGAGGCGGAGCTTGCAGTGAGCCGAGATTGCACCACTGCACTCCAGCCTGGGCGACAGAGCGAGACTTTGTCTCAAAAAAAAAAAAAGAATGTATATATAAAGTTCTTAGTACAGTGCCTGACTGGTACTTAATGTGAACTTTTGTCACTATTATTATTTCTCACATAACCTTTTCATGTTTCTGGAATATTCATCCCCCTACCCTTTTCCAGCCCCATTAATCAGGCTGTCTCATTTTGTGTTCTTGCAGATCAGCCAAATGGCCGATGACACAGTGGCAGAACTGGACAGGCATCTGGCAGTGAAGACCAAAGAACTCCTTGGATGAAAGTCCACTGGGGCCAGCAATACTCCAGAGCCCAGTTTCTGCTGGATCCCATGGGTGGCACATTGGGACTTCTCTCCCTCCCCCATCTACACAGAAGACTGTCACCATGCTGACAGAAGCCTGTCCTTGTAAGGCCCAGCCTTCCAGGGGAACACTCAGACATGTTCATTCTCTTCCTGCTTCTGCTCTGGGCCGGTGGGTGGCTCTCAGAAAATACTTGCTGCTGGCAAAAGGCCTGTACTCAGGCATTTGCTTTGACTTGATGTTGCCAAGGGACTGAGGCCATTGGCAGGCTTAGTACCACCTGCTCCTCATCTTAGGAGTCTCCTTTTCAAATAATTAGGCTCTGTTCCCATTTTAAAACTCTGATATTGGCCTTCACCTGTGACTGGACACTTTACTAGAGGCCCATTTTCACTAAACAATAAAATCTAAATAAATTGGAAGGAATAACAACCACAAAGGAAAGAATAGAGTTGGTCTGGATTGATGATCACTGAGGATCTGTATGTGAGGCACCCATAACAGTAGTTTTGCCTGTGAGTCGTCTTCACACATGCTGTTTTCTCTGCCTGGCTCTCTCTTCCCCTCCTTACCTGGCCAGTCCTGTTTATCATCAGGCCTTGTCTTGGATATCACGTCCTCTGGGAAGTCTTCTTTTCCCCTCTAACCTAGGACCCTCATTACCGGCTCTCATAGCACAGTCTACTGCTTTGTACGAATTCTAAGTATTCTTGTTGCACTTAATTAGCCTGTATATCCTCAGAACTTTGTGTAATGCCTGGAGCATAGTAGGCAGTCATATGTTGTATCGTGAATAAATTGCACATAGTAGCTACCCAGCAAATGCTGACTTCTTTTCTTTCTAGTCTTAACACTCCCTTTCTATCATTTTCCACTCTTGTACTTGTTCTCAACATTTACTTGGTAGTGACATACCTTTCCTGCAGGGCCTGCCCATTGTTGACAGACAAGTAGTTTATTGTGGCTTATCTTCGGATACTGGGTTATTAGGTTTTTTTCCCTCCAATTATTTTTTATTCATTCATTCATTCCTAATATAGCCATTATGAGTTAGGTATAGTTCTAGGCATTATTTATAATCTTGACAGTAAACTTAAGAGATGTGTATTATCTTCATTTACAAATAGGAAAACTAAGTCTTGACAGTATTAGGTAATTTGCCCAAAGTAACAAAGCAAAGCTGATCAGTGGTAGAAGGTTTTCATGATTCATTGTCAGCGTCATTTACATAGAGGTGAAGTTTCTTGTGCAGGGTTACACACCTAGCAAGTAGCAGAGCTGGCATTCAAATTGAGGCCTGATGTGCTAATGTAAAAGGAAAAAAACAAACTTTTTTTCCTTTTGTACTTTCACACTCAACATGGAACACTTCTGTGACAAGGTGTGTGAGTTTGTTTCCCCCACACACCAAGCAATTCTCCAGCAGACACCAACTGGGTATCCTATAATTCAATTCATTTCTGACATTACCTGGAAATAGTGTCAGATCCCACAGGTTGAGGGCTCCATCTCCCAAGACTGCCAACACTTTTGATGCCAGTCATGAGTCTGGGCCACCCATACTCCTGACTGACCAACTACAAACTAGAGTCCTTGATTTCCTTTGGTTCAGTTAATTTCCTAGGACAGCTCACACAACTCAGGGAAACACGTTCACTGGTTTATTATAAAAGATACAGCTGAACAGCCCAATGAAGGAGGTACACAGGGCAAGGTTGAGGGAGAGGGAGAGGGTGTGGAGCTTCCATGCCTTCTCTGGGCTCACACTCTCTCAGCACCTCACCAATCTGGAAGGAACCACTGTGTCCTGCTGCCTTCATTAGCATTTAGTGAGCACCAATTGTTTGTCAGGTGCTGAACTATGTACTGGCAATACAAAAATGGGAAAGATATGACCCCTGTTTTGGGGGGGTACATAGTGCACTGAACTAAATTGCTGTCTATAATAATCTATTGGGTGGAAAAGTAGGAAGTTCATTCCAGTTCTGCAAGGTGTCTGCTTTCAGAATGGAGCCCACTTTGGTGGTGGCAAGGCCTGGCTGAGTTCTTTCAAAGCAACATCCAACTTCTCTTTGCTCTTTGACTTCCTCCAGATTCTCTCCTGTGCTGGAGGTAATAAGGGTTGCACTTCCCTCTTTACTTACACTGGTGAAACATGCAGTGAGGATTCAAGGTCAAAATTGGGTCAAAGTTAAACTAACACAGTCTCCTGCCCCACTTACCTGTCCTCTAACCCCATCCACCAGCCCTAAGTGGTCATCACATGATCAGAAGTCAGCTGGGGGAAGAGCAGGGATAGATAGAGCAATTAAGGAGCCTCTTTTGGGGTAAGCCACATGACAGGGGCTTTGCAACAGTCTTTCATGAGTGGCCGAAATCCCCCACTCACTGCAAATGTGCTTCTCAAAGATGCAGGATTTTTTAATAAACAGAGGAAATGATAAATTATGTTGTAATTCCACTCCAAAGGCATTTGGTTCTTAACAGCCAAATCCTCTGTAGTCTTTAAATAAACAAAAACTTATTTGGTGAACAGACAGGGAGGAAAATGAAAGATTTTCTGTACTTGGGTTCCACATGTCAACAATTTCTCTCCTGTGTGTATGTTGGCCAAAGCTGTATCATGATAAATGAATAAAGGAAAACCTCGAGCCCAGGGCAGTCAGACAGCTCAGCAAATGGCTTTCAGATGATTACTCAATTTCAGTTGACATTTATCAAAGAGTTTCTCTGTGACTCTGTGTCAGGGCTGTAGTGGTGACAGGGACAAGAATGAGACTACCTGTTTGGATGTGCTGAGAATGAGTAATGCTGGAGCAATTCATTCTCCATCTCTTCTCTCCTACAGCCTCTCTCAAAAAGAAACACTGGGTATGGAAATTCTCACACTTGCCAGAAGAATTAACCACCTCTTCTATTCAGTTTAATGACTTTCAAAGTCCTATGAAATATTCAGGCCAGAGAGAATTTGAGAATTTTTTTCCTGTCTGGTGTGTGTGTGTGTGTGTGTGTGTGTGTGTGTGTGTGTGTGTGTGTGTGTGTGTTGGAAATTACAAAATAAGTTGGAATGCAGAAAGTTAAAAAAAAAATCTCACCAGGCCCTACTCCTTTAAAATTAGGTATATATCTTTCCAGACCTCCTTTCTCTGTGCATATATGTGTGTGTGTGTGTGTGTGTTCGTTTCATTTTGTTTTGCCTTTGAGACAGTGTCTCACTCTGTCGCCCATCATGCAGTGGCACAATCATAGCTCACTGCAGCCTTGAACTCTTTGGCTCATGCAATTCTCCCACCTCAGCCTCCTGAGTAGCTGGGACTGCAGCTATGCACCACCACACCTGGCTTTTTTTTTTTTGCTTTGTTTCCTAGGCTGGTCTCAAACACCTGGCCTCAAGCGGTCCTTCTGCCTCAGCCTCCCAAAGCGCTGGGATTACAAGTGTGAGCCACTCTGCCTGGCCATATATAATTTTTTTTTTTTTTTTTTTGCAATGGAGTCTTGCTCTGTCGCCCACGCTGGAGTGCATTGGCGCAATCTCGGCTCACTGCAACCTCTGCCTCCCTGGTTCAAGCAGTTTTCCCTGCTTCAGCCTCCTGAGTAGCTGGGATTACAGGCGCCCGCCACCACACCCAGCTAATTTTTTATTTTTTTTTAGTAGAGATGGGGTTTCACCATGTTGGCCAGGCTGGTCTTGAACTCCTGACTCAGGTGATCCACCTGTCTCAGCCTCCCAAATTGCTGGGATTACAGGCATGAACCACTGCGCCCGGCCATATAATTTTTTAGAAGGAGAGAGGGGAACTATTCATATTCTGATGTTTGCTTTTTTTTCTTACCCTGTAACAATCATGGTCATCTGTCCATGTGTGTACATAATAGATACAATTTATTATTTCATTGTGATACAGTATTCCATAATATGGGTCTACCATAACTTAATTCACTATTAGCCCATGACACTATTTAAAAATTATTTCACATGCATTGGAGAATGTTTAAAGATGATTTTTTTTTTTAAGAAAAAAGAAAGGCCCCTATTCTAAGATTATCTGATAAGGTCTGCTCTTTCTCCTTCAACCTCAGGCTAACATTTATTGAATGCCTACAGTCGGCCAGGTTCCATGCTAGACCCTTTACACGTGTTCCCACATTGAAACTTCTGATGAATCCTTGTTAATGTAGGTGTTATGATTATCTGTGTTTTTCTGTGAAAAAAACAGGTTCAGAAAGGATATTTAACTTGCCCAAGGTCACACAGGTAGTAAGTGCTAGAATGAAATTTCAAACCCACATCTGACCTTGAAGTAGGTCCTTAATCAGTGTGCTTTGGTTCCCAAGTCTTCGCTGAACACTTACTCAAAAGGGACCTCGCGCTGTTCTGGACCTGGACGGTGATGTGAGAGAAGCAGAAGTCTTGCTTTCATAAAACACATAGCAAGCTGTTCCTAATTAATGACTGCAAGTAAAATAGCATAGTACCTGGCACATTGTAAACACCAAAGAAATGGTAGCTCTTATGGAGACAGTAAAGATTACATATTAATCCCCCACCTGTTTGGCCAACTTCTCTAGAATATGTCAGAGAGCAAGCAAAATGTTCACCAAGCAGTGAATAATGATAATAATAACAACAATAACAGTATTGACAGATCAGTAACTAATATTTGCTTGGTGCTTTTTAGTTTTCAAACTGCTTCTACATTCTTTGTTGCATTGAAACCACTCAGTGAAACTTTGCGGTTAGACAAAGAGTGATCATAAAAGCTTGTATCCTCAAAAGCCACTTTGAGGCTTTCTTTTGCCCTAATAGACGGTCATTTTTCATGATGTGCATTTGAAATGATATGTTCCCTATTTTGGGGGTACAAATTTTGATATGTATGCAGGAAATGTAGCTTATAGAGTATGTTGTTTAGGTTTTCCATTATTTTTTGACCCTTTGATGAGTCTTGGACTGAAAGTGGTGTGTTTCAGACCCCTGCTATTAACATTTCTGTTCCTTCTTGCATTTTCTGCTTTATGAAAATGGATTCTGCTTTGTGAAAGTACTGCTGTGTTGTTTTATACATAGCGCTCCAGACGCTTACATCTTCTTTATTTCATTCAGTGCTCTTAGTCTGAATTTTATCTTGTTGTATATCAGGATTACAGCTCTTGCTTGCTTTTTGTTTACATTTGCTTTCCCCATTTCTTGATTTTTAAGCTTTCAGAATCACTATTTTAGGTGTTTCTTTTTTTTTTTGGAATTGGGTTTTGTTCGATGAACCATTCTGAAACTCCTTTTTTCTTATTTTTATTTTTAATTGTAAAATATACATAAAATTTACTCTCTTAACCATGTTTTTTTTTTAGACAGGGTCTTGCTCTGTCACTCAGGCTGGATTTCAGTGGCATGATCTCAGCTCACTGTAGCCTTGACAACCTGGGCTGAAGCAATCCTCCCACCTCAGCCTCCTGAGTAGCTGGGATTACAGCCACGTGCACCGCCACACCTGGCTAACTTTTAAAATTATTTGTAGAGACAAGGTCTTGGCTATGTTGCCCAGGCTGATCTCAAACTCCTGAGCTCAGGTGATTCTCCTACCTTGGCCTCCCAAAGTGCTGGGATTACAGGCTTGAGCTTCTGTGCCCAGCCTTAACCATTTTAAGTGTACAGTTCAGTAGCATTTAGTACATTTACATTGTTGTACAACCATCCTCCAGAACTCTTTACCATGCAGAACTGACGCTCTATACCCATTACACAACCCCAGTTCCCCCTTCTCAGCCCCCAGCAACCACCATTTATGAATTTATAAATTTGATTAGGAACATCATGTTAAGTGGAATCATACAGGATTTGTCTTTTTGTGACTAGTTTATTTCACTGAAGCATGATGTCCTTAAAGTATATCCATATTGTAGCATGTATCAGAATTTCCTTTCTAAGGCTGAGTAATCTGTTGTATATATGAATAAGTATATATAAAGCTCCTTTTAACAGACACTTAAATTCATTTACATTTATTTATAATAGTGATATGTTTAGTAGAACCCATTTACTTTTTCTTTATTTTCAGTATTAACATAAGTGATTTGGTGTTTTAGCCCTAAGCAGATAAAGGATTAGAGATTAGAATGAGGAAGAGGGTTGCTTCACATAGACGAAGTTCAGTTTTTGTGGAATAAACAAATAAGTGATTATCTCTGTCTGCCTCTTTGTCTCTCTCTCTCTCTCTTTTTTTTTTAATAAGAGATGAGGGGTCTCCCTATGTTGCCCAGGCTGGACTTGAACTCCTGGGTTCAAGTGATCCTGGAACTGCAGATATGCACAGCTGTGCCCGAAGATCCCTTTCTCTTACATTCCTTTCTTCTGGTCTGTGTTTCAGTCCATCCTACGCTGTTAAGTTAGAACAACCTGAAACAGCTTTTATCATGTCACTCTTCTCTCAGAAACCTTCATTGGTTCCCTGTTGCCTGCTGAATTATGTAAACTCTTCACCCTGGCATTCAGTAACTTCTGCAATCTGGGCCTGATGTATTCCTTTAATTGTGATGCATCTCTTACAACTACCCTGATACCACCAGTGCTTAAGCGAAACGGAATTATTAGCTTTTCTGAAAGCTAATAATTTTGTGCTGCTTTCTCTCACCTTCAAGCCTTTTCTTAGGCTATTTTCTTTGCCTAGTGTATGCTCCCTTAAACCACTTCCCCACCAGCAGGCAAAACTTACCTAGTCTTATAAGCCCTTCTTGGTCCCATGTTCTTCCTTACACTAACTCATTCATTCATTATCCATCCCGATGCTTCTCCTGATTCATTCATTCATTATCCATACCGATGCCTCTCCTGATCCCTAAACCTGCCTATGCCTATTAAGCGCTTGGATTTGCCTCAAGCATCTGACGTTCAGCTACCCACCTGCGTTTCCTCTCTCAGGAAAAGCCTCACCATCCACCCAGGTGCCAAGCCAGGACACTGGGAGCCACTTTTGCCTCCCTGTCCCTCTCCCCTCATCCAATAAGTCACCAAGTCCTGTCAATTCTCCCTTCAACAGACCTTTCCTTTCCTTCCTGGGCACACCCTTGAGTGGTGCTCACCAGGGAACAGATGTGGCAAATGTTCCAGGCTGGCCTCACCCGGGTCTCTAGACACTTGGCTCAGAGGCAGAACATGGCTAACCCTAGATAAGCCTTGTGTGAATTCCTGGCAAGAAAGTCCCCTGCTGTCTTAGTCTGTGCATTCTCTGACTAGCACAGTATGTGGCGAGAGCAGGTGTTGAGGAAATGTTTGTCTAATTCTAAGGGGCCTGCCAGGCCTTGATACAAATGGCGTCACATTTACATGAATAACCCAGAGTTTCTCTAATTATCCTCACCTGCCTGCCCAGGACCTTCAACCTCATCTGCTAAGTCGGCCTCAGGCGTTTCTAGACATCTTAAGGGACCGCATGGCATCCAAGGCCACTGGCATCTACTGTACTCCCCTCCCACCGGCGCTTCCCTTTGCTAGCATCTGCAGCCACAAGTGACACTTAAGGGAGATTTACCTCCACTACTGGGAGTGTTAGTGTCTGTGACAAAAGTGCTGGTTGCTGGGCTGAGGGGGTCTGAGCATGCTGGGTGGAAGCCCTGAAGAGGAAGGGAGAAGGTCTCTGCCCACATCCCACATTTGCCGTGCATCCCTGAGTTCCAAAGCAGCCTCGCTAGGCTCTAGAGCCCCTAAATCTCCAAAGACAGCAGCTCCTCCGCGAGCTAGCTGCCCCTGACCGAGGCTCACAGCTTGCCTAGGGGAGGGCAGGGCAAAAGTCCCTGCTATTCTCTTCCTTTCCTGGCTCAGGCCTTGATCCAAATAGCTCCCTTCTTCCAAGACACTACTCCCCAGGCCTCCTCTTCCTGATAATAATAGTGGCTAACAAGTTTTACTAGATTTTAGGCAACTCAAGGAGCTAGCTGTTATTTTGTTCATTCTACAAGTGAGGAAGGAAGCACAGACAGTGGTTAAGTTACATGTCCAGAGACACACAGAGGGCCTAGTGCAGTAGCTCATGCCTGGAATCTCAGCACTTTGGGTGGCTGAGGTGGGCGAGTCACTTGAGGTCAGGAGTTCGGGACCAGCCTGGCCAACGTGGTGAAACCCCATCTCTACTAAAAATAAAAAATTTAGCCAGGTGTGGTGGCGGGCGCCTGTAATCCCAGCTACTTCGGAGGCTGAAGCAGGAGAATCACTTGAACCCAGGAGGCAGAGGTTGCAGTGAGCCAAGATTGCACCACTGCACTGCAGCATGGGCAACAGAGCGAGACTCTGTCTCCACACAGAGGAACACTTGGCATCAGGGAGTCTGTTGTCTGACCCGCAACTAGGCAGCCTCATACATTATTTTCACTAAGAGACCAGTGGGGCTGGAAAGGGACTTGTGAGGTGCTAAGTAGCCAGTGAGAGCTTCTGGGTCCTGTCGCAGTTTTGCCCTTTCTTCCCTCAAAAAAAGGTCTCTCCACTTCTCTGTGGGAAAGGCTTGGGCAAGTTCTCTGGTTTCCAATGAGGCCAGAGAACCTGTGCTGATCCCTAACATCTTCACCCATCGGGGGCAAAATAAGTAAAATAAAAGTAATGTAGCAAATGTTTTTATAAAAGTGTTAATTTAAATTAACGGACTATTACCTATTCTTAGAGCTTTCTCTTTTGTTTTTGGCATTAAAATATCCTTTCTATTATAAAATGATAAGTTGGTGATTCTTTAGAAATCCTTATTTAGAAAAAATAATTGGTCACATTCTGTGGGTTCCTTTCATTCTGTTTTTTAACTTCACAGATGTATGAATCCCAAAGTCTCGGAGCTATGGGACCTCACGCCTACTCCTAGTTCTGATGTCCCCGAGGCTGTCATCCAAGGGAAGCTGGAGCTGTAACTAGGGAGAGAAGCAAGGGAGGGAGGTGGTTTGACCTGTGTGGGTGTCGGGGACTCCTGGGTGAGTGAGCAGTGGCAGTGAGGCAGGGGTTGGAAACAGGACAATAGTCAATCAGAAGGGTTGAGAGACCCACAAGGGAGGAGGGACAGGTTGGGGGAGGTGAGTCAGAGAGAGGAGAGAGACAGAGACGGGAGATACAGGGACAGAGGGAGGGAGATAGAGGCAGAATCAGAGACAAAAATAGGAACACACACGCATGCACACATACAAACACAGAGATCAGCACATGGAGACAAAGACACAGAGAGACACCCAGGAAGAGAGATGGAGACAGTCCCAGAGACAGAAAACAGACAGGGACAGTGAGAGTCAGAGACAGTATCATCTGTAGAGATACTCCAAAAGAGATACCCACTAAGACAGAGACTGAGATAGAGACAGACACAGAGGAGGACAGAGAAGTACACACAGAGAAGGCAACAGAAACCAGGAAAAGAAACAGTTTAGAAAGAAGGGAGGGGAGGGGGTTTTCTACTTGTTCGAATCCCACCCCTCCCTCCGTCTCTATGCAGGGGAGCTGTTTTCTTCTTCCTTCTTTCTTGCCTGTTAAACTTTTTGCTCCTTAAAACAAAAACAAAAAGAAAGAAGGGAGGGGAGCAGAGAGGAGAAGACAGACACACATATAGGTGGAGACGGAGTGAGGCAGCTGGAGATGTAGGGGAGAGGGAGGGTGAGCCAGGCCTGGTGGCTTTGGGCAGCCCCAGGTTCTGGCACAGGGCGTGGGTAGAGGAAGTGTCGCATCAGCCCTGCCGGGGCTGCAGGGACTAGATAAGGATGCCTGCCAAAGGAAAGCAGGGGAAGGAAAGACGTTTACAAATCCCCATAGGGGCAAAGCCAGGGAGGCTGCCCCAGGCCCAGAGAACAATGGGTACTTGACTTCAGTGGGTCATTAATGAGACAATTAATGGAAAGAGTAACATAGGCCTCCCTGAGGAGGACTTGGAAAGTGGTTAAGTGGAATTATTGAGGACTTGTGGTGGCTCTGAGTGGGGGGCCTTTTCCCCCACAACCCAGATGTCCAGTGTGCCAACTGCACCTCCCCTGCTCCTCCAAATATGCCCGGTGCTCCCTCCGCCCTGGACCCCTGCTTTTCTATCCCTATGCATTTGCTTCTGCCACATTCTCTACCTGGAATGTCTTCCCCTTATTACATCCATCCATGGAAACCCCACCCTTCAGAGGGTAAGTAAACGTGATACATCCATACGGTGCAGTGGTCAGCCAGGGCCATATGTTTCAACAAGAATAGGGCCCTCAACACATGATGGGCAGTGGAAGAAGCAAGCAGAGTCCTATTACAGCATGATGCTATTTATACGAACTGGAATTACACAGACACAAAGCAATTCCTTTAAAAACGATGCCTACTTTGCATTATAAAATGTTTTAAAAGGGCAGGGGGGATTGTGAGGGATACTGGCTAAATTCCTAACGGTGATTGACACTGGGGAGTGGGGGGAAGATTTAAAGTATACCCTGAAGTCATCGTGTGTGTGTGTGTGTGTGTGTGTGTGTGTGTGTATGGATATGTACATGAAAACTTGACATAATGTTAATTTGGAGCTGTGAAAATAGGTGTGGTTGTTAACCTCGTTTTCTGTTTTTATTTCCCCTGTACTTTTAATTTTTTTTTTTCCAGAGAGAGAGAGAGATTCTAGCTATCCTCCACACCCACCCCAAATACCTCCGACTGCAGGAAGTCTTCCAGGAATGCATCCACCAATCAGACACGGTCTCCCTTTTCCCCTTGTACCAAACTCTCAGGGCTCTTAAGCACTTTCCCCCTCGCGGTTCCCCTTGTGATGTTCATGGACTGTCTTCCCCATTGAATGGGAGGCCCTCAAGGGCAGGGACTTCCAGTACAGAGGTATCTGAGACTGAGCCTAGGTCTTCCACCCTGTTACTGCAGGAGGCAAACCAGGAAGGTGCTGACCATTTCTCGGTTCCAACACCCACAATCCACTACGATGTGGGGAGGTGGGAGGGTGGAGCTCCTGAAATTCAAAGCACGGCTTCTAGAATGAGGATCTACCTCTAGTGGGGAGCTGCTATTCAAAAATGTTCAGGGAGGAAGGAGGAAGTCTTGTTTGCTGTGGCCAAGGAATCGCTTTGTTGCTTGTTAGCTGGTTGGTTGTGGCCACATTGCTAACAAGGCCTCTAGCTAGCAGCGTTCCCCAACCCATCCTAGTGGGCTAGAGATGCATTATAACCCCTTCCACCCAAAGCTACAGATTAAAAAATAGACCCAAATTCCAGCACCCCCCAGCGAATCCCAGCTGCTGGTTAAAATGGAGCCATTGTTGGCCAGGCACAGTGGCTCACACCTGTAATCCCAGCACTTTGGGAGCCAGAGGCGGGCGGATCATCTGAGGTCAAGAGTTTGAGACCAGCCTGGCCAACATGGCAAAACCCCATCTCTACTAAAAATAGAAATCCCTCTAAATTCCTCCTGCCCTTTTAAACATTTTAGGCATCATTTTTAAAGGAATTGCTTTGTGTCTGTGTAATTCCAGTTTGTATAAATAGCATCATGCTGTAATAGGACTCTGCTTGCTTCTTCCACTGCCCATCATGTGTTGAGGGCCCTATTCTTGTTGAAACATGGCCCCAGCTGACCACTGCACCATATAGATGTACTGCGTTTACTTACCTGCTGAAGAGTGGGGTTTCCATGGATGGATGTAAAATATGGGCATGGTAGTGGGTGCCTGTAATCCCAGCTACTCAGGAGACTGAGGCAGGAGAGTCGCTTGAACCCGGGAGGCGGAGGTTGCAGTGAGCCGGGATCACGCCAGTGCACTGCACCCTGATTGACAGAGTGAGACTCCATCTCCAAAAAAAAAAAAAAACTAATTCTCCAGCCCCCAGTGAATCCCAGTTGCTGGTTAAAATGGAGCCATTGTAGAGAAGGAAGGAGAAAGGACATCAGTCCCAGCCCACCCATCCAGGCAGCCACTACTCATGGAGCATTTACGCGATGCTTGGCCCCTAAGCCACATTATCTAACTTCATTCCCACAACAGCCCTTTGGGCTTAGATTTTTAGCAAACGGGCTCAGAAAGGCTAAGTGCCTTGCTAAAGTCACAGATGCAGTGAGTGTTGGAACTGGGACTCCCATCTGACCTGTTAGGAGGTGGATGTGTCTTGGGTCTGCTATAGCTCTTCCCACTTCTAGACAGCTCCATGTTTTACAAGTGGGATACTGAAGCACAGAGAGGGGAAGAACTCATCCACTGACGACACAGTCAGTGAATAGCAGAGCTGGGACTTGAACCCAGATTTCCTGATTTCCTCCCTGCTCCTTTGGCTGCCCAGTGGAGTCTAACAGACTGCAGGTCAGACCGCACTTTGGGATTTTTAAGCTGCCGGGGTTTGAGATGTCTTTAAGCCTTCATGGGGCAAAAAATTGCAGGGTTTGGGGAGCAGAGAAGGGTCTTAGAGATAATCTAGTTTGGCGCCCTCTTTGTAGTGATGAGGAATTTAAGGCCTAAACAGGGCAAATGACTCACAAGAACACTTTGATGTCAGAAAGTCCATGCCAAAATAAGCAGCCTCATGATCCACAGAGTCCGTTGGAGTCTCAGAACTGACTGACTACAGCTTTAGAACCTGTGTTAATAATAGGTAACTTGGTATCAAAACCCAGAGCAGATTGGAAACTATAAATTACAATGTGGAGAAGGGCAGCTTTCACACAGAGATGTCTGTTGAATGAGGAATACACAAATGAATGAATGAATGAATGGACTGCCAGGCTGATTTCTGGCTTCTACCTCACTTCCCTTCCTCTCCTCTATCTCTTGCCGTCAGATTAATAACCTTAAAACACAGCCTAGGTAGGGCGCGGTGGCTCATGTCTGTAATCCCAGCACTTTGGGAGGCCGAGGCGGGCCGATCACCCGAGGTCAGGAGTTTGAGACCGGCCTGACCAACATGGAGAAACCCCATCTCTTCTAAAAATACAAAATTAGCTGCACCTGGTGGCCCATGCCTGTAATCCCAGCTACTCAGGAGGCTGAGGCAGGAGAATCACTTGAACCCGGGAGGCAGAGGTAGCGGTGAGCTGAGATTGTGTCATTGCACTCCAGCCTGGCAACAAGCGAAAACTCTGTCTCAAAAAACAAAACAAACAATAACAACAACAACAAAAACACAGCCTTTGCTATAACATCCTGCTCAAAAACATTCAGTGGCTCCCCCTTACCTGGATGACTGAATAGCCTCCTAACCAGTCTCTCTGTTCTTCATGCCTGGCCCTCTGATCCGTTTTCTCCAGAGGGTAAATTCTTCAAACGCAAATCAGGCCACTAGCCTTCAGAGGCTCCCTATGACCTCCAGGAAAAAATCCAAAATTCTTAACCCAAGGTCTTAACTGCAAGGCTTGACCATCTCTCTGACCCCATCTCACCCCAGCCTCTCCTTGCTCTGGCGTCTCTCAGCTCCCCACCGGTGGCTGTCACTTCAGGGACTTTGCACGTGGTGTTCCCTCTGCCTGGGACATTCCAGGCCCTACTGGCCTTGCTAACTTCTATATGTCCGTTAGCTCTCAACCCAATGTCACTCCCTCCGGGCAGCCTTCCCTGACCTCCCCAGATTGGGTTTAGCAGCTCTGAGAGCCTCTGGTCTGCCCCCAGCACCGCACTATCCCATCTGATTATATGTAACGACTTTCGCATCTGTCTCCTGCCCCAACTGTGAGCTCTGAGAAGGCAAGAACTGTCTCATTCACACTGCACGCTCAGTCCCCAGGATGAAGCCTGACACACACTGTACACTCAACAAGTATTTGCTGAATGCACAAATAAATACATGTGGCTTCCTAGTGAAACTGATGTAGCCATTCAACAAATATTTAAGCATCTTGGTAGATACTTGTTGAGCACCTACTAAGTGCCAGGCATGGTTCTCCACACTCCACAGGGTAAACAAACCATCACAAAGTCCCTGCCTTTGTGGAGCTCACGGTCTACTTGGGAGAGGCAGGCATTAAATCCATAGAGAAATAACTTAGTGCCAGGCATAGCTGAGTGCTGTGAAGGAAAACAAAGCAGGAGTTAAAGAATTGGGAGGGTGGTGGTGAGGGGGTGGGGGTTGTCAGTTTAGATGGGGCAGTCAGGGAATGCCTCACAGAGGAGGTGACATTTCAGTGATGAGCGAGGGCTTCTGCGAGACACAGACCCTCCCCTGCCTGGGGCTGTCTGGGCCACAGGTGTGTCCAGGTATGGCAGGCCCAGGTCCCCAAACTCTTCCTGCCTCTCGGTTGGAGCAAGGAACCCAGAAGAGGCCTTAGGTGAGGCTTTTGAGGCCGGTGCAGAAGCCTCAAGCTGCTCTTCACAACAGCTGTGATTGGGCTCTTTCTGCATGGCGAGAGGCAGAGATTGCTTTGTGCGCCGAGGGCTCGGCTGATTGTGGTGGGTGCCGGGCGATTGGCACCCACAGACCGCGGCCGCCAGGGTTTACCACGCACCCCCAGCACCGCGGCGGGCCGTGCGCAACGCGCCAGCCCAATCTCGCCTCCTATATTCAGAGTTGATTAGACGCTATTTCTGCCTGGATTTTCAGAAGGCTCAAGAGCTTTTTTAATCACTACAGTGGCTCATTACGGTTTTGCAGTGACACTCATGTCCTTCAGTTCTCTTCTCAGATTAGATTCTATAGTCAGATGAATATTGGATGATTTCATTACATACAAATGCAATCAACAGTTTTGCATAAATTTCTTCTCTTTTCTTGAGTTTCAATTGACCCCAGCACCCATGGTGGCAGGCGCGATCCACATGCAAATGAGCTGGGTTTGCAGCCGAGGAGAGGGGCCGGGAGGAGGCGGGCACTTGCACCAGCCCAGGGAGGCAGCAGCCTTGATTGCTCAGGCTTTGGGAGAGGGGCCTTGGAGGAGGGGGCACCCTGCAGTGGGCAGCCTCTGTGGCCAAGGCTGGGCACCCCATTCAGGATAGTGTTCTCCAGGTGAACTGAAGCACAGGGATGCTCCGAGTAGGACAGGCTCTCTCTCTGGGCAGAGACTGGAATGTGAAGTTAAGGCCCTGGCAGCTGGGCTGGCAGGGGAGGGTGTGCTCAAGATGCTTGGAGCAGTGGCTATTTAACAACTGGTGTGGACATGTTTCAATCTTTTAACAACTGGTGGGGCTATAGCAGTGCATTCCTGCTGTGTATTTGCTGCTGCTGTTATGATCATAATCACTGTCATTACTCCCTCTGGAGGGCTTAAGCTGTGGCCGTGTGGGCAACCAGTAAGAGACAAAAGCCAGCCCGAGGCAGGTGGGAAATTTTGGAGCCTGAGGCAGTTGTCTCCGGCATCATTTTCTGGATTTCTCTATTGCTTTATTGGGTGGAGGGCCAGGATATTCTCAGAATTGGGCCTCAGAAGTCTCCTAATCCATCCCTTATCTGATGCTTGAATCCTCTCTACGACACCTCTGTCCAGTGGTTTGGCAACTTCTCCTCCCTGGGAATGAGAAACTCCTTCCCTGCAAGGACCCTCTTCCGCCTCCCACAGTTCCATAGCGAGAAGGTGCTTTCTATGACTCCTGAAGCCACCCTCCCCAGCCCTGACTGTGCGCTCTGGGCCCAGCCCACCTCTGCTCCTTTGCCCCGTTGTAGCCCCTGAGGTCAGCAGCTGGTGACTGTGCTCTCCTGGGTCACCTTCCTAGGGCTGGTCTTCTCGATTCCTGCAGCTTCCATTCCCAGAAGCCATCCTCCAGCCTCCTATCCTGGTCTGTCCTCCAAATGCTTCTGGTGGCTGTCACGATTCATAGTCCGGGCCTGGACTCAACACTAGGCACAAGGCTGGAGGGAGGTGTGGGGAGGAAGAGGACCCAGGGCTAACAGCTGAGCATCCCACACGCTAAGCATTAGAGCCAAGACGACGGTCTGCACTTTGCAAACCTCACTTCCTTTGGGCAGCTTCTTTATAAAACCTTCAAACGTAAACACAGACCTGACAGGATGCAGAGAGAGACATGTGGATGCACAAAAATTCAGGGACCCAAGCTACTGCCATCATGGACACAAGGGAACCTGGAAGTGGCTGGGGTCATAGCCAGCCATGGTCAGGAACGAGACACGCCTGTGCAGCCACCGCTCCGGGCTCAGGTTCTTTCCTGTCACTGCCCTCGGCTCCCTAGACGGGGCTTGTAGAGATGCAGGAATCTGAATTGAAGCAGAGGGCTCCTGTGTGGCTGGTGGGACTACTGAAGTCTGGAGAGGGGAGGTCTGGGTAAAAAGTCACACAGCATTGAAGTGAGAGTCTCCTGATGCAGGCTGGGGGCCACTTTCTTGTTCCTCTGGCTGCCCCTGGGGACCATTCCCTCATCATTCTGTCCTGTGTGCAGTCAGGAAGATGTCTTCTTTCCTGGTTGAATGGACGCCCCCACTCATCCAGTCATTGCCCATGCCTATACCTCTGCTTCTGCTTTCGCTCAGCTTCCCTAGGCTCTTTCTGCTTGCATCTCTGTGTACATTTCTCTCCTGTTTCCCTGTCTCCATCTCCCTGTATGTCTCCTTGTCCCTTCCTCCCCCATCCCTTCCCTTGCCTCCCTGTCCATCTCCTCATCTCCCTGGGTCTGGTTGTCTGTTCCCTTTGCCAGGCCACATCTGCTCCTTTGCTGTCAGGTCACGTGTTGCCCAGAGCTGGCCTCTGTCTGGGATTGGCAGAGTTGAGATCCCCAGGACTGCTTCCTTTAGAGCTGTGGCCCTGGAAGGAGGAGGTTGGGGAGCGGCTCATTTCTGAACTCTTTGGAGCCTTCCTACAGTGACCTGCACTGGGTCATCTGTCCTTCCCTCCCAGGACGAGGGAAGGACGGCTGGGAAGCAGCCAGCTCTCTTTCATCACAGACCTATTCTCACTCAGGCTGGAAGAGGGGGCTGGAGTTGGGTGGGGAGGGTTCAAGAGGACTCCCACTGACTCTTCAAGCCGACTGGGATCATCCTAGACAAACCTGCTGCTGTCTGCGGCCAGCTGCCCCCAAAGAAGCTCCCTTCCTGCCTCCCCTCCCCCAGGTTCTCCTGGCAGAATGAATCTACCTTGCCTCACCTTTCCCTACTCCCCTCTCTCCCACCCAGGCACAAAGGGCTGCCTTCCCCTACCACGCCTGCTTTCCAACCTGCGCACCTGCAGGATGGAGAGGAAATAGCTGAGCTCTGGAGACTGATAGGACCACGACAAATCCCAGCTCTGCCACGTGCTAGCTGTGTCATCTCGGGCAAGTGACTGAACCTCTCTGAGCCCAGTTTCTTCCTCTATAAAATGCAGACAATACTCCTTCCCCTGCAAGGCTGTCAAGAAGATTATCTTATGTGAAAGTAGCTAGTAGAGAGCTGGGCACAAAGTAGACTTAATAAAACATTTGTTATGAATAAATGAATGAGTAAATATGAGTGAATCATAGAATTGAGACATGCATAAATGGGGCATGGAGAAGGAGTGCCAGGTGTCCAGAATGGTACAGGCAGAGGCAGGAGGTAAGAAACCCTGGAGAGGGGACAGGGAACCATGAGCACGTGAAGTACAAATGCAGAGTCAGGGGTCCCAAAAGAAAGTCTCAGGACATGAGGCAGAAGTGGCAAGGGCCACATCCTGGCAGTGTGAAGAGCCAGGCTCAGAGGCTTTTTTCCTTTTTCTTTTTAAAATTGAGCATCCCTCGTAGCAGCAAAAGGAATGATCAGAACTTACTGAGAGTCAACAATGAACCGGGCAGCTAAAAGTGATTAAGGCAGCAGCTTCCGTGAGTAGAGGCCTCGTGCTGGGGCATCTGACAAGCATTGCCTCATTTAATCTTCACAGCAGCCGCTGAGGGAGATGCTATTACTATTGTTTTCGCTTTACAGTTCAGGAAATTGAGATCTAGAGAAGTAAAGTGATTTTCCTGAATCACACTGCTAATAATGATCCCAGCTAGGATTTGAATCCTGGTCTATTCTGGCTCCAGAGCTTGTGCTCAGTCCCTTGGCACCACTTGACCTTCCGAAGGGAGGACCCCCACATCCCTGGGCAGGTGAGGCCATGTGAGTGAAATGGCTTAAACACACTTTGAGTTAATGAAGGGGAGTACAGAAGGCATAAGCAGAGTGCCTGAGTATGAGGAAGATGGAAGCTTGGCTTGGGGGAATCAGGGCAGGCTTTCTGGAGGGCGCTGGACACAGAGGCAGAGGGGCAGCCCAGGAGTGAGGCTGAGGCAGGCCTGGTGGGGATGGAGGTGGGGTGGGGGCTGTCACCCAGGGCCTGGAGTACAGTAGCTGTGCTGCCTGCAGCCTGGGGCTGGGGTTCTTGACCAAGATCTGCTTTTGACTGGGGTCTACTTCCGTAGCCCCACCAGGCCCAGCTTGTGCCTCATCTGCTGGTCCCCAGAAAAGCAAGAAGATCAGGATTCTGGTGACTCCAGACCTGGGCCCCATTCCCAGTTCTGCTACCCTATCATCTCTTTTTTTTTTTTTTTTTGAGACAGAGTCTTGCTCTGTCACCCAGGCTGGAGTGCAGTGGCATGCTCTCCGCTCACTGCAACCTCCGCCCCCCACCTCCCAACCCGGGTTCAAGGGATTCTCCTGCCTCAGCCTCTGGAGTAGCTGGGATTACAGGCACACACCACCACACCTGGCTAATTTTTGTATTTTTAGAAGGATGGGGTTTCACCATGTTGGCCAGACTGGTCTCGAACTCCTGACCTCAAGTGTTCTGCCCACCTCAGCCTCCCAAAGTGCTGGGATTACAGGTGTGAGCCACCACGCCTGGCCTGCTACCCACTTGCTGCAGAACTTTGGCCAAGCTTATGCCCCTTTCTGATCCTTGCTTTCCCCACCTCCAAAATGGGGGTAGAAATGCCCACAGCTGGGTGCAGCTGACAGTCAAGGGCCAGCAGGGTCCGTACAGGGCCAGGTTCAGAGCAAGTGCTGAGCAGTGCTGGCTCCTTCTCCCATCCCCAGGGGCCCCTGAAACTCTGGGCCAGGCCTGGACGCCAACAGAGAGGGTGTGTGCTGCAGACTCCAAAGCCAATACAGTCTGGATCTATATTGTCTGAATCTGTACTGCTGTGTGGTCTGGAGTAGGGTACTTAACCCACTCTATGACAGTTTCCTCATCTGTAACATAAAGATTCTAAGTCCAGAGTCCCTTCTCTAAAACCTGTAAAGTTAGATGAGTTTCAGAGTTCTTCTTATTCTAAAGTCTAACGCAAAACGTATCCTGTGTGCTGCGTGACCTCCCAGTGGGATCTAGGGCATTTCTTATAATTAAATTCATGTTTTTTCCCAAAAACATATAAATATTCGTATCAGGTAGTGAAATGAAGACCCAAAATAGCCTCTCCTTAGTCCAGGTCAGATGTGGCATCAGACCTGTGGAAAACCTTTTTGGTCACTGAAGCTTTTTGAATTTCAATCTTGTGGTTAAGGGATGATGAGCCTGGAGTATTTGCTCACGCATGGGGCTGATGAGGGGATAAGATGAGTTCCTATACACAAGGCATTCAGAACCATGCCTGGCACATAGTGAGGACTTGAGACATAAATGGTAGACAATGGCTTCCTCCCTTGCTCAAAGCCTTCTCATGGCTCCCATGTCCTCAGGATAAAGTGCAAACAATTTAGCATGGCATTTGAGGCCCTTTATGGTTGGTGTCCTGCAAAGCTTGATTCTCAGGTGTTACCACTGCCCCTCACACCCTAAACTTTATATTCATTCTTTTGTCAATTCCTCAGTCACATCAGACCCTCTTTCTCTGGAGGCTGTTTCACTTGCTGTATTTTCTGCCTGAAACGCACCCCCTTCCCTAAACTTCCTTTCTCCACTCTGTGTCAGCCTGCAAATCTCACCGCCCTCATCTAAGCAAAAGTCACCTGCAATGACTATTGCCTACCTCCCTCCTCCAGACTGTGGTCTCCAGGAATGCCGGGGCCATGTGCATATTCTTCTGTGGCACACAGTTGGTGCTGAATGAATGAACATTCTCACCCATCAGTGGTGTTGCGTTTAGCTCAGGGACTGAATAGCATTCATTGGATGAATAAATGAAACACAGCTTTGGAAGGAAGATCCCTAAAGGAATCTTCCATCCCTACCTCCACATGTACCGCAGGAGAAAATTCCTGGAATGCTTTCCTCCTGCCCTTTCTAACTCTCATCCCCCTCAGATTCCTTAAGTGATTTTAAAACAGGGGACCCAGTCCATGCAGGGGGTCAGTGGGGCCTCCAGAATTGCAGGGCCTGGAGGAGGCAGCATCCGTACATTAGGCAGAAACCACTTGTCCGGGGTTGTTAGAGGCCTCTGGGGCCCGGGGAGCAGGGGGTAGGGCAAAGCGGGCCTCCAACACTCTGGGGCAATTGATATAAAATAAACTCCATAATCAGGTAAATGCATTCGTGCGGGGGATGGTTCCCGTGCAGCTGTGGGCGTCCCCCAGCCGGAGGGGACCTGTCTAATCTCAGGGTAATGAAAACGTGGGTCTAATTACCTCAGAGGGCCGAGGCCTGGGCCACGGCCGGAGTTGGGGAGTGGGGGCCCTGGCAGCGGAATTAGAACATTTAAGCTGTCACACCAAATCCGGGAGAGGCCTGATTACCTGGCCCTAGAAGAGGCCGCTTTGGTTTGGTGTCGACTATAATTTCCTGGCCACCAGCCGTGAAGCCAAGGGCCACCTTCTCTCCCCTGTGATGGGGGTCCAGGTTCTGCCTCTTTGACCCCCCCACCCTCACATCAGACCCACCCAGGGGAGCCCGCCTGGGCCTCCCAAGCTGCCCGTGTGGGGTAGATAGGGGAACAGGTACACCAGTCACACATACCGGCTACGTGTATGCACACAGGTTATAGGTAAATGCCTTAAGGAAAGTGTGCATGCTGGCAGAGGGTGAATGAACATGAGCAGATGTGTATATGGTACATCTACATTTGTTGTGTGCACACTCTACTTTGGATTGTATGTGTGGGTTGCAGGTACAAGTGGTATGAATATACTGGGTGTGGGTAAATAATAGGAGATGTGTCTACATGGATTATGTGCAGGTGATCCACCTTTTTTTTTTTTTTTTTGACTTTTTTCTGAGACAGGGTCTTACTCTGTCACCCAGGCTGAAGTGCAGCGGTGCAATCATGGCTCACTGCAGCCTGGACCCCCTGGGCTCAGGCGATCCTCCCATCTCAGCCTCCTGAGTAGCTGGGACTACAGGTGGGCACCACCGTGCCCAGCTAATTCTTTTTATTTTTGCAAAGATGAGGTCTTCCTATGTTGTCCAGGCTGGGCTGATCCATCAAGGGGGCAAGTGAGTGGTTCGTGCCTATGGGCTGTATGTTCATGACGCTACAAATGGGAAATGTGCACACAGCAGGGCCACATGTATGCAGGTTACATGTGGTATGTGTTCACAGTGGTGTGTGCTGGTAAGTGCCATGAAAGCAAGAAGCTGACCGCTGTACCCCAGCATCTAGCCTGGCACATGGTGGATAGCTGTTGATTATATAGATGCTCAATGACTAGAATCCGTTATCTTCAGCAAACAAACGCAGGAACAGAAAACTAAATACCGCATGTTCTCACTTACAGTGAGAGCTGAATGATGAGAACACACGGACAGATGGGGGAGGAACAACATACACTGGGGCCTGTTGGAGGGTGGAAGGTGGGAGGAGGGAGAGCATCAGGAAGAATAGCTGATGGATGCTGGGCTTAATACCTAGGTGATGGGATGATCTGTGCAGCAAATCACCGTGGCACACGTTTACTTATGTAACAAACCCGCACATCCTGTACATATACCTCTGAACTTAAAATAAAAGTTGGAAGTCGGGCCGGGCACAGTGGCTCACGCCTGTAATCCTAACACTTTGGGAGGCTGATGAGGGTGGATCACCTGAGGTCAGGAGTTCAAGACCAGGCTGGCCAACATGGCGAAACCCCGTCTCTACTAAAAATACAAAAATTAGCCGGGCATGGTGGCGGGCACCTATAGTCCCAGCTACTCGGGAAGCTGAGGCAGGAGAATCGCTTGAACCTGGGAGGTGGAGGTTGCAGTGAGCTGAGATCACGCCATGGCGCTCCAGCCTGGGCAACAAGAGTGAAACTTCGTCTCAAAAAAAAAAAAAAAAAAAAAGTTGGACATCAAATAAACAAACAAACAAACAAAACTATAGATGCTCAACGAATTTATGTCTGTGTGATAGGTACAGGGGAACTATGTGAGGCATGTGTTAATGATATGAGCATTTGGAGTCTACAGGGAATGTGCCTGATGTGTGTGTGTGTGTGTGTGTGTGTGTGTGTGTGTGTGTGTGTGTGTGTGTGTATTTGTCCCCATTGTGTGATTGGGGGGCATGAGCTCCAGATACAGTACTGTGGAATGCTGAACTGCCTCCTCCATTTACAGGTTGACCTTAGGGAAGTCATTTAACCCCTCTGAGCCTGACTTCTCATCTGTAACACAGATACTAATAATCACAGCTAACATTTACTGAGCACTCAGTCTATGTGTGGCACTGTACTATACGCTTCTCATGCATGATGATCTCATTGACTTCCCAACAACTCAAAAAAGGAGGTACTACTATCGGCCCCATTTTACAGATGGGGAAACAAGCTTGCCACAGGTTAGATAATGGTGAAGCCAGGATTCAAACTCAGGTGATCTGACTGTGGTGTGAACTTTTAGCAGCCAGGCTAAATGAATAGGACCTGTTGCATAGGCCTGTCCGAAGGATTGAATGAGGTCATCCACCCAGCAGTGCATATGGCACATAGTAATCACTCGGTAAATGTTATTGCTATTATTTGCACATAGATATGGGACATATAAAACAGCTACAAGAATGTGTGGGAAATGGGCATGTAGTATATTTGTGACAGAGAGATGTGTAGCTGTGTTTGTGTGGTGTGTATAGACATACATTTACACAAGGTTTATGACACATGTATTTGGGTATATGAATATACGATATATTTTACATGATGAACACAAGGCATGTAAATCCATGTATTATGATGTCTTTGGATGTACTATATTGACATGTGGCTTATGAAATTAGACAAGCACATACTTGAGGGTTGTGATACACATATGGTCTACCCGGGGTCTGCGTATGTATACATCTAGGGTGCAGGCATAAATGTGCACATGGCACACAGCAGGACACTTGTGTGCACAGAAGTGATACATATTATAGATGCAGATGCCATAGAGAGAGATCAGATGTAGGCCAGGTGGTGGCTAATGCCTGTAATCCCAGCACTTTGGAAGGCTGAGGCAGATGGATCACTTGAGCTCAGGAGTTCAAGACCAGCCTGGGCAACATGGCAAAACCCGTCTGTGCAAAAAGTAGATAAATTAGCCAGGCGCAGTGGCGTGCACCTGTAGTCCCAGCTACTCAGGAGGCTGAGGCAAGACAATTGCTTGAGCCAAGGAGGTGGAGGTTGCAGTGAGCCCAGATTGTGCCACTGCACTTCAGCCTGGGTGATGGGAGTGAAACCCTCTGTCTCAAAAAAAAAAAAAAAAAAAAGGTATGCATGTAGCAGAGATAGTATGCATGTTGTATACTAGACTATGCATATACTGTATACCATGCATTTATATGGTCTAGTATGTGCAGATGTATGTGAGGTGCTTATGCATGGGGTATTTATAGGCATGTGGATGTAAGTGGAGTATGTTTGTGTAATACATATACTTGGAGGTATATATTGTATATAATTTTGAGATGTATCTATTTGTTTGTGACACATATTTTGTGCATCTTTGCTCCAGCGTCACCTTCTTAAGTTAAAATATCCATAGCTACCCTGTTTAAAACAGCCCCAATTTCCCACCAGTCCCTTCTTCCCTTTTCTCCCTAAAAGTATTGATTTTTAATATACCATATAATGTAGTAATTTAGGATGTTCTGTTTCCTCCCTCACTAGAGCATAAACTTCAGAAGTCCAAAGCTCTTCTCAGTTTTTACTGTATTGGCCGCCATCCATTACAGCTCACTGCAGCCTGCATGGAACTCATGGGCTCAAGCGATCCTCCCTCCTCACCTACCCGAGTAGCTGGGACTACAGGCGCGCGACACCACGCCTGGCCAGCTTTTCTCTTTGTTCACGCTGGACCCCCAGTGCCTGGCACAGGGCCTGGTCCCTGGCAGATGCCCACCCACTCAGCCACCACGTGTGGAAGCAACACGTGGATGTCGGCGCAGGCAATGCGGCTGTGTGGGGCACGTGCAGCGTGCAGTGGAGACTTAGGTGCATGGCACAGACACGCATGTTACAAGGGGTGCGACCGGCAGAAGGCTTGTGCGCGCGCCTGAATACATGACGGCCGCCTGCCCGCTGCCGCTTGCCCGTCGCTAGGTCACCTCGCACCCTCGCCCGGCGGCCCTCGGTGGGCGGCCCCGTCCGTCTCCCGGGGCGCGACCCCGTGTACCCGCGCGGCGGTCCCGGGCTGCTGTCATTTCCCGGCGGCCGCAGGGCGGGGAGTGAGCGGGCCGCGGCCCGGCCGGGCGGGCAGGAAGCGCGCATTGTTCGCGGGCCGCGGCCCGGCAGGGAGTTCCCGGCCCCGCGCGGACATAAAAGGAGAAAGAGCGCCCGCGGAGCGGCCCGGGCGGCCGGGGGAAGCGCGGCCCCGTGCTCCGCTGACCCCGGCGTCCACTCCCGGCTCCGCCCCTCGGCTTTGAGGCGCAGATTCGAATCCCGGCTCGCCGCCTCCCTGAGCCTGGGAAATGAACGTTGGCTACTGGAAGCCCTCTCAGGGCAGACCCCCGTGCTCGCCCCCTCCACTCCCCGCGTCCAGTTTCCTGCTCCGCTAAAAACCCAACCCTGTGCTACGGTTCCTCAGCCTCCTGACAAGAGAAGGTGCACAGTGAAACCCAGGATTTCGGAGGAAAGTTTCACCAGCTAAGAAACCTACCACTGTAGCTTGAGCCACGCCCCACAACTCTGGCCTAAAACACCCTCTTCTGAGCGGAACGTTGTTTGCAGGCACCTTTATGGATGGGAAACAGAGACCCGGAAGAGGAAAAACTTGCTTAAGGCCATCAATAACAAAAACCCTATTGTGCAAAATTTTTACAAACCGGGGGCTTTCTCCCGTGCTTAGAGGCATTGCCACTTTCATGGTGGTTGTTGATTGAAAAACTGATGGAATGATCACTTACTGGGTGAACCGGCGTCACACCTGATACTGAATCCTCACGTCCCTTTTGGAGGTGGACATGAGTAAACTGAGGCCCAGAGATATAAAGTGTCTTGCCCCAGCTGGTTGAGGAATGGGACTCGGCCCTGCTCTGTTTTGGGAGATGTTACTCCTGACAATGCTGGCACCATAATCTTGGGCGGGGACATATTTGCATAAGGGTTAAGATCTAATCAAGTCAGGAAAAAGTAAGGAGTTAGCAACCCCACCCATTGCAGCCCAGCCCAGCCCATAGCATTGAGCTTTGCCCTCTTGGCCTAGATTGTCCTCTTGCCTCTTTGGTGGGAAAAGGTAGGAAAGGAAAAGGTTGAATCTTCACAGTTCCCACAGGGGCCCAGAGAGGTTAAGTGAGTGGCACCAGGTCACACAGCAAAATGGCTGTGAAGCAGAGCCTCCACTCACACACAGCCAGACCTCTCTTTTTGGGGAGAACCCTTTTCCTGCGTCCTGAAATTTTGGGGACCTGTCCTGAGGTGTCTTCACCCACTAGGCCAGGAGATTCTGATTATGGAGAAACGGCCTCCCCTCCACCCCTATCCCTGCCCGGCCGGGGAACCCTACACCCTGGGGTAATTGAGATCAGATGCAGCTGTGACCCACAGAATGCTCCCTAGGAACCTGGAAGCATTTATTGTCTGGAAGAGAATCCAGGGTTATCCTCCCTCCCTTGCTGTCCCCTCCCCAGGCGGCCTGGCCGAAGGTGGATCGGGCCTGAGGAGCCTCTGGTGCTGCCCCGGGTTAGAGCAGAGGCCTTGATGAATACGACTGCTGAAAGCGTCTTCCTGGCTTCCTCCTTCCTGGGGATATGGTTACAGGGGGCCAGACTTCCTGCCCAGCCTGCCTTCGCCTTCGCCTTTTTAGCAAAGTGTGGTTCTGCAGGCTCTCCTCCTGCAGGCAGCTCCGCACGCCCACCCCCATGCTTTGCAGCTGGGGCACCAGCTGGCCCCATTTCATTCAGAGCCCAGCTCAAATGTCACCTCCTCAGGGAGACCCTCCCTGGCCACCCTATATGAACCAGCCCACCTACCAGCAGTCCTTCCCTCTCACCCTGTTTAATTCTCTTCATATCACTTATCTTTAGTTGGGTGGTTCATTTATTTTCTTTCAATAATGTTTATTTCCTCTCCCCACCGCAAGAATGTGAACCCTGGGAGGAAGGGGACTTTGTCCTGCTCACTGCTGTATCATGAAGCCTGGAACTGTGCTTGGCACATAGTAGGTGCTCAGTAAATACTGGCTGAAAGAACAAGGCAAGGACTGAGCAACTGCTGTTGACCTCTGAACTTGGAAGTTGGCCTTGAATCACATTGCTCTGAGGTGAGGTTTGCAGTTTCGGATCTCCACCCTTTGGCTTGTCCTGATTGCACATCTCTGGTATAAATCCCCACTATCTTTTTTTTTTAAACAGAGTCTCACTTTGTCACCCAGGCTGGAGTGCTGTGGTATGATCTCGGCTCACTGCAACCTCTGCCTCCCAGGTTCAAGTGATTCTCCTGCCTCAGCCTCCCGAGTGTGGGATTATGGGTGCCTGCCACTACACCTGGCCCCTGGTCTCCAATTTCTTGTGTCTGGATTTTGGTTCTCTCTCCTCACTCAACAAGCCCATTTTACATGGTAGTGCTATGAAGTCGGGCAGGGTGCCTGCTGGCCAATACCATACCTTTGTCTGACTTGAGAAAAGGTGCTCCCTAATGGGAGGATGCAGTCCTGCTGGTCCCCAGCTTGACCAACAGAAAGTGAACTTACATGAAGAAAACGGACCATCTTTTTTGGCTGACACAGCCCCACACTTGGGCATAGGTTGGCTGATTTCAGACCTCTTGTGTAGTGCACAGACTCCACAGGTGTGTGACTTGTGCTTGGTTTAATCTTCTACTGCCATTGTCTTGAACATTTTAATATTTGAACAAGGGGCTGCATATTTTTATTTTTCAAAGGGCCCCTCAAATTACGTAGCTAGTCCTGATTCTACACACAGTCCTGATTAGGTGTTAGCTGCCCCCATTATACAGAGGGGGGAAGCTGAAGCCCAGAAAAGGTGACCACTAACGTGGCTCAGTGAAGCCTGGTGGGGCAGAGGCTGGTCTGCCAGCTCCTAGCTGGGTGAGGCTGGGCACACTCTGTTATGGGGGAAACAGGCATGGTCCCCTCCCCTGACCCCCGCAGGTGCTCAGGATCAGAGAGAAGAGAGATGCTGTTCACTTGTTTGCATTGCCCGGACACAGCAGGTGCTTGGTACTTGTGGGGGACTGAGGTGCCAGGGCAGTGTGGTAGAGGGAGTGACGCTTTCCATTAGGGGCTTTGGAGAGGGCTCCCTGGAGGAGGTGTCAAGGGATCTGACATTGAAGGATGAGGAGGGTTTGAATCAAGAGAGGAGGGGAAGGATATTCCCAAGAGAAGGTCCAGGATGGGCAAAGATCGCTCAGTCTGGATAGGAGAATGAGGATGGCACTGGAGAGGTAGGGGCCTCAACGTCAGGGTGAAGATTTTATCTTCTGTGTGGGCTTGGGAGAGTCCCCAGCTTCTACTCCAACCACAGCAGATCAGTGTAAACATGTTTTCTGTTTTATACATGGGATGGAGGTGCAGGGAGTGAGAGGGTCTTTGGATTTTGCTTGTAAAAAAAGAAGTTGCCTCTAAAAATATGGTTAAAAGCCACAGCTGTCGGGGATGGAAAACAGAGAAGGAATTAATACTCCGTCTGGCAGCTCTGGCCTTCTTTCCTTAAGGAGGGTTTGCCCTCTTTAAGGAAAACCCATAGCCTCAGAGAGGGGCAGGTGTCTGCTCTGGGTCCCTGGTGTATCTAGAACCCAGGACTCCTGACTACTAGATTGGTGCTTTTTTGACTTCATAGCTGCAGGAACTCATCTCCACAGGCCTGTGGTCCAGTTTCCGTGGTCTCGTGGCAAAGCTGCATCTCCAGCAGCAATAGATGCTTCCTTCTCCCTCCTCTGGCCGGCCTGCCAGGCCAGCCCTGGAAAAAGGCGGCCTATGCTGCCACCTGGTGGCCACTCACAGGCAGGGGAGGGTGCCACTTCTCTGCTGGGAGCTAGCTGCATTGTCCTGGTAACTGATGGTCTAGACACGGGATCCTGTGCCTGGGTGGGGGTTGCCCTGTTCTGGGGCATTGACCCCTTTGGGAATCTGGGACTATTAATGGTGGTATGGCCCACCTCAAATCTGTTCTTCCTTCTGTCTTTCCCAGTCTAAGGGACTTAATACCCTAATTGTCTAATCTGGAAGCCTGGGTTTTACCCTTGACTCTTCCCCCTCTCTTTTCCCCTAAATCCGGTCTGTCCCGAAGTCCTGTCAAGCCTACCTTTTAGGCACATATGGCATGTGTCCCATGCTCTCTATTCTCAAGACCACGACTCGGGTCCAGCCGCGTCATTGTCCTCACCTGGTCTTCTCCCCACTCAGGCCTGTCTGCAATCCACTCCCCAGTCTACATCCAGAGGGACTTTGTTAAAATGCATGAATACTTATATTCTCCCTGCTTGAAACCATCAATGGCTCCCTATTACCCCCAGGACAAAACTTAGCCTTTTTGCCAGGCTGCCTCTTAGAATTGCCACCCTCTTAGAAATAGTCTCTTACAAACCCTCTAGCTCTGCTTCCCACAAGCCCCCTCTTTCCCCCACTAGCTGGGCAGCATAGCACAGTGGTTACAGGAGTAGATGCTAGTGCCTGGGTATCTGCTTTTTTTTTTTTTTTTTTTTTTTTTTTGCAATGGAGTCTCACTCTGTCGCCCAGGCTGGAGTGCAGTGGCGCAATCTCAGCTCACTGCAAGCTCCGCCTCCTGGGTTCACGCCATTCTCCTGCCTCAGCCTCCCCAGTAGCTGGGACTACAAGCGCCTGCCACCACGCCTGGCTAATTTTTTGTATTTTTTTTTTTTTTTAGTAGAGATGGGGTTTCACCCTGTTAGCCAGGATGGTCTCAATCTCCTGACCTCATGATCCTCCCGCCTTGGCCTCCCAAAGTGCTGGGATTACAGGCGTGAGCCATCAAGCCCTGCTGGTATCTGCTTTTAAATTTCGCTTTTGTCATTTGATAACTGTGTGACCTCAGTCAGGTTCCTTATCTCATTTTCCCAATCTCCAAAATGGGATTGATGATAATAGTGCCTAAGAGGCACTATTAACTGAAATATCACATAAGAAATTGTGCTAAGTTGGGCCAACTACAAGGTTAGAGGGCAGAGACTCCACACAAGACCACTTTCATTTCTTTCTTTCTTTCTTTTTTTTTTTTTTGAGATGGAGTCTGGCTCTGTTGCCCAGGCTGGAGTGCAGTGGTGTGATCTCGGCTCACTGCAACCACCACCTCCAAGGTGTGAGTGATTCTTCTGCCTCAGCCTCCCAAGTAGCTGGGACTACAGGTGCGTGCCACCAAGCCTGGCTTTTTTTTTTTTTTTTTTTTTGTATTTTTAGTAGAGACAGGGTTTCACCGTGTTAGCCAGGATGGTCTCGATCTCCTGACCTTGTGATCCGCCCGCCTCGGCCTCCCAAAGTGCTTGGATTACAGGCGTGAGCCACTGTGCCCGGCCCACCTTCATTTCTTAAAAATTTTTTTTAATTAAAAAATTAAAAAATAATTTTTTGTGTTAATTTTTTTCCCCCAGAGATGAAGTCTCACTATGTTGCCCAAGCTGGTCTCGAGCTCCTGAGCTCAAGTGATCTGCCCACCTTGGACTCCCAAAATGCTGGGATTACAGGTGTGCGCTACTGTGCCTGGACAAAAAATTTTAAAGTTTTAAAATTTATTCATTTATTTGTTTATTATTATTTTTGAAACAGAGTCTCAGTCTATCACCCAGGCTCGAGTGCAATGGTATGATTATGGCTCACTGCAGTCTTGACCTCCTGGACTCACGTGATCCTCCCACCTCAGCCTCCTGAATAGCTGGGACTACAGGCATGCACTACCATGCCAGGCTGATTTTTTATTTTTTGTAGAGACACAGTACCATTATGTTGCTCAGGCTGGTCTCGAACTCCTGGCCTCAAGTGATCCACCCATCTCAGCCTCCCAAAGTGCTGGGATTACAGGCATGAGCCACGATGCCTGTCCACCATCACTTCTGATACCAGCTACAAGTTCAAGAGGTTCCCCAAACCACCCTCAGATTCCGTAATTTGCTAGAAAGACTCACAAGACTCACTGAAAGCCGTTATACTCATGGTTATAGTTTATTACAGGGAAAGAATACAGATTAAGATCAGCCAAAGGGAGAGATGTATAGGGCAGAGCCCAGGGGGGTTTCTTTCAAACATGAAGTAAAGCTTCCATTGTCCTTCCCATGGAATCAGAATGTGTCACTCTCCTAGAATCAATGTGACAATATCTGTGGAGTATTGCCAACTGAGGAAGTGCATCTGAGCTCAGTGTTCAGAGTTTTTATTGGGGCTCTATTTTCTTTTCTCTAATTTACTTTATTGTAAGAATATAGCATATAATATATATAACATATAAAATATGTGTTAATCATCTGTTATGTTATTGGTAAGGCTTCTGGACAACGGTAGGCTATCAATGGTTAGGTTTTTGGGGAGTCAAAAGTTATATGTGAATTTTTGACTGCATGGGGGTCAGTTTCCCTAATCCCTGCATTATTTTTATTTTTTTGAGACAGAGTCTAGTTCTGTTGCCAGGCTGGGGTGCAGTGGCATGATCTAGGCTCCTTGCAACCTCTGCCTCCTGGGTTCAAGTGATTCTCCTGCCTCAGCCTCCTGAGTAGCTGGAATTACAGGTGCCTGCCACGATGCCCAGATAATTTTTGTATTTTTAGTAGAGACAGGGTTTCACCATGTTGGCCAGGCTGGTCTCGAACTCCTGACCTCAAGTGATCCACCTGTCTTAGCCTCCCAAAGTGCTGGGATTACAGGCATGAGCCACCGTGCCTCGCCACCCCTGCATTGTTTAAGGGTCAACTGTACTAGCTGTTATCCACTTGAGATGCAATCTACTTCTCACAGTTCCTCTAAAGGGGAACTCTCTGTCTCTGGGCCTTTGCACCTACTGTCTTCTCTGCTACGAACACCTTTTCTCTGGGAAGACCCTGGGGACTGAGTTAGGTGCCCTGCATGTACCTCACCTGCCTCCTCTTCTCCTCTTTCCCAGGACTTATCCCATGGTCATTGCCTGGTCAGTGGTCAATGTCTGTGTCCCCCATCACAGTGTGGGTACCTTGTGGGCACAGAAGCTTCTGTCTTATTCTTCCCTGTTCCAGGTGCTCGGCACAAAGTAAGCACTAAGGAACTGGTTATTTTATTATTTTTATTTTTGAGACAGAGTCTCCCTCTGTTGCCCAGGCTGGAGTGCAGTGGCGCAATCTCAGCTCACTGCAACATCTGCCTCTCGGGTTCAAGTGATTCTCCTGCCTCAGCCTCCTGAGTAGCTGGGATTACAGGTGCATGACACAATGCACAGTTAATTTTTGTATTTTTGGTAGAGACGGGGTTTCACCATGTTGGCCAGGCTGGTTTCGAACTCCTGACCTCAGGTGATCCACTCACCTCAGCATCCCAAAATGTTGGGATTACAGGCGTGAGCCACTGCGCTCAGCCAGGAACTGGTTATTAAGTTAAACTTTGAACTCTGTGCTATAGGACAGAACTTAAAAACTAGATTAGACTCAGAAAGGATTTGAAAATAAATGATACAAATCTGGTGAAAAGCCATGGTCAGAAGAGGGACATTTCCTCTACTTCATAATGACATTAACCATTTAAATGCCAGGTTCTGTGCCAGGTGCTTATCCATGCTATCTCTTTTCTCCTTTAAAGCCCATGCATACAATTATCTCCATGTTAGTGATGAGGGCTTGGCCATTTAGGGAGGCAAGGTGATTTGCTCAAAGTCACACAGCTAGTAAGGGCCGAGGCGGAACTCATGCCTCTTGGAGGAGCTTGCCTCCGAGAGCTTGTAGCCTCTGGAAACAGTGATGTTGGCAGGGAGGGTGATTGCTGCTTGCCTGACTCTGAGGGCCCACTGGGCAGAGAAAATGACCTGTGTTGTGGGCCCTGAGCAGCAGCAGGGCCAGCAGGAGGCTGGGGAGGTGGATTTCAGTTTCTTGTGTCCAAGAACGCAGGCTGCCTGACGGGGTGGCAGCAAATGAACTCTTGCCTTGCACATTTGCTGCCCATGTGCCTCAAGGTCCAGGCCTGGGCTGAGATCCCTCCTCTCTGTCTATCCCCAGTGCTGCTGGGGGTGGGGAGAGGGTTCTGGGGAAAGAGGAAGGAAGAGCCAGTCCAGCCAGAGGTCTGCAGAGGAGCCAAAGGAAGAGGGAAGGAAGAGGAAGGAGGGAGGGCTCGGAGTGAGGGCTCAGAGTGAGGGTTCTGAGATTCCCAGCTCCCTCCAGTGCCTGAGTTCGTGGGTTCTGAGAAACAAGACGCTCTCTGGGTTGGGGGTGGGCTGCCTGAATTTGACCTTTTGGGCAGATGGGGCAGAAATCAGGGCCTCAAACAAACTCCATCTTGAGAGCCAACTGGGGAAGGACCTTGGCCTGGGGGCCAGGAGCCCTGGATTCCAGCTCCTTCTCTGTTTCGTGTTCTTGGGCAAACTCTTTCAGCTGTAGGCCTCAGTCTCCAGATCAGTTGAATGGAGGTTTGGGCTCAATGACTTGAGGCACCCCCTACAGAAAGGCAGGAAGCTGGGGCTCAGAGAAAGGTTGGGGAGGGAACTGGAGGTTGGGTCAGGATGGGTCCTAGTGGTGCCTGTCCATGGGCCTAGAGCCGAGTTCCGCAGCCACCCCACCCACTCCCAGCTTCTCCTCTGCCCACCACACAGACCACAGCCTTCTCTTCTCCTTTTCTGTATTCAGATATCCTTCTGGGGAAGGCCCAGGCTGGCTCCTGGGAACTCTGAGCTGCTGAAGGAGGCAACTCTAGCAGGAGGGATTGCAGTTAGAGATACAGCAGGCCACAGGCTTGGGAGGAGACAGCTGGGCTGCAGGAGGGGCCACATTGAGTGCCGTGGGAGTGGTGAGGGGTCTTTTTCTTACCCTAGCCTACCTTTGGCCCAGTATCCACCCCCCAGCACTGGTTTCTTCTGGAGTCTGGACTACCCAGGAGGCTGGTGTGGGTTGGCGGGGGAGGTAGATAGGAAGGAATGCAGCCCTGGCCTTGTCTGAGAGCTCACCCTGACCAGGAAAGTCATGGAGGCTGTGCCTGGCTGGCTGGGGGGCCTGTGGCCAAGGGTGCAACGGCTGGATTCTACATTCAGTCTAGAACTGGGACTTGGTTTGACTTGAACTGAATTTAGTAGAGTTAAACTGAGTTGGGTTGTGTTGGGATGGGTTTGATTGGGTTGACTTGATTGGAGTTGAGTTTGATTGACTTGAGTAAGGTTTAATTTGGGTGGGTTGAGTGGAAGTAAATTGAACTGAGTTGAATTTAGGATAGTTGAGTCATAAAACCCCAGTCCTATCCATCACAAGCAGCCACTCTGTGGTGGGAGGCAAACTCCTGCTTCCTCCTCTCTCCTGGGCCTATGAGGCCTTCCCCCTGGTGCTCTCAGAATGGTACCTGCAGTCCTGATCCCAAGAGGTGGAAGGGTTGGGGTCAGTGGTGGATGACTGTCATCAAAGGGACACCCAGATTGCTTCTTGGCTCCCCTCCTCCCCATCCTCCAGACAACACATTTTACTATGAGAGAGGTAGAGAAAGGCACAGAGAAGAGATAGAGATGGAGGAAAAAGACAGTCAGTGAGGCACTGCTCTGAGGCGGTAATGGCATGGCGATTGATGCTTCTGTTCATAAAGATGGCTTCTGGGGACAGACACTGTTGTTTTCCCACCCACCTCCCAACCTGACGCTCAAATCTCCTTACTCTGGGTTCAGATTCTGGGCTCTCCAGCCTCAGGAGGGCCTCATTCTGATTCCCCTAACACTGTATGATCTGGGGCAGGCCCCCTCCAGTCTCTGGGTCTCAGTTTCCCCATCCATAAAATGAGAAGATTGGCCTCAGTTTCCTTCCAGCTCTATTGTGTCTAATACTAATTTCCTGACTGGGGAAGTAGCTTTAGCTCCTGGTTCTCAGGCAGTCGGGACTGACCTAGGGCTCCCCTGGTGGAGAAAGGGTGGAGGGGATGAAGGGACGCAGGCATCTCTGTTCAGGAGGAACAATTCCCCACCCAAAGCTTAGAACATGAAGCAGATTGTGCCAGAAACAGAGACAGAGAGGGAAGAGTCAATGAGAGGAAGACAGCAATACAGAGTTATTGAAAGAGGAGGGGAGTCCAAGACAGCCACACACAGACAGAGCAGACATAATGAGAGAGAGGGAGAGAGAGAGGGAGCGAGGGAGCACCAAGCTGATAAAGGCAAGCAAAGGAGGACTGGTCATAAAAAGGAGGGAAGACAGTGCCAGGTGGATGGAGCAGAGAAGCCAGGGACAGAGTTTTCTGCTCCCTGGAGGTCAACTCAGACCCTGCTTTTCCCTGCAAGGTGTCCAGTCTGGTGGTCCCTCTTCTGGCCATCAAATCTTCTTTTGGAATTTTTCCTGCCCCCCTAATCTAAATCTCCTCCAGACTTCACCTCCCTAGAAGTGGTGTGGGCAGAGGTGAAAGCTGTCACAGGCCTGAGGCTTCATGGCCTTGGGGCTTCATTAAAGGGTAGCAGTAAATGGCAAAGTCAGGGATGAATAATAGTTATTATATGTATGGGGATGTGGTTAGAGTTGGGAGAAGAGCAAGGAGAGGCAAAGTCCAAAGAAAAATCTCCCCTTCTTTCATTAGATCAGGCATTAACTCTTGTGTTCCACCTCCCTACCAGATATCCTGTCATTTACAGATAGGCATTACTCTGTCATTTAGGGAATGACAGGATATCTGGTGGGGAGGTGGGAGGAAGGTCTTTGTTGTTGGAAGGAAGGAGGAGATACAAATGAAGAACTGAGCTGGGCAGGGATGAGTTTAGTTGAGTTAAATTATGTTGAGTGTAATTGGTTTTGTTTGGGTAGAGTACAGCGGAGTAGAGTTGCGTAGTTGTGTCATGTCAGGAAGGGTTGGGTCAAATTTAGTTTAGTTTGGTTGAATGAGTGGAGCTTGATTTGGGATTGGTTGAGTGGAGATGAGTTGAGTTGGTTTGGCTTGAACTGAATTTAGTAGAGTTAAACTGAGTTGGATTGTGTTGGGATGGGTTGGGTTGGGTTGAGTTGAGTGGAGTTGAGTTTGATTGACCTTGTGTAAGGTTTGATTTGGGTGGGTTGAGTGGAAGTAAATTGAACTGGGTTGGCTTGAGTTGAATTTAGGAGAGTTGAGATGCATTGAGTTGAGTTGAATTAAGTTGGGTTGGTTGGGTTAAGAAAGTTAAAAGACTCCTAGGAGACAGATCCAGGAGAACCATGCCTTAGGAAGGTGGCATGAAGTTCCAGCAAGGAGAGTCCTGGTTAGGGGAGGTGTCCATGGCTGAGATCTAAGCAGACTGTGAGTCTGAGATGATTTGGCATATAAATGATTTATCTCAGTGTTTCTCCATTTTCTTTTGCACTCTACACTCTCATTGGTAATGGAGGCTCATGATGGCATGGGAAGAAGGGAATATCAGAATTTCATTGCATATGCATGTGTGCTCACTTGTGTGTGTGCATGTGTGTGTGTAATCTGAAAAAATACCCAAAGGTGGTTCCTTTTTTTATTTTTAAAATTTATTTATTTTTAATTGACAAATAATAATTATGCGTATTTATGGGGTACAATGTGTATTAGTTTGTTTTTATGCTGCTAATAAAGACATACTCAAGACTGGGTAGTTTATAAAGGAAGAGGTTTAATGGACTCACAGTTCCACCTGACTGAGGAGGCCTCACAATCATGATGGAAGGCAAAGCAGAAGCAAAGGCACATCTTACATGGCAGCAGGCAAGAAAGCTTGTGCAGGGGAACTCCCATTTATAAAATCATCAGATCTTGTGAGACTTACTACCATGAGAACAGTATGGGGGAAACCACCCCCATGATTCAATTATCTCCACCTGGCCCCACCCTTGACATGTGGGCATTATTACAATTCAAGGTGATATTTGGGTGGGGACACAGCCAAACCATATCAAATATGATTTTTTTTTTTTTTTGAGACAGGGTCTTGCTCTGTTACCCAGGCTGGAGTGCAGTGGCATGATCACAGTTCACAGCAGCCTTAATCTCCTGGACTCAAGCAATCTTCCCATCTCAGCCTCCTGAGCAGAACTACAAGCACATGCCACCCTGCCTGGCTAATTTTCTTTTCATTTTTTTAAGAGACGGTTTCACTCTGTTGCCCAGGCTGGTCTCAGACTCCTAAGCTCAGACGATCTGCCCACCTTGGCCTCCCAGAATGCTGGGATTTACAGGTGTGAGCCACTGCTCCTGGCTAATATGATGATTTTATCTGTGTATTTGTTGTGGAAAGATTCAATCAAGCTAATTAACAAATCCTTCACTTCACTGACTTGTAATTTTTTTGTGTGTGATGAGGATGTTAAAAATCTTTTAGCAATTTTGAAATATATAATACATTATTATTAACTGAGTTTAGTTACCATGCAGGTATAATAGATCACTAAGACTTCTTCTTCCTAACTGAAACTTTGCATTCATTCATCAACATCTCTCCTTTCCCCATTTCTCCTCCTCCCCACCTCCCTCTCCCAGCCTCTGGTAACCACCTCCCTATTCTCTGCTTCCATGAGAGTGACTTTGTAAGATTTCACATATAAGTGAGGTCATACAGTACTTGTCTTTCTGTGCCTGGCTTATTTCACATAGCATAATGTCCTCCAGTTCCATCCATGTTGTGAATGTTTCTGTCTTTTTAAAGGCTGTGTAGTATTCCAGTGCATCTACATACCATATTTTCTCTCTTTCTATTTTTTTTTTTTGAGATGGAGTCTTGCTCTGTTGCCCAGGCTGGAGCGCAGTGGTACAATCTCGATCTCGGCTCACTGCAACCTCTGCCACCCAGGTTCAAGCAAGTCTCTGCCTCAGCCTCCCAAGTAGCTGGGATTACAGGCGCACGCCACCACTCCTGGCTAATTTTTGTATTTTTAGTAGAGATGGGTTTTACCATCTTGGCCAGGCTGGTCTTGAACTCCTGACCTCGTGATCCACCCGCCTCAGCCTCTCAAAGTGCTGGGATTACAGGCGTGAGCCACCACGCCTGGCCACCACATTTTCTTTATCCATGTATCTGTTGATGGACACTTAGGTTGCTTCCATATCTTGGCTATTGGGAATAATGCTGAAATGAACCCAGACGTGCAGATATCCCCTTGACATACCCCAAAGGTGAGTCATAAATGCCTCCCAGGCTACAGCATGTTCCAGTGGAGAATAAATATCCCGCAGAATCTTCACTTTCCCTGAGAAGTTCTGTTTGGATGAATCCCTGGCTGGAAAAATTTTTTTAAGGAGAATGAAGGGGAACATAAAGGTCAGAAAGTCTCCCCTCTCAGTTTCTTAACCCAGTTCATAGGTAGCAGACTTTGAAGAAAAGAAAATGTAATATTTGTTGAGCATCTAATATGTGGTAAGTATTTTTGCTTCCATTGTTGTATTGAACACTCACAAAATACTTCTATTTTATAGTGGGGGAACTGTGGCCCAACGAATTGAAGCAACAAGGCCAAGATCACACAGACAGTGTGATGTAAACCCAGGTCAGTGTGTCCCTTTTTGCCAAGAGAGTGACAGAAAACCATAGATGGTTTAGGGTGACAGCAACCAAAGGATGGCAGGGGAGGCAAGCGGGAGTGATGAGCTAGGGTGGTGGGGGTTGCTGGGGGACTGAGAGTGAGGGTCAGAGGAGACTGGGGTGCAGACAAGGTAGGCTGAATGGTCTGTCAGAGAAGAGGTGAGAAGATAAGGGAGTGGGCAGCCCAGAGACGCTTTGCAGGTGAAGGCCTAGTCATGGAACTTGTGGCCTCAGTGAGGTGGCAACAGGTCAGGTGCTGGTTTGTGGACCTTTAGCACTTGGGAATTAAGATCCTCCTAAGAATCTGGCAGGTGAGTCCCTCCAAGGAGGTTCCCAGCGCTCTCCTCTGTGCTTTGTCTTCTGTTCCTGAGGCTCACCCCATCATCTCGGAGCTTCTTGAGAGGTGAGGACTCCCGGGGCCTGTCTGGAGGTTGGCCAAGATGTCATGTTCTGAGTATTTGCAGGATGGGTGCAGTGGAACTGAAGGAATCACAGAGCAGCGAGGTCACGCCTGTGTGCTGGGTGTCAGGTGCCCCGAGGAGGCTCCCAGTTTCTGTCCTAAGGGTGGCCTGGAGGAGGGGTTCAGGTTTGGAGTCTCTGGGGTGCTCACAGAGCTGGTGCTCCTCTCCTCACGAGTGGGTGGCTATGGGCAGCCGGCTGCACGTCCTACTCACCACCCAGTTCTTTCTTGTGGTCCTGTGGTCCTGGCTGGATGGCTGGGCCTCCTCCTTCCCCGGTGCCTTGGTGACTCACATAACCCCGCCCCACCACAACACACACATCCCTCCCCACCAACACAAACACCCCACATTTACCCCACACAACTACTGGGCAGCCCCACAAGAGAGCCCCAGGTTGGATGGAGGGAAGACTGACTCCTCCCAGCTGTGGAGCCGGGGCAGCTCTCCCTGTCAAGCTGCTCTGAGGGGCTGGGATCAGGATCCCAGCAGCTCCTTCATTTCTTGTTCATTCTTGGCTTAAAATATGTATATTTGTGGGGATAGCACACATAGAGAGAAGCCAGAGCCTGAAATTTTGGAACTGCAGTTCAACAAGCAGAAATCTCTAGCCGAGTCATCTCATCTCTCTTTGCCTGAGTTTCCTTATCTGTAAAATGTACATAATGCTCTCTTGCAGGGTGATGGAGAGGATCAAACAAGATAACAAAAGCCAAAGTGTGTGTGAACTGTAATCAGAGTTTATAGTTTACAAACATATAAATAGTCATTCATTCATTCATCCATTTAACAAAGGCTGGTGAAAGCCTTATTAAGCACCAGGCAGTGTCCTGAGCCTTTTACAAGCATTAACTCATTTGATCCTCCTAACAACCCTATGAGGATGGTGCTAGGATTGCCCCCCATTTTATAGACGAGGAAACTGAGACACAGAGGATTTAAGTAGCTTGCTCAATGCCATCTGGTTAGTAAATGGTACAGCTGGGATTCACACCTAGTCCTCTTTGATCAACTCAAGAGTATTCCATTCATTCATTCAGGAAACATTTATTAAATAGTTTCTCTTTTTTTTTTTTTTTTTTGAGACAGAGTCTCGCTCTGTCACCTCGGCTGGAGTGCAGTGGCATGATCTTGGCTCACTGCAGCCTCCACCTCCCGGGTTCAAGCAATTCCCCTGCCTCAGCCTCCTGAGTAGTTGGGACTACAGGCATGTGCCACCACGTCTGGCTAGTTTTTGTATTTTTAGTAGAGACGGGGCTTCACCATGTTGGCCAGGCTGGTCTTGAACTCCTGGGCTCAAGTGATCCTCCCGCCTTGGCCTCCCAAAGTGCTGGGATTACAGGCGTGAGCCAACACGCCCGGCCAAATGCTTTCTCTATGTGAGTCCCTGGGCCCACGGAAAGGAACCAGAGCTGGTGAGGGTGGTTGAGGTTGTTATCCAGGGACAGAGGTAGCTTTCTGAGGGTGGAAGTTGGATATGTGGGGCGGAGGAAGGGTTGCAAATTTTGGTTGTTAGCCAGCTAAGATTTCTGCCCTGCGCAGGACAGTCCTACACACATTGTCAACAGCACCCCATTGAGAAAATATTCAAGAAAAGAGCACAGGCATTGGAGTCATTCCAGACCTCGGCCAAGTCCCAGCCTTACCATTCCAAGACTGTGTGACTTGGACAAGTCGCTTTACGTTCTTAGCCTCAGTTTCCACCTCTGAAAAACATGATTGGAGACATTATGTATGTGAAGTACCAGAAGTATCTAGCATGCCTTGGTTGCTCAATAAACACGAAGGTCTTTTCCTGCTTAAGCAAATACCAAGAAGTATGGAGAAGAAGCAGTTTTGGCTTCCGGCATCCTTGCAAACCCCTCTCCCTCTCTCTTGAGGAGGTCTGAAGCAAGCTAGGCTCTGGACATGCAAGAGTGCCCTCACCACATGGCCCTCCCCCTTCTCTCCATCCAGGCCCAGGACCCAGGGCCAGTAAGGCTCCTAACCTACCAGCTCCGAGGCTCCAGACAAAAGACACTTCCCCTCTTGGAGCTTTGGATTCTTTGTCAAATGGAGAAACGCAGTGCTGGTGGTCATCAGCTGTTTCTGCCTGTCCCGTGCCCCTTCCCTCTTCTTTGGGTGACTGCACCCAGTTTTCTTTTCTTTTCTTTTCTTTTTTTGAGACAGAGTCTCGCCCTGTCACCCAGGCTGGAGTGCAGTGGCGCGATCTTGGCTCACTGCAAGCTCTGTCTCCCGGGTTCACGCCATTCTCCTGCCTCGGCCTCCCCAGTAGCTGGGACTACAGGCGCCCGCCACCTTGCCCAGCTAACTTTTTATATTTTTAGTAGAGACGGGGTTTCACCGTATTAGCCAGGATGGTCTGGATCTCCTGACCTCGTGATCCACCCGCCTCAGCCTCCCTGAGCTGGGATTACAGGCATGAGCCACTGTGCCAGGCCGACTGCAACCAGTTTTCTATTGGGGAACATCCTGCTCCCATTCTCAGTCGCCTGGGCATGTGGTCTGGGACTGGCCAGTCAGCATGCGGACATTCCATCTTCCTGTTCACAGCCGTTGGTTCAGGTATAGGTGCATGAGCTAGCCCTGGAGCAATTACAAGTGTCCCAGGAACTCCTGGTACCAAGAAAAAGGCCAAGAGACAGGCATTCTCTTACCATATGGGATTGGGGCATGAGAACAGTGTAAGCCTGGAGCTGCCTGAGACCTCTGTAACATCACTTGGGGAGCACCTGCCTGAGGATGAAGCCAACAAGAGGAAAAGGAGAAGGAGATGAGAGGGAGAAGAAGAGAGGTGGGGTGGAGAGAGAGAGGGGCAGCGGTGGGTAGGAGAGAGAACCTGATATGATTTCTGGATACAGCCTTGCCTGTCTATGGATTTTCAGCTTGAGAGAAAATACTTCCCCTTCTTTTGCAAAAATTAGTTAGAATTGTGTCTGTTGCTTGTAATAGAAATAATCTTCACTTATTCAGGGGCTAAAAACACCTACGTTGGCCAGGCACGGGGGCTCACACCTGTAATCTCAGCACTTTGGGAGGCCAGGGCGGGCAGATCATTTGAGCTCAGGAGTTCAAGATCAGTTTGGGTAACATGGTGAAACTCTGTCTCTAGAAAAACAAACAAACAAAAAACAAACAACAACAACAACAAAACAAAACAAAATCAGCCAGGCTTGGTGGTGAGTGCCTGTAATCCCAGCTACTTAGGGGGCTGAGGTGGGAGGATTGCTTGAGTCTAGGAGGTCGAGGCTGCAGTGAGCCGTGATCATGCCATTGCACTCCAGCTTGGGCAACAGAGTGCGGCCTTGTCTCAAAAAAACAAAACAAAACAAAACAAACATAAAACATCTACATCAAAAAATTGCTGTGTAGATCAAAAGGGAAGATAACGTAAGCAAAAATGTTTCTTTATACTGTATATGGCTGAATGACGGTAAGTTATTAATGAAGTGTTAAAGCAGGAACGCGCATTCCATGCAACTGACGAGTCAGTCAGTCCAGTTCTGTTTGAAAGGCTTGAGAAAATGGACTTTTACGGTTCTTGCCTGAGAACAGAAGGAGTTTTTGGAAGTGTGGATTCTTGTCCCCTAAATTATCAGTTCAATGGGAGTAGGTTTTCTAAGGAGGAGGTGTCCTTGCATTGGGTCACACTGTTTCTTATGTGATTTGTTCCAAGGTCGCTTACTTTACAAGAGGCCATAGCACAGTGAGGAAAGATACCTGGCCTGTTTGGGCAAGTCCCTTCCTGGCTTTGAGTCTCTGATTTTGTCACCTGAGTGGGGCTGGATTGGGCCTTCTCCTAGGGAGCAGCTGGCTCTGACCCACTGTGGTCTTGCTATTCCCAGACCTTATCTTGGGACAAGAGAAGTCTGCTCACTTCTGCTGTCTGCAGCATGCACTGGTTACTGGATTCTCCAGAGAAGCCACCCGTCAGAAACCACAGCTCATGCTAGAACGAGGCTCTTTCTGGAGTCTGGGAGACATTTCCGACTCACTGTCCCTTCCCTGTCTATTCCAAAAAATTCGATTTCTCAACCTGCTTTGCAGCCAAGTGAGGCCACGTGACACGGTTCTGGTGAAAGAAATATAAAGTGGAAATCTCCTGAGGCTGTCTCTTCCCTTTCCAACCTTTTCCTGTTTGGAACATGGGCATGAAGTGCTAACTGCAAGGACACAAACTATTTTGAGGATGACGGAGCGGAAAGATGGAAAGAATCTGGACTCCTGATGGCACTGCTGAGACGCCGAGAAGCCACAACAGGGCTGGGCTGCTTACCTCTGGACTTCTTGTCATCTGAGAGAAATAATTCTCCCTCCTTTTTTGGGCTTAGGCCTCCATATTTGGGGTTTTTGATATATGTAACCACATGCATTCCTGATACACTAAGCTAGCACTTGCCTGCAACCATTCTCTCTTTCTCTTTTGTTTTTTTAGAGAGATGGAGTCTTGCTAAGTTGCCCAGGTTGGTCTTGAACTCCTGAACTCAAGCAATCCTCCCACCTTGGCCTCCCAAAGTGGGATTACAGGCATAAGCCACCGCGCCTGGCCGCTATTCTCTCTTAAATTCTTTCTAAGCGTCTAGTCCAACTTTTTTTTTTTTCTTGCCTTTGGGGCCATAATGACAGAATTGGAGTAATTTTATACTTATTAATTATAATAATTCTACCAGTAATTATTACTTACTGAGTGCCTCCTGAATGTTAGGAATTGAGCTAAGTGATTTTATTCTCACAACGGTCCCAGGAAACAAATACTATTATTTTCCTCATTTTCAGATGAGGAAACTGAGGCTCAGAGATGACAAATGACTGGTTCAAATTCACACAGCTAGAATTGAAGCTGGGCTCTGAACCCAGGTCTGCCTTACGCCAAAACTCCTGCTCTTCATCCTCAGCATGGCTAGTTCACCAAGCTTAGTTAACAGGTAGGGAAACTGAGGTCCAAGAGGAAGAGTTACTAGCTCAAGGTCATGCAGTGATTTCAGGGGGTCATGTTACAAGAAATCAGACAGACTGGGTCCCCATTCCAGGGCTCTTTCTATGATATCCTGCTGCTTAGCAAATGGCAGGGCCTGAAGTCCAGGCTGAGGTCTGGGGATGATGGGAGCTATTGAATGTTCTAAGCAGAATTAGGAGAGTGTTCCACATGCCAGACGAGGGTTGTGGAAACACTTCCTCTTCCTTCAACTATGGTGGAGAAGGAAGTGGGGTGAGAGGACTTGTATTTTACAGCCCCATAAACTTCCTGAGCAACGTCCCCTAGCCAGAGAATGGCTCTTTCCCCTGGTTTGTCCGTCACAGGTGGCTGAGTCCCCTGATCCCAGGAGCTGATGTCTGAGGCTCTGCGGATTACACTGATGGTGGGGGCTGGCTGGGGAGGATGCCATGGTGTGACCACTCAGCCATCCTGTGCCAAGCAGATGGTGCTGGCTGTCTAGTGGAGAGGTCTGCGGGACAGGGCACCTGCAGTGGAAACTCCCCAGATGAACTTGGGGACTCTCCACTTAGAGTCTCCTGCTTGTTTATCTTCTTGGCCCATTCCTGGCAGGATTTGGGTGTTTGTTTAAGGATTCAGGGTTTGAGATCCAAGATAACCAGCGATGAGCGTAATAGGGAGTTACACTTGTAAATGTTGAAATCATACAGGCCATGGCTCAAATCCCAGCTCTACCACCCATATATAGCCTGTGGTATAGGCTATAGCAAGTCAGTTAATTTTCCTGTTTATAAAAATGGAGACAAGAGGAACATCTACCTCATGGGGCTGTTAGGAGTTATAAAGGGGATGATGCACCAAAAATCTTTAGCATAATGTCTGCCACATGGTAAGTGCCCCAGAAGTGGTTAAAACTCCTCCCACTTTTCTTCCTCTCTGCATAATCTACGGACATCTTTGAGCCTCATTTTCCTCTTTGCACAATGGGGATCATGATACCTTCTTCTTCCAGCAATTGTGAGGGTTTCCATGAGAAAGGGATGTAAACGCATTTGGTAGGCCGGGTGTGGTAGCTCATGCCTGTAATCCCAGCACTTTGGGAGGCCAGTGTGGGAGGATCACTTGAGCCCAGGAGTTCAAGACCAGCCTGGGCTACATAGTGAGACCCCCGTCTCTACAAAAAAACAAATAAAACAAAATTAGCTGGGCATAGTGATATGCACCCGGTAGTTCCAGCTACTCAGGAGGCTGCGGTAGGAGGATCACCTGAGCCCAGGAGATCAAGGCTGAAGTGAGCCAAGTTCGCACCACTGCAGTCCAGCCTGGGCAACAGAGTGAGACCCTGACAAAAAATAACCAAAACCAAAACCAAAACATTATTTTGTGACTCTCAGTTCTCAGCTTCTCAGCTGAACTATGTTGCTTAAATTGGATCCCACACATCGCTCCACAAGCCGACTACCACCCTAGCGAGCCTTTCTGTTTCCTTTTAACTTCAAACACTCGTTGGTTATGCTGGGGCTTGGGTACAGGTACCCGGTATTCCAGAACAAAAGGGTTGGGCCTTGAAACCTGACTCTTACTGGTTGTGCATCTTGGACAAGCTGCTTCAACACTGGGCCTCACTTTCTTTCTCTGTAAATGGAAGTGATGATACTGACTTTATAAGGTTGTTGAGAAAAATCACATGTAACAGTGCATTTAAAACACATAGCATTCTACCCTGCACATAGTAGATATTCAAGAAATATTAGCCATTATTATTATTACCTCCAATGGTCAACCCTAGCCTGGTTCTGAGTAGGTAAAGAGGAGGAGGAAGGGAATTTTTCATGCAACCCTCTTGCTCAGGTAGGGAGTAGAAGCGAGGGCCAATAAAGAACTAGCATTGAGCTCCTACTGAATGCTGGGGATGCTCACAGGGACTATCTTACTTCATCCTCACAACAACTCTTGCAAGAGTGGCATTATTAACCACGTTTTTACAGGTGGGGGAACTGAGGTCCACAAAGGGCAGTTTGCTGCTTAAGGTCACACTGAGAGGTCAGGTGGGGTGGAGGACTGGGATTTGAAGAGATATTGGATTGAGTCCAGAGCCTTCCTGCCTGACTGAGAAGCTGCCTACACAGGTGGGGCCGGGTGGGGCTGGGTCCATGAGTGATTCAGGTAAGAGTCAGCTCTGGTTTTCCAAATAGTGGGTGGGGCCCAGCAGGAGTGAGACCTCTCCAGGAGCATTACAATCCAGGCTGTAGCTAGGGTGAGCAGGAGGGCACGTGATTGGTGTGGATAATGGGGAGGGGGCTATGCAGAGAGAAATCCTATCCCTTGTTACCAGTGGGGTATAGGGAAGGAGGTCCTTGCTGCCTTAGCTGGGAAGGGCTCAGGGCCTGGGGTGAAGCTGGGCCTGTGGGACAGCTGGGGGTGCTGGCCCATGGGACAAGCTGGAGAAGGCAGGGAAACTGAGGCAGGCAGTGATACTTTTGGTGGCCGTCACAGCAGATGGGTGGTTGGCAGTCACTTCGATGAGGCTGGTGCTGGACCTGGTCTGTTTTTTTAATGCATTCACTACTCTTTTAGATACTCATTCATTTCTTTGTTCAAGCAACAAACATTCCCTGGATGTCTTTTATCCGCCAGATCCTATGCTTGGCCTTGGGGCTACAAGAGTGACCAGGACTCTTATAGCCTCATAATGTTTGGGGGCAGAGGGACAATGTGATCAGGAGTGGCACTGCTGTGGCCAGGGAAGGCACAGGGGCTTCCTAGAGGAGAGAAGGGGGAGGAGGAGGCATGTTAGAGGAGGCCTACCAGGGGACATGGGAGGTGGACTTGCCCTATAAGTGGAAGCTCACAATCTTGAGGACTAGGATGGTGACACCAGTCCTAGGCATTTAGACTATAGCTTTGCAGTAGGGAGCAGGAAAAGGTGGCCCTGTGCTGTGGTCTCTTTCCCAGGGCTGGGGCAAGGGCTACCCCAGACCTCTCCCCTGTGTATCCAGCTGCATGCTGGGGCGGTTGGGGGTGCTGGCCCATGGGCCAAGCTGGAGAAGGCAGGGAAGGTTTGATCCTCCTCATTCCTTGAAGTGGATCAAATACAAGAAGCCCAAATTCAAATTCCACCTACCCATGCCAGCTCCCCTTCCCTGGATATTACCACCAGCATTGAGCCAGAAGGCTAGGTGTCCTCAGCACCTTTCTTCCCCTAAGCTCTAGTGCTAATCGGTCACCAAGCCCTGGCACTTCTGCCACCATTTCTCTCATCTACCTTCTCCCCACTCCATGCTCTTGGTCCTGCCTCATCCCTGGAGGGCTGCCTCGGCACCCTGCCTGCTCTCTCAGACTCCATCCTCTCCTGTATTGCAGCTGTGTTGAGATCTGTGGTGCTGGTCACAGAGCCTGGCTGCAGTGAGGGCTCAATTGCTCCATGCTGGAACTGGACCAGTCCTCAGAGACCATCTGATCTGCTCATTCTGTTGTTCAAATGGGGAAACAGAGGCCCAGTGAGGCCTAGCGGCTTGTTTAAGGTCACGCTATGGAAGAAGTGACTTGAACTCACTTCTGATTCTGAGGTGAAGGCTCTTCCCATCAGTGCCAGGGCCACACAAGTGTTTCTTGTTTTGAGTGCAGATGGGTGGCTTGGAAGTCAGCAGGAGGCACAGGTGTGGTGACTTGATGGGCTCAGGGCCCAAAGGGAGGGAGGGCCTGGGAGTGGAAGATGGAACCTCATTCAAGCCCGTCTCTCCTTTCTTCTCACCAGAAACTCCCCCTTTCTTTGGACAACTGGACCCCCACACCTCCACCCTGTCCCCATCCCTTTTGCTGATAATCCCATCTCCTTGCCCTGTAAATGCTAGGGGGCCCTTGATTTGGGGAGGAAGGGAAGGCTGAAGCCGGTCCCGGCACCCTGAGAGCCCCAGGGCCCTCCAATGCCCCACTCCTTCTCCAGGTCTGCCCTGGCTTGCTCTGTCTCCCTAGGGCAGCTGGCTTTTGTCCCAGGGGAGCATGGGAACAGCTTGGGTGAGAATGGGGGAGGGGCTTCCCAGCAGGTTTCACCTCTCCCACCTGGCATAATTTCTACCCTGCACCCAGTGATGCCCAGGAGCCAGCACAAGAACCTCTGAGCTCTCCTGCCGGCTTTCCCCACTGTGGGGCCCACAGGATGGCTGGGTGTGCTGGGGAAACTGAGGGAGATGACTTGTGGGTGCCAGCACCATGGGACTTTGGGTGATCTTGGACCTATTCCTTCCTCCTTCTAGGTGCTTCCTGAGCTGGCGAAAAGGAGAGCTGGATGCTGGGATTCTATAAATTCGGCGGTGGATGTGAGTCTAGCTACAGCATGGACCCTGGCCAGCCCTGGAATCTGAGTTCAGAGATCTTTGAAAAAATGCCTTCCGATAACTGAGCACCTACTACATGCTGGACACTGCACCAGGAGATTTGTGTGCATTCCCTCATTGAATCTTACAACCACCCTCTGGGATGGTTTTTGCTATTAAGCCGATTTTATAGATGAGAATACTGAGGGCTAGAAAAGATAAGTACCTTGTCCAAGGTGACACGGCCAGTAAGCTGTGGAGTCTGGATTTGAACTAGGCTCTCTTGGAGTTTGGAGCCCGGTCTTTTCATTTCTGGCAGAGACCTGTGGCTTCAGGGGGCGGAGCCCAGCCCATGGGGGAAGTAAGTCCTTCCTGTTAGATCTGTCTGAGGAGTAGTGAGTTTCTCATCTAGGAAACCATCAGCAGGCCAGGCTGGACTGCCCCATTTCTAGCCCCCTTTCTTCTCTGCAGACTGCCCTGTTTCTAGCCCCTTTTCTTCTCTACCCTTTTCTGTAGAGTGCGTTAGACCCATTTTACAGAAGGGGACTCTGAGACCCTTTCTTCTCTGCGGGGCAGGGTATGTGGTTCAGACGAGCCGCTTCCATCCCCAGTTCTGTCCCTAAGCCCTGGGTGACCTCAGCATTGAGCATCGTCTCTGAGCCTCAGTTTCCTGTCTATATCTAGTGCCACCAGGCATCAGAAACGTAAGTGCTTCAAGGATCTTGGGTGAAAAGCCGCTTTAGCGGCGAGCATACACTAATTAATAAAATGCCTTGGCCGGGGCTGGGCAGAGGAAGTAAGCGGGCAGCCGAGGTGACAGCTGGAGGGAGGAGCGGGGGTGGAGCCGGGGGAAGGGTGGGGAGGGGATGGGCTGGAGCTCCGGGCAGTGTGCGAGGCGCACGCACAGGAGCCTGCACTCTGCGTCCCGCACCCCAGCAGCCGCGCCATGAGCCGTGAGTGCGACCCCGGTGCCCGGTGGGGAATTTTCTTGGCCTCCTGGTGGAGCCTTGAATGCCAGGCTCAGCCCCTCATCTCTCTCCTCTGCAGGGAGTCTCTTGCTCTGGTTCTTGCTGTTCCTGCTCCTGCTCCCGCCGCTCCCCGTCCTGCTCGCGGACCCAGGGGCGCCCACGCCAGGTAGGCGGCCCCATCCCTCCCCAAGGGAATCCCCGGTCTTGCGCCCCTGGCCTGGTTTCAACCCCCTCCTTTCCCCTCCAGCGGGCCCAGCTTCCCCTTTCTGCTCGCGGTGCTGAGAAAGACTGAGGCTGAGTCTTTTGGTGGGATGGGGGCTCCCTGAAGCCCCCCCGGCGGTGTGGCCTTGGCTAATGGGCTATCTAGTTCTTTCAGGGGAAACAGCAGACTGGGATCTGGTGCCAACTTGGGGAGAAGGGACAGTCCCTATCCATCCCCCTCACCTGTTCTGGGCCCCAGATGTCTAAGCAGCCTCTGCACCCAACAACCCCGCTGTTTCCTATAGGGGCCTCTTTGGGAGGAAGCCGCAGGCACCAAGGGAAATGAGTTCCCTTTCTCCAGCCTCTAACCGTCTGGGAACCCATCCTGATTCCCATTGCCAGTGGAGAAGGTCTCCCCTGGTGAAGACTTCGGGAGAACATGGGAGATGGAAATACATTTAGGAGCCGGGATGCTTCATCTGGGGTTTAAGAGATCCCCATTGAGCAAATGAGGAAACCGAGGCTCAGTAGGTGCCATGATTCCCCAAGCTCACAAAATACATGGTGGGCCCAGGATCTGAACTCAGGTCTGTCTGCGTCCACACACTTCGCAAGGTCTTTCCACAGAAAGCTGCTTCTACCCACAATGGACCCGGAGCCACTCTGGGTTTCATGGGGGAGGTTGATGGGGAAATTCCGCCCTTCCCTCCCCCATGCATGTGCCAGGTTCCAGGTGAAGGAATTCAGCTCCTCGCTCAGCCAACCTTCCTCCCCCAGCTCGCTGCTTGTGTGTGTGCGTGTGTGTGAGCATGTGTCCCAGTTGGATATAGTTTCCTCCACCACCTAGCTGTGTAAAATCTCTAAAATGAGGCCCAGAGAGGGCAGGAGGGAGCAGAGGGAGTCCGCACTTTCTGCTGTGATGCTCTAAGGATCTGGTGCGTGGGGGAAAGAGGAAAGATATGTACATGGATTTTGGATCAGACCAAGTTTCCTGAAACGGGCTTTGGGTGGGTGGCATTTAGGGGACCCAAAGAGAGGACGGAGGGTGCTCTAGGAAAGGGATTGCGTTGAATAAAAGTCTGGTTTATGGGAAGAGGAGGAGGAAGACTCATGTGGCCAGCACTTTAAAGTTTACAAAGGTTGGTTGTGGACATCCACCTCTTTGGTGCTCTCAACAGCCCTGCCAGAGAGATGCGTTAGACCCAGTCTACAGAAGGGGACTCTGAGGCCCAGAGGGAGTGAAGCCACTTGTCTGAATCCTCACAGTGAGCTGGTGGTGGGGAGTAGAAGGGGCTCTTCAGGTTGCCTCGCTGACCCATCTTGTCAGTCCCTGGATCAGCCCAGCACTTCCTCTGAGGCCCCATCTGGCCTCATCCAGGCACTCTTGGTATACAGGTCCCACCCGTCTGTATTCTTTTTTAGTCCATTCACTAATGCACAATGAGCCATGGTCTGTGCTATTTTGTTTTTTGCCTTTTCTGTTTCCTTTTGTATAATAAATGTTTACACGGAATTGTTTTTTTTTATCCCCAAGGGTTATTTATGCCAGTCTTTGGCTGGGGCCTGGAGACACGGAGCTGGGAGGAGCTGACAGGCTGATGGTGGAGCCAGAAATGCCAACAGACTGTCATCCAAGGGGACCAGGGCTGTGCGGAGCTCATGGGAGGAAGCAGGGGTATAGGGAGCCCAGGGAAGGGAGCAGGGGTGTGCGGAGCTCAGGGGAGGGAGCAGCTGCCTCTCAGTGCGAAGAATTGAGGGAGGCTTCTTGGATCTGATGACTTTTGGACTGGACCTCGAAGGAGGTGGCGGGTGGGGGAAACACTAAGAGACTCGACCAGGAAACACCGTAAGGGTAATGTGGAGCAGGAGGCTGAGGTTGGATGCGTAATGTGGGGATGAGACTGGAGGCCAGAAAACTGGTACCGAGGCTCCTGCAAGGATCTAGGAAAGAACGAATGACTGGTGGAGTGCAGGGGCAGAAGGTCTGGGTTGCCCTCATATTTCCAAGTCTGCGAGTAAACTGAGGGCCAAGCTACTTGGGCATCTGCCCCAGGAAGCCAAAGCCTGTCTTTTACCTCTAGAGGCAAAGGAGATGAAGAGATGAGGGCTGCACTCACCTAAGAGGGCAGGCGGAGGGAGAGAATGCTGCTTTTGCCTCTCTGGTGGGTGAGGAGATGGAGGCCAGCCTGGAGGCAAGGCTGTGCCGGGGGCGCCCTGAATGCTCAAGTACTTCCCCTCTAGTCTCTGGACTTGACTCAGTGCCCATCTTCTAGATGGGGATAGGGCATGACCTGGCAACCAGAGCTGCATGCCAGGCAGAGGAGCCCCAGGCCAGCTGACCCGGGCACATGGGGCAAGATGCCAGCTGTGCCAAGGCTGCCCGGGTGCCTGCACCTGCTCTCGCCAGCACCAGTTGGGTCTGTGGGCCGGGAGAGGGCTTCCCCACCAGCAGGCTCTTCCAGCTGCTGGGCCCAGTTGTCTGGATCTGGTGTGGTGGTGCTTAGGTGTGGGGACTGGGGCCCAGGCCAAACCAGTCAGGGTTCCCCACCTTTTTTTTTTTTCTCTCTGGCTGCCAGGTCCCCAGAGACTCTCTAAATATTACTCTTTAGGGGATTTGGGTCCTGCCTCTTCACTGGGCAATCTTGCAGCCTGACACCTCTGCATCCTGGAGGACTTGGTGTTCCCTGGCTGTGCCTGTCCCCTAGTCACGCTCAGTCCTGGACCTGGAGCCCTGACTTTTGGGCTAGGGGGTGTTCCTTGCCCAAACCCTTGGAAAGGTCCTGGAACCAGGCAGTTCTGGACAGTCCTCATCTGTGGGGATGGGGACTAGCAGCTTGGCCTTTGGGCTGCGTGTGTCTGGCATGCAGCGTGGTGTGCTGATCATCTCTGCCTCCGCGTGTCTTGGGGACTCAGTGAGAGCAAATGGGAAGGTTCTCTGCTGATGGGGCAGTTGTGGGAGGGTTGTATTGATACAAATAATGGAGAGGGACAGATTGGCTCTACCCAGAGTAGAGGGCCTGGACGTCGAAAGGAAGGCCTCCTTTAGCCCGCCTGCTAAACCCCCTTCATGGGATATACAGAAAAATGAGGCTCCAGAGGTGGGAGGGACTCACCCAAGAATGCACAGCCAGTAAGAGCAGCCACTCTCTAATACAGCTCTCCCAAGCAACTACTTGGTGCCTGGCCCTGTGCTGAGTATGGGGGACTCAAAGTGAATTAGACTTGGTACCTGCATCTCCTTGGTTTTCTTTCTTGATGAACAGGGGTGTCCTCCACTGAGCATAGAACTGAGTTGGCATGAAAACATGCAGGATTGAAGTTAGACCGAAGGAAGGCCTTCCTGTACGAATACTTCCTAAAGATCTGGTTGTGGCAGGAGATGGTGATCCCCCTGGGGTCCTGGTTTCATTCGTTCTGGATTTTCAAGGTTCACTTTGAAGGAATGTGACAAATCCAACTCAACTGGGTCATCCTCAGTCTGCATCAAAGCGACTCTCCCTTTCCATCCCTTCCCCAAATCCAGTCCTGGGTACCTCCAGGAGTAGGAGGAGGAGGGAGATTAAGTCTTGGCTCCGCAACTTCAAAGCAGTGGGGTCTGGGCAAGCCTCCTGCTTTCTCTGGGCCCTACATTCCTCATTATGCAATGGGGAGTCTCACCTACCTCTCTTAGGGAGTGCTGGGGAGATAAATGAGCGTGGGTGTGGAAGGTTGTGGACTTGGTCGGCTGGAGCCCTGGCTTTCTGGCTGGGCTGTGATGGTCAGGCTGTAGTCTAGTGGCACCCAGTCTCCTCTCCGCCCACCCTGACACCTTGGGGCACCAGCGGCAGGCCCACTGTTGTCCTTCCTGGGAGAACTTTTCCTGCCCCAGAGCAGTGGTGTTTATGGAAAGAACGTGGCGGGGGAGGCGGGAGGGGGGAAGCTGGATGGGCCGGACTGGGAGGGAGGAGCCTCAGCTCCCGCACAGCCTCTCTTGGCAGGGAGGGTGTGGGCAGCCGTTCCAGCTTCAGCGTCTGGAGCTTGTGGCTCTTCTGCCTGCCGAGGCAGAGCTCTAGGGCCATGGCGGGAGGCCTTCCGGCTCCACCTCAGACAGCTGTTGAGGGCCTGGAAGATGAGGGACTCCTTTTGGTCAGGCTGGAGGTGACCAATCTCCTCACTTCATTTTATTTATTCCACAAACATTCGTTAAGCTCTGGCTACCACATCTGGATCCCAGACCTGGTTAAGCCCCAACTGTGTGCATAGCCTGTGCTGGGGGAAGAGAAAGCCTTAAGGGAAGCGGGGGTCCCTTCTCCTGGAAGCTTATGGTGGAGAAGAGCAGGTTGAATTGGAACCCGGAGCCAGGGCAAGGGAGAGTGGGAGGAGGGAGTGTGGACATTTGGGGAAGACTTCTTGGGGAGGCAAGGCGTGGGCTCAGCTGATTTGGAGGAAATGTATTAAGGAGGCTAACAGCCTGGATGAAGGATGGAGATGCTGAGGGTTTGGGGCTAAGGGAGGGGCTGGCGCAGAATGTTGGAGCTGCACGGACCTCTGGAGTTCATTTTGAGATCCCTGCTGTGGCAGGGATGGGGAAATTGAGCCTAGGGGAGGCCTAACCCCTGTGCCCTTAGAGTGGTAGAACTAGACCGTGAGTCCTAGCGGACCTTGTGTGCCAGGGTTGGGAGCTGGGCAGTGGGTGCTACAGGGGCTCCTGGGCAGGTGAGAGAGCCAGGCCAGCAGGAGGGGCAAGAAGAAGAGTTCTAGCAGGGTGACAAGTCCTTTCTTGGGGGAACCAGACCTCTGAGCCAGCACGGGGGCTGCTCCAGAGGCTTCTTGGCCTTTCTGGGCCTGTGGCTGGGGGAGGCGGGGGCTGGGGTACTGCCAGGCCCTTTCCCTGGATCCTGCCTGCCAGGTTTGCCTGTGGCTGCCTGATAAAGCCTTTTTGTCCAGCCTTCTTCCCCTGACCCCTCCCTCCTACACCCCTGCTGGGGCCATTGTGGGGCTGTGGGGAGTTGCCAGGGCTTAAGCAAAACTATTTGCATGATTCTTGTGGTCCTTGCTTGTGTGTGTGTGTGTGTGTGTGTGTGTGTGTGTGTGTGTGTGTGTATTTGAGGTGGTGTTGCCGTCTTCGAAGTGGGGACCAAGAGGACTCTGCTGCCCAGGTCAAGCCCTGTGCTGTGAAGTGAGGAGTGAGGAGACTGAGACCAGGGCAGGGGATAGGGGGCAGGTCTTGCCCAGGGTCATGCTCTCTGATCCTAGCACCCTGAGATGACAGCATTTCACCCTCAGCTGCTCTGGCCTTTCACTACCCTTTTGACCTGCAATAACCAGTTGCACAAAGAATCCATATTCCCTGTAACGTTGGCTCTGAGCCCAGATAAGGAAGTATGTTTGCAGAAAGGAGCCCGGCGTTTTCTGTGTAAGGTCAGAGATGGAGCCTCCTGCCAGGCGCTAGGAGTTTTTGGTCTGCCCAGCTCTGTTCTGTTTCCTTGGCCAAGTTATCACCTGTCCCTGAACCTCAGTTTCCTTCACTGAACAGGGTGGTGGGGGTGATGGTGGATCCTACTGAACCTGAGGAGTCTGTAACTTTGCTGCTAAAGAATCACTGAGGCAGATTTAGCAAGGGGGTGGTGGTCTGAGGGATCTGGGTTAGATGCCAAGAGGGATTTCCTTATAGAGTTTCTCCAGGAGGCAGCAGGGCGGATGCCAGAGCTCCATGCACCCTCCCAGGAGATTTTCTAGCCCTATCTCTCCTATTCCCTTGGTCTGTGACCTTCTTCTGGATCCTAGAGCCCAGACCCCACCCTGATGTGGGCCAAGTCTGATTCCATCAGGAATGGGGGCTGAGGCAGCTGAGACCTTGGAGTCCCCCTCCTCCTGCACACCCACCCTCTGTCCCCAGGGTTCTGGAAAACTTCTTTCCTTAGACTTGGCTGCTGAGGCTGTGGGGGTGGAGTGGAAGTGAAGGGATGGGCATTTGGTCTGGTGAGACTTGTGGGGTGATAGGTCTGGCTTTCCCTTTTTCTGGCTTCAATTTCCCCATCTGCAATGTGGACATTATGATACCTGCTCTTCTCTACCTTCTGCAGAAATGGAGGAATGGTGAGGGATCTCGTTTTCCTAGTGTTCATGGGGTGGTGGTCTGGGAGAAGTCCCCGTCCTCGTCCTCGTCCCTTTTCTGACCGCCCCCCCACCCCCCGCCCCGGCCTGCTCTTGCTACTGAACTCTGACTAGGCAGGAAGTGAACGCTCTAGAAGCCCGTGGCTGAGGAGTTTTATCAGCTCTTTCTTAACTTTCAGTGTCACAGCCGGGGAATCTTCTCCTGCCGCCGTTTGGTGGCAATAGGGAGGGAGGGGGCGCTTCCCCTGGGGGCCTGATGTGGGCTAGGCTGGAGTTCCAGAGCAGGGCCTGGAAATGTCAGGATGGGTGGTTTATGTTCACAGAGGTGGGAACAGGGGTCCCCTTGGGGGAACCCTGAAGCCCTGGCACCCAGTGATTCAGGACGGAGCTGCGACTTAAGTCCATGCCTCTGGCCCCTCATTCCCCCATCAGGGGCTAGATGGGGGTCAGGAGGCCACCCTAGCATGGTCTCTGACCTCCATTTCTCACCCACAGTGAATCCCTGTTGTTACTATCCATGCCAGCACCAGGGCATCTGTGTCCGCTTCGGCCTTGACCGCTACCAGTGTGACTGCACCCGCACGGGCTATTCCGGCCCCAACTGCACCATCCGTGAGCTGGGCCTTCAGCCCTCACTCCTTCCGTCTTGAGCCCTTCTGCTCCCCGGGCCCTTTCTCCTAGACCCTAACTTCCTACCCTCCTCTCTGACCATGGCCCTGTTCTCCTTCCTTGCCTGGTTCTGCCCCTCTCCCTGACCTGGCTTCAGCATGAGCTCTCGCTCTTGGTCCACCCTCACTCCCTGCTTCTGAGTTCCATGGTGAGTCTTCACCACATGCCCTGGCCCCTGTCCTCACGCCCGGTTCTGTCTCTGTCATGTGTCATTGCTCCCAAGGTTCCATCCTTACCCACTTCCCCATAGGTGCTACTCTGTTCCACCCTGGCCCTTGTCCTCAGTGCCCCATCTTCCACCCTGGCTACTTCTGGTTCTGGTAGGAGGGACCAACTGAGTGACTGCCATTGCCCCTGCAGCTGGCCTGTGGACCTGGCTCCGGAATTCACTGCGGCCCAGCCCCTCTTTCACCCACTTCCTGCTCACTCACGGGCGCTGGTTCTGGGAGTTTGTCAATGCCACCTTCATCCGAGAGATGCTCATGCGCCTGGTACTCACAGGTGGGTGTGGGGCAGGGCCCCCTGACCTGGGGGAGCAAGCAAGCCTGCTAGTCCTTTTGGATTCTTGGCATCTGATAAGGGTAGTGGGTGGGGAGAGTCTATGATGCCTGATAAAATAAGCCCCAACCCAGGAGGAGGCAAGAACTGGGATGGAGCTGGGGGTGGAAACACCCTTGTCACCGTTATTTTTGCTCTCTGCAGTGCGCTCCAACCTTATCCCCAGTCCCCCCACCTACAACTCAGCACATGACTACATCAGCTGGGAGTCTTTCTCCAACGTGAGCTATTACACTCGTATTCTGCCCTCTGTGCCTAAAGATTGCCCCACACCCATGGGAACCAAAGGTAAAATGGGGTGAGGAGCTGGGCCTGGGGATTACAGGAGGTGCTCAGTTCTTCTCTTTGGGAAAAATCAGGCGAAGAACAATTATTGACCCAATTCTGCAGATGGCTAGACCAAGGCAAGACATATGACATGTCCAGAGCCTGGGCTGAGAACAGGCAAGGGCAGCAGAGGGTCTTGCCTGAGGTCACCTAGAGTCAGACCAATGTTTCCATAGTTCCAGGGTGCCTCTTTGCTTGATCCTTTTCTAATGATCAGTTGGGTCCTGCCGGGGTGGAAGTGACTTAGAAGTTGAGATGTAGGAAAGAATAGTGAGCTATTTATTGGGTGCTGTCTCTGTGTTTGGGTCTTTACAGATGTAAATAGTTTTACATGCTTCACCAGTGTAAGGTACAAATAAGCCACATTTTTTTCTTTCGTTACTCAAGACTTCACTTAGCCACACTGGCAGGGGTCTTCCTTGTAAGACCTTCCCATGCCACCTGTAATTATCCAAAAACCTGGGATATTATTCATTTCAGACCCATCAGTTCAGCATCAAGTACAGAGAGGACAAGAGAGGCTCATCAGTCCACTGCTGCTATACTCCAGTTCCTGCCACATGGTGGCACTGTTGAATGCCAGTCCTGTGCAGCCTCATGGTTATGTGCTTTTTTGGGTTCAAAACCTTGCACCATGTCCCTGCTTGGGTCTCAAGAGCACTACTGTGACGGTTTTCCATCATATGGTTAGCTGCTTTTCCCAAAGCATGACTATTCTACCAGGATAGCTGAGTCTTGCCAACTTTGCTGAAATCATGCTTGCCCAGTGTCAGTGAGTGATGATTCCAAATTACGGTTGACAGATCACTCCCTCTAACTTCCCTTTTGGTGGATTTTCTTTAGGGGTACTTGATATTTTTTCCTGCCAGAGGAACCCAGTCAGCCATCTTAATCCAAGTAATTTCCATTGATCTTGAACCTTCAACATCAGGGCTCACATCTTGATGCATTGTGAAGAGATGCCTTTACCAGAACTCAAAAAATTCTATTCCTTTCTGTGAGGGCAATTGGGTGACAACTCATTTGACACTGACATAATTAAGGAAGGCCTCTCAATACTTATTCTAAGGATGACTTGTCTTTATGCCAGACATAGAAAGATTGGCATCATTTAAAATAGGTTGACACACCTATTTTAAGGGGAGCAAGCAAGCCTGCTAGTCCTTTTGGACTCTTGGCATCTGATAAGGGTAGTGGGTGGGGAGAGTCTATGATGCCTGATAGGTGGTGGTGTGGTGGCACACGTCTGTAATCCCAGCACTTTGGGAGGTTGGGGTGGGTGGATTGCTTGAGCTCAGGAGTTCAAGTCCAACCTGGATGACATGGTGAGACACCTTGTCTACAAAAGAATACAAAAGTTAGCTGGGTGAAGTTGTGTGTGCCTGTAGTCCCAGCTACTCAGGAGGCTAAGGTGGGTGGATCAATTGAGCCCAGGAGGTCGAGGCTGTAGTGAGCCATAATTGCGGCACTGCACTCTGGCCTGGGCAATAGAGTGAGACCCTGTCTCAAAAATAAATAAATAAATAAATAAATAAATAAATAAATAAATAAATAGGTTGGCAAACTACAGCCTGCAGGCCAAATTCGGCCCACCTCTCCATTTTTGTAAATAAAGTTTTATTGGAACACAGCCACACACATTTGTTTATGTGTCATCTGTGACTGCTTTCCCGCTACAATAGCAAAAACTGAATAGATGTGACATGTCTGTATGGTCTGCAAAGCCTAAAATGTTTACTATCTGGCTTTTTCCAGAAAAAGCTTGCTGACCTATGATTTAAAAAATTCTACCCACTGGTTCTCTGCCATGCTTACATTATCTCTCGCAGTCCTCAGATTCACTGTATCAAATGGGTATCATTTGCCCCTTTTTAAAGATGGAGAAATTGACACCCAGAGAGATGAGATGATTTATCTGTATTCACACAGCTAGCAAATAGCATAGTCAGTTGCAAACACAGGCTACCTTGACTCAGGGCAAGGGAGTTCATGTTTGTTTTTTTCTGTTTCTTTATTTCTTTTTGGTGAAATGTTTCATTATGGAAAAATTGCAAAGATACACAAAAGTTGAGAGAAAAGCAGAATGAACTATGTACCCATCTTTCAGTTTCAACATTTACCCACAGTTTCTTCATCTTATTTCATTTCTCCCCTCTCATATTTTTATAAAGTATTTTAAATCAAATTCTAAAAATCATGCCACTTAAAATTCTAAAAATCATGCCACTTCACCCATAAATACTTCTAGGGTCTTTTGGTAGAGAGTGGGTTACTTGGTGGTGGTGGGGAGGTGGTCCTGAGGAGGCCACTCTGGGCTTCCTGCTTGGGCCAGTTTGCCTGGTGAGCCCAGATGTCCCCAGGGCAGCAAGATCCAGATAGGAGAAGCTACTGCTGTTTCCTACCCCCCAACCAGGGAAGAAGCAGTTGCCAGATGCCCAGCTCCTGGCCCGCCGCTTCCTGCTCAGGAGGAAGTTCATACCTGACCCCCAAGGCACCAACCTCATGTTTGCCTTCTTTGCACAACACTTCACCCACCAGTTCTTCAAAACTTCTGGCAAGATGGGTCCTGGCTTCACCAAGGCCTTGGGCCATGGGGTGAGTACCTAGGAGGGGCTCAGGACTGCTCTGGACCTAATTTGGCACGCGTATGTCATCGACAGTGGGCCGGCACCCTGGTGACCTGAGGGAACCCCTCTCTGTCCACAGGTAGACCTCGGCCACATTTATGGAGACAATCTGGAGCGTCAGTATCAACTGCGGCTCTTTAAGGATGGGAAACTCAAGTACCAGGTAGTGCTGGGCCAGGGGGTAGGGCAGAGGGAGGGGTCTCCCATGGTCTTCCCTGGCAAAGACTGCTTGGGGCGGGGGTCTGGGTCATGTCCTGAGAGGGCCAACCACGGGAGTGGGAAGCTTGTGCCAGGAGCGACAGTATACGCTGGGAGGAGGCAGCAGGTATGAGAAGCCAGGGAGGAGCAGACGTGGCCTCCCATGTCAGCCAGGGAGGTGGATTTTGGAGCTCAACAGGAGATGAACATTTGTAGTCTGCATTTATTTATTTAATTATTCCACAATATTAATTGGACACGAGAATATACCTGGCACAGGTGATTGAGTAGTGACCATTATAGTTAATGGGCCCTGCCCTCAAAAAACCACAGGCAAACTCTAGGATGTTCATTCTATGAGGGCTTTTGTTTAAATCAGAACGGTCCAACAGAAATATAATGTGAACCACATACATAGTTAAAATTTTCTAATGTCCATATTAAAAGAGGGAAAAAGAAACAGGTGAAATGATTTTAATAATACATTTTACTTAATGCAATATGTCCAGGTAATTAGCATTTTAGCATGTAATCAATACATTATTAATAAAATATGTCACATTCTTTTTTCATGCTGAAGCTTCAAAATCTGGTGTATATTTCACACTCACAGGGCATCTCAATTTGGATGCTCTATTTTCACTGGAGTGATCTAATCTGTATTAAGATTTCATAAAATGTACAGCTGAATAAGTAGAGTGACATGTCCGACTTGTTCCACGCATACTTAAAGGTTTTCCAATAGCTGAAGTATCAGTTTTAAAATTCAAATAGAAATTAAGATAAACCTAAATAAAATAAATTAAGTAACATTCAGTTCTTCATTCACACTAGCCAAATTTCTAGTGCTCAGTAGCTACACGTGGCTAGTGGCTACCATATTGGATCGTACAAATCTTAGGCAAGCACCAAAACAAAGTTTGATGCTGAATCTTTAGGGCTAAGAACAGTACTTGGCATGTAGTAGTCTCTTGGCATGTATTTACTGAATGAATGAAGAAGCTGCCATATAATTAGGTACACTTGTAGCTGCCACCAAGGAGAAGCTGTGAGTGCCACTAGAGTGTTTGGATGATGGGTAAAACTTCCCTAGGAAGTTACAAATAAACCCAGAGTTGCATAAAGGATGAGGAGGAGTTAGGGATGCTAAGAATGGGAGAGGGCTTTCCAGGTAGAGGGTTTAGCAAGTACAAAAGCTTAGAGGTGGAGAACAGCTTGGTGACTTGGAGGGAGTGTAAAAATGGGAGCGTTTGCTGAGCCTAGTGATGGAGCGTAAGAATGACTTTACAGGAAGGTGGAGATGTCTGTGGGGACCGTGTTAAGGAATTCTACTTTCTGCCAAGAGCAGAGAGAGTATTTGGAAAGGTTTTAAGTCAGCTCATGATGCAAGATTTGTTGTTTTTTTTTTTTTAAGTTTTTTTTTTCTTTTTTTTTTTTTTCTTTTTTGCTTGGGTGCAGTGCAGAGACTGGCCTGTCTGGGGATAGGAGTGGAAATAGGGAGCCCACTTAGGGAAAGGAGTCAGAGTGGAAGATGAGCGGGGGTTGCTTGAGGTAGTGGTGGTAGAGATGGAGAGCAGGGGACTGATTTTAAGAGACATTTTGGAGGTGGAATCAACAGCCTTGGCTGAGGGGAACTGGCAGCTGGAGGCAGGAGTGGGAGGGAGTTGGTTGTGGGCAGCTGTGGGTGACCCCCAACCCCAGGTTGCCAGGTGGCCCCATCCCACAGGTGCTGGATGGAGAAATGTACCCGCCCTCGGTAGAAGAGGCGCCTGTGTTGATGCACTACCCCCGAGGCATCCCGCCCCAGAGCCAGATGGCTGTGGGCCAGGAGGTGTTTGGGCTGCTTCCTGGGCTCATGCTGTATGCCACGCTCTGGCTACGTGAGCACAACCGTGTGTGTGACCTGCTGAAGGCTGAGCACCCCACCTGGGGCGATGAGCAGCTTTTCCAGACGACCCGCCTCATCCTCATAGGTGAGGACTCCAGACCTGCCCTGCCCTGGAAGGTCATTCCCTCCATCCTGAGAAGTTGGGGGCGGGGGGGTACTTAGAGGTGGAGGCTGGGATTAGAATCCTCACCCTTCTGCTTAGTGGCTAGAAGACCTTGAGCAGGCCCCTCAACCTCTGTGAGCCTCGGTCTCCAAATCTGTACGTTGGGGTGAACGATGATTGTAAGGATTTATTGAGATCATGAATGGGAAGGCAACTAGCACATAGCAGGCCTTCAGAAAATAGATGACTGTGATGGTTGATTATTAGCTGGGTGACTCAGCACATTTGATTAGCCACCCTGAGTCTCGGTTTCCCCTGTGTGCTGCGCCCGGATGCATACTTGTGGTCCCCAGCACGTGCAGGGTCAAACTGTAACTTGCCCGGCCTTCAGGAATCTTCATGTTCCCTTCCCTGCATGTATCTACCTTCCTGCAGTTTGGTAGCTTCTAGGTGACTCAGGGACAGGATATTTTTGTGTTCCCTATGGGGGCGAGTCTGCAACCTAAAATGTCAGATGGTTTCCTGCCTGGGAGCTTGGCCCCTGACATCCCTGTCCAGACCATGTTCGCTCTGAGTCACCAGTAACTCCCTTCCCCCACCTCTGGCACCACTGGGCATGGCTGGTCCCAATTATAGAGCCTAATTCACTGGAGCCATGAAGAGCCAGGCATTGGGAATAGGAACAGTCATTAGAGGGAAGAGGGGCTGGTTCTGAAGTTTCAGCGTTGCAAAGACCTTGACCTGAGAGAGCTGGAGGCTGTCCAGCACACTGGCTGGAGATGAAGCTGTGACCAAAGGCAGGACCCTAGGGCACCATTTAACTCCCCTACAACCTCATGAGCCGGGTATGATTACCCTGTGAAAATCAAGATTCAGAGAGGTGAAGTGAACTCTCCAGGGACACTCAGCAGATGGAGACTTGAGGTCTGGTTGCCACCAAAATCTATGCTACTTCCACTCCATCACAAAGGGGGCTCTTCTTGAATGGGAAGGGGTTGCAAACCTGAGTCTGATCTGTGACATGTGAGTATTGGAAAGGGATTCCCCCTCGCGTCTACACTTAGTATTCCTACTTTTGGCTGACATATATGGACACCCCGTCTTATGCCAGGCACTGTGCCAGCAGTTTTGCTGTATTCATTGTCTACTTCTCTCAACAACCCTAATATAGTATTGCATTGATGTTATTATTATTATTATTTGAGATGGAGTCTTGTTCTGTTGCCCACACAGTAGTGCAATGGCGTGATCTTGGCTCACTGCAACCTCTGCCTCCCGGGTTCGAGCAATTCTCGTGTCTCAGCCTCCCGAGTAGCTGGGATTACAGGTGCCCGCCACCATGCCTGGCTAATTTTTGTATTTTTAGTAGAGACAGGGTTTTGCCATGTTGGCCAGGATGATCTTGAACTGCTGACCTCAGGTGATCCACCCGCCTTGGCATCCCAAAGTTCTGGGTTTATAGGCATGAGCCACAGCGCCTGGCCGCACTGATATTATTATAACACACATTTTACAGTTAAGGAAAGTGAGATTCTGAGAGATTAAGTAACTCAGCCCAAGCTCAGGTGGCTGGAAATGGTAAAGCCAAGATTTGAATCCAGGTCTGCTGATCCCACAGTCTGTAGCTCCAGGTCGATTTCCAAAAGCCAATTTGTCTAATGGCTAATTGGCCTGCATATCAGTTTCTTTCAATATCTAGTTGCCCAGTTTTAATTTTGTTACAGAATGTTCAATTTGCATTTTCCCTGGCTTTTTGCTTTCTAGCTGGTTATAGCTACAAATGGGGCAGAGGAAAAACTTATTTATAAGAATCCTGTTATATAAGAACATATAGGAAATATGTTTTTTGAAATATATTTAGGGCTAGGCTCCCCTTCTGTCCTCAGTATTCTCTTTTGCCACTGCAGCAGCTCTGAGTGGTCTCCTTGAAGTCCCCCTCTATCACCGAGGGTGTCAGCATGATGACAGCTCTCACCAGTAAATCCTCCACTTTTCCATCTTTTGTAGTCTCTCCACCTTCTTTTAATGGGCTTCAGGAGGGAGGTCATAAGACCAATTCTTGGACACCTCCTTTGCATGTCCTGCTTAGCTGGGCCTAGAACCTCCCTCTGAAATGTGGGAGTAGCTGGTGCTCTTGTCTTGAGACCTCAGTCAAAATAGACCAAAAGTTCTATTTTCACATCCTGTTACAAAGAGACAAAATGGAAGAGGCCAAACAAAATTAAACATCAACAGCAAGGCCAGGTGTGGTGGCTCACACTTGCAATTCCAGGGCTTTTGGGAGGCTGAGGTGAGAGAAGTGCTTGAGACTTGCAGTTCAAGACCAGCCTGGATAACATAGTGAGACCCCATCTCTTAAAAAAAAAAAAAAAGAAAGAAAGAAAGCTGGGTGTGGTGGTACACCTGTGGTCCCAGCTACTTGGGAGGCTGAGGTGGGAGGATTGCTTGAGCCCGGGAAAGTTCAGGCTGAAGTGAGCTGTAATTATACCATTGCGCTCCAGCTTGGGTGACAGACCAAGACCTTGTCTGTAAAAATAAAAATAAACATCAACAGCAACAACAACAATAAAGAGACCAAAAGCAAGCACCTCTCATGAACTGGCCTGCTTTCCAAGCTGGGCATCTAAATCACTGTGCTTGGCTGACCCTATTTCCAATCCTGCCCTGCCCAGGGGAGACCATCAAGATTGTCATCGAGGAGTACGTGCAGCAGCTGAGTGGCTATTTCCTGCAGCTGAAATTTGACCCAGAGCTGCTGTTCGGTGTCCAGTTCCAATACCGCAACCGCATTGCCATGGAGTTCAACCATCTCTACCACTGGCACCCCCTCATGCCTGACTCCTTCAAGGTGGGCTCCCAGGAGTACAGCTACGAGCAGTTCTTGTTCAACACCTCCATGTTGGTGGACTATGGGGTTGAGGCCCTGGTGGATGCCTTCTCTCGCCAGATTGCTGGCCGGGTAAGCCCCAGAGGAGTGCTGGTGAGGGCAGGTGGGCTGAGGGATCCAGCAGACCTGGGTCCAAATTCCAGGTTCTTCTTCTGTAAAATGGGGCTGATGTCACTTCTACAGGGCAGTTGTAAGCATTCCTGTGTGAGTTCATTGGTTCATTTGTCCATTCCACAATACCAGACATTACTCCAGGTACTGGAGATGTAGTGGGAACAAGACTTTTGTGGTTCTTGGCTCATCTTTTAGTGCTCCCACCCTAGAAAGTGATGGCAGTCATACGACAGCTGACAGCATTAGGGCCCTTACTGCGTGTCAGGCACTGTTCTAAGAGCTTCTCCTATGTTATCAGAATTCTAAGAGTATGTTATAAACCATAGTAGAAAAGCCCACCATGCTCTGGGAGTCAGGAAGGGACATCTGACCCAGAGTTGCGGGTTATGGGAAAAGAAGGGATGTCCAAGCAGAAATTGGAAGGAGGGATAGAGATTTCCCAGGGTAAGAGGTGGTGTTAGTGGCAGGGGATGGCTGTGTTCCAGATAGAGAGGACGGCATGGGTGAAAGGCATGGAAGTCAGAGGACATGGCAGTTTGAGGAACAGAAGGACATTCAGGGCATGGTAATGTATGTAACAGTGCCCGCCTATGGTGTTTATTAAATCATAAGCCTCCGCTCTGGGCTGAATTGTGGCTCTTTTAAAGTTCGTATGTTGAAATCCTAACCGCCAGAACCTTAGTATGTGACTGCATTTGGAGACAAGGTCTTTAAAGAGGTAATTAAGTTTAATTGAGGTCATTAGGCTGGGCCCTAATCCAGTGTGACTTATAAGAAGAAGAGATTAGGTCACACACACAGAGGGAAGGCCACATGAAGATGTAGGGAGAAGAAAGCCATCTACAAGCCAAGGAAAGAGGCCTCAGGAGATACCAACCCTGCTGACACCTTGATCTTGAACCTCTGGTCTCCAGACAGAGGAAATAATTTCTATTGTTTGAGCCACTCATTCTGTGGTACATTGTCATGGCAGCCCTAGCAAACAAACACATTCTCTTTCCCTGGAATTCCCAGCCAACGCCTTCCTCAATCTCCCCTTCTCCACATTCGGAAGCTCCCATCTGCTTCATCGCAGTCTCTGGCTCCCCTGTTGCCTCACAGTCCTCTGCTTCTCTCTAATCCTTGTCCCTAAACCCTGTCATGAAGCTGTGGCACACATGGATTTCCATTTCCTTCTGGTAATTTGACTGAAATTAGCATTTGCTGCCCCGGTGGGCAGCTGCTGGCTGCTTTATGGCCTCTTTGTCGGTTTCTTTATGGTTCTTTGTGGGGACACAAGACATGAACAGAGACAATAGCCTTTGTGTGAGGCTGGATGGTTTTCAGAACGTTTTCAAGGAATGACCATGATGATGTACGTGAAAAGCCCCGGCGTCGTACCTGGCACAAGGCAGAAAGGCCGCAGAGATGTATGGACTGTCAAGATTTTTTTTCTTTTTTCTTTTTTTTTAAATAGAGATGGGGTTTTGCCATATTGCCCAGGCTGGTCTTGAACTCCTGGGCTCAAGCGATCTGCCCGCCTAGGCCTCTCAAGGTGCTGGGATTATAGGCGACTCTCAGGATATTAAGAAGAGTGAGTGATGATAAGACAGGGCTTCCCCTGATAACCATTGTCCATGGCTACCCTCTCAGGGGTTCCCATGTGACCAATACTGAGATAACAGCTTTGCATAGTTTATCCCATTTAAATTGACCACAGCCATATCAGGTAGATGCTCTTCCCTTCCCCATTTTTACATATGCGGGAACTCAAACTTAGCTTGAATAGCTGCCCAAGGTCCCTATATTAGTTTCCTCAGGCTGCTGCAACAAAGTACCACAAACTGGGAAGCTCAGAGCAACAGATGGAGGCTAGAAGTCTGAATTCAAGGTGTCAGCAGTGCCATGTTCTCTCTCAAGGCTCTATGCCTCCTTGGCATCTGGTGGTGGCCGACAGTCCCTGGCATTCCTCAGCTTGCAGAGGCATCGCTCTAGTCTCTGCCTTTATCATCCTGTGGTGCTCTCCCTGAACTTGTCTTTCCTCATTTTATAAAGACACCAGTTATTGGATTGGAGCCCACCCTAATCCAGTAGGATCTCATCTTAACTTGATTACTTTTGCAAAGACTTCATTTCCAAATAAGGATGCATTCACGGATGCAGAGAGTTAGGGCTTCAACACATATTTAATATTTTAGGGAACACAATTCAACCCTCAACAGCCCCACAGCTTGTAAAGCTGTAATTGGCACCATCCTCTGCTTGCTTTGCTCATATTATTTCATCCAACCATGCCTTTCTTTTTTGCCCAATTATAGTTGTTGATCAAAATGACTATCTCTTAAGCATGAACGTTATTATTTCATCCTAAGCACCAGAGCTTTCTTTTCTTTCCTTTTTTTTTTTTTTTTTTTTGAGATACAATCTTGCTCTCTTGCCTGGGCTGGAGTGCAGTGGTGTGATTTTGGCTCACTGTAACCTCTATCTCCTGGGTTCAAGTGATTCACCTGCCTCAGTCTCCCAAATAGCTGGGATTACTGGCACCTGCCACCACGCCCAGCTAATTTTTGTATTTTTAGTAGAGACGAGTCTTTGCCATGTTGGCCAGGCTGGTCTTGAACTCCTGGCCTCAAGTGATCCACCCGCCTCGGCCTCCTAAGGTGCTGGGATTACAGGCACAAGCCACTGTGCCTGGTCAGCACCAGAGCTTTCTTTAGACTAATGCGCCTTAACTGTTAGTAATCAGAATCTTTTTCTGCAGCTTTTTTATCTTGCCAGGTTACCTGGGCTTTGAGTTCTATTTTCCCTCCCTTCACAGGGGGTTACACTACCTCTTGGTGTAATTCAACGGTCTGGGGAGCAGTGTGAGCCACAAAAGAGGTCCTCTTGGCCCATTCCACACTTCAAAGATGAGGAAGCTGCCGGATGTGGTGGTTCATGCCTGTAATCCCGGCAGTTTGGGAGGCTGTGGTGGGAGGATCATTTGAGACCAGGAGTTTGAGACCAGCCTGGGCAATATAGTGAGACCTCACCTCTACAAAAATAAAATAAAACAAAATTAGCCAGGCATGGTGGCACGTGTCTGTAGTCCTAGCTACTTGAGAAGCTGAGGTGGGAGGATTGCTTGAGCCTGAGGAAGTTGAGGCTACACTGAGTCAAGATCATGCCACTGCACTCCAGCCAGGGCAACAGAGTGAGACAGTGTCTAAAAAAAAACCCACAAAAAAAAAATGAGGAAGCTGAGACTCAGAGGGGCTTCCTGAGAGAGCATGACAGCAGCAGGCCCGGGGCAGGTCTGCAGCATCACAACTGCTAGGCTGCCCAACACTCTCCATCCTAGCTCAGAAGGGACTCCCACTGGAAGCTCTTGTCCCAGGAACTTACCCAGGCTCCAGGACAGCCTGGCCTGGCTCCCAGACCACTGCTGTGCTTCTCTCTCGGCAGATCGGTGGGGGCAGGAACATGGACCACCACATCCTGCATGTGGCTGTGGATGTCATCAGGGAGTCTCGGGAGATGCGGCTGCAGCCCTTCAATGAGTACCGCAAGAGGTTTGGCATGAAACCCTACACCTCCTTCCAGGAGCTCGTAGGTGAGCAGCTGTTTCCTGGATGCAGTCCCTGCCCTTGAGGGACTGGCAGCAAAGTCAGGGAGACATCAAGGAAATAGAACGGGACAATACATGCGGCAATGTGTAACAACCAGACTTATAATGGGCGTGGAAGTGCTGTGCCAGGGTGGTAAATAAGCCTGCTTGGGGAGAGAAGGTGACTTTTCAGCTGGGTTTGGAGAACAAATGGCATTTTCAGTGGGAGAAGAGAGGGAGGAGTGTTTTAGGCAGAGCAATAGAAAGTACAAAGGCTGCCGGGCAAGGTGGCTCGCGCCTGTAATCCTAGCACTTTGGGAGGCTCAGGCGGGTGGATCACGAGGTCAGGAAATCGAGACCATCCTGGCTAACACGATGAAACCCCGTCTCTACTAAAAATACAAAAAATTAGCCGGGCATGGAGGCAGGCGCCTGTAGTCCCAGCTACTCGGGAGGCTGAGGCAGGAGAATGGTGTGAACCTGGGAGGCAGAGCTTGCAGTGAGCTGAGATTGCGCCACTGCACTCCAGCCTGGGCGACAGAGCGAGACACCATCTCAAAAAAAAGAAAGTACAAAGGCATAGAGGTCAGACAGCAGGTATCTAGGGAAACAGTCATAGATGTGGCTGGGGCAAGGAGCTTATGTTGTGGGAATGATTAGTGATGGGAGGTTGGGGCCAAACCGTGTAGAATCTTGGTTTTCATACTAAATATTTTGAGTTTTATTTGGTCTAGTGCTTTCTAAGTACCCACTTACGGGCCAGCTGCATAAAAATCATTTAGAAAGCTGATTAAGATACCAAATCTCAGATGCCTCTCCTACGGATTCTGATTCAACCAGCCTGGGTGGTGCCCAAGAATCTGCGTATTCATATGAATAAAGTATATATACATATATATGAATATATATATGAATAGAGTATATATACATATATATCAATATATACATATACATATCAATACATATATACATATACACACACATATATATGTGTGTGTATATATATACTATATATATACATATATATATATACATATATATATATACATATATATATACATATATATATACATATATATATATATATACATATATATATATATATATTTCCCCCAATATCCTCAGATGTTGGGCAGCCAAGTTTCCAGCCCTTGTCACATACAATGGGGAGCCACTGAAGCAGGTGTGACATGGCCCATGAGAGTTCCCAGTGGAGGATGGATTTGAGGAACTGGGCAGGGAAGCAGGGAAGCTCCATATTTGTCTCCCCTTGGCCACATGAACATGTGGATATTGCAGAGTGGAGCAGATTCTGTGCATGAGCTCCTTGTGATCCTGGAACAGCATCTTATTCTTTACTCTCCCATGACAAATGGTCCCCGGGGGCAGAAGGAACACTGCCACTGAATTTCTGTGTGAGCTCGGACATGTTACATCTTTGAGCTCTAGTAGTAAAAGGGCTTGGCCCAGGCTAAGGTCTTGAAATCTGTCTGTGAAGGAAGCCAGATGGGGAGCATTCTCCCTTCTGTGATGATCAGGTAATTAGGGCCCAGAGTTGCTCAAGGTTATAGGCTGTTTGGTGGCAGATCTAGGCCCCTGACTTTCTCTTTAGTAGCATTTTCCTTCCCTAGACCCAGTCCCTGAGGAGGGGCAATTTGTGCTTTTCCTCTTGACCCTTTTCCCCAGTGCCAACCATGCCAAATTCTAGGGCACATGCTCAGTTGCTCAAGTTAGTCTCCTGGAGTCCCTATTATCCCCAGAAAAAGGTGGACCTGGAAGGGTCCCGCCCCAGGTTGACCTTAATGGCATCATGGATCTGATGCTAGCATTTCCCCTTATCTCCTTGTAGGAGAGAAGGAGATGGCAGCAGAGTTGGAGGAATTGTATGGAGACATTGATGCGTTGGAGTTCTACCCTGGACTGCTTCTTGAAAAGTGCCATCCAAACTCTATCTTTGGGGAGAGTATGATAGAGATTGGGGCTCCCTTTTCCCTCAAGGGTCTCCTAGGGAATCCCATCTGTTCTCCGGAGTACTGGAAGCCGAGCACATTTGGCGGCGAGGTGGGCTTTAACATTGTCAAGACGGCCACACTGAAGAAGCTGGTCTGCCTCAACACCAAGACCTGTCCCTACGTTTCCTTCCGTGTGCCGGATGCCAGTCAGGATGATGGGCCTGCTGTGGAGCGACCATCCACAGAGCTCTGAGGGGCAGGAAAGCAGCATTCTGGAGGGGAGAGCTTTGTGCTTGTCATTCCAGAGTGCTGAGGCCAGGGCTGATGGTCTTAAATGCTCATTTTCTGGTTTGGCATGGTGAGTGTTGGGGTTGACATTTAGAACTTTAAGTCTCACCCATTATCTGGAATATTGTGATTCTGTTTATTCTTCCAGAATGCTGAACTCCTTGTTAGCCCTTCAGATTGTTAGGAGTGGTTCTCATTTGGTCTGCCAGAATACTGGGTTCTTAGTTGACAACCTAGAATGTCAGATTTCTGGTTGATTTGTAACACAGTCATTCTAGGATGTGGAGCTACTGATGAAATCTGCTAGAAAGTTAGGGGGTTCTTATTTTGCATTCCAGAATCTTGACTTTCTGATTGGTGATTCAAAGTGTTGTGTTCCTGGCTGATGATCCAGAACAGTGGCTCGTATCCCAAATCTGTCAGCATCTGGCTGTCTAGAATGTGGATTTGATTCATTTTCCTGTTCAGTGAGATATCATAGAGACGGAGATCCTAAGGTCCAACAAGAATGCATTCCCTGAATCTGTGCCTGCACTGAGAGGGCAAGGAAGTGGGGTGTTCTTCTTGGGACCCCCACTAAGACCCTGGTCTGAGGATGTAGAGAGAACAGGTGGGCTGTATTCACGCCATTGGTTGGAAGCTACCAGAGCTCTATCCCCATCCAGGTCTTGACTCATGGCAGCTGTTTCTCATGAAGCTAATAAAATTCGCTTTCTAAAGTTACCTGTTATATATCTCTTTTGGTCCCATCCTCTAAAGCAGAGGCAACACTGGAACATGGCTAGCCTTTCTTGTAGCCATGGCTGGGCGTGCTAGAGGTTGCAGCATGAGACTTTCTGCTGGGATCCTTGGGCCCATCACTGTATAGACATGCTACCACTGGTACTTCCTTTCTCCCTGCGGGCCAGGCACTGCCCTTTTCAGGAAGCTCTCTTAAAATACCCATTGCCCCAGACCTGGAAGATATAACATTCAGTTCCCACCATCTGATTAAAACAACTTCCTCCCTTACAGAGCATACAACAGAGGGGGCACCCGGGGAGGAGAGCACATACTGTGTTCCAATTTCACGCTTTTAATTCTCATTTGTTCTCACACCAACAGTGTGAAGTGCGTGGTATAATCTCCATTTCAAAACCAAGGAAGCAGCCTCAGAGTGGTCGAGTGACACACCTCACGCAGGCTGAGTCCAGAGCTTGTGCTCCTCTTGATTCCTGGTTTGACTCAGTTCCAGGCCTGATCTTGCCTGTCTGGCTCAGGGTCAAAGACAGAATGGTGGAGTGTAGCCTCCACCTGATATTCAGGCTACTCATTCAGTCCCAAATATGTATTTTCCTAAGTGTTTACTATGTGCCAGTTCCTGTAACAGGTGTGGGGACACAGCAGTGAGTAATCAATACAGACAAGGTTCTGCCCTTATGGAGCTCACACTCCAGTGGCAGACAAACAGACCATAAATAAGGAAACGATGAAATAAGATATATACAAGGTGAGTGTGACTTCCCTTCTAACCCCCTCTGCTCTGTCCTCCCCTATTGCGCTCTCAAGACCAGAGACCCAACAGCAGTGATCTCAGGGCAGACAGCCCTCCACTCCAGCTCTGAGACCCTTTTCTCAGGACCTCTGTAGGCAGCAGAGAGAGAGGACAGAGGGGTAAGATGAGGGGTTGAGGGAAGGTTCTTCATGATCCACACTTTGGGCTTAGTATTTCTCAGGAAGAGCTATGGCCCAGAAACAACAGGGGAAACTAGAGTTCGGTCTGACAGTCCTTGGGGTTAAGTCTCCTGTCTTATGGTCCAGAAACTCCTGTTTCTCCTTAGTTGGCTGGAAACTGCTCCCATCATTCCTTCTGGCCTCTGCTGAATGCAGGGAATGCAATCCTTCCCTGCTCTTGCAGTTGCTCTGACGTAGAAAGATCCTTCGGGTGCTGGAAGTCTCCATGAAGAGCTTGTGTCCTGTCCTTTCTTGCAGATTCTATTTCCCCTCTTCTGCTAATACCTCTTACTTTGCTTGAGAATCCTCTCCTTTCTTATTAATTTCAGTCTTGGTGGTTCTATCAGGGGTGCATTCTGGCCAAGGGGTGGGCCTGTGAATCAATCCTGGGCAATCAGACACCCTCTCCTTAAAAACTGGCCCGTGGAGACTGAGATCACTGACTCTGACTCATCCCCACAGCTGGCTCTGACAAGATGGTCCATTTGTTCCTGCTTCCGAGATCCCCAGGGCAGCCTGGATCCCTGCCCTTCTCAAGACTTTAGCTTTTCCTTCCATCCGGTGGCCTATTCCAGGAATTCCTCTTTTGCTTAAATCAGTTGGAGTTTGTGTCTGTTGCTTGTAATCAAGCCTTTATGGCTGCTGGGCTGAGTGACACAAGCACTTTAATGGCCTGGAGGGACTTTTAATCAGTGAAGATGCAATCAGACAAGTGTTTTGGAAAGAGCACCCTCGAGAAGGGTGGATGACAGGGCAGAGCAGGAAGGACAGGAAGCTGGCAGAACGGAGGAGGCTGCAGCCGTGGTCCAACCAGGAGCTGATGGCAGCTGGGGCTAGGGGAAGGGCTTTGAGGGTGGAAGGATGGGATGGGTTCCAGAGGTATTCCTCTCTTAAATGCAAGTGCCTAGATTAGGTAGACTTTGCTTAGTATTGACAACTGCACATGAAAGTTTTGCAAAGGGAAACAGGCTAAATGCACCAAGAAAGCTTCTTCAGAGTGAAGAATCTTAATGCTTGTAATTTAAACATTTGTTCCTGGAGTTTTGATTTGGTGGATGTGATGGTTGGTTTTATTTGTCAGTTTGGTTGGGCTATAGCACACAGTTATTTAATCAAACAGTAATCTAGGTGTGGCTGTGAAGGTATTTTGTAGATGTGATTAACATCTACAATCAGTTGACTTTAAGTGAAAGAGATTACTTAAATAATTTGGGTGAGCTGCACCTGATTAGTTGAAAGGCCTCAAGAACAAACACTGCAGTTTCCTGGAAAAGAAGAAACTTTGCCTCAAGACTATAGCCATCGACTCCTGCCTGAGTTTCCAGCCTGCTAGTCTGCCCTATGGATTTGAAGTTTGCCAACCCCAACAATTGTGTGAATTAATTTCTAAAAATAAAGCTATATACAGCCATCCTTTGGTATTTGTGGGGGATTTGTTTCAGGATCTCTACAGATACCAAAATCTGTGGTTCCTCAAGTCCTTTATATGAAGTGGTATAGTATTTGCATATAACCTATGTGCAATCTCCTGTATAACTTCAATCATCTCTAGATTACTTATAATACCTAATACAGTGTAAATGCTAGTTGTTATACTGTATTTTTTCTTTGTATTATTTTTATTGTATTTGAATATTTTGATCTGCATTTGGTTGAATTCACAGATATGGAACCCATGGATATGGAGGATATGTGCACATATATTCAGGACTGAATATATATATTATACATATATATACACACAGAACTGAATATATATATATATATATACACACACACGACTGAATATATATATATATATATATATATATACACACAGGACTGAATATATATATATATATACACAGGACTGAATATATATATATATATACAAGACTGAATATATATATACATATACAAGACTATATATATATATTCAAGACTGACTATATATATATTCAAGGCTGACTATATATATTCAAGACTGACTATATATATATTCAAGACTGACTATATATATATATTCAAGACTGACTCTCTCTCTATATATTCAAGACTGAATATATATATATATATATATTTCTATCTCTCTAATAATACAAGAACAGAAAACCAAATACTGCATGTTCTCACTTATGCGTGGGAGATGAATGATGAGAATACGTGGACATATGGTGGGGAACAACACATGCTGAGGCCTGTCGGAGGGTGGGAGGTGGGCCATCAGGAAGAATAGCTAATGTTAATACCTAGCTGATGGGATGATCTGTGCAGCAAACTACCATGGCACACGTTTACCTGTGTAACAAACCTGCACATCCTACACGTGTAACCAATATATGTATATTATTATTCAAGTTCCAATAATCAAATAATACACAAACCACTGTATTATTTGATTATTGGAAATCAAATAATAATAATAATAATAATAATAATAATAATATACATATATTCTGTTGGTTCTAATTCTCTGGAGAACCCCGACTAATACAATGGGTGATTCATTCAGGACTCTCAATGCAAACAACAGAACATTCTCTAGCCTGTATAAGCAGGAAGGAATTTATTATAGGACATTACATAGCTCATGGAGCCACTGGGAGGACCAGGGAATTAGGCTTGGAGGGTTTGCACCTAGGAATGGTGGCCACTGTCCAGTGGAGATGCCTCTACTACTGCCATGGACACAGCATCTCAAATGACACCTTTGCTGCCCAAACCCCACTACTGCTGCCTTCCAAAACAGGCTGCTTCTACAGCCACTTTTGCTGGAAAATGGAATCTGTGTGATACTTGCTTCCTCTCTTTTCTCTACTTAGAATTAAAATTATCTTTATTTTGTGTCGGATTGGTGGAGCCCAGCTCATGTGTCTGTACTGCAGCTACAAGAAAGAATGGAAAGTGAGTTTTCTGGTTTGTGCCTTGAAAAGGAGGAACCCATGATAAGGAAAATTCCTCATACATAGGGAAGGTGTTCAAAGGGGCTGGGAAACGTGGAAAGTCTGCTTCAGTGAATCTGAATTTTCTTAGTTCTGTTCTGCCTCTGTGGGCCCTATCCCTAGAATGTTACAAAGACCATCACAATGGCCTTACTGTTGACCTGGTAGCAGCTCGATATAGTTGCAAGCAAAGAGCTTAAGAAGTGAAGTTATGTAATTATAGAACAACAGAGAAACAAAGACTGTTGGGTACACACAGTCCACTCTTTTAGTAATTTTTGAGTTAAAAAAAGTGTCAGAAACGCAGGAGGCAGAGCAAGAAGGCAGAATAGAAGCTTCTACCAATTGTCTTCCCCACAGGAACACCAAATTTAACAACTGTCTACACAAAAAATGCACCTTCATTAGAACCAAAATTCAAGTGAATGATTGTAGTACCTGGTTTTAACTTTATATTACTGAAAGAGGCACTGAGGAGGGTAGGAAGGATGGTCTTGAATTGCCAGAGCCATCCCTCCCCGATCCCTGGCAGCAGCCACATGGCACAGAGAATCTGTGTAGGGAGAGTGTAGTGGTTGTAGGACTTTGTGTTAGAACTCAGTGTTGCCTTGTTACACTGGAAAGCAACACCAGGCAGAACTCAGCTAATACCCATGAGGGAGAATTTAGATCAGCCCTAGCCAGAGGGGAAGCATCCATCCCAGTTGCTGAATGGGCTAAAGGGCTCTGGGGTTCTAAATAAACTTGAAAGGCAGTATAGGCCACAAGGATTACAACTCCTAGGAAAGTCTGATCTGCGCTTGGAGCCAGTGGACTTGAGGGGCATGTGACCTGCTGCGATAGCCAAGGGAGTGCTTGTGCCACCCCTCTCCCAACCCTAGGCAGTGCAACTCACAGCTCTCAAAGAGACTCCTTCCTTCAGCTTGAGGAGAGAAGAGTAAAGAGGACTTGTCTTGCCACTTGGATACCAGCTCAGCCACAGTAGTTTAGGGCACCGGGCAGAGTCCTGAGGCACCCATTCCAGGACCTAACTTCCAGATGACATTTCTAGACATATCCTGGGCTTATATGGGCCATATAAGGCAGAAGGGAACCTGTTGCCTTGAATGAAAGGATCTAGTCCTGATAGTATTCACCACCTGCTGACTAAAGTGCCCTTGGGCCCTGAATAATCAGCAGCAGTAGCCAGGTAGTACACACTATGGCCCTTGAGTGAGATTCTGAGATGTGCTGACTTCAGGTGTGACCCAGCACATTCCCAGCTGTGGTGGCTATGGGGAGAGACTCCTTCTACTTGAGAAAAGCAGGGGGAAAAGTAAAGGGGATTTCATCTTGCAGCTTAGGTACTAGCTCGGCCACAGTGGGGCAGAGCACCAAGTGGGCTCTCAGTATCCCTGATTCCAGGCCTTGGCTCTCGCACAGCATTTCTGGACCTGACCTGGGCCAGAGGGGAGACCACTGCCCTGATACGTGAGTCCTAGGTCTGGCAGCATTCACCACAAGCTTCCTGAAGAGCTCTTGGCCTTGTGTGAACATTGGTGGTAGCCAGGCAGTACTCCCCATGGGCCTGTGGTGGTGCTGGCCATGGGGAGAGACTCCTCTGCCTGTGGGAAGGGGAGGGATGAGTGGGAAAGACTTGACTTGTAGCTTTGTCTGCAGCTCAGCTGCAGTAGAATAGAACACAAGGCAGATTCTTAAGATTTTCAACTCCAGGCTCTGGTCCCCAAACAGCATCTACGGACCTGCTTGGGGGAACTCGCTGCCCTGAAGGGAAGGACACAAGCTTGGCTGACTTACTGCCTGCTAACTGCAAAGCCCTAAAGCCTTGAGTAAACAAAGGTGGTGGTAGCCAGGTAGTGGTTATAATGGGCCTTGGGTAAGAAACAGTGCTGTGCTGGCTTCAGGTCTGACCTAGTGCAGTCCCAGTGGTGGTGGCCACAGGGGTGCTTGTGCCACCCCTCCCCCAGTTGTAGGCAGCTCAGCACAGAGACAGAGAGACTCTGTCTGTTTGGGAGAAAGTAAGGGAAGAGAACAAGAATATCTGCCTGGTAATCCAGACAATTCTTCCAGATCTTATCCAAGACCATCAAGTGGTACCTCTACAAGTCTGCAAGAGCCACAGCATTACTGGGCTTGGGGTGCCTCCTAATGCTGATATGACTATGGTGACCAAAAACTTAGATGACAACACCCAAGTCCCTTCGAATACCTGGAAAGCCTTCCCAAGAAGGCTTTCCCAAGAAGCCCAGACTGCAAAGACTACCACAAATATCTAACTTTTCAATGTCCAGACACCAGTGAACATCCACAAGCATCAATACCACTCAAGAAAACATGACCTTACTAAACAAACTAAATAAGTCATCAGGGATTTATCCTAGAGAGATAGAAATATGTGATCTTTCTCTATCTCTCAGAGAGAGGTCATATATCTACACCTCTAGGCTTTTCAGACAGAGAATTTGAAATAGCTATTTTGAGGAAACTCAGTGAAATACAAGATAATACAGAGAAGGAATTCAGAATCCTATCAGATCAATTTAACCAAGATATTGAAATAATTAAAAAGAATCAAGCCGAAATTCTGAAGCTGAAAAATGCAACTGACTACTAAAGAATGCATCAGAGTCTCTTAATAGCAGAATTGATCAAAGAGAAGAAAGAATTAGTAACATTTCTATGTGAAAACAGTGAAAATTCTGAAAATAGTAATCCCATTTACGATAGCTACAAATAAAATTAAGTACCTGGAAATTAATCAAAGAAGTGAAAGATCTTGACAATGGAAAATAAAACACTATGAAAGAAATTGGAGAGGACACACGAAAAACAGAAAAATATTCCATATTCATAGATTGGAAGAATCAACATTGTTAAAATGTCCATACAACCCAAAGCAGTCTATAGATTCAATACAATCCTTATCAAAATACCAATGACATTCTCCATATAAACAGAAAAAACAATCCTAGAATTTATAGAGAACCACGAAAGACCCAGAATAGCCAAAGCTATCCTAAGCAAAAAGAACAAAACTGGAGGAATCGCATTACCTGACTTAAAATTATACTACAGAGATATAGTAACCAAAATAGCATTATACTGGCATAAAAACAGACACATAGACTAATGAAACAGACTACTGAACCCAGAAATAGATCTATACACCTACAGGAACTCATTTTTGATAAAGTTGTTAAGAACATACATTGGGAAAAGGATAGTTAATCTTCAATAAATGATGCTGGGAAAACTGAATATCCATATGCAGAAGAATGAAACTAGACTCCTATCTCTTGCCATATACAAAAATAAAATCAAATTTTGAATTAAAAGCTTAAATCTAAGACCTCAAACTACAAAACCACTATGCAAAAACTCTGTGGAAACTCTCTAGGACATTGAAGTGGGCAAAGATTTCTTGAGTAATACCTCACAAGCACAGGCAACCAAAGCAAAAATGGATAAATGGGATCACATCAAGTTAAAAAGCTTCTGCACAGCAAAGGAAACAATCAACAAAGTGAAGAGACACCTCATTTGCCCTGACATGATTATTATGCATTGCATGCCTGTATCAAAACATCTCATGTAACCCATAAATATACACACCTGCTATGTATCCACACACAAAATATGTCTCACACAAAAATATGTTAGACACGCCTACAACCCACTTTTCAACTTTATCATGCTTTTCCTATAAAAATGGACTCTAAATTAAAACAGCTATGTGTGAATGACAGAAAGAAATACTAAAACTTAAAAGATACTTTTATTGAGTACTATTAAGAGAATCACAGTGAAGCACTTTCTTCACTATCTTATCTGTTATTCGTGTTTCATTCAAAGTTGGTTTCCCTCCACACTTGGTCAAAATACGTCTTTTGCTTTCAATCTTTATCCTTTAGTCAAAAGGGATTTTGAGCCATTTGTACAATTGCAGCTTGGGTTTCAGAACGATGTGGCAGTACACCCTTGCAGGTTTCTGTGGCAGGTCGGTCTCCCTCCTGCCTTCAACTGGAGTATAACATACAGCAAAGAGCATTAATCTTAAGTGCATAATTCGACATATTTTTACACATGTATAAACCGCCATAGAAATCAAGATATAGAACATTCCCAGCACTCTAGAAGGCTCTTTTGTGCTCCTTCCCAGTCAAAAACCACTGAAAGGTAACCACTATTTTCACTTTTATCACTTTTGATTAATTTTGTCTACTCACGAACTTCATTTGAATAGCGTCATAAAGTATGTACTTTTTTGTGTGTTTGGCTTCTTTTGCTCAACATAACGTTTGTTGACATCCATGTTGCTGTGTATATCAGCAGTTTGATCTTTTTATTGCTGTGTAATTAACGTATATCACAGTTGATTTATCTAGTCTTCTGTTGATGGACATTTGGGTTGTTTCCATTTTTTTTACTATTATGAATAAAACTACCCTCTATGGTAGATTTTAACTCTTTTTTTTTTTTTTGAGATGGAGTCTCACTCTGTCGCCCAGGCTGGAGTGCAGCGGTGCGATCTTGGCTCACTGCAAGCTCCACCTTCCGGGTTCACGCCATTCTCCTGCCTCGGCCTCCCGAGTAACTGGGACTACAGGTGCCCACCACCACACCTGGCTAATTTTTTTGTATTTTTAGTAGAGACGGGGTTTCACCGTGTTAGCCAGGATGGTCTCGATCTCCTGACCTCGTGATCCGCCCACCTCGGCCTCCCAGAGTGCTGGGATTACAGACATGAGCCACCACGCCAGGCCGATTTTAACTCTTATAATGAGGGCTGTAATTAAAACATCATCTTTACATACACTTATTATGGGAAATGGTTCCAGTTCTCTATTCAAAATTCCCCTTTGTGTCTTCTCTTGCTTCATGGACTGATGGAAAGAGAAAGTGGATTCACGAGGGTACACGTACCATTAGAGAAGGAGAAAGGGAGCATATATTTATCAGACATCTACTCTGGGGCATGTATTTTACCTGCCTATTGTATTAACTCCTCCTAACAATTTTGTAGGTAGGTTTTCCTGTTTCACAAAGGATGAAATTGAGACACAGAAAAATTAGGTGACCTGTCTGGAGTCATACAGCTACAAAGTGGTAGGAGGTCACATGAAATTCCAAAGCGTGGCCTTTTCCCACCATGTGCCCTGTCCAAATCATCTAGAACCAGAATCACAGTAGGGATGGGGGAGTGGAGGGTGGTAGGCATTGGTGATATTGATGCACTTCCAGATGATTCTATCCATAAGCCTCAGAGGGAGCCCTCTGCACTGTATCATGCTGCCTTTGGTCATTCTTTTCCTCTTTAGATGAGTGACGTTTTCTTTCCTCTCCCCATGACTCACTTTTTCCACGCTTGCTGTCTCCTTTCTAATCTATGACTCACACTCTGCATCCTCAGTGACGTTCACTGCATATAACTGGTTATCTGAAATCTCAAAGCAGTGCCATCTCTCTCCCTGCCTGCTGCCCACTTGCCCTTACCCCTTCCCTCACCAAGTGAGCCACACTCAGTGAGGCCCCAACCCAAGCTCTGCCTCCTTCACCAGGCTGATGCTCAAGGATCTGCTCTTGTCTTGATTCTCAGTTCCTGCCCTTATGGGAGGGATTCAGGCCAGATCCTAATTTCCTCCTCCTCCACACTCACCCTATGGGGTAGAAAAGACGGTCTACCAGTTATTTTTCTTTCATTGTGGTAAAATACATGTAATGTAAAGTTGATCATTTTAAACACCTTACAGCGTGCAATTGAATGGCATTTAGTATATTCACAATGTGGCGCAACCATCACCAATACCTAGTTCTAGAACATTTTCATCATTCCAAAGGAAACCCCATAACCATTTTCAGCAGTCACTCTCCATCTCCAGCCCCTGGCAACCATTAACTTTCTTTCTGTCTGACAGTGTTAACAGCATTCACTACATGCCAGGCATTGTGCTAATATCATGATATGCATACCTTATTAATTCTCATGCCAGCAGCTCTGTGAAACTGGGGTTCTTCCTTCCATTTCACAGATGAGATAATTGAGGCTCAGAGAGAAAAGATTTATGTGAGGTCACAAAGCCCGTAAGTGGTAGAACCTGGACAAAACCACCCCCCACTCCAGCCCAGCGCTGTTTCCAACCACTGCTAAATGATGACCAAAACATGAATGATGCAGGTCTGGGTAACTCCTAAGCACATATATTTTCCATTCCAAAAGAATATTCTTTCCACTCCATCCTGAAGGTCAGTGGTAACAAAAAACAAACAAAAAAACGCAGTGAGCACACATTCAAATGACTTACGTTCCAGGAATTTTCTGGGATCTGTGACCCCAGAAACTATTAGTTGACATCTTGGGATGGCACACAGGGCAAGCAGAGTAAGAAATAAAGTGACTCCAAATGTGTCACAGGCTGAGGGGGTCTCACGAAAGGAAAGGTTCTAACTGGTACCAGATGGCTGTTTCTCCTGCCTTGTTGTCTAAGATTCTTTCTTCAAGAGTTTGGGCTTTTGGTTGCTAGGACCATGTAGGCTGACTTCCCTTATGGTTCCAGAAACGAAGGAAGCAATTGCAACCTCTGTCCACAAAAAAAGGAGGAGCTTATTAGACTTAACAGAAAAGCTACCATATGACATGCAAGCAAGGCCACGTTTTCCTGATCTTCATGCAATTAAGACAAATCTGTGTTGGATGCCTCGTCCTACCTCACACCAAACATGTTAAAATGTGGCCATATGGCACATTTAGTATAATTTACATATATATGTTGAGGTAGGTTTTAGTTGACTAACATAATACATTTTGTAGACATTTAATTAAACATTTATAACTTTCATTTTGTAAGTTTTTGGGACAGTACAATTATTTCTTCCAAGTCTCAAATAATTCCATAAACCTTTGAAAAGGTCAGTGACCACCAAGCATTGTGCATTGTGTGGGTTTCTTAAACAACCTTGCTTTGTGAGCCTCTCTGCATGATCACTGTTGTTGAGTAGCTGGTCATTCTGGTCATTGGTCTGAATCTGATTGCCTTTATCACTCAGCCAGACAAGAGCTCAGAGGTGGAGTCTCTGCTGATTTGGAAAAATATGGAACATAAGTTCCCCAACAAAGTGTTCCAGTAGATTATTTTTACTTATCGTGCTTCACAAATATAGCTGAACTTGTAGCTGCCATTCAAAATGGCAGCTGGTCTGGACACTAATTGTTAGCAGTTTAGGGAGGACGCAGGGAATCTCACCATTGATGGACTTTGAGCAGTGTAAAAATTGGTAAAGCACAGGGGTACCTGTGGGCATAACCTTGCTAGTAGAAGAGTAGTGACAGAAAAATCATCAAAGGCTTAATAGTGAGGTGGCTTAAAAATAAATTTACAATGCAAATTGAGACATACTTTGCTTACATTAAAATGCACACATCTCAAGTTTACAGCTTGAACTTTTTTTTTTTTGAGACAGGGTCTTGCTCTGTCATTCCAGCTGGAGTGCAGAGGTGTGTGATCGCAACTCTCTACAGCCTTGACCTCTGAGCCTCAAGCAATCCTTCTACCTCAGCCTCCTGAGTAGCTGGGACCACAGGTATGCAAAACCACACCTGGCTAATTTATTTTTTATTAATTTAATTAATTTATTTTTTTAAGACAGAGTCTTGCTCTGTCACCAGGCTGGAGTCCAGTGGGGCAATCTTGCCTCACTGCAACCTCAGCCTCTCAGATTCAAGCGATTTTCCTGCCTCAGCCTACTGAGTAGCTGGGACTACAGGTGCGCGCCACCACACCCAGCTAATTTTTGCATTTTTAGTAGAGATGGGGTTTCACCATGTTGGCCAGGATGGTCTCAATTTCCTGACCTTGTGATCTGCCCACCTTGGCCTCCCAAAGTGCTGGGATTACAAGTGTGAGCAACTGTACCTGGCCTATTTTTATTTTTTGTAGAGATGGGGCCTCCCTCTGTTGCCCAGGCTGGTCTTGAACTCCTGAGCTCAAGAAATCCTCCTGCCTCTGTTTCCCAAAGTGCCACTGTGTCCGGAATTGGTGGGTTCTTGGTCTCACTGACTTCAAGAATGAAGCCGTGGACCCTCAAGGTGAGTGTTACAGTTCTTAAAGGCAGCATGTCCAGAGTTTGTTCCTTCTGATGTTCGAATGTGTTCAGAGTTTGTTCCTTCTGGTGGGTTCGTGGTCTCACTGGCTCAGGAGTGAAGCTGTGGACCTTCGCGGTGAGGGTTACAGCTCTTAAGGCGGTGCATCTGGAGTTGTTAGTTCCTCCCGGTGGGTTCGTGGTCTCGCTGGCTTCAGGAGTGAAGCTGTAGATCTTCAAGGTGAGTGTTACAGCTCATAAAGGCAATGTGGACCCAAACAGTGAGCAGCAGCAAGATCTACTGCAAAGAGCAAAAGAACAAAGCACCCACGGGTTGGAACAAGACCTTAGCAGGTTGCCACCGGGGTGCAGGCGGCCTGCTTTTAGTCTCTTATCTGGCCCCACCCACATCCTCCTGATTGGTCCATTTTACAGAGCTGATTGGTCTGTTTTACAGAGCACTGATTGGTCCGTTTTGACAGGGTGCTGATTGGTGCGTTTACAATCCCTGAGCTGGACACAAGGGTTCTCCAAGTCCCCACCAGAGTAGCCAGATACTGAGTGTCTATTGGTGCATTCACAAACCCTGAGCTAGACACAGGGTGCTGATTGGTGTGTTTACAAACCTTGAGCTAGATACAGAGTGCCCATTAGTGTATTTATAATCCCTTAGCTAGACATAGAGGTTCTCCAACTCCCCACCAGAGTAGCTAGATACGAGTGTCGATTGGTGCATTCACAAACCCTGAGCTAGACACAGGGTACTGATTGGTGTATTTACAATCCCTTAGCTAGACATAAAGGTTCTCCAAGTCCCCACGAGACGCAGGAGCCCAGCTGGCTTCATCCAGTGGATCCCGCAGCGGGGCCGCAGGTGGAGCTGCCTGCCAGTCCCGCGCCGTGCGCCTGCACTCCTCAGCCCTTGGGTGGTCGATGGGACTGGGCGCCGTAGAGCAGGGGGTGGCGCTCGACGGGGAGGCTGGGGCGGCGCAGGAGCCCACGGCGCGGGGCGGCTCAGGCATGGCGGGCTGCAGGGCCCGAACCCTGCCCCGGGGGGAGGCAGCTAAGGCCCGGCGAGAAGTCGAGCACAGCAGCTGCTAGACCAGGTGCTAAGCCCCTCACTGCCGGGGGGCCAGTGGAGCCGGCTGGCCGCTCCGAGTGTGGGGCCCGCCGAGCGCCCGCCCACCCGGAACTGGCGCCTGCTCGCAAGCGCCGTGCGCAGCCCCGGTTCCCGCCTGCGCCTCTCCCTCCACACCTCCCCGCAAGCTGAGGGAGCCGGCTCCGGCCTCGGCCAGCCCAGGAAGGGGCTCCCACAGTGCAGCGGCGGGCTGAAGGGCTCCTCAAGTCCCGCGAAAGTGGGAACTCAGGCAGACGAGGCGCCGGGAGCGAGCGAGAGCTGCGAGAACTGCCAGCACGCTGTCACCTCTCACCACGATTACAGGTGTAAGCCACAGTACCTGGCCTACCTTGAACTTTTTTTAACCTAAAGAGGTAACTGCTAGTCTGACTTCTAGCACTGTAGATAGTTTAGCCTGTTCTTGAACTTCATACGAATGGCATCATACTATATATATTCTTTAATTAATTTTTTAAAGAGACAGGGTCTCATTCTGATGCCCAGACTGGAGTGCAGTGGTGCAATCATAACTTGAGGCAGCCTTGACTTCCTGAGCTCAAGGGATCCTCCTGCCTCAGCCTCCTGAGTAGCTGGGACTACAGACACCATGCCTGGCTAATTTTAAATTTTTTTTTTTGTATAGATGGGGTCTCGCTGGTCTTGAACTCTTAGGCTCAAGTGATCCTACTGACTCAGTCTCCCAAAGTACTGAGACTACAGGCATGAGCCACCACACCTGGCCTATATATAGTCTTTTAAAAGTTTCTTATTTCTTTTGCTTAACCTAATGTCTTGTGAAATTATCCACGTTGCTGTGTTTATCAGCAGTATGTTCTTTTTCAGTCCTGGGTGGCATTCTGTTGGGTAAACATACAGCAATTTGTTTATCCTTGTTTATCCTTGCTGATGGACATTTAGATTGTTTCTTGTTTGGGCTATCGTGAAAACAACTATTGTGAGTATATGATACAAGTCATTTGTGAATATAAGTCTTCCTTTCTCTTAAGTAAATATCACAAATATTTGTAATACCTATAACTTCTAGTAGTGATAAGACAAACAACCCAGCAAGAAGGCAAAAGATTCCAGCAGACACATCATAAAAGAAGATATGCAAATAAATAATATAATTATTTACTCTAAATAAATATTTGGAGTAGAATTTCTAGATCATATGGTAGATAGGTATTTAATTTTAAGACACTGCCAAATAGTTTTCCAAAGGGGTCGTAATATGCTGTACTCCCCTCAACAATGTATGACAGTTCTAGTGGTGCCACATCTTTGGCAACACTTGGTTCTCATACGTTTTTAATTGAGCCATTTTCCTGGTGGCTGTTAAGTGGTATCTCATTGTAATTTTAATTTTCATTTCTGTGACGACTAATGATGTTGAGTATCTTTTCATATATCATTGGTCATTTGCACATCTTCTTTTATGATGTGTCTGTTTGAATCTTTTGCCCTTTTATTGGGTTGTTTGTCTTGCCACTATTATAAGTTATAGGTATTGCAAATAGTTTCTCCTAGTCTGTGGTTTGCCCTTTTATTTTCTTAACATAACTTTGAAGAATATAATTTAAAACATTTTAATAAAGCCCAACTTACCCATTTTTCCCTTATGGTTAGTGTTTTTGTTTTTTATCCTGTCTAAAAAATTGTATTTACTGCAATGTCACAAAGATATTCTCCAGTTTTTTTCTCTAGAAGGTTTGTAGTTTTACGCTTAGGTCTCAACTCCATTTTAACTTAATTTTGGCATATCATATGCTAAGGCCATGATACAGATAGAGCCAAGGTTTCTTTCTTTCCATTTAGACATCTAGTTGCTCTAGCATCATTTGTTGAATAGACTACTCCTTCCCCAATTTAATTGCACTAGCACCTTTGTAAACAGCTAAGTGACTGGATATATGTGTGTCTATTTCTGGACTCTCCGTTATTTCACTGATTTATTTATGCTTACGACAACATCACACGGGTTTGTAGCTTTAAGTGAGTAGATAAGTAGCTATTTAGTAAGTCTTGAAAATGTTTAGTATAAGTTTTCCACCTCGGTTTTTAAAATTTTTTTGAAGATGATTTTGGCTTTTCTAGGTCTTTTGCGTTTCTGTAAAAATCTTATAATCACCTTGTCAGTTTCTATAAAAACAGCTGCTGGGATTTTGATAGGGACAGTGTTGAATCTATAGATCAAATAGGGAAGAACTGACATCTTTTTTTTAAATTTTATTATTATTATACTTTAAGTTTTAGGGTACATGTGCACAATGTGCACGTTTGTTACATATGTATACATGTGCCATGTTGGTGTACTGCACCCATTAACTCGTCATTTAGCATTAGATATATCTCCTAATGCTATCCCTCCCCCCTCCCCCCACCCCACAACAGTCACCGGAGTGTGATGTTCCCCTTCCTGTGTCCATGTGTTCTCATTGTTCAGTTCCCACCTATGAGTGAGAACATGCGGTGTTTGGTTTTTTGTCCTTGTGATAGTTTGCTGAGAATGATGGTTTCCAGTTTCATCCATGTCCGTATAAAGGACATGAACTCATCGTTTTTTATGGCTGCATCGTATTCCATGGTGTATATGTGCCACATTTTCTTAATCCAATCTATCGTTGTTGGACATTTGGGTTGGTTCCAAGTCTTTGCTATTGTGAATAGTGCCGCAGTAAACATACGTGTGCATGTCCCTTTATAGCAGCATGATTTATAATCCTTTGGGCCCAGTAATGGGATGGCTGGGTCAAATGGTATTTCTAGTTCTAGATCCCTGAGGAATCGCCACACCGACTTCCACAATGGTTGAACTAGTTTACAGTCCCACCAACAGTGTAAAAGTGTTCCTATTTCTCCACATCCTCTCCAGCACCTGTTGTTTCCTGACTTTTTAATGATCGCCATTCTAACTAGTGTGAGATGGTATCTCATTGTGGTTTTGATTTGCATTTCTCTGTTGGCCAGTGATGATGAGCATTTTTTCATGTGTTTTTTGGCTGCATAAATGTCTTCTTTTGAGAAGTGTCTGTTCATATCCTTTGCCCACTTTTTGATGGGGTTGTTTGTTTTTTTCTTGTAAATTTGTTTGAGTTCATTGTAGATTCTGGATATTAGCCCTTTGTCAGATGAGTAGGTTGCAAAAATGTTCTCCCATTCTGTAGGTTGCCTATTCACTCTGATGGTAGTTTCTTTTGCTGTGCAGAAGCTCTTTAGTTTAATTAGATCCCATTTGTCAATTTTGGCTTTTGTTGCCATTGCTTTTGGTGTTTTAGACATGAAGTCCTTGCCCATGCCTATGTCCTGAATGGTATTGCCTAGGTTTTCTTCTAGGGTTTTTATGGTTTTAGGTCTAACATTTAAGTCTTTAATCCATCTTGAATTAATTTTTCTATAAGGTGTAAGGAAGGGATCCAGTTTCAGCTTTCTACATATGGCTAGCCAGTTTTCCCAGCACCATTTATTAAATAGGGAATCCTTTCCCCATTGCTTGTTTTTCTCAGGTTTGTCAAAGATCAGATAGTTGTAGATATGCAGCATTATTTCTGAGAGCTCTGTTCTGTTCCATTGATCTATATCTCTGTTTTGGTACCAGTACCATGCTGTTTTGGTTACTGTAGCCTTGTAGTATAGTTTGAAGTCAGGTAGCGTGATGCCTCCAGCTTTGTTCTTTTGGCTTAGGATTAACTTGGCGATGCGGGCTCTTTTTTGGTTCCATATGAACTTTAAAGTAGTTTTTTCCAATTCTGTGAAGAAAGTCATTGGTAGCTTGATGGGGATGGCATTGAATCTATAAATTACCTTGGGCAGTATGGCCATTTTCACGATATTGATTCTTCCTACCCATGAGCATGGAACGTTCTTCTATTTGTTTGTATCCTCTTTTATTTCATTGAGCAGTGGTTTGTAGTTCTTCTTGAAGAGGTCCTTCACATCCCTTGTAAGTTGGATTCCTAGGTATTTTATTCTCTTTGAAGCAATTTTGAATGGGAGTTCACTTATGATTTGGCTTTCTGTTTGTCTGTTATTGGTGTATAAGAATGCTTGTGATTTTTGTACGTTGATTTTGTATCCTGAGACTTTGCTGAAGTTGCTTATCAGCTTAAGGAGATTTTGGGCTGAGACAATGGGGTTTTCTAGATATACAATCATGTCATCTGCAAACAGGGACAATTTGACTTCCTCTTTTCCTAATTGAATACCCTTTATTTCCTTCTCCTGCCTAATTGCCCTGGCCAGAACTTCCAACACTATGTTGAATAGGAGTGGTGAGAGAGGGCATCCCTGTCTTGTGCCAGTTTTCAAAGGGAATACTTCCAGTTTTTGCCCATTCAGTATGATATTGGCTGTGGGTTTGTCATAGATAGCTCGTATTATTTTGAGGTATGTCCCGTCAATACCTAATTTATTGAGAGTTTTTAGCATGAAGCATTGTTGAATTTTGTCAAAGGCCTTTTCTGCATCTATTGAGATAATCATGTGGTTTTTGTCTTTGGTTCTGTTTATATGCTGGATTACATTTATTGATTTTCATATGTTGAACCAGCCTTGCATCCCAGGGATAAAGCCCACTTGGTTATGGTGGATAAGCTTTTTGATGTGCTGCTGGATTCGGTTTGCCAGTATTTTATTGAGGATTTTTGCATCAATGTTCATCAAGGATATCGGTCTAAAATTCTCTTTTTTGGTTGTGTCTCTGCCAGGCTTTGGTATCAGGATGATGCTGGCCTCATAAAATGAGTTAGGGAGGATTCCCTCTTTTTCTATTGATTGGAATAGTTTCAGAAGGAATGGTACCAGCTCTTCCTTGTACCTCTGGTAGAATTCGGCTGTGAATCCATCTGGTCCTGGACTCTTTTTGGTTGGTAAGCTATTGATTATTGCCACAATTTCAGATCCTGTTATTGGTCTATTCAGAGATTCAACTTCTTCCTGGTTTAGTCTTGGGAGGGTGGATGTGTCGAGGAATTTATCCATTTCTTCTAGATTTTCTAGTTTATTTGCGTAGAGGTGTTTGTAGTATTCTCTGATGGTAGTTTGTATTTCTGTGGGATCGGTGGTGATATCCCCTTTATCATTTTTTATTGCGTCTATTTGATTCTTTCCTCTTTTCTTCTTTATTAGTCTTGCTAACAGTCTATCAATTTTGTTGATCTTTTCAAAAAACCAGCTCCTGGATTCATTGATTTTTTGAAGGGTTTTTTGTGTCTCTGTTTCCTTCAGTTCTGCTCTGATTTTAGTTATTTCTTGCCTTCTGCTAGCTTTTGAATGTGTTTGCTCTTGCTTTTCTAGTTCTTTTAATTGTGATGTTAGGGTGTCAATTTTGGATCTTTCCTGCTTTCTCTTGTGGGCATTTAGTGCTATAAATTTCCCTCTACACACTGCTTTGAATGTGTCCCAGAGATTCTGGTATGTTGTGTCTTTGTTTTCATTGGTTTCAAAGAACATCTTTATTTCTGCCTTCATTTCGTTATGTACCCAGTAATCACTCAGGAGCAGGTTGTTCAGTTTCCATGTAGTTGAGCGGTTTTGAGTGAGTTTCTTAATCCTGAGTTCTAGTTTTATTGCACTGTGGTCTGAGAGACAGTTTGTCATAATTTCTGTTCTTTTACATTTGCTGAGGAGTGCTTTACTTCCAACTATGTGGTCAGTTTTGGAATAGGTGTGGTGTGGTGCTGAAAAGAATGTATATTCTGTTGATTTGGGGTAGAGAGTTCTGTAGATGTCTATTAGGTCAGCTTGGTGCAGAGCTGAGTTCAATTCCTGGGTATCCTTGTTAACTTTCTGTCTCGTTGATCTGTCTAATGTTGACAGTGGGGTGTTAAAGTCTCCCATTATTATTGTGTGGGAGTCTAAGTCTCTTTGTAGGTCACTCAGGACTTGCTTTATGAATCTGGGTGCTCCTGTATTGGATGCATATATATTTAGGATAGTTAGCTCTTCTTGTTGAATTGATCCCTTTACCATTATGTAATGGCCTTCTTTGTCTCTTTTGATCTTTGCTGGTTTAAAGTCTGTTTTATCAGAGACTAGGATTGCAACCCCTGCCTTTTTTTGTTTTCCATTTGCTTGGTAGATCTTCCTCCATCCCTTTATTTTGAGCCTATGTGTGTCTCTGCACGTGAGATGGGTTTCCTGAATACAGCACACTGATGGGTCTTGACTCTATCCAATTTGCCAGTCTGTGTCTTTTAATTGGAGCATTTAGCCCATTTACATTTAAAGTTAATATTGTTATGTGTGAATTTGGTCCTGTCATTATGATGTTAGCTGGTTATTTTGCTCATTAGTTGATGCAGTTTCTTCCTAGCCTTGATGGTCTTTACATTTTGGCATGTTTTTGCAGTGGCTGATACCGGTTGTTCCTTTCCATGTTTAGTGCTTCCTTCAGGAGCTCTTTTAGGGCAGGCCTGGTGGTGACAAAATCTCTCAGCATTTGCTTGTCTGTAAAGGATTTTATTTCTCCTTCACTTATGAAGCTTAGTTTGGCTGGATATGAAATTCTGGGTTGAAAATTCTTTTCTTTAAGAATGTTGAATATTGGCCCCCACTCTCTTCTGGCTTGTAGAGCTTCTGCCAAGAGATCTGCTGTTAGTCTGATGGGCTTCCCTTTGTGGGTAACCCAACCTTTCTCTCTGGCTGCCCTTAACATTTTTTCCTTCATTTCAACTTTGGTGAATCTGACAATTATGTGTCTTGGAGTTGCTCTTCTTGAGGAGTATCTCTGTGGCGTTCTCTGTATTTCCTGAATCTGAATATTGGCCTGCATTGCTAGATTGGGGAAGTTCTTCTGGGTAATGTCCTGCAGAGTGTTTTCCAACTTGGTTCCATTCTCCCCGTCACTTTCAGGTACACCAATCAGATGTAGATTTGGTCTTTTCACATAGTCCCATATTTCTTGGAGGCCTTGTTCGTTTCTTTTTATTCTTTTTTCTCTAAACTTCCCTTCTTGCTTCATTTCATTCATTTCATCTTCCATCACTGATACCCTTTCTTCCAGTTGATTGCATTGGCTCCTGAGGCTTCTGCATTCTTTACGTAGTTCTCGAGCCTTGGCTTTCAGCTCCATCAGGTCCTTTAAGGACTTGTCTGCATTGGTTATTCTAGTTATCCATTCATCTAATTTTTTTTTCAAAGTTTTTAACTTCTTTGCCATTGGTTTGAATTTCCTCCTGTAGCTTGGAGTAGTTTGATCGTCTGAAGCCTTCTCTCAACTTGTCAAAGTCATTCTCCGTCCAGCTTTGTTCCGTTGCTGGTGAGGAGCTGTGTTCCTTTGGAGGAGGAGAGGTGCTCTGCTTTTTAGAGTTTCCAGTTTTTCTGCTCTGTTTTTTCCCCATCTTTGTGGTTTTATCTACTTTTGGTCTTTGATGATGGTGACGTACAGATGGGTTTTTGGTGTGGATGTCCTTTCTGTTTGTTAGTTTTCCTTCTAACAGATAGGACCCTCAGCTGCACGTCTGTTGGAGTTTGCTAGAGATCCACTCCAGATGCTGTTTGCCTGGGTATCAGCAGTGGTGGCTGCAGAACAGCGGTGGCTGTAGAACAGCGGATATTGGTGACCTGCAAATGCTGCTGCCTGATCATTCCTCTGGAAGTTTTGTCTCAGAGGAGTACCTGGCTGTGTGAGGTGTCAGTCTGCCCCTACTGGGGGGTGCCCTCCCAGTTAGGCTGCTTGGGGGTCAGGGACCCACTTGAGGAGGCAGTCTGCCCATTCTCAGATCTCAAGCTGTGTGCTGGGAGAACCAGTGCTCTCTTCCAAGCTGTCAGACAGGGACATTTAAGTCTGCAGAGGTTACTGCTGTCTTTTTGTTTGTCTGTGCCCTGCCTCCAGAGGTTGAGTCTACAGAGGCAGGCAGGCTCCACCCAGTTCGGGCTTCCTGGCTGCTTTGTTTACCTAATCAAGCCTGGGCAATGGCAGGCACCCCTCCCCCAGCCTCGCTGCTGCCTTGCAGTTTGATCTCAGACTGCTGTGCTAGCAATTAGCGAGACTCCATGGGCATAGGACCCTCCGAGCCAGGTGTGGAATATAATCTCCTGGTGTGCCATTTTTTTAAGCCCGTTGGAAAAGCGCAGTATTAGGGTGGGAGTGACCCGATTTTCCAGGTGCCATCTGTCACCCCTTTCTTTGACTAGGAAAGGGAACTCCCTGACCCCTTGCACTTCCTGAGTGAGGCAATGCCTCGCCCTGCTTCGGGTCATGCATGGTGCTCTGCACCCACTGTCCTGCACCCACTGTTGTCACTCCTTAGTGAGATGAACCCGGTACCTCAGTTGGAAATGCAGAAATCATCTGTCTTCTGCATCGCTCACGCTGGGAGCTGTAGACCGGAGCTGTTCCTATTCAGCTATCTTGGCTCTACCCTCCAGACTGACATCTTAATATTGAGCCTTCCAGTTTAGGAGCATGGTGTATTTTTTCCTTTACTTAGGTTTTTAATCTCAGCATTGTTTTGTAGTTTTCAGTGTACAGGTTTTGTATGATTTTGTTAAATTTAGCCACAAATATTTTTTTGATGATATTGTAGATGAAATTCTTTTTTTTTCCTACCTTCATTTTAGGTTCAAGGGGTACATGTGCAGGTTTGTTATGTGGATAAATTACTGGTTTTTTTTTTTAAATTTACTTTGGCTTGTTTTTTTTGCCTAGTATATAGAAATACGATTGACTTTTTGGATCCTGGAAACTCACTAAATTTACATATTGGCTTTAGTAGATTTTTTTTTCCTTGCATATTCTTTAGGCCTTTCTATGTATGATAGTGTTATCTTTGAATAAGAACAGTTTTACTCCTTTCTTTTTAATATGCATGCCTTTTTACTTCTTTTTCTTGCCATGCTGTATAGCTAGGATCTTTAGTACAATATTTAGTAGAATCAGTGAGAGAAGACACCCTTCCCTTGTTCCTATCTTAGGATGATGGCATTTAGTCTTTTGCCATTAAGTGTAATGTTAGCTGTGTTTTGTGGAATGACCTTTCATCAGTTTGAGAAAGTTGTTTTTTATTCTGAGCTTACTGACAGTTCTATTTATTGTTGTTTTTTTTTGCCATATGCTTTTTCTCCATCTATTGAGATATTAAAGTTGTTTTTCTTTTTTCCTCTATTGATATGGTAAATTACATGAATTGATTTTTAAATGTTGAACCAATTTTGCATATCTGGGATAAACCATCCTTGGACATAAGGTCTTATTCTTTCTATGTATTGTTGCATTCAATTTGATAATATTTTAAGTAGATTTTTATGTTTATATTTATGTTTTTATGTTCATTTTTATGTTTTATATATATGTTTATGTTATCAGGATAATGCTGGTCTCACAAAATGGATTGGGAAATGCCACACCTCTACTTTCTGAAAGAGTTTACATAAGGTTGGTATTATTTCTTCTTTAAATGATTAATAGAACTTATTAATGAGTAGATCAGAAAGCTGAGCGAAAAAAAAAAGAATTATTAATGAGGCCATCTGAGGATCGAGGATCTGTTTTGGGAGGGTTTTAAGTCATTAATTTGATTTTAAAAGGAGATACAGAGTTATTTAGATTTTCTATGTTTCTTGAGTCTGTTTTCATAATTGCATCTTTCAAAGAATTTGTCCTTAGGTTGTTGAGTTTATTGGCAGAGAGTTGTTCACAATATACCTTTATCATACTTTTTTATTTTTGTTTTTTGAGAGAGGATCTTGCTGTGTCACCCAGGCTGGAGTGCTGTGGTACAATCACAGCTCACTGCAGTCTCGACTGCCTGGGCTCAGGTTATCCTCTCACCTCAGCCTCCCGAGTAGCTGGGTTGCAGGTGCGCACCACCATGCCCAGCTAATTTTTGTATTTCCTGTAGAGACGGAGTTTCGCCATGTTGGCTAAGCTGGTCTCGAACTCCTGGGCTCAAGCAATCCTCTCACCTTGGCTTCTCAAAGTGTTGGGATTACAGGCATGAGCCACCATGCCCAGCTCCTTTATTATACTTTTTTTTGGTGAGGGGGAGACTGGAGTTTTATTATTAGTCTAGTCAGTCTCCCCAAGCATTCAAGGATCAGAGTTTTTAAGGACAACTTGGTGAGTGGGGGGAAGCCAGTGAGCTGGGAGTGCTGATTGGTTAGGTCAGAGAAGAAATCACAGGAAGTAGAAGCTGTCTTCTTGTTTTGAGTCAGTTCCTGGGTGGGGGGCCACAAGATCAGATGAGCCAGTTTATCGATCTGCGTGGTGCTAGCTAATCCATCAAGTGCAGGATCTGTAAAATATCTCAAGCACTGATCTTATGAGCAGTTTAGGGAGGGTCAGAATATTGAAGCCTCCAGCTGCATGACTCCTAAACCATAATTTCTAATCTTTTTTTTTTTTTTTTTTATTTTGACAGAGCCTCACTCTGTCGCCCATGCTAGAGTACAATCATGCAATCTTGGCTCACTGCAACCTCTGCCTCCTGGGTTGAAGCGATTCTCCTGCCTCAGCCTCTTGAGTAGCTGGGATTACAGGTACTCACCACCATGCCTGGCTAATTTTGTATTTTTAGTAGAGATGGGGTTTTGCCATGGCTGGTCTTGAACTCCTGACCTCATGTGATCCACCCACCTTGGCCTCCCAAAGTGCTGGGGTTACAGGCATGAGCCACTGTGCCCGGCCCATAATTTCTAATCTTGTGGCTAATTTGTTAGCCCTAAAAAGGCAGTTTAGTCCCCACACAAGGAGGGAATTTGCCTTTGGAAAAGCCTGTTCTCATTCTTTGTTTTAAACTATAAACAAAGTTCCTCCCAAAGTTAGTTGTGCCTATCCCCAGGAATGAACAAGGACAGCTTGGAAGTTAAAAACAAGATGGAGTTGGTTAGGTCACATCTCTTTCACTGTCTCAGTTACAATTTTGCAATGGTGGTTTCAATCTCTCCTTTTGGGTTTTATAACACCTTAATCTTAAGGTGTTGGCTAAAGAAGATGGAAAAAGGGTGAAGATCGCTCTAACTTCTTTCTGCTGATAGGGCGTAGTGAGGGTAGGTGTTGATCCCAAGGTGAGAGGAGTGGAACCACTTTGCAATTGTCTGAGCATACTCATGCAGGTCTGGCTGGGGTTCCAAGGTTTGCATGGAAAAGACATTAGCATTGTCATCTATAGTTTTAGTACTGCATTTAAGGGAACAACATACTATAAGGTAAATAATAAGTACTAGGGTAAGGAGTGCAATTCCCAGTTTTAAAAGTAAAGATTTGAAAGCATTAGTTTGGAGACTTGTAGCCCACAAAGACTTTAGGATCTAGTCCAGACTGCAGAAAAAACTCAAGAACAGATAACAACAGGTGTACTGTAGTTTTTTTTTTAAACATAATTTTTCTGTCATCAGTTCCCATTGTTATTAAAAACAAATCATGATAGAACTGATTTGTTTGCAAAATAAACTTTAGTCTTATTATATTTGGCCTGATTATTTGCATAAAATGCAGCAAGAATAATTATTCCCACATAGGCATTTTAAATTGGCTTTGATGGAACTCTGTTTCATAAGGAATCTCAGATAAGATTTTTTAAAAGCTGAGCCCAGCCATGGGTTTGTACCCTCAAATTACTATGAGTTGGGTATATTCCTCTCCTCTTGAGGTCCTAGGATAACCTGGGGCCCTTGGGCCTCTTAAAAAGTTACATGCTTTATTTACCACTGGTCAGAAACCCTATACAGGACTGTATAGACAAGGTATGAGGCCAGTTTTCCCAAGGGGCTTTTATTGGCTCTATAAGTCAAGTTAGATTCCTTAAAGGAAAACATGCCATTCCAGTCTTGGTAAAGTAACCAGTTTCTCCAGCTGTGTCCTGTTACAAAAGAAAGCAGATTCTTATTGCACTTATGCAATAACTATACTGTCATAAGTTGAGAATACTCAAATAGTTTCCAAATTCTGGAGAAATCAAGTAGAGAGAAACAAATATGCTCTAAATTTTGATCATAGAAGTATATTTTACTCAGTTGTTAAAAGCTATACATAGCTCAAAAGAAAAGTTTTCTTGGCTCTGGAAAGTAAAGGATCAGCAATATTTTTAGCAAAAAGGTCAAAGAATGATTACTTCAGTTTCCTATTAGTTTAGTCCATTCAGTTAACTCCTGTTCTGCTTGATATTCATGAACATTTCAGCTCTCCATGAGAGTCCCAAAAGTTTTTCCTCTATTCTAATGTCACAATCTCCAAAGTTATTAGAAAGCTGCATCCAAGAACACCTCTCAAAGTCCTACAGCCTATTATAAAACACCTTTTGAAGAGGATTGTAACAAGACAAAAAATGTCTTTGGATGACAGAAAGTCTCAGGACAGCCATTATTAAAGCAATAGTTGACCAGGAATTTTGGTTACCTCTGTGGCACACAATAATTTAACATAACAATTATCATTATTACTGATAACATATACTGAGTCATATCAGAATTGTAGGAGTTTCACATAATTTTGGAACATATACCAATAACACATTTACACAAATAGATATAGCCCAAAGAAAGCCAAACACCATTTCATATTTGACAATGCTTCCTGTATGATTTTTATACCAAATAAGCCAAACACATCACTTTTGGACTTCAGGGAACCTAATGTCTAAAGGATTAGTTAGATCAGAAAATGACATACTTTATAATTTGATTTTGGCAAGATTGTCAAATACCAAAGGTTTAAAACACCGAATGTCACAAAATAGGTTCGTAGGTTGTTCATTTATCCAAAGTGGTAACTCAAAAAAACTTTTTAAAAGGCAAAAATCTTTACTTTGATAGAAGAGACAAAGCTTTCCAAACAAGACTCAATGAAGTTAGCATGAGGCCAACTGAATCCTTCTCTTTTCTCTTCTCTTTTTTTTTTTCCTGCAATTTACCCAAAGGGGCAAACAAAAACCTTTCATTATCTTTTAATATTACATGAAGATCTTTTTCAAAAGAGAAAAACATATTTCATGTTTGCATTACTGCATCTTTAATGCTAAAGCTAGTTTTTAAAGAAAATTTTATAAATCTATCTAGTTTTAATTAGTTTGACCCTAAGGTAAGATTTTCATAAACCTTTTAGAACCCTTTACAATTTTCTGTTAAACAGCAAATCAATTTTCTAAGAAAATCCTGTTATTTGGACACATGGGGCCCAGTTTCTGGCCCTGCATTAGTATGCTTTTATTTTAATGTTTGACTTACAGAAAAAAATTAAATAATCCCCTTCAAATCTTAGCCAACTTGCTCATACCCACAGAACTTTCTTTACAAGACCAAGCCTTCACAAACTCTTTTCGCTTTGCTTAAACCTTCAGTTTTTTCCCATTACTCTTTGAGGTTAAGATGACCTTTAAAACCCTCTGAAGTAGACAAAATTACATTCCCTTTAACAAAAGCCACATTCCCATGCCTTCTTATAACCAAAAACACATTCTACTGTCCCTACACACCTTGTATGTAAAACTGTTTCTTCAGAGTCTCAACTACATATTACAATGTTAACTATTAGCAATGTTTATTTTTGGTGAAAAACCTGGTAAGTGAGCGATTTTAATTAGGTACTAGGGATGGAACCTAGGGCATCAGAGAGAAGTGCAGATAAGGTCTGACTCTTTCCAGCATAGCCAGAGGGTTGGGGCATGGGTGGGGCATGGCTAACTCCACATGTCCTCAGGCCTTATCTAGAATCTCATGCTACAAAGTAGGTAAATTGAACAATTATCAAAAGTCAAAGAAGCAGTCTATGATCTTAATGCTTTTAGCAAATCTGATATCTGACCTTAAATTTAGACTAAATGCCTACAGTTGAAGACATTTTTATTTTACCAATAATCTTTAAAACTGTCTTTTTCCCCCCAAAATATTACTAACATCACGTGAATAAAAAGGCATTAAAGTGTCTATTTTTCTGACAAAATATGATTTAAGCACTTATTATTCTAAATCAATTAATCAGAGCCCTTTTATATAAATATTACACAAACAACACATAAATACACAGACGGACAGACAGAAGATCCAGCAGTTGTAAGATTTTTCATTTGCTAGTTTTTTAATTGGATTACTGGCTTCTGGGTGGAGTCCTTGGAGGAACAGGGTCAGGAAAGCATGCAGTTTCTAGGGCCTAATAAGGAGGCACAGCTGGAAGGCAAAGACAGATCCCCAAAATTAAGGGTGCCATTTTAATTTTTATTTTATTTTATTTTGAGACAGAGTCTTGCTCTTTTGCCCACGATGGAGTGCAGTGGCACAATCCTGGCTCACGGCAACTTCTGCAACCTCAGGTGATTCTCATGCCTCAGCCTCCTGAGTAGCTGAGATTACAGGCACCTGCCACCATGCCCAGCTAATTTTTGTATTTTTAGTAGAGACAGGGTTTCACCATGTTGGTCAGACCAGTCTCGAACTCCTGACCTCAGGTGATCTGCCCACCTTGGCCTCCCAAAGTGCTGGGATAGGGTGTTATTTTATACTGGATCCTGGATCCCCAAAAAGGAGGGAAACACTATGACAGTAGATAGTGCAGTGCTTCTACCATGCATTTCATTGCAAGGCAACCCAAAGCAAATCAGCCCATTTTGTAATTAGCCCATCCTGCATGGGAGTCTCATGTCTCAGTGGGGGTTGGGGATGTTTCCATATCTTCCAGGTGGCCAAGAGCATGCTTTTCTCTTTGAGGAGTACAAAGAGCCAAGTATCCCTCCATGACTGCCATTAGCTATACCATAAAGTATATTTCCTACCTAGTTATTACACACCAAGGAAGGCCAGAAGAATGAAGTGGTTTTTGATGGCCCTGCTTGCTGTACTATAGCTGTAGGGGTTAAGCCCCTTTACAAAAGAAAATCACCCTTTTCTGTTTTATGGAACCAGAGACAAAAGATTCTAAGTTTTGCAAGATGTTGCACAATGGGCTGCATAGAAAAGTGAATTAACATTTTCCATCCCAGCTGGAGCAAAGTACACGTAACAAAACAGACACTAGTCACTTCATTCAGGACCCAATATCGACATGGCAAGGCTCAAACTTTCTCCCATTGGTCTCTGTTGTCCTTGGTCTACTCCAGGTGGGGAGGCATGATCTCTGAACAGTAATTCAATGGGTGGTCTCTGGGCAAGACAAAGAGTGGACAGTCACACCAAGTCAGGCCTGTTGAGCTTTCTTCAGGGCTCACTGAATGTGACCAGTCAAGTAAGGGTGGGGGGCATTCTCAGAGTTAGGCCTGCTGGACTTCTGTCAGCAATTCCTTCTGAGATCTGCTCCACATATACAAACACACAAAGATGAGATGAACAAAGGCCTTCCAAATCACATCTCTAGCCAAGAACTCCAAGAGTATCCCTTCTAAACTATCCTCCCATTCTCCATCTGAGAAATCTTCCCAAAATCTTCCTGATCCAGAAGTCTCCCAAACCAGGACTCTTCCTACTAGTTAGGGAGAGCCAACCAAGACCCCTCAGGAACCGAACTGAGACAGACACCCTCAATGGGGCTACAGACAAACTGAGACCTTTGAAGGAGCTGAACCGAGACAGACACCCTGTGGTGGAGCTACATTGTGGCGTGTCACCCCACAATGAGGCTACAGACAGACACCCCACCACGGGCCCACAGAACCAGTCAGGAGAAGGAAGGAGGCATTGGCAGTGTCTAGGATACTCATCAACCCAGACACGCTGCAGTAGGGCTATGGACAGACACCCTGTGATAGGGCCACAGTTATGGGACATCTCCCCAGGACTTTTCCTCCATTGCAATTAAATCCATGCACATTGGGTCGGCAGCACCCCGCCAGTAGAGAGAGTACCAGAGTCAGCTCCAGTCCAAGAGAACTAGGTGGCTTCTTGGGCTGGCCTTTGGATCCATTGCTGGAGGAGGGCTTCTGGACCATGGGCAGGTAGCCACAAGGGCAATCCTGAGCAAGCCCCCAGATTTGTAACCACCCAGTGGGTTCACCTTGTCCACTGCCTAGACAGAGCTGGTTTATTGAGACAGGAGAACTGCAATAGAGAAAGAGTAATTCACACAGAGCCGCTGTGTGGGAGACTGGAGTTTAATTATTACTCAAATCAGTCTCCCCTTTATTATGTTTTTAACATCTGTAAGGCATGTAGTAATGTCCCCTCCATCAATCCAGATATTGATATATTGGCTTTTTGCTTGAGTGTTAGCCACCCTGCATTATATAATCTGGAGAATGCCCTCAGAAGAAAAGCCAATTAAATGTGAATCTAACCTGGTGATTTCCTTCTTGCAAGGTTAATTCCTTCCGTTTTGTACCTGCTTTTGGTTATGCTCCAAAGCCTTCAAACAAAAATTTTTCCCCAGAGTTTCCCTCCCAATAATTTAAAATTATTAAAATGGGAGGCTCAGACTGAGACAAGATGCTTTGCCATTACTGCAATAGAAATTCTATTACCTTGCTGTATATTTTCTGTTTATCCTGCCTGTTTTTTGTTCCTTTTTCTCTGTTTTCTTGTCTTCTTTTAAATTATTGTTCAAATTTTGCACTTCTATTGGCTTGTTAGTTATACATTTTATTCTCTTAGTTCTTACTTTAGACATTATAATGTATATCCTTTACTTATTAAAGCCCAATATATTTTTATATTTTTACCATTTCATAGTAAATGCAAGACGTGTAGAACACTTTAACTCCATTTGCTCCACTCCTGCCTTTTGAGTTAGAGTTTTGATGCATTTTAATACAACACACATTTTAAACCTCACAAGACATCCTTACTATTGCTTTTAGTAAGCAATATTCTTTTAGATTATTCACATTATTTTTCTTTCCATTGCACTGCACTGCTTGCATTTTGTACTTTCACCTGTGATCATTTTCTTTCTTTCTTTAGTAGTTTTTTTTAGTATAGGACTTCTGATGATATATGATTCACCCAGGTTATGCTTTCTTCATCAATTCCCCACTCTGCTTTCAATATCGTGGACTATTATGTAGCTAACCGTCACAGTAACTTTAAGGAGGAGGGCCTCTCATTCTCTATCCTTAGAGGTTCTATCTTTTGTCTATTTCTTGCTATAAATACCTCTATTCTTTTTGTTTTCCTTTTCCCACCAGAGAGTCGTTACCAGTCTCTTGTGTCTTCTCATAGCATTCACCAAGAACTTCTCTCTAGAAGTTATTCTTGCACAGCACCCCAATAACTTAGATAAGTGCAATAATTGCAACAATAATCTGATGTTAAAAGTACAATGGAGAAAATTATTAATCCCACTTGAACCCAAGGATAAGGAAGGATGCTCAGAGAAAGCTATAGGGAAGTTAGGCCTTGAAGGATAGCCAACTAGGCATTGACTGAGTGAAGAGAAGGAATGATATTGCAATAACCTACAAAAACATAGAGGTGTGAAGAAGTGTTAAGTGGTCTGGGAATGCAGCATGGTTCAGGATTTGGTATAGGGCAGAGATGGAGAATATATAGCTTTCACACTACAATCTCCCCATTCCACATTCATGGCAGACATTGTTAATCTATCACAGAGCATTATTTCTCATGGGGATTGATTTGAACCTTTGAATCATTCTCAACTTAGCACTCCAGGCAGCTACTCTTAGTTAAATAGTGGCAGGGTAAGAGATGAAACCTATTTGTTATTTCTGGGAATAGAGAGAATGATAGATCATGAAGAGAAATGAGGCTAGGGAGTTAGGCAGGGTCCAGCTGGGAAGATGCTTTTGATAATGGTATTGGTTGGTGATCAGAACCTCTTGAGGAAGCTAGGAGGCTTTGAGTGTAAAATATCAGAAAAGTTTCAGTGCGCATGTAGCTGCCTCTGTGGGGTGTGCTCCATTCTTGTTAACGAGGCCCCAGAGAAACTTCATTTGAGAATCTCCTGGCTCATCTGCTTCAATAGTAATTAGCCATGCAGAGAAGATCTCTGTGGTTTAATTAAGTGGCATATGTGGTTAAAAGTTTGTCTTCTTCTAAGGGAGCAGTAATTAAAAATTAAGCGTAGTCTCTCCATGGATCAGTATCTTCATTGGAAACACGGCCTTTGGCTGTCACCAATTCAGAATACTGGAGAAACAGGCACTTCTCTCTCAGGCTCGTCTGCCCCCCTTCCAAGTCCAAAAAGTAGGACCTACCTGGGTCTGATTGGGAATGACACCTAGAATTGAGGGACCAAGTTGGGGGAGATGGGTCTTGCATGGCCATAGTCAACCTCAGTGATATCCTCTGTGTTGAAGGAGGCATAACATTATAGAATGAGATTGGTGAGAGCACTGAGGTAGTAGTGCACCTGATGTATTTAAGGAATAACAGACCAGTATGGCTGGACTGGGCTGAATGAATAAAGAGGGGCAGGAGCTGAGGTCAGAATGGCCACAGGACCAGTTCACATAGTCTTGTAGTCAGATTATTGCAAAGATTTTGGCTTTAATGTGAGCCAACTTTATCAATATTTTGTTTTTGCTACATTTTGATCTTATTTAGAAAATCTTTCCATAGCCTAAGTTCTAAAATATAACTTTTATTTTCTACAAAGTGTTTTTTCTAAAATTAAGTTTTCTAAAGCATAATTTATGAACAATAGCATTTATTCATAGGAAGTATTCCATTTGATGAGTTTTGACAACAGTATGCCGTTATGTAACAACTACAATGAAGATACACAATATTCTTATTGCCACAAAAGTTCTCTCCTACCCATTGGTAGTCACTATCCTTCTGCCACTCCTAGCCCCAGGCAAACGGTGATCTGATTTCCTGCTTCCTTTTCCTGAATGTCATACAATTAGAATGATATAAGATGTAGCCTTTTTTTGGTCCAGCTTCTTTGATTTTGCATACTTTTTTTGAGATTCTTCCAAGTTGTTGCACATATAAGTAATTCGTTCATTTTTATTGCTGCATATGGATGTACCACAATTTGGTTATCCATTCATCATTGGTGGACTGTCTCCACTGTTTGGCTACTGTGAATAAAGCTGCTCTAAACATTGGCATACAGTTCTTTGTGTGAACATATGGTTCCTTGTCTTTTGGGTAAATACCTAGGGATAGGATTGCTGGGTTGTATGGTAGGTATGTGTTAAACTTTTAAAGAAACTGCTAAACTGTTTTCAAAAAGGGCTGCTCCATTTTGCAATGGATACAATTTCCAGGTGCTTCTCTCACCAGAGCTTGGTATTAGCCATTTTAGTGATGTGTAGTGGTATTTCATTGTGGTTTTGATTTGCATTTCCCTAATGACCAGTGGTGTCAAGCATCTTTTCATGTGCTTATTTGCCATCTGTATATCTTCTTTGATTAAGTGTCTGTTCAGATCCTTTGCCCACTATTTGAGCTATTTGTCTTATAATTGATTGTGAGAGTTCTTTTTTCTAGATAAAGTCTTTATTAGGTATGTGTTTTGCAAACATTTTCTCCCAGCCTGTGGCTTGTCTTTACATTCTCTTAACAGTATCTTTCAAACAGCAGAAGTTTAAAATTTTGATGATGCTGAATTTAGCAGTTTTTTTCTATTATGGTTTTTGCTTTTTGTTTCTTATGTGAAAATTATTTGCCTAATCCAAGGTTACAAAGCTTTTCTTTTGTTTTCTTCTATAAGTTTTACAGTTTTAGCTCTTACATTTAAGTCCATGATCCATTTTGAATTAATTTATATATATGGTGTGAGTTAAGGATTGATTTTTTTATATGGATATCCAATTGTTCCAGCATCAGTTGTTGAAAAACTGTCCTTTCTCTATTGCATTGGAATTTTTGTCAAAAATCAATTGACCATATAACTGTAGATCTATTTCTGAACTCTTGTTTGATTGAGCTTTAAAACCAAAAGTACACTGTCTTGATTATTATAGCTTAGTAAGTCTTGAATTGCATGGTGTGGGTCTTCTTTCCTCCCCCAAAGTTATTTAGGTTCTTCTAGGTTTTTTGCCATTTCCATATAAATTTTATTTTAAAATTTTCAACTTACAAAAGAGCCCAATAGAATTTTGATTGAGATTTCATTGAACCAGTAGGTCAGGAATTGCCAAAAAAACACTTTCACAGAAACACATAGAATAATGTTTGACCAAACACCTTGTTACCATGGCTCAGCCAATTTGATACATCAAATCAACTATATAGTCTCTCTCCTGATGAATATCACCGTCTTTACCTTCAGTCTCTATTAATGGACTACATTTTTACCAATATTCATAACAAAAAATTAGAATTTTACAGTTTATCTGTAATTAGAAATATGTCTTCATACTTATAAAAGAAAGAATGTTTATGGTCAGGGCATGAGATCCTTTATGAAGATGCAGATTTAAAAAAATCTATACTTTTGCTATCCAGAGGTAACCACTGTTTCTACATTTTGGTAGATTTCCTCAAATTTATTTATATTTATGCCAAGTCTTATTCCTGAAGAATTTAAGGAAGCTTGGAAATACGTATAAAATACAAGATAAGATAAATGGAAAATGAGGTTAGAAAAAGAACAAAAGGGGGGATAAACAAGGGTGGAGACATAAAATTGAGCCAGGAATGACTCTGAAAATGCAGATTATGATGACTGTTGTTATGGGTGGGCCTCAGATTTGGCTCAGGCTTTCTGGTCAGTCACACAGTTCACTGGGACCAAAAGTAAAAATAAACCACTTGATTAGGTGAAATTATATCATCTGCGGTTCTAAGAACAGACACATTGCATGGGGTTTCTTTTAATCCGTCTTAATGTAGGCTTTGGCAATCAAATTGGGGTGTAAAAATTCACAGTAAACAATAGCTCAGAGGCAAAAAGAATGCTGTCTAGGTGCTCAGATTTCCAGTGGTTTGGGTGGACAACATATTGGATTTTAGTCTTGCAGGTAGGTATGGATGACCTGCATGTCCTTTGAGCAAGCTTCCCTAAATATATTTTCTTTTAGTTAAACTTTTGGTAAACACTGAGTATCAGTGACCACCAACTAATAGTCCCTCGTTGATACCTAAGCTGCGGCTGGTGTCTATTATCAATCAAGTAGAGGTGAATCCTATTTAGAGTTGGCAATCAAACAACACACTAGTATTTAGTGCAGGGCTTTCAGTCAGACAGATGTTTCAGATTCTAACTCCATAACTCAACTAACTGTGCAGTAATAAACAAGTTAAAAATTTCACCAAGTCTCCAGGTTCTCATCTATAAAATGTGAATAACATCAGTATCTGTCTTGTAGGGTTGTCGTTGGGATTAAATATGTTTACACAAGTAAAGTATGTAACACAATAACAAGAGTATAGTAAGTGTTCAATAAATGATATTATTATTATCTTTATAAAGCTGAGGAGACTAATGAGGACTTGTGCCTAGAAATAAGGCCATCAGACATCTGCTTCCAGGTGAGCTGAGACAGCACCCACCGAACGTGTTCCAGGACCCAAATAAAATCTTAACCTTAAACTACGTAACTTTTGAATGAACTCCCAGATTCCAGTGTATTCTACACCAAGGCATCTCAAGTGTTAGTCTGTGGATCAGTGTTTGTCCATAATGAAGTTTTCATGCATGAACTGAAAAAAAAAAAAAAAAACAACCCTGCAGAATTGGCTCTGTTCCCAGTACTCTTCTCTATCTTTAGGTTAATTTATATTTCTTGTAGAAAGCATTTAGTTGGAACTTTTTAAAACCATGGTGATAATCTTTGTTTTTTAAGCCTCTGGGAAGGAGGTAGTTAGAATATCTGCGTTTGATGTAATTGGTGATAGTTTTGAGTTTAAACCTACTTTTTAATTTTGGCCTTTCTTTTCTTTTCTTTTTTTCTTTCTTTCTTTCTTTTTTTCTTTCTTTCTTTCTTCTTTCTTTCTTCTTTATTCCTTCCTTCCTTCCCCCTTCCTTCCTTCCTTCCTTCCTTCCTTCTCTCTCTCTCTCTCTCTCTTTCTTTCCTTTCTTTCTTTCTTCAGAACCTCACTCTGTCGCCCAGGCTGGAGTGCAGTGGTGCAATCTCTGCTCGCTGCAGCCTCTGTCTCCCGGGTTCGAGTGATTCTCCTGCCTCAGCCTCGCGAGTAGTTGGAATTAAAGGTGCGCACCACTACACCCAGCTAATTTTTGTATTTTTAGTAGAGATGGGCTTTCACAATGTTGGCCAGTCTGATCTCAAACTGCTGACCTCAGGTGATCTGCCTGCCTTGGCCTCCCGAAGTGCTAGGATTATAGACGTGAGCCACCGCACTCAGCCTTGGCCTTTGTTTTCTATTTGTTGTGTATGCTTTTCGTTCATCTGTTTTTCCTTTCTTGCCTCCCTTTGGGTGGATTGATTATTATTTTTTAAAGTATTCTCTTTTATCTCCTCTTTATCTCTTTTTAGTTATGCCTCTGTGTTTGTGATTACTCTAGAGATTATAATCTTCACTTTCAACTATCACAGTCTACCTTCAAAAGATGTTCTACCAAATTACAAATAATGTAAGCACCTCATAACAGTACACTTGTGATTCCTCTTCCCAGCCTTTGTACTCTTAATATCATGTTTTATTTCTACAGATGTCATAAACCACATGATCCATTGTTATCATTTCTTACTTTCAATAGTCAACAGTTGTCTAAAGAGATTTAAAGATGTTATATATGATTATAAACATATTTACAATTCATTTCTATATAATTACAAATGTAATTTTTTAAAAAAGGTCCTTTATATTTACCTACATTTTATTTTATCTAGTGCCTTTCTTTCCTTCCTGTAGATTCATATTTCTACCTGATGTCATTTCCCTTTAGCCTAATACACTTCTTTTAGCATTTCCTGTAGTGTGGGTCTGGTGGGAACAAATTATCTTAGTTTTTGTCTAAACATCTCTTCATTTGCTTTCAGATTTAAAGGATATTTTTGCTAGATATAAGATTCTAGGTTGATAGGGTTTTTTTTGGCTTATTTTTAAAGCACTTTAAAGTTGATGCTCCATTGTCTTCTGACTTTCAGTATTTCTGATAAAAACTCAGAAATTATTTTTATCTCCTCATCCCTTTTCCCTTGCATAGGATATGCCTTATTTCCTGTGGCTGTTTTCAAGAATATCTTCTTGCCTTTGGTTTTACTGGTATGCCGACGTATGCTACATTTTACTGGTATGCCTACATATGTTTTCATTTTTGTTGTTTTATTTTATTATTATTGTTTATTGTTTTTATTTTTTTGTGAAGACAAGGTATCCTATCTTGCCTAGGCTGGTCTTGAACTCCTAAGCTCAAGGGACCCCCCTGCCTTGGCCTCCCCAAGTGCTGGGATTACAGATATGAGCTACTGTGCCTGGCCAGTTTTATTATTTTTTAACTTCAACTTTTATTTTAGATACAGGGGTACATGTGCATGTTCATTACATGGGCATTACACCCAGGTAGTGAGCATTACATATGGTTTCCTTTGTATTTATCCTCCTTGGGTTTCAATGAGTTCTTTGGATCTCTGGGAAAAGTCTTAACCATCATCTTTTCAAATATTTCTTCTGCCACATTTTCTTTCCTTTCTCATTCTTGACTTTCAATTTTAGATGTTATACCATTTTCTATTGTCCTCCATTTACCAAATGCATTATTTCCCCCATCTTGTGTTTCAGTCTGTGTAATTTCTGTTGACATGGCTACAAATTCATTGGTTCTTTCTTCTGCTGTGTTCGATCTGCTGAGGAGCCCATTGAAAAATTTTTTTTTCTGTTTCAAAATTAGTTATTCTCTTTTTTGATATATATTTAAGGCATATGACATGATGTTTTGATGCACAAACACATAGTAAAAAATCTTTCTATCTGATATTGTATTTTTTATTTCTAACATTTCCATTTGGCTTGTAGATATTACATAGTATAAAAATATAGTATAGTAAATATATAGAGAGTATAGTACAGTAATAAAATATGTTATATATAGTATAGTACATGTAATATATACACTTGTGGTATATAAATATATACTATATATAATATATATTATATCTACACTATAAAAGTTTCAATTTCACTTCTGAAACTCTCCATCTGTTCAAGCATGTAGCCTATCTTTTTCAGTACACCCTTTAATATTTTTATCATAGTTATATTAAAGTCCCTCTCTAATAATTCTAACATATAAAGTCCTCTTTGAGTCTTGTTATATTGATTATTTTCTCTCTTGGTGGATCACATCTCCATTTTTCATATGTGTAAAATAACAGAGAATATATAAATAATATTTAGGCCCCCCAAAATACATGATCCAGTTTAATTGTGGCTATCAGTGTGGGAAACTGAGTCAAACTAATTTAGAGTTGAGTAGTCTGGACTTTGTTGTGGCTTTAGTGAGATACAGTTCACTACTGACTTCAAATGATATGAGGGCAAGATTGTAACTTTCCTTTAAGAAGGGCTTGTGTATGAATAAATGTGGGGTTTCTTTTAATTCTCCTGATCTTTCCTTAGCCTTCAGCCAGCCTAGTATACCTTTGCCTGGTGAATAGGATGGTTCTCTCTCAGCTCTTCAGCCTCTTCTCCAGCCATAGGCAGCAACTGCCTTGTATTCCGTGGAGGCCTGGAGTGATAGTGGCGTGTTTCTCAGTTCTACAGCTCCCTCTCTGCTTGTGCTTCAGGTGGAGGTCTCTCTTTGCTGTCCTACTTCCTTTCCCAGCTCTGGTGGCTGCTGCATAGAACTCAGTGAAGTCCTACTGTGTCTGAAGGTTTCCTTCTCCATTTGCCTGTCCTGCCCCAAGACCTCAGCATGCTCTGTGCTCCTGTGTGCTATGTATAGGAGGAGAGGGCAGGTGGTCTTTCTCAGATTTTCTTCACCTCCTTCAGACATAGACAACTGCTGCCCCATAATCTGGTTTAAAGGGACTGTTAAAAGAGATTGCTAAGTTGTCAAACTGCCTGTGTAAGGTTGATGAGTTATGACAAAAACCAAACCCAGAACTATCTTTGTGAGTTGATGAGGGTTACTACAAAAACCAAGACCCAGGAGGTGGTCACAAAGAAACTCATGAAATTTAGCTTATTATAAATTTCCATTTTGAAAAAAGCTTAGTGACATACAAGCTGTAAATTCTTTCAGATGCTTCTAGACAGAAACATTGAACATGGGAATACTTGCCTGAGGCATGAACTTGGTACATAAATTTGTAGAGGCCAAGATCTCAGCTAATACCTAGGTGGCTCACTTCTAGATTTATAAAGCAAGATCAACTTGGTTTTGATCTGTTGCAAGCCACTTACTATATTGGAGCTTGAAACAGTACCTCACGTTGTATGGTGGATGTGGACTTAAGCTGAAAAAATGATCCCATTCAGAACCACAAGAAGATAAGCTACTTAGGAATTGTGATGGTTAATTTTATGTATCAATTTGACTGGTTTAAGGGATACCCAGGTATTTGCTAAAACAGTATTTCTGAGTGTGTCCATAAGGATGTTTCTGAAAGAGATTAGCATTTGAATCAGTGGACTGAGTGTAAAGAAGGTCCACCTTCACCAATGTGGGTGGGCATCATCCAATCAGTTGGGAGTCTGCATAGAACAAAAAGGCGGAGAAGAGAAAATTCATTCTTTCTTCTAGAGCTGGGACATCCATCTTCTCCTGCCCTTAGACATCAGAGCTCCAGGTTCTCAGGGCTTGGGACTGCAGGTCTTACACTAGTGGCCTCCCTCGTTTTCAGGCCTTTGGACACAGACTGAATTACACCAGGCATCCCTGGTTTTCCAGCTTGCAGACAGCGGATAGAGGGACCTGGGGCTCATAATCACATGAGCCAATTCCCATAATGAATCTTCTGTTATATTTATCCTATTGATTCTGTTTCTTTGGAGAGCCCTGATTAATATTGAGGAATAAAATTAGTAAGATATATATATATAAAATAAGATATACATATATAAAAGTTAATGATATATATGTTATAATATATATACACACACACATATATACACACATACTATATAATATTAATATACGTATACTTTAATGAGGACAACTTTAGACTTCTACTTCCATTTAGGATGTAGAAAGTCATAAGAGAATATTGCTCCCTCCCTAACAGTGGTTACTTTTTTACTTTTAGAGTGTAAATGTAAAACTATGTAAATGAACAAAAATACAGAAAATGATGAATTCCTTTTAGGCAGTGTATTAATCTGTTCTCACACTGCTATAAAGAACTACCTGAGACTGGGTAATTTACAAAGAAAAGAGGTTTAATTGACTCGCAGTTCCACAGGCTTAACAGGAAGCATGGCTGGGAGGCCTTGGAAGGCATACAGTCATGGTGGAAGGTGAAGAGGAAGCAGGGATCTTCTTCACACTGTGGCAGGAGAGAGAGAGGGAGAGAGAGAAGGGGGAAGTGCCACATACTTCCATGCCATCAGATCTTGTGAGAACTCACTCACTATCTCGAGAACAGCAAGGGGAAATCCACCCCCATAATCCAGTCACCTGCCTGACACATGGGGATTACAATTTGACAGGGGATTTGGGTGGGGACACAGAGTCAAACCATATCAGGTTAGAAGAGTCACAAGGCTTCATTGATCCATGTTGGAATAGCAGCACGAGGAGAAAGTTTCCAAAGATGAGAGCAAGAAGAAACAGTTGAATTTTTTTTTTCACAGAGTTTTGCTCTGTCGCCCAGGCTGGAGTGCAGTGGCACGATCTAGGCTCACTGCAACCTCCACCTCCTGGGTTCAAGCGATTCTCCTGCCTCAGCCTCCTGAGTAGCTGGGATTACAGGCGTGCACCATTATGTCCAGCTAATTTTTGTAATTTTAGTAGAGACAGGGTTTCACCATGTTGGCCAGGCTGGTCTTAAACTCCTGACCTCAGGTGATCCACCCACCTTGGCCTCCCAAAGTGCTAGGGTTACAGGCGTGAGCCACCACACCTGGCCCAAAACAGTAGAGTTTTTAACAAATATTTAAAGGCTAAGTGTGGGCTGGTATGATGGTCTGCAATTGGAGCCTCAGCCACAGAGAACTTCTGTAGCCACCAACCTTCTCTTTCCCAAGAATCTTCACCAAGGACTCATGGGAAAGATGGGGCAGAGATGGGGCAGAACCAGAGATCTGAGAGAGAGCCCCTGAGGTGTGCTGGCTTGATGAAATCTGAAGACAGGGCATGAAACCTGAGAGTCATGTATCTGAGGTTTTTATTATTTTTTCCTCTTGGGAAACAGGTGAGATTAACAGACCATGAAAGATAATGGCTCCAGTTCTCACTTTGTCTTATCCATGTGCTTTTCCATACAACCTTATGTATTCCCATTTATGAGTGACACTCTCATGCTCTCTTTCAGCTGCTACCCTTTTCTCTTCCCCCTCGAAAGTAACTGATAGCCTGACCTCTAATACTACGTTTAGCTTTTCTATCAAAATTATATACGTAAATCACATAGCATGTATTCTTTTGTGTCTGATTTCTTTCACCCAACATTATACTCATGAGAGTCATTTGTGTTGGTACAAAAGGCTGTAATTTGTTTATGTTTCTATAGCGTATACATGATATGGTTTGACTCTGTCCCCACGCAAATCTCAACTTGAATTGTGTCTCCCAGAATTCCCACTTGTTATGGGAGGGACCCAGGGGGAGGTAATTGAATCATGGGGACCGGTTTTTCCCATGCTATTCTCGTGATAGTGAACGTGATAGTGAATACGTCTCATGAGATTTGGTGGGTTTATCAGGGGTTTCTGCTTTTTCTTCTTCCTCATTTTCTCTTGCTGCTGCCATGTAAGAAGTGTCTTTTACCTCCCTCCATGATTCTGAGGCTTCCCCAACCATGTGGAACTGTAAGTCCAATTAAACCTCTTTTTCTTCCAGTCTTGGGTATATCTTTATCAGCAGCGTGAAAATGAACTAATACAGTAAATTGGTACCAGTAGAGTGGGGCATTGCTGAAAAGATACCCAAAAATGTGGAAGCAACTTTGGAACTGGGTAACAGGCAGAAGTTGGAACAGTTTGGAGGCCTCAGAAGAAGACAGGAAAATGTGGGAAAGTTTGGAATGCCCTAGAGACTTGTTGAATGGGTTTGCCCAAAATGCTGATAGCAATATGGACAATAAGATCCAGGCTGAGGTGGTCTCAGGTGGAGATGGGAACTTGTTGAGAACTGGAGCAAAGGTGACTCTTGTTATGTTTTAGCAAAGAGACTGGTGGCATTTTGCCCCTGCCCTAGGCCCCTGCCTAGAGATCTGTGGAACTTTGAACTTGAGAGAGATGGTTTAGGATATCTGGTGGAAGAAATTTCTAAGCAGCAAAGCATCCAAGAGGTGACTTGGGTGCTGTTAAAGGCATTCAGTTCTAAAAGGGAAACAGCATAAATGTCTGGAAAATTTTCAGCCTGACAATGTGATAGAAAAGAAAATCCCATTTTCTGAGGAGAAATCCAAGCCTGCTGCATATGTTTGCATAAGTAACAAGGAGCTGAATGTTAATCCCAAAGACAATGGGGAAAATGTCTCCAGGGCATGTCAGAGGTCTTCATGGCAGCCCCTCCCATCACAAGCCTGGAGGTTTAGGAGGCAAAAATGATTTCGTGGGCTGGGCCCCGGATCCTTGTGCTGTGTGCAGCCTAGGGACTTGGTGCCCTGTGTCCCAACCATGGCTGAAAGGGGCCGAGGTAGAGATTGGGCTGTGGCTTCAGAGGGTGCAATCCTCAAGCTTTGGCATCTTCTACATGGTGTTGAGCCTTGAGTGAAAAGAAGTCAGGAATTGAGGTTTGGGGACCTCTGCCTAGATTTCAGAAGATGTTTGGAAATGCTTGAATGCCCAGGCAAAAGTTTGCTGTGGGGGCAGGGCCCTAGTGGAGAGCCTCTGCTAGGGCAGTATGGAAGGGAAATGTGGGGTTGGAGCCCCTCCACAGAGTCCCTACTTGGGCACTGCCTAGTGGAGCTGTGAGAAGAGGGCCAGTGTCCTCCAGATCCCAGAATGGTAGATCCACTGACAGCTTGAACCATGTTGCCTAGAAAAGCCACACTCAAAGCCAACCTGTGAAAGCAGCTGGGAGGGAGGCTGTACCTTGCAAAGCCACAGGGATGGATCTGCCCAAGATCATGGGAACTTTCCTCATGCATCAGCATGACCTGGATGTGAGACCTAGAGTCAAAGGAGATCATTTTGGAGCTTTAAAATTTGACTGCCTTGCTGGATTTTGGACTTGCATGGGCCCTGTAACCCATTTGTTTTGGCCAATTTCTCCCATTTGGAATGGTTGTATTTACCCAATACTTGTACCCCCATTATATCTAGGAATTAACTAGTTGCTTTTGATTTTAAAGGCTCATTGGTGGAAGGGACTTGCCTTGTCTCAGATGAGACTTTGGATTGTGGACTTTTGGGTTAATGCTGAAATGAGTTAAAACTCTGGGGGACTGCTGGGAAGGCATGATTGGTTTTGAAATGTGAGGACATGAGATTTGGAGGGGCCAGGGGCAGAATGATATGGTGGGGTCAGGGGCAGAATGATATGGTTTGGCTGTGTCCCCACCCAAATCTCAACTTGAATTGTATCTCCCAGAATTCCCACGTGTTGTGGGAGGGAACCAGGGGGAGGTAATTGAATCATGAGGTCTGGTCTTTTGTGTACTATTCTCATGATAGTGAATAAGTCTCACGGATCTGATGGGTTTATCAGGGGTTTCTACTTTTGCTGTTTCCCCATTTTCTCTTGCTGCCACCACATAAAAGGGGCCTTTCACCTCTCGCCGTGATTCTGAGGCCTCCCCAGCCATGTGGAACTGTAAGTCCAAATAAACCTCTTTTTCTTCCAGTCTGGGTATATCTTTATCAGCAGCATGAAAACAGACTAATACAATACATACATAAACAGAATTGTTTATGTTGCTGTACAGTATAAAGAATTGTATCTGCACCACAATTTATTTATCTGTTCTGTTTGTTAATGAACATTTAAGTTATTTCCAGTTTTTTGGCTACTGTGAATAATGCTGATATGAATATTCTTGGAAATATTTTTTGGGGAAAACATACATATTCCTGTTGGGTGTGTACCTTAGAGTGGCTTTGCTGGGTGAGAGGGTATATATATTTTAAAATCTAGTAAATAATTCCCAAGAGTTTCTCAAAGTAGTTGAATCAACTTATACTCCTTCTGGTACTAGGTAAGAGTTTCCATTGTTCTACATCTTCATCAAAACTTGGTAGTGTCAATGTTTTAAAATTAAACCATTCAGGTAGGTTTGTGGTGGCATTTTTTGTGTATGTTTTAAATTTTTTAAAAATTAAAAATAAAACATTCATAGAAAGAAGTGGCCAAATTATTAGTATACATTTTGATGAATTTTCCCAGGACAATGAAAACACCATGTAACCAGCACTCCATTAAAAAATAGAACATTACCAGCACCTAGGAATCCCTGTGATGCTCTGTTTCAGGCACTACCTATCCGAGACATAACCACTATGCTCACTTCTAACACCACACATTAGTCTTGTCTGTTTAGTACATTGTACACATGGAATCAAAATACTTTTTCAGGTCTGGAGTTTTTTGCACAACATTATGTTCGTAAAATTTATCAATATATTTGGGTGTAGCTGTAGTTTGGTCATTCTCATTGTTGCGTAGTATCTAATTTTGTAAATTTATCATAATTTATTTTTCTATTCTATTGTTGATGAGCACTTTGATAGTTTCCAACTTTGGGTATCATGACCACTGCTGCCACAAATATTCTGATATATGGCTCACAGTGAACATATACATGCATATCTGTTGGGTGTATTTCTAGGAGTGAAACTGCTGGATCAAAAAGTATGCATATGTTCACATTAGTAGATACTGCCAGTTTTAAAGTGATACCAACTTACACTCTTGCTACTAATGGAGAAGAGTTTTTATTGCTCCTTAATCTTGACTAGACTTTTTATTTTTTGTCTTTCATTTTAGAAACTCTGGTAGGTGTTTAGTGGTATCTTTAACCCCTCTTAATATTTACTGGTCATTCGAATATTCTCTTTTATATAAAATTCCTTGTCCAAATTTCCCATCCATTTTTCTGTTGATTTGTAGGAGTTCTTTATATATTCTGAAGATGACTCTTTTGTTGGTTACATGTGCTGTAAATATGTTGTCTCACCCTGTGGCTTCCCTTTTCACTCTTTATAATCATGTACTTTGAATACAAGTTTTTAATTTTAATGTAGACAAATTTATTAGTCTATTATTTTATGATGGGTGTGTTTCTGTTCCAATTAAGAAATATCTACTTACCTCTAGGTCATGAAGATAGTCATATATTTTGTTCTAGAAGCCTTGTCATTTTGTCCGTCACATTTAGATGTATAATTACTTGGAATATTTTTTCCTAAATGTTGCAAGGTAGATTCATATTCAATTTTTAAAATTAAATTAAATATGGATAGTCAATGGATGCAGAATGATTTCTTGAAACAAAATCCCCTTGTGAATTTGCTACTCTGACATATCTGACCAGGCCAAGGGCTTTAGCTTTCACCTTCATGGCTGGCCAGAAGGAAGGAAGTACTGTTATATCTTGCTTCATTTCATTTCAGGTACAAGCACAGAAACTCCTACATGACCACAGTCCAGTAAAGAAAAAGCTAGGCCGGGCGCGGTGGCTCACGCCTGTAATCCCAGCACTTTGGGAGGCCGAGGCAGGCGGATCACGAGGTCAGCAGATCGAGACCATCCCGGCTAAAACGGTGAAACCCCGTCTCTACTAAAAATACAAAAAATTAGCCGGGCGTAGTGGCGGGCGCCTGTAGTCCCAGCTACTTGGGAGGCTGAGGCAGGAGAATGGCGTGAACCCGGGAGGCGGAGCTTGCAGTGAGCCGAGATCCCGCCACTGCACTCCAGCCTGGGCGACAGAGCGAGACTCCGTCTCAAAAAAAAAAAAAGAAAAAGCTATACCTGTTAATAATATTTTATTGAAGGTTCAGGAATACTGAAAGGGTGGTTATACTATGGAAATTAACAAGTACAGCACAGACCCAAACTTTCCTAGGAATTATTTTTTTCCTTTTTTTTTTTGAGACAGGCTCTTGCTCTGTCATTCAGGCAGGAGTGCAGTGGTGCAATCCCAGCTTGCTGCAGCTGCAATCTCCCTGGCTCAAGCAATTCCCCCATCTCAGCCTCCTGAGTAGCTGGGACAACAGATGCATGCCCCCATGCTCGGCTAATTTTCTTTTTTTTTTTTTTTGTAGAGGTGGTGTATTAGTCAGGGTTCTCTAGAGAGACAGAACTAATAGGATAGATACACATCTATAAAGGGGAGTTTATTAAGTACTAACTCACATGATCACAGGGTCCCACAATAGTCCGTCTGCAAGCTGAGGAGCAAAGAGCCAAACCGAGTCCCAAAACTGAAGAACTTGGAGTCTGATGTTCGGGGACAGGAAGCATCCAGCACAGGAAAAAGATGTGGGCTGGGAGGCCAGGCCAATCTAGTTTTTTCACTGGGCTTTTCACTTGCCTGCTTTATATTCTAGATGCCCTGGCAGCTGATTAGATGGTGGCCACCCAGATTAAGGGTGGGTCTGCCTTTCCCAGCCCACTGACTCAAATGTTAATCTCCTTTGGCAGCACCCTCACAGACACACCCAGGATCAATGCTTTGCATCCTTCAATCCAATCAAGTTGACGCTCATTATTATCCATCAGAGATGGGGTCTCACTATGTTGCCCAGTTGGTCTCAAACTCCTGGACTCAAGAGATCTACCCACCCTCAGCCTCTCAAAGTGCTGAGATTGCAGGTGTGAGCCACTGCACTAGCCTGGGTGCAGTACAAGCAGCATTCTTGTCAGGCTGGCTGCGAATCTGTCTCCACATGGACAAAGACGCTTCATCCCCGAACTTGAGACAGAGGCCTTTCCATGCCTCAGCGTCTGAGTCAAACAGGCTCCCAAGACTCCCAGAAGGAGGACTTCCCCTTAACTGCCCTCATACCTCATAGCCCCATTGTGCTCAGCCATCTATAATCATGTTTTTACAGTTCTGTGGGAAGGATTAGTGGCTAAGTATAGGGAAGTCTCTGAGGGAATTTTTAAGGCACGGCTTTATATAAAGGTGAATGCTAGTTCCACAATAAAATCTAAATAAAATGTAAATGGTTAACTAAAGTTGTATACTCAAAATTACATTTAAAATTTAAAAATTAAAAATTTAAATGAGATCAAAATAAAATTAAAATAAAATTTCTAATAAAATCATTAGAATTTTCAAAACATATCTGAACACAGGAGCAGAAATTTCATGTTATTAAAACCTCATACCAAAATGTGTATTCTAGAATTGAAATAGGATTCTGATACATGGGCTAGAAAGTTTGCAGCCTAGGTAGGTAGCTGGGCTTTGTAAAGCCCCCTTGAGATAGGTTTGGGAAAGCATGCTTCTCTCCAAGTAGTCATTTGCAAGAACCTCTCTGTAACAAGTAGGGGCCAGTCATGATTGTGGGGTCTCTGAGGAGGCCTGAGAATAGGACAGAGGGATGGTAGATGGAAGCCACCTTTATTACTGATAGAGATGTCACTGGAGGATGTGGCATCAAGTAGAAGTTGAAAGGGCTAAAATTGGCTGCCTCACTCCCGTGCATAGAGAAGCAGAGAGGAATTCTTGATCCCTGTAGGTGAGGACTGAGTCAAGCAGGTGACCAGGATGGCTTTTCATTCCCCTCAGCTTGACTAAACTCCAGACAGGCTTCTTCCTGACTCTGGGTCCTTGACCTTTTTCTTAGAGTATTTACTTTAGAAAACTTGTAAAGTTTTCTGTATCCCACTGAGATGGAAACCTTTTAAAAAGCCTCTTGCCGGTTTCACAAACTAAAAATGTCTTTCTCACGGTCCTGGGAGCCATCTCTTTGGAAGGTAAGCACAAGGAGGTAGCACTCCTGTCTCCAATCTTCTGTGGGAAGGCAGGAACCTAACTTCAGCAGGTGCCTTGCTCCACATTGCAAAGTAACCCCTGTTGTAAAGGCATGAAAAGTTTATTTTTCCTTTGGATAAAGTCCATTAGCAAACACAGGTGGTCTACGACTTTTACCTAATGTTCTTCAGTACTTTTCCATTAGCTCACCCTAGTGCTGAAAAACCCTCCTGCCCTTTGTTTCCGTGGAGTTGAAGTCAGATTGACTTCTGGATTCTCTCCTGTATTGCAACAGCCTTGAATAAAGTTTACCTTGCCTGTTGAACCTTGTCAGATGCAATTTTTGCTTTGACACAGGCTTTATTAGTCCATTCTCATGCTGCTAATAAAAACATCCCCAAGACTGGGTAACTTATAAAAGAAAGAGGTTTAATTGACTCACAGTTTAGCATGGCTGGGGAGGCCTCAGGAATCTTATAATCATGGTGGATGGGGAAGCAAACACGTCTCCTTCTTCACATGGTGGGGGCAAGGAGAAGTGCAGAGTGAAGGCGGGGGGCAGGAAATGCCCCTTATAAAGCTATCAGATTTTGTGAGAACTCACTCACTATCATGAGAACAGCATGGAGGTAACCTCCCCCATGATTCAATTAGCCCCCACTGGGTCCCTCCCATGACATGTGGGGATTATGGGAACTATAGTTCAATATGAAATTTGGGTGGGACACAGCCAAACCATATTACAGGCCAAATATATGCCTTCCCAATGTACTTCCTGGAGTAGAAACAGTAATGAGGTGAAAAAAAGCAAGGGTATTACATTAATTAAACTCTCTTCATGTGGAAGGAAAGATCACCAATAGAAATAAAGCACTCCTGCCAAACAGTGACATTTAGTCTTCCTGCTTTTAGATGTTCACTTACAATATCAATTTTTCTACTACATTCTCAAGTTTTCATTTCTTACCACAGGATCGATATCTTCTGAGCCAAATGAGGCTGACATTTATTTACAGTGGAAAGCTCTATGGCCCAATAAAATTATAACCAATGTCTAAAACTGGTACATTTTCTAGATTTTGTGTGATTTGGACATACACCTTGTTACAAAATATCACTGTTTTCAGTTCTGAAAATAAGGAGTCTGAAACTCTTTAATATTAAACAGTTTTTCTGAGTTGTAAGTGACCTTTGATATCCTCTATTCAACTGCTGCCCGATGTATAAACTGTCTTTATCATACCCTCTTCTAGGGGTGGTGGACGTCACCTTTCAACAACTCTGACTTTTGAGTGTTTTCCTTACAATGTGCCAGGAATTTCTCTCCCAATTCTTACACATATTGGGTCTTGTTCTATTTTCAAAAGTCATTCAGAATAAACTTCAACACAAAAGATGATCTGCTTCTGGAAATAGGCAGATAGATCGATGGTAATGATGTTGGAAATATAGATACCTGTAGGGCAAATGACCCCAAAAGGAAGCTCAAGAAGAATGATGTACCAAGTGTTGTTGGGGGAATGGAGGGAAGGAAGCCAGGGTAGAGACACAGAAGTGGAACACACATGATACATGTTAGAGAGACTGTGAAGTGTCTGATAAAGGAGAAACTAGCAGCAGGGGGCTGAGCTATGCAAAACACGGAGGACAATGGAAGGGATTTTTGGCTGTGGGAATCAGGGTGGCTAGAGTTAGAAGCACATGGTGGGGAGAGGAGCAGGTGTTGCTCAAATTAGAACAGTTTTTCAATTTTTTTCCATTCTATTATCTGTCAGCATGGGCTTTGTTTCTTCAAGGATCTTCATGATCTTAGCTCCTAACTCTCTTGAATCTTGTAACTCTTTATACTTCCTCCATCAACACTCTGGGAAAAGCCATCATTTCCCATCTAGATTATTGTGGTTTCATTTTAATGATGTATTTGGCATTTCCATATCCCCTCTCGAAACCTGCTCTTCCATCCATTCTCTGCACTGCAACTACAGTGATCTTTTAGTAATCAATATTTAATCATCTAACTTTTTAGATTAAAGTCTGTGTTAGTTTTCTGGGGCTGCTGTGACTAAATACCATTGCCTCTGGTAGATTAAAACAATAGAGATTTGTTCTCTCACAGTTCTAGAGGCTAGAAGTCAAATATCAGGGTGTCAGCAGGGTTGGTTCCTCCTGGAGGCTCTGAGGGAGAGTCTGTTCATGCCTCTCTCCCAGCTTCTGGTGGTTGTGGGCAATCTTTATTGTTCCTCATCTGGTAGATGCAACACTTCAGTCTCTGCTTCTGTCTTCATGTGGCTGTGTTCTAGAGGCATTGGTTTCCACCCCTTTGCAAATCTGTGTCCAAATTTCTCTCTTCTTATAAGGACACCAGCCATCAGGTTAAGGCCCACTTTAATCCACTATGGCCTTGTCTTTTTGATTACATCTGCGTAGATGACTCTATTTTCAAATAAGGTCACATTCTGAGGTTTAAGGTGGGCATAAATTTTTGGGGAACACTATTCAACCCCACACAAATCCTCTCTTCATTTAGTAAATATTGATTGAGTCCCTACTCTGTTTCAGGAATTCCAAAGCCCATTGATGACTTCCCAAAAGTGATGACTGAGCTGATTTTCAAAGGGCAATAGACAAGTAGAAGAAGCATCCAGGATGAGGACACCATGAATGAGCCAATGTAGGCAGGAGCCTGGCACATTGAAGAAGCAAGATGAAGCCCCTGGGGAAAGTAGGCATGGGAAGAAGAGCTAATCAGCATTTATCAAAGGATAAATTTGGCTACCTACATTGGCTCATGATGTCCTCTTCCAGGATGCTTCTCCTACTTGTCTGTTGTCCTTTGGATGTCATCTCAGCCATCACTTTTCTGGAATAAGGCACCCTGTTATATGCACTCATAGAATTCTGTTCCCTTCCTCTATAACTCGTATGATGATTTATAATTACTCATTAATTAATATGATTAACATTTGTCATCTCCTTGACCTAATACACAGGGATCTTGTTTCCTTTACCTCACCACTATATTCCTGGAGCTTAGTACTATGTCTGGCACATCGTGGGTGGCCACTAAATATTTGTTGAAAAAATGAAGTCACACCTGGCATTGAAGCTAGGGGCACCTCCTGGCAAAAGCCAGAATAACTGGGTGTAAAGCTGAAAGTAGTGACTATGCAGTGTATTCCTGACTTGCCTATTTGTATAGAACTTGTGTCTAAGATTCCTGATGAGGTGGTTGACTAGTCTGTGTTCTGGTCACAGGTTTATCTGAGCTACAAACATGGACTGGACATGGCCCTTGAGTCCTGATTTTCCACACCCAACCTATGGTCACATCCTGGAGATTCTGCCTCTCCCACGTCTCTCAGTCTGTTCACCTCTCTCCATGTCAGCTCTTCCTGCCCTTATGGAGACCTTTATCATGTCTTGTCTCCAAACCAGGCTCCTTGCAGAGATGACGGCCCCCTTTCAATCCATTCTCTACATTGTAGGCAAATCAGTTTTTATAAAATGCAAGTTTGAATACATCATTGTATTATCTTGATAGGGCTGCAGTAACAAAGTACCACAAACAGAATGGCTTAAACAACAGAAGTGTATTTGTATTGTCTCACAGTTCTGGAGGCTGGAAGTCCGAAATTGAGGTGTTGTCAGGATTGGTTCCTTCTGAGGGCTGTGATGGAAGGATCTGTTCTGAACCTTTCTCTCTGGCTTGTAGATAGCTGTCTTCTCTCTGTGTCTCTTCATATTGCCTTCCTTTATGCACATGTGTTTCTGTTTCTGTATTCAAACTTCTCCTCTTTATAAGGACACCAGTCGTGTTGGATTATGACCCACCCTCATGACCTTATCTTAACTTGATTATCTCTCTAAAGGGCCCATCTCCAAATAATGCCACATTCTGAGGTACTAGGGGTTAGGACTCCAACATATTTTTTTTGGAAGGGGCACAATTCAGCCATAACAGTGATGTTTGTGCTGCACAAGCTTCTCCATGGCCTGCAGACTTAAAGCTAATCTCCTTCCCATGATGGGCTCCTGCTGGGCTCTGCTCCATCTTTTGCCTTTCTCCCTGACTTCTTGCATTCCATGTGCCCATTGTAAAATATTTCTTGCTGCTTCTTGCCTTAGGGACTTACTATTCCATCTGCCTGAAAATGCCCGTTCCCTCTCTCTGTTAGCCCTGGTGATTAGTCCTCACCCTTTGCCTCAGATTAGATATTGCATCCTTTTGGAAGCCTTCCTGATGTTCCTCCACGATAGGCAACCCTCTCACACACACGACCTGGAACTAAATCAGTACTTACAACACTGTCTTCCCCACTAGACTGTGAGCTGCCTGAATACAAGAACTGTGTCTGGTTCCTTGTTACCCCATCCCACCTGGCATGGTGCCTGGGACACAATGGTCCCTTGATAAATATTTTCGAGATGAAATAATGCTTAGATGGACATTTATAATTATGAACAGATGTAAAGAAGAAATGCAACAGACCTCAAGCCACTATCTAAAGAGCAGCATTCCATTTAAGTCACTACAGATGGGACAGAGACCAACCAGAATGGCGGGAACCCCTCTCCTTGAAGGTGCCTCTTGGTCTCTTACAGCTTCAACTTTAAAACAGACTCCTAGGGACTCTGAGTTGGAGAAATTCCTAGAGATCCATTAGGATCATTTTAAAGAAGGGAGAAATTGGAGCATGATGGGAGGAAGAACCTTAATTATCCTGACATTTTTATTGTTAGTCAAGACTGGTACCTGGACTTCTTGGCTTCTCCATGAAAAGAGTAAATGGTTTGCCTGTAATAGAGGTCATGTGCATGGAGGTTAAGAGAATGGGTGCTGGTCCACTTTTTAGGTATATGGTCCTGCCTCTTATCAGGCAAGTGATCTAGGGCAAGTCACCTAACCTCTCTGTGACACGGTTTCTCCATCTGTGAAGTGGGGACAATGGGAGTACCTATCTCAAAGTTGAGAAGATTTGCTGAACAAAAGCATGTTAAAGCACAATGCCCAGCAGGTGGTCAACATCCCCATCCCCAAATGTTAGTATTTATACTATGAGGAAGAGAAAATATTTTAGTAAAGTAACCAGTCATAGCTAAATCTTGGAAGCCTGCCTGGTCTGCACTTAGATTAACCAAACATGTAAAAATCAGAGGTTTAGTCATAGTGACCCCTCATTCCTTTCTGTACACATGGATAGTGCTTGATTTCATTGGGTTCATTTGGACAATAACACATGAATAAGCCTTTCCTGATTCACTGGGGTCTTATCAAAACACTCAGAGTGATTTTTTGCCCATGTTTGACTCATGGACATTTTGGAACCCACCATTCTCCCATGGAGGGCAGTGAGGAAGGCATACATGATAGACGGGGCTATTTAGTCATGGCGCCTCCTGTGTCCAGATGTTTTATTTCCACTGTCCAGAAGCAGAAGCCTTTTCCACACTGTGTCTGCAAATTTATTCAGAAACCACACTTCAGCTGAAGGCTCCAGCCACCTGACATTTCCCACTCATTAACTCCCTAGGGGAGAACAAGGATACAAGAAGAGGGAAGCAGAGTGACAGTGGTCATAGGTTTTCCTGATACTGCTTCAGATCCCTGACTCATTCCCCACCTCTGGTCCCCAGCACCATCCTAACTTCCCATCCTAGCAGACAGAGTGACCCAGAACCACTGAGTGAGGACCTGTGTGGTCTGGAGACCCTGTCCCAACTGTAATGCTTTAACCTTCCTTTGCCAGGCCTCCTTAGGGCCCTTTGTGCTCCAAGGGAACAGGGTAGTCTCTCTCCCAGCTCTTCCCTCAGGGAACTCTGCTCTATGACTTCTCCAATTTGTTTTGTTTTGTTTTGTTTGTTTCTTTTTTTTTTCTCTGAGATAGAGTCTGGCTCTGTCACCCAGGCTGGAGTGCAGTGAAGTGATCTCCGCTCACTGCAACCTCTGCCTCCTGGACTCAAGTGAGCCTCTCACCTCAGCCTCCTGAGTAGCTGTAACTACAGACATGTGCCACCACACTTGGCTAATTTTTGCATTTTTTTTTGGTACAGACAGGGTTTTGCCATGTTGCCTAGGCTGGTCTCAAACTTTTGGGCTCAAATGATCCACCCGCCTTGGTCTCCCAAATTGCTGGGATTACAGGCGTGAGCCATCATGCCTGGTCAACCTTTTCCAAGCTTAGCAAGCAAAGGACAGCCCAAGGAGATGGAGCATGTCATTGCCTCTTCCCTAGTACTGAGAATATTCCCAGAGCTTTCATGGTCATATCTCAGAGGTGTGACTCAGCTTCCCCATTTGTAGGTAACTCAGGTTGAGGAACAGGAGTGAGTATTTTGGAATATGAGGGATGTCTATAAAAGTGAAATGCTATTTTGTCTTTTGGTATGGGATAGCTTAATATTGGGGGACAATAGTTTTCAGGTAATGGAATAGTGTGGCTTGGTTGTGTGTGTGTGCGTGTGTGTGTGTGTGTATTTATGCTAGTCCAGGGACAAGTGATGAAGGTAGATTAGAGTTATGTTGGTTTACAAATTCTATCAGGTTCTTTGGATTCTCGGGATATTGACAATGTCGGGGGCTCTTTAAGTGCTGAATTTTCAGCATGTAGTAAGAATAGTTTTACATGATTTATCTATTGGGGAAACTCTAAGAATTGTTCCAGTTTTAGTTGCAATAGTGGCCCTCCAGCTCCTTCCAGTTACTGGCCTCTGACAGAGCAGGAGTACTGTTATCTTGGACAAACAGCTCCACTTTAAGTTCCAGCTCCCTTTCTAACCTCATGCATTTCAAGGAAATCACTTATCTTCTAACAATAAGCAGCCAGAAAGAGCAGACGGTAAAACACAGATAAGACAGCTTGGGCACAGAGAGAGGGGGAAAGTCTCTTGGGTAACCACCAAACTTCACACTCACAATGGGCCCCAGTAAAACAGTGGGTCCTAATAAGTACATTCCTTTCCCTTTAGGTGCACGAAGATAGGGAAGCTAAAAGCAGACTCAGGGGGTATGCCTGCAGCTGCAGGAAGATGTGTGGGAACAGACACAAAAACCCTCCCTCCCAGATAAGCAAGACAGACAAACATTCCAAGCCCGTGATAAGCTCTTCTGCCTTGAACCCTTAAAACCTCTCAGTCTGTAAGAGAGAATGCCTCTGACCTAACTTGGCCAGAAGCCCCTCTCAGGTTTATTCTCCAAAATAAACCTCTCTTTGACTGTTGAGCCACTTTTTGTGTTTCTTTCTTCTTTCTTTAATTCTTGTAGCCTCTGTTACTGGGCATGGAGTCATCTGTCTTCTATGGAGCACCTCTGTCTTTTGGTCAAAGAGGGAAAATGAAATCCTGGCCCTATGGATACTGGGAAGCATACTCAAGTATCTCTGTACGTATCAAATGAGACAAGGGCTTGTTCAGGAGAGACACTAGACTTTCTGTTAATCTATACTTTGGGATTCCTGGAAGTTGCATTCTGAGATGCTCCAGATTCACATGAAAAAAAAAACAAGCCAAGTGCTTGACTGGCTGGGTTTCTTTCCTCCGCTCCTCCTTCCTTTCCTTATTTGCTCTCTCCTTTCCTTTCTTCCTTCCTTCTCTTTCTTTTCTTTTTCTGTCTCATCCTGTTCTAAAAACAATAGGGTTGTTTAGAAGGATACATACAACAGACAAGATAAAATAAATTAAAAATAGTCGAGGCTGAGTGCTGTGGCTCACATCTGTAATCTCAGCACTTTGGAAGACCAAGGCGGGAGGATTGGTTGAGCCCGATGAAGGGAGCCAGCCCCTGCACACCTGTGGGTATTTCTTGTCAGGTGGGATGAGAGACTGAGAAAAGAAATAAGACACAGAGACAAAGTATAGAGAAAGAACAGTGGGCCTAGGGAACTGGCACTCAGCCTGCGGAGGACTTGCACTGGCACCGGTCTCTGAGTTCCCTCAGTATTTATTGATTACTATTTTCACTATCTCAGCAAGGGGAATGCGGCAGGAGAACAGGGTGATAGTGGGGAGAAGGTCACCAAGAAAACATATGTGCAAAGGAATCTGTGTCACAAATAAATTCAAGGGAAGGTACTATGCGTGGATATACACGTAGGCCAGATTTATGCTTTTCTCCACCTAAACATCTTAGTGGAGTAAAGAGTAACAGAGCAGTATTGCTGCCAGCACGTCTTGCCTCCCACCATAGGGCAGTTTTTCTCCTACCTCAGAATAGAACAAATGTACAATCGGGTTTTATACTGAGACATTCAGTTCCCAGGGGCAGGCAGGAGACGGAGGCCTTCCTCTTATCTCAACTGCAAGAGGCCTTCCTCTTTTACTAATCCTCCTCATCACAGACCCTTCACGGGCGTCAGGCTGGGGGATGGTTAGGTCTTTCCCATCCCAAGAGGCCATATCCAGGCTATCTCAGTAGGGAGAAACCTTGGACAATACCTGGCTTTCCTGGGCAGAGGTCCCTGCGGCTTTCTGCAGTGCATTGTGCTCCTGGTTACTCGAGAATGGAGAATGGTGATGACTTTTACCCAGCATACTGCCTGTAAACATACTGTTAACAAGGCACATCCTGCACAGCCCTAGATCCCTTAAACCTTGATTCCATACAACACATGTTTCTGTGAGCTCAAAGTTGGGGCAAAGTTACAGATTAACAGCATCTCAAGGCAAAACAATTTTTCAGGGTACAAGTCAAAATGGAGTTTCTTATGTCTTCCTTTCTACATAGACACAGTAACAGTCTGACCTCTCTTTCTTTTCCATACACCCAGGAGTTTGAGACCAGCTTGGGCAACAGAGCAAGACGCCGTGTCTACAAAAAAAAAAAAAAAAAACAAGCGATAATAAGTAAAAAAAAAAAGTAGGGTAAGAACAAGATGACGTTTCTGCAAGGTGAGTATACAAAATCAGTGGGAAGGCGGGGTCTTATGTAGGGATTGATGAGACACAACAGGCTTCACCCAGCACCACAATTTATATAGCTTTACAGTAGTACAAATGATGGGCACCACACTATGCACTGCAACAGCACCGTGGAGGCCTTGCTTATCCTCTGCTCATCTTCCTGTATCTACAATCATTTCACACTGGAATATGAATGGTCACAGAGACAGCCAGACTATCTCAGCTTGGGCATTGCACCAGATCTGGGGCTTGTTTGGCTTTTACATCTTGATGGTCATGTAGCCCTCTCTGAGATGTATTTCTTTATTTTAGTTTATTTTTTTCTGAGACAGAGTCTCGCTCTGTCGCCCAGGCTGGAGTGCAGTGGTGCGATCTCGGCTTACTGCAAGCTCTGCCTCCTGGGTTCACGCCATTCTCCTGCCTCAGCCTCCCGAGTAGCTGGGACTACAGGTGCCCACCACCATGCCCAGCTAATTTTTTGTATTTTTAGTAGAGACAGGTTTTCGCCATGTTAGCCAGGATGGTCTCGATCTCCTGACCTCGTGATCCTTCCGCCTCGGCCTTCCAAAGTGCTGGGATTACAGGCATGAGCCACCGCGCCCGGCCTATGAGATGTATTTCTATCTATCATTTTTCTGTGCAGCTGCCTCTTGTCAATTACTAGCAATTGCTGGTTATCCAGTTACTAGTTAACAAATCAACAAAGAGGTGCAGCATGCTGGTTCACTATATAGCCGGATCCTAGTTTATCATAGATCGGGTATGCTGTACATTCTTTGAATTACTGTTGCGTGAAATAAAACTGAGAGTCAAGTCCTCAGGTTTTCTTGAGGCTGAAAAAAAGATTATACTCCATCTGTTAATCTTTCCTCCCAGTTTACCTCTGACTTTTGTCAATACTTCTTTGCCATATGTTCCTTGGGCATTTAAAAGATAATTATATATATTAATTGACAAATAATAATTGTATATATTTATGTGGTACAATGTGATGTTTTGATCTATGTATACATTGTAGAAAGGTTAAATCAAGCTAATTACCATATCTAACATTTCATCTACTTATCATTTAAAAAATAATTCTTGGCCGTGCATGGTGGCTCATGCCTGTAATTCTCAGCAATTTGGGAGGCTGAGATGGGCAGATCACTTGACACCAGGAGTTTGAGACCAGCCTAGGCAACGTGGCGAAACTCCGTCTCTACTAAAAATACAAAAATTAGCTGCGCTTGGTGGTGCACACCTGTAGTCCCAGCTACTAGGGCGGCTGAGGCACGCAAATCACTTGAACCTGGAAGGTGGAGGTTGCAGTGAGCCAAGATTGCACTTCTGCACTCCAGCCTGGGTGACAGAGCAAGACACTGTCTCAAAAAAAAATCTTTAAAAAGTTTTATTTAATTGTAATTGACAAATAATAAACATATATATTTGTGAGGGTATAATGTGATGTTTCTACACACGTACACATTATGTAATGATCAAGTCAAGCTAATTATCATATAATCACCTCAAATGCTTATCATTTCTTTGTGGTGAGAACATCTAAAATCTACTCTTTCAGCCATTTTGAAATCTGTAATACGTTGGTGTTCACTATAGTCATCATACTGTGCAACAAATCCCGGAACCAGTCCTCCTGTTGAACGGAAACTATGTACCCTTTAAGCAGTGTTTTGCTTTTCCCTGTCCATTCCCCCATCCCCCTCCTCTGCTAACCACTGTTCTACTCTTTACTTCTATGAATTTGACTGTTTTAGATTTCACATATAAGTGAGATCATGTGGTATCTGCTTTTCTGTGCCTGGCTTATTTCACTTAATATAATGTCTCCTAGATTCACCCATGTTGTCACAAATGACAAAATCACCTAGTTTAGAAAGTGATCCTTAATGTAGTAACTTCTATAACATTTTATGCACAAAAATACATTTTAAAACTCTGCAACCATGAGGACCATATTATTCAATGAGCAGTTGGAATTCTTTCCCAAGAATCACATTGAGCCATGAGTATATTTACTTAAAAATTTCTGATATATCTTTTTTAGTTGGACTATCTTCTCTCTTCCCTTTTTCTCCACTATCACCTGCATTATTATTATTATTATTATTATTATTATTATTATTATTATTATTATTTTGAGATGGAGTTTCGCTCTTGTTACCCAGGCTGGAGTGCAATGGCGCGATCTCAGCTCACTGCAACCTACACCACCCGGGTTCAAGTGATTCTCCTGCCTCGGCCTCGTGAGTAGCTGGGATTACAGGCATGCGCCACCAAGCCCAGCTAATTTTGTATTTTTAGTAGAGATGGGGTTTCTCCATGTTGGTCAGGCTGGTCTCCAATTCCCAACCTCAGGTGATCCTCCAGCCTTGGCCTCCCAAAGTGCTGGGATTACAGGCGTGAGCCACCATGCCTGGCCTCACCTGCATTTTTACAGGCTTCAACAGAGGTGTTGAGCTGCATATGTCACTTTTTAAAAGCTAAATTTACTTCTTTCTTTGGCCAATAGATCTCCATGAGTATTGCATCAACTGGAAGTTTTAGTTTGACTTCTCAAAATACCTTTTTATTCTGGCAACCATTTTCATTTATTTTTTATAAAGTAGCCTACAAATTCTTTATTACCTGTAGCAGAAAGATTAGACAATGTTCAGGACATTAATATAATCATGTCAATTTCCTAGCCTTCTCAGCAAAAATACCATTTTCTCATACACATTTCCCATAACTGGTGTAATTACTGGAGGTCATTGCTCAGTAAAGTCCAGGTTCCCTCTGGTCTGGGGGCATAATTACACTTCACCCACCAAGGAGTAATTTTTTTTTTCTTTGAGACGGAGTCTCGCTCTGTCGCCCAGGCTGGAGTGCAGTAGTGCGGTGTTGGCTCACTGCAAGCTCCGCCTCCCGGGTTCACGCCATTCTCCTGCCTCAGCCTCCCGAGTAACTGGGACTACAGGTGCCTGCCACCACGCCCGGCTAATTTTTTGTATTTTTAGTAGAGACAGGGTTTCACCGTGTTGGCCAGGATGGTCTTGATTTCCTGACCTTGTGATCCACCTGCCTCAGCCTCCCAAGGTGCTGGGATTACAGGTGTGAGTCACCGCGCCCAGCCCAAGGAATAAGTATTAGAGTAACTCAGGTTCCAGGTATCACTGTGGAGCACTGCCCATCTGTCCACAATTGGTAGAGTTTGAGCCGGTTAAGGATCAACTTTGGGTCATCCAAGGTAATACCAATTGTATCACAGAGTCAAAACTCCTTTCAACTTTTTGACACTGTTGCTCTGAGGGAGTAGCAGTAAATGGCATGCTTACCAGTCATCTTGCCATATGCCATAGGTTAGGTTGGCCATAGTGTTCCCATAAACATACCTCCTCTTGCTTGAGCCTGCAGCACAACTGCTATTTAAATATATCAGGTGCTGTTGCTGTTGACATGGCAATTATTCCTTCCCTGGTGAGCATATGGATTCTTGTCCGGAGTTATTGACAAGCAAGATGCTGAGCGAGTTGGGTAACATGCATAGTCCATTCAAATACTGTGATATGGTTTGGATATTTGTCCTGCTCAAATCTCATGCTGAAATGAAATCCCATGGGGATTGGAGGTGGGGCCTGATGGGAGGTGTTTGGGTCATGGGGGTGTGTTCTCCTGAATTTGGTTGTTTAAAAATTGTATGGTGGCTGGACACAGTGGCTCACGCCTGTAATCTCAGCACTTTGGGAGGCCGAAGCTGGCGGATCACCTGAGGTCAGGAGTTCAAGACCAGCCTGACCAACATGGTGAAACCCCATCTCTACTAAAAATACAAAATTAGCTGGGTGTGGTGGCGCATGCCTGTAATCCCAGCTACTCAGGAGGCTGAGCCAGGAGAATTGCTTGAACCCGGGAGGCAGAGGTTGCAGTGAGCCGAGATCACGCCATTGCACTCCAGACTGGGCAACAAGAGCAAAGCTTCGTCTCAAAAAAAAAAAAAAAAAAAAAAATGGGTGTGGCACCTGCCCGTATCCCCGCCTTGCTCCTGCCCTTTTCATGTGACCTGCCTGCTCCAGCTTTGCCTTCCACTATGAGTAAAACTCCCCGAGGCCTCCCTGGAAGCTGAGCAGATGCTGGTGTCATGCTTGTGCAGTGTGCAGAACCATGAGCCAATTAAACCTCTTTTCTTTATAAATTACCCAGTCTCAGGTATTCCTTTACAGCCATGCAAGAATGGCCTAGCACATTGCTTCATCATATTTCTGGGCCAAATGCAAGTTCAGTGAGTTTCCTGGGAGAGAACTCCCCCTAGTGACCATTTAGACCACAAGCATGAGTCTCCAGAAAAGTCATTTCCACTTGCCATGCTTAACCAAGTTCCCAACCTCCTAAGTCCCTCTTAGTACTCTGGACCAATGCTGGGTCTGTGATCACAAGTGTTGCAGCCATGAGTACTTGTGATACAAGACTAATTCAAGTACACTACATGCATCTAAAAAGTACTGTGTCCCTCAAGAGATTGTAGGGTTATCATACTCAGTTCCCAGGGGCTGTTCAGTTCAAGTATCCCAAAGGCTTCCCATAATCATCGTATTGGAAATTCCAGGGTGAGATCATCATTGGTATGTGACAACCAGGTCATGTCAATATTCACCTCTCAGACATCATTGTGATTTTTTGAATGCCTGCCTGTATTGTTTTCCAAACACATTACCATATGCTGTAGTTAAAAGGGCAAACTAGACTCCAATATGCTAGGCAGACAACTGCAATGATGTCTCCCTCATACCCAGGTATTTGCTTTAACAATGGAGTGTCATCTTGGGTTACAACAACATGATGCAGAGCTGTTAGCTGACAGTCACAGTATGTTCAGTGAGGTTCAAAGGCAGGAATCCTCTTAGTGCTACAGTGAATCAGCATGATACACATAAGAACAAAATGTGACTAAAACAGTAATCCCAACCTACTGTTGCTTAGGCAGGTCATCAAAGAACTCTGAGGTCTTCTCTCCAAATCTCGTACATAAGGTCTCAGGTAATTGTTGCCATGTGGCTTCGGTCCAATCCTCCTTATCAAGGGGAAATAAATCTTGGGGTATTTCCTTGTATGGGCTATGATCAGCACCACATATGAGAGAAACAGCTAAGAATATTGTTCTCCTGCTCCTGAGATAAAAATGACAACTCCCAGTGGCCGGGTGCAGTGGCTCACGCCTGTAATCCCAGCACTTTGGGAGGCCGAGGTGGGTGGATCATTTGAGGCCAGGAGTTTGAGACCAGCCTGGCAATATAGTGAAACCCTGTCTCTACTAAAAATACAAAAAATTAGTCAGGTGCGGTGGCATCTGTCTGTAGTCCCAGCTACTCAGGAAGCTGAGATATGAGAATTGCTTGAACCTTCTAGGCTGAGGTTGCAGCGAGCTGAGATCATGCCACTGCACTCCAGCCTGGGTGACAGAGTGAGACTCGATCTAAAAAAAAAAAAGTCACCTTCCTTTCCAGGTATTATTTCCCATTTTATGATCTCTTTCCATTTATTACCTGTCTTGATCCAGACTGGGCTTCTCTGGGTAGACATCTCTGGTTCAGCTATCCTGCCCTCTACAGGCATGTAGCAGATTAAGCTTTCCAGAACTGCTTCTTGTGTCCATTACCAGGTAGAAGGCATAGGGCTAGAAAGGCAAACGAAGATGGGAATGTCTCACAGGGGAGGGACGCATCACCTATGGTCAGCCGTCATGAGATGAAGTCACTATCCATCTCATTATTTGTTTAGGAATATGCACAGTCAAGTTATTTATTTGTTTATCTTTAACTTTAGGTTTCTTTTTAAATAAAACAAATTTGCCTCCAGCAAACACTAAACTGCTTCTGCCTCTATAAAGTTGTCAGTTTTGGATATTTTATACAAATGAAACACAAAAAAAGGCAAGCCTTTTATGTCCGGCTTCTTTCACTTTACATAATGTTTTCAAGGTTCATTCATGTTTAGCCTGTACTAGTACTTCATTCCTATTTATGGCTGAGTAATATTTCATTATATGAAGATGCCACATTTTGTTTATACATGCATCCATTGATGAACATTTGTGTTGTTTCCACTTTTTGGCTATTGTTAGTAGTGCTGGTACGAACATTTGGATGCAAGTTTTTGTTTGAATACCTATTTTCAATTGTTTTAGGTATACATCTAGGGGTAGAGTTGCTAGGTCATCTTGTATCTTTGTTTAACTGATTGAGGAATAAACTATTGTCCACACTGTCCATACCATTTTACATTCCCAATAACAGTGTATGAGTGTTTTAATTTCTTTGAACTATTTGTTTATCATTTTGTTGATAGCCATGATAAGGGGTATGAAGTGATATTTTATTGTCATTGTGTCTTGCATTTCCATAATGACAAATGACACTGAGCATCTTCTATGTGCTTGTTGGCCATTTACATATTTTCTTTGGAGGGATGCCTATTCATGTTCTTTACCCATTAAAACATTTTTTCCCTTCGTCTTTTGTTGTTGAGTTATAAGAGCTCTTTATATATTCTGGATAAGATATCGATATCCTTATCAGACATATGGTTTACAAATATTTTCTTCCATTTTGTGAATTGTGTTTTCACTCTCACAATATTGTCTTTTGATATAAAAAAGATTTTAATTTTGATAACGTTCACTTTATTTTTTTCTTTTGTGGCTTGTGTTTTTGGTGTCATGTCTATGAAACTTGGACAAATTCAAGGTGATAAAGATTTATTCATTTTTTTGTAAAAATTTTATACTTTTAGCTCTTATATTTAGGTTTTTAGTTTATTTTGAGTTTTGTATATCCTATGAAGTAAGGGCTCAACTTTATTACTTTCTATGTGTCTATCCAATCACCCCAGAACCATTTGTTGAAGAGACTATTCTTTCTCCATTGAATGGTCTTAGCACCCAGGTTAAAAATCAATTGACCATACATATATGAGTTTATTTCTGAACTCTCAATTCCATTCAGTTGATCTAGTTATTTATCCTTATGCTAGTAGCACACATTTTTTTATGACGGCAGTTTTGTAGTATATTTTGAAGTCAGGAAGTATAAATCCTCCAAATTTGTTCTTATTTTTCAATATTGTTTTGACTAGGGAGGAAGAGTCTGGGGATGGAGATGAATGGGGAATAATGGCTGTAATAAGCTCTTGCATATAACAAAGCTCTAGAGGGCTATGTGCGCGCTCAGGAATAAACACGTGCCTAGAAAGATTGGAAGAGATCCTATGCTTTTAGCTCTGGCTAATCTCTAGGATCCATGTAAGCAGTAAGTGAAGGGATAAGGCAGAGCTGTAAATTACCTAGCTAACTATGGAAGGAGTGCCCTAACACAGAGACAATCTGCCAAGACAGGGGAACAGTTTTTCTCTTTTTCTTATTTTATCTTATCTTATTCTTTAATTTTCTTTTCTTTTCTTTTTGGATCCAGGAAGCTAGGAGAATCATGGTTAAATCACTAGCTGACCATTAAGCTAACAGAACCTTTAGGGAACACACACACGAAAGAATACAGTCTTTATAAAAGTAGTTTAGAAAAGTCACTAATCCAACATCAGTGATCATTAGAGAAATGCAAATCAAAACCACAATGAGATACCATCTCATGCCAGTCAGAATGGTGATTATTAAAAAGTCAAGAAACAACAGATGCTGATGAGGCTGTGGAGAAATAGGAACACTTTACATTGTTGCTGGGAATGTAAATTAGTTCAACCATTGTGGAAGACAGTGTGGCAATTCCTCAAAGACCTAGAACCAGAAATATCATTTGGATCAGCAATCCCATTACTGGATGTATAACCAAAGGAATATAAATTGTTCTGTTATAAAGATACATGCGTGTGTATGTTCATTGCAGCACTACTCACAATAGCAAAGACATGTAATCAACCCAAATGCTCATCAGTGATAGACTCAATAACAAAAATGTGGTAAGTATACACCATGAAATACTATGCAGCCATAAAAAGGAATGAGATCATGTCCTTTGCAGGGACATGGGTGGAGCTGGAAGCCAATCTTCAGCAAACTAACACAGGAACAGAAAACCAAATACCGCATGTTCTTACTTATAAGTGGGAGCTGAACAAAGAGAATACATGGACACAGGGAGGGAATAACACACACTGGGGCCTCTCAGGGCAGGGGCAGGGGAAGGGAGAGCATCAAGATAAACAGCTAACGTACATGAGGCTTAATACCTAGGTGATGGGCTGATTGATAGGTGCAACAAACCACCATGGCACACGTTTGCCTATGTAACAAACCTGCACATGTATCCTGGAACTTAAAATAAGACAAAATTAAAAAAAGAAAAATCACTAATCAAAGAAACTACTACTACCGACAATGAGCAGCAACAATAAACCCTGGAAATGGAGGAGAATTTGATTTCTAGAGTTAGCACATTATAATATGAAAAATATTCAGTTTTAAATAAAAATTACGAGGTGTGCAAAAAAAAAAAGTTCTCAAACAAGAAACTATGGCCCATTCATGGGAAAAAAATCAACAGGAATTGTCCTGAAAGAAGCCCAGATATTGGACTTACTAGTGAAAGATTTTAAATCAACTTTAAAAAATATGGGCAAAGAACTAAGGAAATCATGGACAAAGAACTAGAGGAAACTATGAGAACAATGCATTACCAAACAGAATATTAATAAAGGGATGGGAATTAGAAAAAAACACCAAATAGAAATTTTATATTATAGGTAAATGGTACATTTTTTGTTTGCGACTTATTAGTCTAATGCAACTTCTAACATCTACCCCTTTAAAAAGAATTGTAAAACCACAAAATACTCTATCTCTATTAAACCCTTTCCTGTAATTTTTGTTGTTTTCATACATTTTTAATTTTTCTTATACTTAAGACTGTACAATAGATAACCATAATTGTGCAGTCAGCATTCATTTTTTGCTGTGTTTAATATTTTTGTTTTTCTTCATATTTTTTTAGATCTTGTTTCTGCTGGGACATTTTCCCCTTTGTCTGATGAAATTTCTTTAATATTTGTTTTAGGATAGGTGTGTTGAATAAATGTCTTCATTTGTCTTTATTTGGAAGGATATTTTCAGTGCTTTTAGTGTCCACAATTTGTAGTTACAGTTTTTATTCTCTTAAAATGTTATTCCCTTGTCTTTTGGATTCATGTTGAAACGTGTCAGTTGTCAGGAATGAATGTTTGAAAGGAATTTGTTTTTCTTTTAACTACTTTAATGATTTTTCTTTGTCTTTGGTTTTTACTAGTTGAATTGTGGTGTGCTAAAGTCTAGTTTTCTGTATATTTATTTTGATGGGTTCAAAAAGTTTTTTATGGGGTGTATTAATTCTCACAGTGCTAATAAGACATACCTAAGACTGGGTAATTTATAAAGAAAAAAAGGTTTAATTGACTCACAGTTCCACATAGCTGGGGAGGCTTCACAATCGTGGTGGAAGGCAAAGGAGAAGCCAAGGCACGTTGTACGTGGCAGCAGGCAAGAGAGCATGTGCAGGGGAATTGCCCTTTATAAAACCATCGTATCTCGTGAGACTTATTCACTATCACGAGAACAGCATGGGAAAGACTCCCCACCCCAATTCTGTTACCTCCCACTGGGTCCCACCCATGACATGTAGGAATTATGGGAGCTACAATTCAAAATGAGATTTGGGTGGGTACACAGCCAAACCATATCATGGGGGGTGTTGCTTTTGTCAGTTTTTGGAAAACTGTCAGCCATTGTCTCATGAAATATTACTCCTAAACTGCTTTTTTTTTTCTTTTCTCTTTCTGAACTTCAATTACATATATTTTTTGTCTTTTGAATATGTTCCAACATTTCATATGCTCTTTTTCTCATTTTTCATTCTTATTTCTAACCATGCTTTAATTTATCTGTCTCTTTTCATCCTCCCTACCCTTTGCACTATTCTACTCTACCTCCATGAGGTCAAATTTTCAAACTTCTCCATATGAGTGAGAACATGCAATATTTGTCTTTCTGTGCCTGGATTATTTCACTTAACACAATATCCTCCAGGCTCATTCATGTTGCTGCAAATGACAGAATTTCATTCTTTTTTATGGCTAAATGATGTTCCAAATTTTCTTTATCCATTTGTCTGTTGATGGACACTTAGATTGATTCCATATTTTGGCTACTGTGAGTGGTGCTGCAATAAACATGGGAGGATAGACATCTTTTTGTCATCCTGATTTCTTTTATTTTGGATAGATACCTAGCAATAAGATTGCTAGATCATATGACATTTCAGTTTTTAGTTTTTTGAGGAATTTACATATGTTTCTACAACAAGGTTTATTACTAGACATTCTATAGAATTGCAATAATTCCGATAAGATGCTCTTGAAAGGACACTTGCCCAGTAATGGCATATTCACCAATGAACCAGTGATGACTCTAGCTTTGATCCTCTGAAACCAGTGAACTCTGTTTCTAAGCAGCTTAGATGAATCTTTCCCTTTTTAACCAATAAAAGCTTCCCTTTATGCTTCCCTCTTTGGATGCACCAGTTCATGCACCGCTGGTTGTAATCCTCATTTCTCATTTCTGAATGAACTCAATGTAGTTGGACATTTCTTTAATGTCAGAGAGATGTCAGTACTCTTTAAAAAAATTTCAATAAGTTTTTGGGGGAATTGGTGGTGTTTTGTTACATGAATATTTTCTTTAATGGTGATTTCTGAGATTTTGATGCATCTATTACCTGAACAGTGTACATTGTAGTCAATGTGTGGTCTTTGCTCCCTTCCACCCCTCCCACCCTTTCCCTTGAGTCTCCAAAGTCTATTGAATTAGATTGGTGCAAAAATAATTGCGGGTTTTGCCATTAAAAGACGCTTTTAATGGCAAATAATGGTAAAACCCATACTTATTTTTGCACCAACCTAATATTATTCTTATGCCTTTGCATCCTCATAACTTAGCTCCCACTTATGAGTGACAACATACGATGTTTGGTTTTCCATTCCCAAGTTACTTCAGTTAGAATAATGATCTCCAATTCCATCCAAGTTGCTGCAAATGCCATTATTTCATTCCTTTTTATGGCTGAGCAGTATTCCATGGTATGTATATGTGTGTGTGTGTGTGTATATATATATACACACACACACACATATATACATATTATATGGGTATTTAAGTCCTCGATGTATATATGTGTTCACGTCCTTGATTCATCTTGAGTTGATTTTTGTATAAGGTGAGAGATGAGGATCTAGCTTCATTTTTCTACATGTGGCTTGCCAATGATCCCAGCATGATTTGTTGAATAGGGTGTCCTTTCCTCACTTTATGTTTTTGTTTCCTTTGTGAAAGATTGGTTGACTGTAAATATTTGGCTTTATTTCTGGGTTCTCTATTGTTTCCTTGGTCTATATGCCTGTTTTTATACCAGTACCATACTGTTTTGGTGACTATGGCCTTATAGTATAGTTTGAAGTCAGGTAATGTAATGCCTCCAGATTTGTTCTTTTTGCTTAGCTTTGCTTTGGCTATGTGTGCTCTTTTTTTGGTTCCATATGAATTTTAGGATTGTTTTATTTAGTTCTGTAAAGAATGATGGTGTTATTTTAATGGAAATTGCATTGAATTTGTAGATTGCTTTGGGCGGTATGGTCATTTTCACAATATTGATTCTCATGAACATGGGATGTGTTTCCATTTATTTGTGCCATCTATGATTTCTTTCAGCAGGGTTTTGTAGTTTTCATTGTAGAGGTCTTTCACGTCCTTGCTTAGGTATATTCCTAAGTATTTTATTAATTTGTTTATTTTGCAGCTATTGTAAAAGAGGTTGAGTTCTTGATTTGATTCTCAGCTGGTCCCTCTTGGTGTATAACAGGGCTACTGATTTATGTACATTAATTTTCCATCCTGAAACTTTGCTAAATTTATTTACCAGTTCTAGGAGCTTTTTTGATGGGTCTTTAGGGTTTTCTAGGTATACAATCATATCATCAGCAAACAGTGATAGTTTGACTTCCTCTTTACTGATTTGGATGCCCTTTATTTCTTTCTCTTGTCTGATTGCTCTGGCTAGGACTTCCAGTACTATGTTGAATAGAAGTGGTGAAAGTGGGCATCCTTGTTTTGTTCCAGTTCTCAGGTGGAATGCTTTCAGCTTTGCCCCATTCCGTGTAATGTTGGTTGTGGGTTTGTCTTAGATGACTTTTATTACCTTAAGGTATGTCCCTTGTGTTTTGATTTTGCTGAGGTTTTAATCATAAAGGGATACTAGATTTTTGTCAAATGCTTTTTGTACATCTATTGAGATAATCATGTTATTATCCTATCTTTTGTATTTTTTTTTGTTTCAATTTCATTTAGTTCTGCTCTGATCTTGGTTATTTCTTTTCTTCTGCTGGGTTTGGGTTTGGATTGTTATTGTTTCTCCAGTTACATGAGGTGTGACCTTAGATTGCCTATTTGTGCTCTTTTAGACTTTCTGATGTAGGCATTTAATGCTATAAACGCTCCTTTTGTCACTGCTTTGCTGTTTCCCTGAGGGTTTGATAGATTTTGTCATATTATCATTTAGTTCAAAGAATTTTTAAATTTCCACCTTGATTTCATTGTTGACCCAATGATCATTCAGGAGTGGGTTATTTAATTACCATGTATTTGCATGGTTTTGAGGATTTCTTTTGGAGTTGATTTCCAATTTTATTCCACTGTGGTTTGAGAGAGTACTTGTTATAATTTCAGTTTTCTTAAATCTACTGAGACTTGTTTTGTGGTCTATCATATGGTCTTTCTTGGAGAATGTTCCATATGCTGATGAATAGAATATATATTCTGCAGTTATTGGGTAGAATGTTCTGTAAATATGTGTTAAGTCCATTTGTTCTAGGGTATAGTTTAAGTCCATTGTTTTTTTGCTAACTTTCTGTCTTGATGACCTGTCTAGTGCTGCCAGTAGAGTGTTAAATTCCCCCACTATTACTGTGTTGCCATCTATCTAATTCCTTAGGTCTAGTAGTAATTGTTTTATACATTTGGGAGCTCTAGTGTTAGGTGCATATATATGTGGAATTGTCATATTTCCTGTTGGATTAGTCCTTTTATCATTATATAATGTCCTTCTTTGCCTTTTTAACTGTTGTTGCTTTAAAGTTTGTTTTATTTGACATAAAAATAACTACTCTTGCTTGCTTTTGGTGTCCATTTGCATGGAATAGCTTTTTCCATCCCTTGACCTTAAGTGTATGTGAGTCCTTATGTGACGGATGAGTCTCTTGAAGACAGAAGATACTTGGCTGGTGAATTCCTATCCGTTCTGCCATTCTGTATCTTTTAAGTGGAACATTTAGACTATTTACATTCAACATTAGTATTGAGATGTGAGATGCTATTCTATTCATCATTCTATTTGTTGCATGAAATCCTTGTTTTTGTTTTTCATTGTTTTGTTGTTTAATAGGTCCTGTGAGATTTATGCTTTAAGGAGATTCTATTCTGGTGTATTTTTATAATTTGTTTTAAGATTTGAGCTACTTTTAGTAGTTCTTGTAGTGTTGGCTTGGTAGTGGTGAATTCTCTTAGCATTTGTTTGTTTGAAAAAGACTGTATTTTTCCTTCATTTATGAATCTTAGTTTCACTGGATACAAAATTCTTGGCTGATAATTGTTTTGTTTATGGAGGCTAAAAATAGGACCCCAAACTCTTCTAGCTTGTAGGGTTTCTTCTGAGAAATCTGCTCTGTTTGTCTGATAGGTTTTCCTTTATAGATTACATGATGCTTTTGCCTCGCAGCTCTTAAGATTCTTTCCTTCATCTTGACCTTAGATAACTTCATGACTATGTACCAAGGCAATGATCTTTTTGCAATGCATTTCCCAGTGTTCTTTGAGCTTCTTGTATTTAGATGTCTAGATCTCTAGCAAAGCTGGGGAATTTTTCCTCAATTATTCTCTCAAATATATTTTCCAAACTTTTAGATTTCTCTTCTGTCTTGGGAACACCAATTATTCTTAGCTTTGGCTATTTAACATAACCCCAAACTTCTTGGAGGCTTTGTTCATTTTTTAAATTCTTTTTTCTTTGTCTTTGTAGGAGTGGGTTTATTCAAAACCCTTGTCTTTGAGCTCTGATTTTCTTTCTTCTACTTATTTGATTGTATTGCTGAGAATTTCCAGTGCATTTTGCATTTCTCTTAAGTGTGTCCTTCATTTTCAGAAGTTATGATTATTTTTTATTTATGCTATCTATTTCACTAGAGATTTTTCCATTCATATCCTGTATCTTTTTTTGATTTCTTTAAGTTGGACTGCATCTTTCTCTGGTGCCTCCCTGATTGGCTTAATAGCTGATCTTCTGAATTCTTTTTCTGGCACTTCAGAGATTTCACCTTGGTTTGGATCCATTGCTGGTGAGCTAGTGTGATCTTTTGGGGGTGTTAAAGAACCTTGTTTTGTCATATTGCCAGCACTGTTTTTCTGGTTCCTTCTCATTTGGGTAGACTATGTCAGAGGGAAGTTTGGAACTCAAGGGCTGCTGTTCAGATTCCTTTGTCCCACAGGGTTGCTCCCTTGATGTGGTGCTCTCTCCTTTCCCCCTGAGATAGAGCCTCCTGAGAGCCAAACTGCAGTGACTGTTGTTTCTCTTCTCAATCTAGCCACCCAGTGAAGCTACTGGGCTCTGGGCTGGTATAGGGGAGTGTCTGCAGAATCCTGTGATGTGATCCCTCTTCAGGTCTCTCCGCCACAGATAACCAGCACCTGCTCCAATGGAGGTAGCAGGGGAGTGAAGTGGACTCTGTGAGGGTCCTTGGTTGTATTTTTGTTAAGTGTGCTGGTTTTGTGTGGACCTCCAGCCAGGAGGTGGCGCTTTCAAGAGCACATGAGCTACATTAGCACATCAGCACATCAGTATAGGGAAGATTAGGCAGGGGGTGGGGCCATAGGGCTCTCAAGGGATTATGTCCTTTGTCTTTGGCTACCAGGTCAGCTAGAGAAAGACCATCAGGTAGGGGCAGGGTTAGGCATGTCTGAGCTCAGGCTCGCCTTTGGTGAGGCTTGCTGTGGCTGCTGTGGGGGCTGGGAGTGTGGTTCCCAGGCCAATGGAGTTATGTTCCCAGGGGAATTATGGTTGCTTCTGCTGTGTCACACAGGTCACTAGGGAAGTGGGGGAAAGCCGGCAGTCACAGGTCTCACCCAGATCCCATGCAGCCCACAGCCTGAAAGGCTGGTCTCACTCCCAAGGTGCTCCCCCGCCCCCACCGCCCGCCAGCAGCAGCGAGTTTATTTCTAGGTAGCCGGTGAGCAGGGCTGAGAATGTTCTGCAGGCTCCAAGCCTCTCAGCTGAGAAAGCAAGCAAACTCACAGTTCCTCAGTTGTCCCACAGAGCCTGCAGCAGCAATCCACCTCCCTCAAAGGGTCTGTGGATTCTTTCAGCTTTCCTGGTATGTTCTTGTGGCAGTTCTTAGAGCAAAAGTTCATGGTGTGTGTCTACACATGCCACTCTGTCCGACCTAGTGGGGGCTGCAAGTTAGTTTTGCCTCCTATCCGCCATTTTCCCTCTATTGGAAGTACACTTGAAGTGAGAGTACCTTTGGAAAAGATTGGTGACTCTTGGAACTGGGTGAGGAACTGGGTAGGTAACCACAATTGAGCCCTTGGCAATCTAAGCTTCCATGGATCATCTTTCTTCTGCCCAGGTAAATCATCTCTCAGATTGCGTTCCCTCCCTTTGGTAGCAGCTCCCTATTGACTTATTCAGGATCTGATTGGGTTAAGATGCCTTGCATCCTTTTTGGGACTATATAAGACTTTTTGTCTTTTTTGGAAAGTTATTTCTTTTAGAAAGACAGTTTGTCTTTCTGGTCCTGGTAAGTGCACTTTTGGTTTCAGTTTTGTTCTGACTTGTTTGTGTATGCTTATACTTTCATTTGCTGCTTGATTCTTTTCTTCCTCTATTTCTAAACATCTTTTGAAAGAAAAATTTACTTTCTCAAAAGGTAGGCACGAGTTGGCCGTTTAAAAGCCATTAGGGCAATTGCCACCATTCTATGAGGGATGTCAGTATCCGAAGAAAAAAAATCTCTTGTCAGGATAAACTAGTGCACAAACAGCCAAATTACCACTAGGGGGCCTGCCAGTCTCAAGAAAAATTTTGCGCGTCTGGGGAAAACTTGCTCATGGGACAGGCAATGAGAGTGCAGATTGCTTGCCAAGTAAAACAAAAATCCGGTGCCAGGCACACTGTAAAACAAAACACCAGTCCAAACGCCTATCATTCCCTGACAGGGCTCTGCTCTTCGGGCTTTTCTTTTGCTCTCAAGAGATTAATAAGCAGAATGGGATCCCAAAATCCTAAAGCACGTAATTATAATCCTCCTGGGACCCCTGCAGGCTCTATGTTTTAAAAATTATGGTCCTTTGTCTTGTGTACAATTTTAAATCAATAGCTATAGCACACCCAAACTAATTTGGATCCTCAATGGTCATACTGGGGGGCATTTGAGCTCCCCAAACTTGTTTTGTTAGAACAAAATTAGAAGACTGTGGTCCTAATATTAAGCAATCTGAATGGGAAACATACTTTAATTGGTATCTCAAAGCTTCTAAGTACATTCAGGATTCTACAATTGCCTCCTTATGAGATACCATGTCAAAATTAACTGAGACAAACAAATAGTTAAGGAAGGACAAGGCTTGAGGATCCCAGACTTGTTCCTCGTTGGAGGAGACCTCCTCTTCTCTTTCCCCTGTTCCTTCTCTCTATTTCTTCTTTGAGTGAATTACCTTTCCCTCTGGATTCCTCAGCTCCCACTACCCCTGAACCTGGTCCTGTTAAAACCTGTCCCTTGAAAGTTAAATTCACTGATGATTCCTCTAAATCCTAAATTTCTTTTGTTCCTTGGAGCAAGGCTGAACTTTAAGCCATTGCCGCAGAATTCCCAAAGGTCATGGAGACCTTTCAAATTTGCTGATAAAATTAACACAGTATTATAATTTCGACTTATCATCCAGGTTTTTCTTACCTGTGCCAGTTGGTTCATATACTTTTTGTGAAGGCCAGGCCCAATATTGAATGGCCCAGGCTCCTTGATGTGACCCTGAGAGGGCTTTAGGCAAGAATACCCCAAAAGACTATGACAGAGCCTGAAGCACAGTGAGCAAGCAAGCAGACAAACAAACAAAAACAACAAAACTTCATGAGGCTATTCTTGAGGCTTTTCCTGAAACCTGAGATGAATAAAATCCAAGACTGTACCCAAAACCTAATGAACCAGATTACGACTATTACAGTTGGCTCCGGGTTGTATTTGTAGAAAATTCTGGATTACCTATGGATGCCGAATCTACTCAAGTAGGCTGTAATTCTAAGTTTGCAAATGGCCTTTCTCAAGAACTTTCTCAGCTTGTCAAAAGAGTACACATGGAATGGAAAACTATGTCCACTTCTGATTTGGTTAATCTGGCAAATCACCTTGCCTGCACCCCTGAGGACAGTACTAAAAACCACTAACATTCGTAATGTTACAATTACAGCAAACTGAGGCTCCCAGACATAACACTAGGCAGAGACTCCCTGGGCTGTGCCAACGTTCCAGATGGCTGGAAGAGAGATTGCTGCAAGAGAAAGGGGGAATTTCATTCCCAACTCCCCCATCTCTTCTCCCATCTGAGACCACTTTCAGTGAAGGGGCTCCAAGGACTTATGGGGGATTTTCCCACTTCTCCCACTTAATTTTCTGAGTGAAATGATCCTTCAAATTAGGAGTGTTTTTTTTTTGGCGGGGGACAGAGTTTCTCTCTTATCTCCCAGGCTGGAGTGCAGTGGTGCGATCTCGGCACACAGCAACCTCTGCCTCCTGGGTTCAAGCGATTCTCCTGGCTCAGCCTCCTGAGTAGCTGGGATTACAGGTGCCCACGACCATGCCCAGCTAATTTTTTTGTATTTTTAGTAGAGACGGGGTTTCACCTTGTTGGGCTTCAAACAACTGGTCTCGAACTCCAGACCTCATAAGCCACCTGCCTTGGCCTCCCAAAGTGCTGGGATTACAGGCATGAGCCACCACATCCGGCTGGGAGTGTGGTCTTAACTGTGCTCATTGATGCCACAGCAATATTTTTCATCCTTAATCCCCCTAGCCTCAGTCAGCCCCTGCCTCAGAGTAATAAAAAGATTACAAATGGTGAGTTTCCAAAAAGCCACTGACTACTTTTGTTTCACAGCCCATTTCTTTCCATCTTGGTCTTCTCTCCAAGACACCCACACCTTTTGCTTGTTAATTCTGCCCCGCTCCACCACCTTGGATGTGATTTTTTTGAAAAATACCATGCTAAAATTTCTTTTTCCCAAGAGGGGGAAATAATTTTAGAATTTGATAAACTAAACTGTCCTCACTCAACAGACTCCCCCAATTCTGTCATTTGTTATGTCATTCCCTGTTCAGAAAACAAAAATAATGTCACTCATTTAGTGCTGAATCAAATACCTGTCTCTTTAAAGGCAAAATCATTCACTGATATTTTCAAAATTCATAGTGTACCTCTTATTAAAATCCAGATTAACCTATTAAAACCCTTGCTTAATATTAAACAGCCACTAAACCAGATGGCACTGCAAGGTATTAAACTTATTATAAAAGAATATAAAAAACAGTCTCATTATTCTCTGTACCAGTCTTTGGAGTACCCTGATCCTACCTACTAAAAGACCAAACAACCATGGGAGGAGGTTTGTTCAGGAACTCTCTCTGAGTTATAAACCATAGTATTATTACAAAGCACCCAGTGGTTCCAAATCCCCATACTGTATTAAATCCAATACCCATTGATAGCAGATTCTTCACCATCACTGATCTGTGTATTACATTATTCATTATTCCAGGGGATCAAGCCAACCAATATCTTCTTGCCTTCACCTGGGAAGGCCAACAGTTCACCTGGACATTAATGCCTCAGGGGTTTACTGAAAGTTTTTCCTATTTTCTCAAATGTTAAAGGCAGACTTAGAGGATGTAATTTTTCTCCAAGGCTCTTGTTTACTACAATATGTAGATGACTTCCTTCTTTGCTGTCCTTCACAGGCAGCCTGTGAAAAAGACAGTGTATACCTATTAAAGCAAGTGGCTGCTTAAGGTCATAATGCCTGTAAAGAAAAACTGCAGTGAGTAAAAACTCAGGTGAAATAATAAAGCCATTTAATTTCAGAGAATGAATTACATTTAGAACCAGAACAGATTCAAGGCATTTTACAATTTCCTCAGCCCAAAAGAAATGCCAACTTTGTGAGTGGGTTTCTTGGACTCACTGGCTACTTTTGAAACTGAATTCCCAACTTTTCTTTTCTGGCCCAACTCCTATGTGCTTTACATAAATTTACCAAACCTGACCCCATTACTTGGACAAAATCATAAGGGTAAGTTTTTAAAAAGCTAAAGGAGAAATTGATAAATTCTCCAGTTCTAGGTAATTCTAATCATAAACTCTTTTTTTTTTCTCTTTGTCTGTGAAAAGGAAGAAAATACTTCAGGGATCTTAACCCAAAAGCATGGAGGTCCACACCATCCTCCAGGATACTACAGTTGACAACTGGATCCCATCTCCTGTGGATTCCCTCTCTGCCTAAGAGCAGTCCCCGCTGCATCCTTGTTAGTCAAGGCGACTGAGGAGATAGTCATGGGATTCCTCCCTGACTGTGTTTTTTCCTCATGCCATGGAAGCCGTTTTACACACTCATCACACTTGGCATTTTTCTGCTAGCGGACTAACCTCCTATGAACCTCTTCTACTTACTATTCATCATATTATTCAATCATGCTGCAATAACCTTAACCCTGTGGCTCTCTGGACCTCTCCATCAGATGAAACACCACATGGCTGCTTAACTCTGACAGACCAGCTTTTAATTCCTTGGGAGCAATTCCTGTGGACAATGCTGAGTTGTCCTGGTTTACAGATGGCTCACATTTAAAGAATGAGTCTGGCAAGTATTGTGCAGGCTGTGCAGTCGTGACTTCCTTTGAGATTGTGAAAGCAGCTCATTTACTATTAACTACTTCAGCCCAGCAGGCAGATCTGTTTGCCCTCGCTTGAGCCTGACTCCTTGCTACAGGAAAGACAATGTTTATGTAAGCAGCAGGTAAGTGATATGGCTTGGCTCTGTGTCCCCACCCAAATCTCATCTTGAATTGTAGTTCCATAATTCCCATGTGTTGTGGGAGGGACCCAGTGGTAGATAATTTGAATCATGGGGAGCAGTTTCCCCCATACCGTTCTCATGGTAGTGAGTAAGTCTCATGAGATCTGTCGTTTTATCAGGGGTTTCTACTTTTGCGTCTTCCTCATTTTCTCTTGCCACCACCATGTAAGAAGTGCCTTTCACCTCCCACTATGATTCTGAGGCCTCCCCAGTCATGGGGAACTGTAAGTGTAATTAAACTTCTTTTTCTTCCGAGTCTTGGGTATATGTTTATCAGCTGCATGAAAATGGACTAATACAGTACATTGGTACTGGAAGTGGGGCACTGCTGAAAAGATACCCGAAAATGTGGAAGCGACTTTAGAACTGGGTAACAGGCAGAAGTTAGAACAGTTTGGAGGGCTCAGAAGAAGACAGGAAAATGTGGGAAAGTTTGGAACTCCCTAGAGACTTGTTGAATGGCTTTGACAAATGTATTGTTAATGATATGGACAATGAAATCCAGGCTGAGGTGGTCTCAGATGGAGATGAGTAACTTTTTGGGAACTGGAGCAAAGTTGACTCTTGTTATGTTTTAGCAAAGAGACTGGCAGCATTTTGCCTCTGCCCTAGAGATCCGTGGAGCTTTGAATTTGAGAGAGATGATTTAGGGTACCTGGCAGAAGAAATTTGTAAGCAGCAAAGCACTCAAGAGGTGACTGGGGTGCTTCTAAAGGCATTCAGTTTTAAAAAGGAAGCAGAGCATAAAAGTTTGGAAAAATTTGCAGCCGGACAATGTCATAGGATAGAAAATCTTATTTTCTGAGGAGAAATTCAAGCTGGCTGCAGATACTTGCATAAATAATGAGGAGCTGAATGTTAATCTCCAAGACAATGGGGGAAGTGTCTCCAGGGCATGTCAGAGACCTTTGTGGCAGCCTCTGTCATAACAGACCTGGAGGTCTAGGAGGGAAAAATGGTTTTGTGGGCAGGGCCCAGGGTCCCCATGCTGTGTGCAGTATAGAGACTTGGTGCCCTGTGTCCCAGCCACTCCCACTGTAGCTGAAAGGGGCCAACATAGAGCTCAGGCCATGGCTTCAGATGGTGCAAGCTTCAAGCCTTGGCAGCTTCCATGTGGTGTTGAGCCTGTGGGTGCACAGAAGTCAAGAATTGAGGTTGGGAACCTCTGCCTAGATTTCAGATGTATGGAAATGCATGGATGCCCAGGCAGAAGTTTGCTGCAGGGGTGGGGCTCTCATGGAGAACCTTTGCTAGGGCAGGGTGCAAGGGAAATGTGGGGTTGGAACCCCCACACAGAGTCCCTACTGGGGCACTGTGGTTGAATGGCTTTGACATTGGCCTAGTGGAGCTGTGAGAAGAGGGCCACTGTTCTCCAGACCCCAGAATTGTAGAGCCACCCACAGCTTTCACCAGGTGCCTGGAAAAGCCATGGACACTCAATGCCAGCCCATGAATGCAGCGGGGAGGGAGGCTGTACCCTGCAAAGCCACAGGGGTGGAGCTGCCCAAGACTATGGGAACCCACCTCTTGCATCAGCATGACCTGGATGTGAGACCTGGAGTCAAAGGAGATCATCTTGCAGCTTTAAGATTTGACTGCCCTGCTTGATTTCAGACTTGCATGGGGCCTGTAGCCCCTTTGTTTTGGCCAATTTCCCCCATTTGGAATGGCTATATCTACCCAATACCTGTACCCCCATTGTATCTAGGAAGTAACTAGCTTGCTTTTGATTTTACAGGCTCATAGGAGGAAGGGACTTGCCTTGTCTCAGATGACACTTTGGACTTTTGGGTTAATGCTGAAAAGAGTTAAACTTTGGGGGACTGTAGGGAAGACATGATTGGTTTTGAAATGTGAGGACATGAGATTTGGAGGGGCCAGGGGTGGAATGATATGGTTTGGCTCTGTGTCCCCACCCAAATCTCAACTTGAATTGTATCTCCAATAATTCCCATGTGTTGTGAGAGGGACCCAGTGGGAAATAATTTGAATCACGGGGGCAGTTCCCCCATACTGTTCTCATGGTAGTGAATAAGTCTCATGAGATCTAATGGTTTTATAAGGGTTTTCTGTTTTTTCATCTTCCTCGTCTTCTCTTGCTGCTGCCATATAAGAAATGCCTTTTACCTCCCACTGTGATTCTGAGGCCCCCTCAGCCATGTGGAATTGTAAGTCCAATTAAGCCTCTTTTTCTTCCCAGTCTCAGGAGTGTCTTTACCAGCAGCATGAAAATGAACTAATACAGTAAGCCTTTGGAGTTGTTCATAATTTTGGTATGGTTTGGAAGTAAAGAGGTTCCTCACTTCCAATGGAGACAAAATAAAGAATGACCCTTATGCGTAAGAATTATTAGATGCTATACAGTTACCTGATGCCCTAACCATGATCAAAGTCTCTGGCCATTCAAAATTAGACACTGTGGAATCTAGAGAAAATCACTTTGCGGATAATGCAGCAAAGAATGCTGTCCTTAAAAGATCCTATTGATCAAATTTCTATCATGGCCCAGCTAGAAAATTCCCCCCAAATAATTCTGAAACAATTACTAAAGAAGCACAGAATTGGGCATCTGAGGCCAAAAAAATAAGCTGGAGAATAGTGGATGCTGATTCACTGGTAAAGATATACTTGGGTTTGGGCCAAATAAACAAACCTGTCCTGCTAGACTCCATGAAATTTCCATTGTTTACTACTGTACATAACTTAAGCCACTGGGCTACATAAAATACAATTACTTCTATAAAACAATACTGGTCAGGTACCATCAATAAAGCAGCCAAAAATACTTATTTTACCCTGCCCTACATTCCCTAAATCCAATCCTGGGAACGCAGGGTGCATAACCCTGAACATTTTAACCTCCCTAATGGGCCTTTCAAAGTTGGATTTTATCGAGCTCCCTCCTTTGCATGGATACAAATGTGTGTTAGTCTTGATCTGTATGTTCTCCCCCTGGATTGAAGCATTCCCCTGAAGATGAGCCACCACATTAACAGTAGTTAAAGTCCTTTTAGAAAAGATAATTCATACCAGGGCCATCTCTCTTGAGCTCCCAGCAACTGAGGAATTAATTTTACAGGACAAGTTATAATACAAATGTGGGCCATCTGGCCAATCTTACAGCACTTTAATTGTGCTTATCATCTCCAGCCCTCTGGACTAGTTGAAATGCACCAATAGTACTCTTAAGACCCAACTGGCAAATTTTGTAGAAACCTTATACTTGCCGTGGCCAAAAGCCCTGCCTATAGTGCTTCAGAGCTAAAAGGTCTCCCTTTGGAATACATAAGATCTCACAATTTGTAGTTATTACTGGGTACCCCATGCATTTGGCCCCAACTTCAAAGACCCAAAGTTCATAAAAGGTGAAATGCTTCAATATTATAAAGGTATAATCAAGGCTATGGATAAAAAGTATGCTCTGGTAGAACAATCTTTCCACAGTGCATTCCCAGGAGATGAAGACCTAAAACACCATAATCTGCAATCAGGAGATTTTGTCTATTTGAAAAGACATTTAAAAAAAGACTCCCTCTGACCTCATTGAGAGGCCCATTTCCAGTCCTGTTAACCAACCTTTGTGCTGCCAACCTTAAAGGAATTGATTCTTGGATATATGTATCTTATCTAAGGAAAACATCAGCTCCTGAGTGGATCTGCACTCCTGTCAACGAATTAATACTAAAAATTTCTAAGAACTGAACTTAGTTTATAAAACTAAAAATTTCTAAGATTTGAAGCAGGTGGCATCTGTTTCTCCCAAGATGTTTGGATGACTTCTATATACCCTTTCCTTATTTCTAATTCTTACTTTATCTTATCCATTTCTTTTCCCTGGAAGACGATATTCCTGTCCACATTTCCCAGTCTGTTGGTACAGGGGAAAACTTACTGATTGTTGGATCTGTCATAAAAAATCCTGACCTGTTAATGACTCTAGTTTTCTTTTAGTACAATCTGTAACAAATTTAGTACAATCTGTAACAAACATCTCAGCTCCAACCCTCTGTACAAAGTGTATCATGGGACCATCCTATAAGGTTAAGCTTTCTCATTCACCTTCTATTCCTGTCTCCTGTCTCATCTACTCAAAACAATGATCTCCTAGTAGGGCCCTAGAGACGTGCAATGGATCATCTCTCTAAAAGTATTCCTTGGGTCTCTTTACCATATGTAAGAAAACTTGTTGGGACTGATTTTAAGAGGAAGGGCCATTAGCAGTTTATAGTAATATAACTGACCCCTGGTTTAATCCTGCCAGACACAGAAAATTTACAGATGGAAGAATTCTTTGTTTTCCTATTGGATATATTTACTTTTGTGGGTGGGATATGTCAATATGGGCCTCCAGATATTTAGACACTTGGACAACAGGAGGCTAATGTGTGTTGGGATGTTTTGTTTCTCTGTTGTCAATGCATAATAGATCTGAAACTGGTCACGGGACTGTCATTGGACTAGTCCCGTCTTACTATATCAAAGGGTTAAACATGAGTTACCAGGTGGGCATGGGACTCTGGATTGCTTCCTTTGTCAGATCTTTTGTATAATGGTATGATATAGCCACTAATGAAGAAATGGTAAAAGATTTATTTGCTACCCTAGGAATTCTTGCAGACTTCACTGCAAGTATACAATAGCATTCATTGGCTTCTCTTGCCAGGGTAGTGTTGACAGAATTGCTCTTGATTATCTATTAGCCGAGCAAGATGGTATCTGTGCGATTGCTAATACTGCATGTTGTACCCAGGTTAACTCCTCCAGGTAAGTTGAAACTCAGTTACATAAACTAAAAGAACAAGTCTATCTGGCTACAAGTCTCACCCATTTCTCTGGGGTCATTTTATCTATTTAGTTGGTTGCCTTTGTTCATGGCTCAAAAGCATCATGCAAACTGGACTCGTCATATTATGGCTATTTTTGCTCTGTATTTTCCTTTTTAAACTGTATACTTGTTGTCTGTTAAATCTTTGCAGAAATACAACTCCTGACAAAATAATGTTGGCCCAGCAATTTGAGATGATAGTCAATGCCTATGGAACAGACAAAATTAAATTTAATGATGAAATCCAGATGAGATAAGCCTAAGAGCTTCTCCTTCTGGCCTCCTTCTTGCTCAAATGTGGCTAAAAGGGTCTTGAGACTGACTTCCAGCTGTTTATCACTTCCGCCTGATGTGGGATGAGATCAACTAACTACAACAGGTCTATCCCAGCACCAAAGGACAATTCAAACCTGGCTACAGGCTAGTTGATCAATGATATTTTTAGAGAAAAATCATTATCAAAAGAGGGAAATGTGAAAGTTGCAGGTATCAGGATGAAATAACTTTTGTCACACCCAGACAAAATAGGGCTGGGAAGGCATGAAGGAGAGGGGGCTCATGCTTACGTGTCTGAGATAAGAACTATTTCCAAGAAGTTTCTAAGAGCTCCAGAAGACATCTCTTTGTATCTTTCACTCATCTGCTTTGTACAGCTTGCAGGTTTCACACATATACATATGCTTCTATGGCAAGGTTTATCACTAGACATTCTTCAGGACTGCAGTAATTCAGATAACATGCTCTCAAATGGTCATTTGCACAGTAACAGCATCTCTACCAATGAACTGATGACAACTTTAGCTTTGAGCCTCTGGAGCCAGTGGACTCCGTGTCTAAGCAGCTGACACGAACCTCTTCCTTCTTGCCAATGAGAGCTTCCCTTTACCCTGCCCTCACCAGATGCACTGGTGGCTTGTCATTTTGTGCACCCTGGGTTATAATTTTCATTTCTCATTCCTGAATAAACTCAACATATTTGGACATTTCTCTAATTTTTTTTTTCCTAGGTGAATACTTGGCAGGACAACAGGCAGACAAGGAGCAGCCTGGGCTACACCCTCCTCCATCCAGCTTGGCAGGGAAGGTTGGGGCAGGGCCTCGCTAGGAGATAGGGGCTAGAGGGCGAGGCCAGGGGCAGGGTTAGGCATGGGGACAGCACCACGGTGGGGTCTTCCTGGCTCACTGTCCACTACCAGGTACTGGGATCCCCAGTTATTTTATTGCCTCACCATGAAAAGAAGTGAAAGCATTCCCTAAACATAATTTCATCATTGTCTTTATCTCTCTCCCGCCACATTTCTTCTTTTCTATTGCTCTTTCTCTCACAAAAGCAGGGGATATATATGAAACTTGCTAAGTGGTTCTATTGAAGCTTCTTCCATTAAGCTTGAGATAAGGAGAAAAACAACCCTCTCCCTGTTAGGAGGATTTGGGGTTCACTATGCAGCTTTCTCTGAAAGAAAACTTTACAAGACACTCTCTTACCTCCAGCTCTCAGCTCTTTTTAGATCCACATTAGATTGAGAGGCTCAAGTGTTACGATATTGATTATTATTATTATTTCCTATCAATATCTTCATTTTGTGTGTCACAATTCACTTTAATATCTGTTGTCTCCCAGGTCTTGGTGCCTCAGTTGAAACTTCCAATTTAACATCCTGACACACACTACTCCCTCTTCCTGTGATCATCAGAACAAGATAAAACCTTGTGTGTCTGGATAGTTCTCATCTGTTAAGATTCAGGTAAAGAAACGCCTTCTTTGGGAAGTTGTTTATATCCTCTTCCATCAGACTGAGCTAATTATTCCTCTTCAAACCCACACAGTGTTCCATGTAAACTATTATAGTCTTTGCTACACTGAGTCACTCTGGAATCAGATGCCAAGATTCAAGTCTTCCTTTCACGAACTATATGATCTTGGGGTATTCTTCCCCTTTTAGAGCCTGAGTTTTTTAAACTTACCTTTTGGAGTTTTTGTCAGAATTAAGTTAGATGATTTTAAGGTATATTAAGTTCTTAGATCAGTCCCTGAGAGAACTGAGGTGACATTTATTTTGTCACTGAACATCTGTATGTGTTTGGGGAGAAAGGAAGTGTGGGCTATATTCTGGAAGGACAAGACAGCAGTGTGTTAATTATTATGTAAGGAGTGAGAAATGTCATATGTTTTTCTTAAAATTTCTGAAAGGGCTTCAGCTTCCTGGATATCTGGTGCCTGGGCGAAAGAGGAGCCATATCTTCACAAAAGTGGAAAATTCCTAAGAAATAGAGGTGTGAAGGGCCAGACACATTTTATAACAAATTTAAAATCTGGGAAAGGTCAGCCCTGATGGCTTCCTTTTCATACCAGCCAAAGTGACATAACATGCTCAGAATATTTTCCAATTCCATTACCCAAGAAAAGAGCAAACAAAGTCCTATACAACATATCCTATTTTACTATTCCCTCAAACAGATGCAATAATAATATCAGGAAAGCATTTCAGAGTGACAGCTGTGGAAGAAAGACAAGTGAGCTATATTTTCAATAATTTGTATTTCTGTATTATTGAGGAAAAATATTACATGGGATGTTTTAAAAGAAAGGTAAATATCAGTTAGAATAATGGTTTTTTTTTACTCAATAATTTTTTTTTCTTTTTTCTTTTTTTTGACAGAGTCTTGCTCTGTCACCCAGGCTGGAGTGCAGTGGCACGATCTTGGCTCACTGCAACCTCCGCCTCCTGGGTTCAAGTGATTCTTCTGCCTCAGTCTCCCGAGTAGCTGGGACTATAGGCATGCACCACCATGCCCGGCTAATTTTTTTGTATTTTTAGTAGAGACTGGGTTTCGCCATGTTGGCCAGGCTGGTCTCGAACTCCTGATCTCAGGTGATCCGTCTGCCTCAGCCTCCCAAAGTGTTGAGATTACAGGCATGAGCCACTGCGCCTGACCTACTCAAGAGTTTTCTTAGGGCTCCCTTAATGTCTTTATTTCTCAGACTGTAAATGAATGGGTTCAACATGGGAGTGACTGCTGTGTATATCACTGAAGCAATTATGTTCTTGTCATTGGTGTTGCTGGATGGGGGAAGAAAATAGAGACCAATAATTGTCCGATAATAGATAGTCACCACTGAGAGGTGGGATCCACAAGTGGACAAGGCTTTGCATATGCCCTTGGTAGAGGGAATCTGGAGGATGGTGACCCCAATGTGACCATAAGAAACCAGGATGCACAGGAATGGAAGCATAATGGCTGTCAATGCTGCTGTAAAGATTGCTAACTGATTGAGGGAGGTGTCTGAGCAGGACAACTTGAGCAGGGCACCAAGGTCACAGAAGTAGTGAGGGATGATGTGGTCAGCACAGAAGGAAAGCTGGGCCAGGAGGAGGGTATGCAAAAGAGCACACGCACAAGCGATGACCCAGGACCCAGCCACCAGCATGACACACTGGCTCTGAGTCATGATGGTGGCATAATGTAGAGGATGACAGATGGCCACATACCTGTCATATGCCATTGAAGTGATAAGGAAACTGTCTAAGTCAGCAAAAAATATGAAAAAATATGTCTGTGAAATGCATCCCTTGTAAAAGACGGCTAGGTGCTGAGTCTGCATGTTCATCAGCATCTTAGGGACAGTGACAGATGAAAAGGAGATGTCAGTGAGGGCCAAGTGGCTAAGGAAGAAGTACATGGGGGTGTGAAGGTGAGAGTCTAGCTGGATGAGCAGCATGATGAGCAGGTTCCCCAGCACCGTGGTCAGGTACATGCCCAGGAACAGGGCGAAGAACACGGCCTGCTGCTCTGGCCGGATGGGGAGGCCCAGGAGGAGGAACTCGGACACGCTGCTCTGGTTCTCAGGGCTCATGTTTATATCAGCTGGAGGGCACTAGGGAAATTTGAAGGAAAAAAATGGTATGTCTTGGAATAAGAAATGATAACTGTGGCATAGTATAATAGAGATGTTCTTTTGACTTAGAGAATGTCTTCATATTTTCTTACATTTGCCACATATTTTGCTGCAAATGTGCTGAAAAAGAAATGAAGGTTTAGTCGATATAGCTACTTTCTTTCTGAATCTGGTCTCTGTAAATGATAGTACTAAAAGTTGTTTGCTAAATGTTTTTTAATACACTGTTCCAATAGCTGATGTATTGTAAGTGATTCAATAGCCTTCAATATATGAGCTGGGTGGTACTGTTATTATTTCTACTCTTTAGATGTGAAAGCTAAGGCAGACAGTCTTATAGTCACAGCAATAGGAAGAGGAGAAGCTGGGATTTGGACCGAAGTATCTTGACTCCATAGTTTCTTCTGTGGAAACAAAGCAATTATTTGACATTGGAAATCTCATTGCCTTATTTTGTGTGCAATGACCTATTTAATTCTGTATACCCTGCTTGTCTACACAGTGCATGATTATTTCTAATTTATTCATTGTTTATAGACCCCTAATCTTTTTTTAAGACATAACACTTTATTTATTAAAAAACTCTTCCATGTAAACAATTACTCCAAAAGACAACAAAACAAGTTATTTTGAGTGATTTTTCAAAGGACATACCCACATATTTTATCATGATATATATGTACTATTCTAGAAGGTGGGGAGGGTGGTACTGTTGAAAGTCCAGGTAAATAAATCATAATACGAAGTAAGCAACAAGATAGAAAATCTTTCTTATGGTTTCAGATCCATACATAATTGCTCTGATCTTTTTTTGTTTGTTTGTTTGTTTGAGACAGAGTCTCGCTCTGTTGCCAAGGCTGGAGTGCAGTGGTGAGATCTCGGCACACTGTAACCTCCGCCTCCTGGGTTCAAGCGATTCTTCCAGCTAATTTTTTATTTTTAGTAGAGACGGAGTTTCACCATGTTGGTCAGGCTGGTCTCGAACTCCTGACCTCATGATCCACCCGCCTCAGCCTCCCAGAGTGCTGGGGTTACAGGTGTGAGCCACTGCACCCAGCCTAATTGCTCTGATCTTTTTAAAGTTTAAGATAAGTGTAAGATATTTAATTCTATGTTTGAATATCAATGTGTAGCGCGAAAACATATATATATTCCTCCAGGCTCAACCACACATGTGACAATGTCTCTTGGGGACGCAGCGGTGAATTCCTCTCACAGTATGTCTAAGGAGCATTGGCTCAGTGAGATTTCACATTCAGTGGATTTCAGCCATCTCATCAATTTCTCCATGCTACTGAAATCTCATTGTTCCACTCAGAATTTGTCTTTTCCCCAGGATGGCTTTCAAAGCATTTTACTGACTGTGTCAAGCCAGAGTAAGTAAAATGCTGATGAGTTTGGATTTCCTCCTCCAGTCTCTCGGCCTTTGTGTTTTATTGTTTTGTATCTCATTTCTATATGACATCAGATGCTGTATTAGAAATTCCTGCTTGATCTTGAAATATATCAAAGGTACTGACTGATGAGGCATTAAACACAACTTAAATTCAGTCTTTAATCACTACCACTTTTAAAACATTTAATAGTGTAATTACGAAAAATTCATAAAGACTTGGAAACTTCACATCATAATAAATTCAGATATTAGCGAGGCTGTCAGATGCTGTTACTCTATTCTAAATACCAGTACCAGAAGGACGAGACAATTTCTCAACATATTTGGAAATAATACTTCAGGTTAAGATATGAGCTGGATGTCTTATTTTGGTCTATTCTTTTTCATGTTTCCATGTTCCTTTCTCTTTTTCTTGAAAGATTAGACCTAGAATCTATCATAACCAACTAATGCATACTCTATATAAATTTGTTGATCAAATAAAATGTTAGAGCTATTTAAATTTATCATAACAGCTTTATTAAAAAACTTTTACTGGGCTTAGTTCAAGAACCAGCTTTGCTCTAACAATCCTGGGGCCCCATGTTATTTAGTTGCCACATGGCCTCACATTCAAAGAAATACAATCTAAAAGCTAAAAGTAATTTTAACAGGAATTCTGTTCTTTCAGCATCTCTGAAATAGCTTATAAGCGATTTATTTTTCAACTCACATCAATATTTATCAAAGTACTCTTTTTTTTAATAAAAAGAGAGGGCAGGGATTCACTATAACATATCACAGCTTGTTACAAATAATAAATATTTGCAAGTGATTAAAACAAATAAATATTTGCAAGGATAAACCAATAAAATAATGAAGAAAAATATAGAGCTTAGAAATAGACATGTTTATAATGAGGACCATGAGATTGACAAAAGTGCATTATAAATCAGTGATAAAGTAGTAAAAAGGAAGAACTGTTCATTAAGTGGTGCTGAGGAAGTTGGCTATCAATAAAGGAAAAATAATACTATATCCCTACCTCACATCATTAGAAAACTTTATAGATTATGTTTATGGCCTTAGGTTAAAACATATTTCTTTCTAACTTGTATTTTATGTTCAAGGGTATAAGTGCAGGTTTGTTACGTAGGTAAACTTGTGTCATGGGGGTTTGTTGTACAGATTATTTCATCACCCAGGTATTTCTTTTTTTTTTTTGGCTGTTGAATCCTTTTGAAGGATCTAAAAACAAATTTTATTAGAAAGAAAATGTATTTGCTTCTTTTTTTTATTATTATACTTTAAGTTCTAGGGTACATGTGCACAACATGCAGGTTTGTTACATATGTATACATCATCACCCAGGTATTAAGCTTAGTACCCATTCGTTATTTTTCCTGATCTCTCCCTCCTCCCACCATCCACCCTCTATTTTTTATTTTATTTTATTTTTTATTTTTTGTTGAGATGGAGTCTTGCTCTGTCACCAGGCTGGAGTGCAGTGGCACAATCCCGGCTCACTGCAACCTCTGCCTCCCGGGTTCAAGTGATTCTCCTGCCTCAGCCTCCCGAGTAGCTGGGATTACAGGTGTGCACCACTACGCCCAGCTAATTTTTGTACTTTTTAATAGAGACGGGGTTTCACCATGTTGGCCAGGATGGTCTTGATCTCTTGACCTTGTGATCTGCCCGCCTCGGCCTCCCAAAATGCTGGGATTACAGGCGTGAGCCACTGCGCCCGGCCCCATCCACCCTCTAAAAGGCCCTAGTGTGAGTTATTCCCCTCTATGTGTCCATGTGTTCTCATCATTTAGCTCCCACTTACAAGTGAGAACATGCAGTATTTGGTTTTCTTTTCCTGTGTTAGTTTGCTAAGCATAATGGACTTTGGCTTCATCCATGTCCCTGCAAAGGACATGATCTCATTCGTTTTTCATGGTAAAGCGCATTTCTTAATCAAGATCCCCAAAGCACACAGGATAAATGAATCTTCCTTTAAGTTTGATAACATTAAAATGAAGTTTCATTACGACAGCAACCACCAACACCACAAAGCCACAGATGGGAGAATATATACTGCCACAAATCAACAAAACACTAGTATTCCGGACACATAGAGAACTCCTATAAATCAATAAAGAAAAGACAAAAGCTCAATAAGGAAAAGACAAGCTCAATTAAAATATGGCAAAAAATACAAACTAGAAACTCACAGAAAATGAAGTCCGAATGGCCAATAAACATATTAAGCATGTGAGGGGTCCACTTTCAAAGTGATAAAGTAAATAAAAGTTAAAACAATGGTAAGATAGCACTGATGAAATTTTAAAAATATACATGAAGACACCATGAATTGGCAAGTATACGAAGAAAAGGAACTCTGATACATTGCTATAAGATGGTTAAATTGGGAAGGATAGTCTCTTCAATAAATGGTGATGGAAAAACTGGATATGCACATGCAGAACAATGAAGCTAGACCCCTATCCTTTATCATATATAAAAATAAACTGTAAGAGGATTAAGGACTTAAATATAAGATCCAAAACAGTAAAACTATTAGAAGAAAACATAGGGGAAATGCTTCATGACATTAATTTAGACAAGGATTTTTTTGACAAGAGCTCAAAAGCACAGGTAACAAAAGCAAAAATAGACAAATAAGATTATATCAAACTAAAAAGCTTCTGCACAGGAAAAGAAACAACCAACTGAGTGAAAAGACAACCTACAGAATGAAAGAAAATATTTTCGAACTGTGTGTCTGACAAGGGGTTAATATCCAGAATATATAAGGAACTGAAACAACCCAATAGCAAAAACAAACAAACAAAAACAATAAATTTTAAAATGTGCAAAATACCTGAATACGTATTTCTCAAAAGAAGACATACAAATGGCCAATAGGTATATGGAAAACCACTTATATAACTAATTATTAAGGAAATGCAAATTAAAACCTCCATGAGCTGTGACCTCACCCCAAATAGAATGGTTATTATCAAAAAGACAAAAAAATACCAAATACTGGCCTGGATGTGGAAAAAGGGGAAGACTTATACATGGTTGGTGGGAATATAAATTATATAGTCATTTTGTAAAACACTATGGAGATTTCTCAAAAAATTAAATAGAACTACCATATGATCCAGCAATCTCACTACTGAGTATATATTCAAAGGAAATACAGTCAGTAACTTGGAGAGATATCTGCATGTTTATTGCAGCACTATTCACAATAGCCAAGATGTAGAATCAACATAAATGTCCATCAGTGGATAAATGGATAAAGAAAATGTATATATACACAATGGAATACTATTAAGCCATAAAAAGGAATATAATCCTGTCAGTGTGGCAACATGGATGAACCTGGAGGACATTACGTTAAGTGAAATAAGTTCTGGCACAGAAAAACAACTACTGCATGATCTCACTCATATGTGGAATCTAAATAAGTTGATCTCAAAAAAGCAGAGAGTAGAATAGTGGTTACCAGAGCCTGGGAGGGTGAGCAGGATGAGAGATGGGAAGAAATTGGTCAACAGCTACAAAGTTACAGTTAGATAAGAGAAATAAGTTGTCATGCTCTATTGTACAGTAGGGTAAATATTGTTAACAACATTGTATATTTCAAAAGAGCTAGAAGAGAGGATTTTGAATGTTTTCTTCACTAAGAAATGATAAATGAATGAGGTGATGGATATACAACTTATTATACAATGTATATATGTATCAAAACATCACACTGTACCCCATAAGTATATACAATTATTGTGTCAATTAAGCATAAATAAAAAGGTTCATCGATTTAAATCGTTCATCTATTTGAACAGTTTAAATTGGCTTATCTGTTAAATATTTCTCATAAAATTGAAGATTTACTTCTCTTGATGTATTTCTCCATAGATGCTGTAAAAAATTGCTCACAATTCTCCAGAAGGAAAAAGGCCACATTATTATTTAGAGCTTTGTAATAATGAAGAACTGAAACAATTAATTGTTCAATAGCCAATAACTAGATAAACAGAAGTTAATTTATTTATGTAATTCTATCCTGCAATAAAAAAGGAATAAACTGTATGCCATATGTGTCTACATAGATAGATATTTAAAAATTAATTTAGGGTTAACATGCAAACTATGCTCGTGTAATATATCAATTAAAACGTGGAACAACACTATATATTATTTATGGGCACATATATGCAGTAAAAGCACAAAAACAAGTATAAAAAGTATTTAAAAAGGTATTAAAAATTTCTTTGTAGTGGTTAACCCTAGAAAAGGAGAAAGCAAAGGGGATATGTGGGATGCACCTTTGGCTGTGCTGATAACATTCTGTGTTGTTTGTTTTAAAGGTCAGAAACAAATGTGACAACATGTCGATGTTTGTTAAATCTGAATGATAAGTACATTAGGTCATATGTTTTACTTCTCTTTATTTTTGAACTAAGTAATTAAGGTATTTCTCTAAATAAAAAATAAATGCTTCTAAGGTCACATTCTCTAAAAAATGTTATTAGTTGAAAAGGGTGAGGTAGAGTGTAGAGAATTAGGTTTGTTCATTAGCAGAAAGGTCAGACAGGAAAAATTTGTCTCAGGTAAACCCAATTTATAATAAGAGTTATTAGTTTGGTGAATGCACTGTATATATCAGTAATATATATATCTTAAAAAGCATGGCTTCATGAAGTAATCAATATTAGGAGCCCATTGTGCCTTCCTCTGTTTTTCTCCATCAATTTCCAAGGTTCTCTTATTTCTATGTTTTCCCACCAGCAGTTACAATAATTTTTACTATTTTTGGGGGTTTTTTGTTTGTTTTTTTGAGACAAAGTCTCGCTCTGTCGCCAGGCTGGAGTGCGGTGGTGCGATCTCGGCTCACTGCAACCTCCACCTCCTGGGTTCAAGAGATTCTCCTGCCTCAGCCTCCCAAGTAGCTGGGACAATAGGCACGCACCACCATGCCGAGCTAATTTTTGTATTTTTAGTAGAGACGGAGTTTCACCATGTTGGCCAGGATGGTCTCGATCTCTTGACCTTGTGACCTGCCTGCCTCGGCCTCCCAAAGTGCTGGGATTGCAGGTGTGAGCCACTGCGCCTGGCGAATAATTTTTACTATTAAATTTAATGGAACTACTTTGGCCAGTCTACACAGCCAATGGGCAGATTATCCTATTGGCCTATGGTAAAGAACAAATCTCCTCTTAGGCCAGGTAGTCAAATCTAAAGAGGTTCTTAACATAAAGACACTATTATGAAGCACAGAATCCATGCTCTGAAAATTCTCTCCCATTTAAAGAAGGGGCAAAAATTTCTGCTGTTCATTCCTACTTAGTCATGAGCTATCCAACAAGAGAAAAAGAAAAAAAAAGTAGGACAAGAAGACAGAGTGTAGGACTAGGTGCGTTGGCTCACACCTGTAATCCTAACACTTTGGGAGGCTGAGGAGAGTGGATTGCTTGAGCTCAGTAGTTTGAGACCAGCCTGGACAACATGGTGAGACCCTGTGTCTACCAAAAATACAAAAAATTAGCCAGGAATGGTGGTATGCGCCTGTGGTCCCAGCTACTCAGGAGGCTGAGGTGGGAGGGTCGCTTGAGCTCGGGAGGTCGAGGCTGTGAGTTGAGATTCTGCCACTGCACTCCAGCCTGGGTGACAGAGTGAGACCATGTTTCAAAAACACAAAAAACAGTGTGCAGAAGCCCCACCATCACTTTCTCAACTGGATTCAAAAGGCAACCATGTCCTACCAGTCCTGGTTCCTCTTCCCCACCGAGTGACAGGAAGAGTGTAAACATGAGCCAACTTAATCTAGTAGGTGAAAATTCATGCCAAATGGTAACTTTCAGTAACTACAGCAAAGTAGACAACTGGCTCCATGTAATATTGAATTAGAATTTCAGCAGAATTAGAATATTTATGAATGCTTTACTATTAATCCCAGAAACACGTGAAAGCTAGTTTGTTACTTAGTCTTAGAGGCTAAAGGCTTTCCGCACAGACTCCAGCACTTTGGACCCAAACTTGACCCCCACATCTTCATAGATTGTAGAAAATGAGTGATAGAACCATGTCTCTAAGTTTCTCACCATTCTTCAGATTATCTGGGTTAGTTTTGTTTTCTAAGTGAACATGTAGTGTGATGTGATTTTCAGAACAACATTGAGCCTTTCCTGTCCCTACCCAAGACATCACCCTCAATAGCTTGCTGATATCTGAAATTCTTTTAGCAAGAGAAAAAGGGCTTTAAGTTTCCAACTAGAGATTAGGTTTCAAGTTAAGTTTTCCTGGGAGAGAGAGCCCTATGGCCAACACTCTAACTCAGATAGAATGGCTGAGAGCAATTTATTTGGGGATCCAGGTTTGGATGGCAGAACAAATGCACTGGCTTTCTCAGACAAAGTGAGGAGACAAGGTTGGAGATTACAGGCAGAATGAAAGCAGAGGCTGCAGACACTGAGAACAAATTTACTATCTTTCCAGTTTGGCTGCAATGACTGCTGTAAGGCTGGGCTGTAGAAATAGTTGAATTGTTAAGAAATCTGATGTAGTGCTTAATTTGTACCAGGTGATTTTCAAATAATATTCACCTGTTCCCACATAAGTTTTTTTTTTTTTTTTTGAGGTGGAGTCTCTGTCACTCAGGCTGGAGTGCAGTGCAGTGGAACCATCTCGACTCACTGCAACCTCTGCCTCCCGGGTTCAAGCAATTCTCCTGTCTCAGCCTCCCGAGTAGCTGGGATTACAGGTGCCCACTAGCATGCCAGGCCAATTTTTGTATTTTTAGTTGAGAGGGGGTTTCACCATATTGCCAGGCTGGCCTTGAACTCCTGACATCAAGTGATCCACCCACCTTGGCCTCCCAAAGTGCTGGGATTACAGGCATGAACCGCTGTGCCCAGCCAATGTAGGCATTCTGATCCTCACTTTGGAGAGGAGAACACTGGGATTCAGTGATGAAACTTGCCCAGTATTATAGCACTAGTATATTGTGAGCCTGGGAATTGATAGCAGGTCCATCTGGCTTCAAAGACTATATTCTTCCCACTCTATTAAAAGCCCTTATTAAATATATCTTCAAATAGGACAATATTTGCTGCCTGAGAGCACTCAAGAATTTCATGAAGTAAATTGGAGAGTTTAAGGATGAATAAAAATCTATAGTTTCAAGATTTGTGCCATGATGGTGATGTCAGTAATACTGATAATAAAAATTAGAATAGCAATCATTCATTAATCACATATTTATTGTGTGAATAATAATATAGGCCAGCTGCTGTGATGCAATTTATATCATATCAGCCTAACAGGATCACAAAATGGCATTATTCTCATCTAACCAATTGGAAAGTAGGGTTTACAGAGTATAAATAATTTGCCTAAAATTCTACATCATGAAAATGATGGGGAGGTCATTCAATCCTGTGTTTGTCTGATTTCAAACTCATGCTGCTAATCATCATGTCGTATTGCCTCCAGCAGAGCATTGATGGAAAAGACATCTGGATATGCACCTGTCATTAAAGAGGTGGAATCTGTAATTTCTTAAAAGCCTTTGCATAGATGTATTGCTTCAGTCTTTAATCAGATGATCAGAAGAGAATAGAGAAACCAGGAAATCAGTTACTGGATTTACGAAGGCAGCTTCCCAGAAAGTAAATTTCTCGGGGTCCCAGGAAAAAAACAAATAAGACCCTGGCCAGTGTTGTTGTTGATACCTATATTCCATCAGTAAGGGAAAGGTTAAGGCAACTATGGTACACATTATTGAAAAGAATATGTAGTCAATAAAATAAATTCATTAAAAGCTTATGATATAATTTTTAAAGGACATAATAGGAAATTGCATGTAGGTATGTTTATAACTATTTATAAAAATGCAGATTATTATTATTTTTTAAACCTTGAAGAATGTGCTCATAGCTGGGATGCAGGCCAGATATTCAGCAAAACTGTGAGAGAACATTTTCCTAAAGAGGAAAGTACAAACACCAGAGAATAATAATAATGATGTCCACCCTAAATTATTTGATGTAATACAAAAATTATATAAACCACCTGGCACATGTGTACTCATCTGCAAGATTTTGGAGGAGATGATTAACACACACACACACACACACACACACACACACAAACTGCTTAATGGAGTCTGTAAGCATTGGTCTTACCTAGTTCAGTGATAAATTCAAATATTGTCAGCTCCTTGGTATGAACCAATCATTCATTTTCTCTCCAAAAGTCTTAGAGCTGGAACAGTGAGAAAAGTCATGAGCTCAACCCTGAAGTGGAGAAGAGGCACATTCTTTGTTTTTCACCAGCCACAAGGCTACAGCAAGAGTATCTCCCTTTACCTGCCTGGATGGGAACCCAGGGGACTGGTGCCAGAAGTCTGTGGTGAGACACAGTTAGGGGCTAATTACTGTATTTCCCTTAATATTCCCAGTTGAAATGTGCCTTTGCCGGACACCAAGGACAGTCAACTCCTATGGGAATATAAATAAGAACTTTTATTATGTACAGATTTTTTTTATTTATAAAGAACTTTCACATCTATAAGATTTTTTAAGCATCACAATAATATTTGATGTAGATAGTATTTTTCCCATTTATTGAGTTTGACAATGTCTCAAAAGTAAATGGTTAAATGAGTATTCAAACATAAACACATTAACTTCAAACCTAAAGCCTGGTTTCATTCTAGGCTTTCTTCCATGTTGCCTCCCTTATATTAGTGAGCTCTATATTTTAAATAATTCTTTTGGGTTTTTTGTTTGTTTGTTTTGTTTTTGTTTTATTTTTGTTTTGAGACAGTTCTGTTGCCCAGGCTGGAGTGCAGTGGCATGATCTCAGCTCACTGCAACCTCTGCCTCCTGGGTTCAAGTGATTCTCATGCCTCAGCCTCCCAAGTAACTGGAATTACAGGTGTGTGCCACCACGTCCAGCTAATTTTTTGTATTTTTAGTAGAAATGGGGTTTTGCCATGTTGCCCAGGGTGGTCTCAAACTCCTGAGCTCAGGTGATCTGCCCGCCTCAGCCTCCCAGAGTGCCTGGATTATAGGCGTGAGCCACCGCTCCTGGCCTATACAGACTTCCTCCTTCCCACATTCAATTTGGAACTGGAAGGAGAGGTGTTACTAGTCCCTGAGGATTAAGAACACTTTTCAAGGACTAGAGATTTATTTTCCTCATGGGAAACACCTGAATACATGCAGGATTTATTTTTGGTTAGTGATGACACATAATAATAGTTGGAACAGACTCAGGGCTCAAAAAGTATTCTTTGACCATAAAAATGAGTGTGAGAATCTTCAGAAACCTGCTACATTCAGGTTGGCAAAAATATAAAAGAGACGGAGAATTAAGTGGAGGAGATTGCTTTTTTCATTATTTCTTTGAATAATTTGTGCATTCATTTACTCATTCAGAAGAATATTGTATAAATATGATGTGGCAAGAATTTTGTGAGGCACTGTAAGTAAAGAAAACACAAGTTTCTTTTTTTAAAATTTATTATACTCTAAGTTCTGGGGTACATGTGCAGAATGTGCAGGTTTGTTATATAGGTATACACATGTCATGGTGGTTTGCTGCACCCATTACCCATCGTCTACATTAGGTATTTCTCTTAATGCTATCCCTCCCCTAACCCCCCCACCCATTGACAGGCCCTGGTGTGTGATGTTCCCATCTCTGTGTCCATGGGAAAACACAATTTTCTGTCCCCAAAGAGTTCCCAATCCATTGAATGAGATCGACAAAACCGTCCACATCAGACACTGTAATGAAGGTAAGAGCCGAGTGCTGTGGGAACACAAAGGGGGGCATCAAACCCAAATTAAAGGCATCAAGCAAGTGTTCTGTGTGGGAAACTTATGAGGGGAGAAGAAAAGACACACACACCATTCCTTTATTCCATATATAAATATATATATATATATTTACACTCGCCAGACTACGGAGGATTCACCACCAGACTGGAAAGCAACAGCCTGGGTTCCAGAGTCAGATACAAAACTCACCAGACTGTGGAGGATTCACCACCAGACTGGGAAGAAACAGCCTGGGCTCCAGAGTCGGCCACTTGTCCGTGCACAGACAAGGAGAGGTTTCATGAAGCTTCGGTGCTAGGGTCTGGGACCCTAGCTCTTTTTGTAAGAAGTTGTTTTGCATGAGGCCCAGTGACGAGGGCCCTTTGCGACTGGGCTCAAGGAACACAAAAAGATCAACTTGTTTTTGCAATTATCTATTGTTTTTCAATAACCAATGTATAGGAATAGATTGAAATAGAGATTTCTCCGAAACAGTGCTGGATGAATGCCTCAAGGGGCTCACACAACCTGTTCCCGGACTTGGTGACCATTGTTTGTGTCCACGTTCAATTGAGTTCAAATTTAATATTTAACTTTTTCTCCACATTGGGCCTCAATTTGATACTCAGTTGTAGGAAAATACCCTTACAGATACATGGGGAAGGCACAGTTGATAGATTACAGATACATGGTAAGCACAGGAGAATTAAAAACGCAATTAATAAAAACCACACCTACGATAGCTTTGCAAGGAGAGTAATATTGTGAGAATTGTCAGGGATAGACACATAACATTTAGTATGCAGTAAGGCACAAACCCCTCCTTGGGCTGTGGTAAGCATATCTAATGCCTCTCGATTTTGCAACACAACAGTGCACGGCTGAGCAAATTCATCTGATAACATAAGTCCAGTGCTACTATCATTAAGAGCTTTTTCTACATGTAAGCTTAATATTTTAATTTGTTGCTGAAGCAGGATTGTACTGGTGGCAGGGGAGAATACTGTGATAGGGTACCATCATCAGGGAGTCTGGCACATTCATAACCAGTGATGTTTGTAAGCATCTAGATTACTGGGGAGGGAATATTATCCCAGATGGTGAATGGAATTAATGGCCATCCCCAAATGCATCTCCCCATCCAATGTGGGGTGGTGAGTGTAAATATATATATATCTCTTTTCCTTTATCCCCTTCCCATTGCAACTTGCTTATTATATCAATTTGCTTATTATATCATTGGCTTGTTATATCTGCATTGCCATTTACGTGGGATAAAGCTTGTTTACCCTTAAAGGTATTTTGTGTGTGTCTTTTCTTCTCCCCTCATGCGTTTCCCACACAGAACAGCAAGTAGGCTTGTAGAAAGTTACAAGTAAGCAGAAACTCAAGAAAATCAAAACAAGTAGAAGGTGATGTCAACAACATAGAGGCAGAGCAGTGAAAGGGAGAGAAACAGAGGAATAGGAAAAGACCTACAGAAGAGAAAGGATGGCAAATTTAGGAAACAATTGTCAGAAAAATTAGAGTGGCTAAAATGTACACTTGAACAGGGGAAGAGGTTCAGGATGAGTCCAGAGAAACTAGAAGGAATAAATCATGCAGGACCTTAGAAGCCATATTGAAGAATTTGCATATTACTCAAAAGGAAAGAAAGAGCCATGGAAGGACTTGATCAGCAGATTGACAATCATACTAAACACAGTTGGTATAGTTCAGGAGTGGATAATGAGCATGTGTTTGCAGTGGGCAGAGGACATGTTGGCAGAGCAGGCATGGGGTAGTGGAATGCAAGACCAGAAGCAAAGAGACTCATTAGGAGAAGATGACAGTCATTTAGGTAAGAGATTATGAAAGTGTGTATAAGAGAGTGACCATGATGTTAGAACTATATTGATTTAAGTCTCCGTAGTCAGAATCTAATGGATATAGTAATTTTGATGTGAGTTGATTTTGATAAGAATGTAGAAAATAAGGAGAACAAAGGAGTTGAAAACCTCTCTAAATTTATGGCTTGGACAGCTGAGTGTATGGTTGTGCTATTCACTGAAGGCAATATAGAAGAAAAAGATTTGAGAAGTTGTATTGCATAGAGTATGAGGTACCTATAGGTCATCCATGAGACAAATTTAGTAGGCAGGTGGATATATTTTGGATAGAGATAGAAATTCATGGACTGTCAACATAGAGGAGGATGAGATTGCCTGAAAACAAATGAGGTTAGTAAAAGCTGAGGAAAAAGAAGAAGGAGGGGAGAGAAAGGGAGGAGAGAAGAGGAAAGGAGAAGGGAGAAAAGCAAGGAAAGGGAAGGGAATAGTTGCTGAGGACAGACCACAGGGAACATTGACAATTAAGATAGTAGCAGAGAAATAAAGCCCCCAAAAGACATCAAATAACAACCAGAGATGGAGAAGGAGAATATAAAAATGTAGAGCCAAGGTTAAGTGCTGAAACCATTCATTGGATTTAGTAATAATGAGGATTTCGGTGACATGACTAGGAGCAATGCAAATAAAAGGTGGGAATGGAATCTAGATTACAGTGCATTGAATAATAAACAGGATGTACACATGGTGGATGGTTAGATTGATTCAACATTGAAGCTTTGGTGGAAGAGTGGGAAGGAAGGACCTTGTGGTAAAGACAGGCAAATTGGTAAGAGAACTATAAACCACGCAGCTCATCCTGAAGAGGTAAGAGTGAAGGCAAAACAAATTTTGGGGAAAAATGAACAGGATCAGAGACTGGATAGATTTATGAGGCCAAATATCCTATATAATGGGTAGGATAAAAAAGAGAGAAAAAAGAATTGAATGTTTAGATTTAACATTTTTTCTTTTTTAACTTTTGTTTTAGATTCAGGGGGTACATGTGCAAATGTGTTACCTGGGCATATTGCATAATGCTGAGGTTTGGGGTATGAATTATCCCATCACCCAGGTACTGAGCATAGTACCTAACAGTTTTTCAACTGTTGCCTCCTCCCTCCCTCCCTTCTTTAACAGTTCCCAGTGTCCATTATTGCCACATAAGTCCTTGACTACCCAATGTTTAGCTCTCACTTATAAGTGAGAACATGTGGTATTTGGTTTTCTTTTCCTGAGTTAGTTCACTTAGGATAATGACCTCCAGCTGCATTCATATTCCTGCAAGGGACATGATTTCATTCTTTTTATGGCTTCATAGTATTCCATGGTATATATGTACCACATTTTTTTATTTAGTCCACCATTGATGAATACCTGGGTTGGTTCCATGTCTTTGCTATCGTGAATAGTACTGTGATGAATATGCAAGTATATTTGTCTTTTTGGTAGAACAACTTGTTTTCCTTTGGATATATACCCAGTAATAGGATTTCTAGGTCAAATGGTAGTTCTGTTTTGAGTTCCTTGAGAAATCTACAAAGTGCTTTCCACAGTGTCTGAACTAATTAACATTTCCACTAACAGTGTATAAACATTCCCTTTTCTCTGCAGCCTCACCGACATTTATTGTTTTTGACTTCATTCCTCTTTACTGATTTTACTATTTGTTTCTCTTGTCTGATTGCTCTGGCTAGGACTTCTAGTACTATGTTGAATAGAAGTGATGAAAGTGGGCATCCTTGTTTTGTTCCAGTTCTCAGGGGGAATGCTTTCAACTTTTCCCCCTTCAGTATAATGTTGGCTGTGGGCTTGTTGTAGATGGCTTTTATTACCTTAAAGTATGTCCCTTATACACCAATTTTGCTGAAGGTTTTAATCGTAAAAGGATGCTGGATTTTGTCAAATGCTTTTCCTGTGTCTATTGAGATCATCATGTGAGTTTTGTTTTAAATTCTAAGTGGTGTATTACATTTATTGACTTACGTATGTTAAATCATCCCTGCATCCTGGTATGAAACCCACTTGATCATGGTGGATTATCCTTTTGTTATGCTCTTGGTTTTGGTTCACTAGTATTTTGTTGAGGATTTTTGCATCTATGTTCATCAGGGATATTGGCCTATAGTTTTCTTTTTTTGTTATCTTTCCCTGGTTTTGGTATTAGGGTGATACTGGCTTCACAGAATGTGTTAGGAAGGATTCCCCCTTTCTCTATTTTTTGGAATAATGTCAGTAGGATTGGCACCAATTCTTCTTTGAATGTCTGATAGAGTTGAGCTGTGAATCCATTTGGTTTTGGACTTTTCTTCGTTGGCATTTTTAAAAATTACCATTTCAAGCTTGCTACTTGTTATTGGTCTATTCAGAGACTCTATATCTTCCTGGTTTAACCTAGGAGGGTTGTATATTTCCAGGAATTTGTTCATCTCCTAGGTTTTCTAGTAAATGAGCATAATGGTGTTCATAGTATCCTTGAATGATCTTTTGTATTGCTGTGGTATCAGTGGTAATAGCTCCCATTTCATTTCTAATTGAGCTTATTTGGATCTTCTCTCTTCTTTTCTTGGTTAATCTCACTAATGGTCTATTAATTTTATTTATCTTTTCAAATAACCAGCATTTTGTTTTATCTTTTGTATTGTTTTTTGTTTGTTTCATTTAGTTCTGCTTTGGTCTTCGTTATTTCTTTTCTTCTGCTGGTTGTGGGTTTGGATTGTTCTTGTTTCTCCAGTTCCATGAGGTGTGATCTTAGATTGTCTATTTGTGCTCTTTCAGAGTTCTTGATGTAGGCATTTAATGCTATGAACTCTCCTCTTAGCACTGCTTTTGCTGTATCCCAGAGGTTTTGATAGATCACGTCACTATTACTCAGTTCAAAGAATTTTTAAAATTTCATTGTTGACACAACAATCATTCAGGAACAGGTTATTTAATTTCCATATATTTGCATGATTTTAAGGTTTCCTTTTGGAGTTGATTTCCAATTTTATTCCACTGTGGTCTGAGAGAGTACTTGCTATAATTTCGATTTTCTTAAATTTACTGAGACTTGTTTTGTGGCCTATTGTATGGTCTATTGGGAGAATGCTCCATGTGCTGATGAATAGAGTGTATATCCTGAAGTTGTTGGGTAGAATGTTCTATAAATATCTGTTAAGTCCATTTGTTTTGCGGTATAGTTTAAGTCTATTGTTTCTTTGTTGACTTTCTGTCTTGATAACCTGTCTAGTGCTGTCAGTGGAGTGTTAAAGTGCCCCACTATTGTTGTGTTGCCATCTATGTCATTCCTTAAGTATAGTAGTAATTGTTTTATAAACTTGGGAGCTCCAGCGTTAGGTACATATACATTTAAAATTGTGATATTTTCTTGTTGGACTAGTCCCTTTATCATTATATAATGTCCCTCTTTGTCTTTTTTAACTGCTGTTTCTTTAAAGTTTGTTTTTTCTGATATAAGAAAAGCTATTCTTGCTTGTTTTTGGTGTCCATTTGCATGGAATATCTTTTCTACCCCTTTACCTTAAGTGTATGTGAGTCCTTATGTGCAAGGCGAGTCTCCTGAAGAGAGCAGAAACTTGGTTGGTGAGTTCTTATCCACTCTGCCGTTCTCTATCTTTTAAGTAGAGCATTTAGGCCATTTACATTCAATGTTAATATTGAGATATGAGGCAGTATTCTGTTCATCATGCTATTTGTTGCTGAATACTTGGTTTTATTTTCATGGTGTTATTGTTACGTAGGTCCTGTGAGATTTATCCTTTAAGGAGATTCTATTTTGGTGTATTTTAAGGATTTGTTCCAAGATTTAGAGCTCCCTTTAACAGATCTTGTAGTACTGACTTGGTAGTGGTGAATTTGCTCAGCATTTGTTTGCCTGGAAAAGATTGTATCTTTCTTTCATTTATGAAGCCTAGTTTTGCTGGATACAAAATTCTTGGCTGATAATTGTTTTGTTTAAGGAGGCTAAAAATAGGACCCTAATCCCTTCTAGTTTGTAGGGTTTCTGTTGAGAAATCTGCTGTTAATCTGATAGGTTTTCATTTATAGGTTACCTGATGCTGTTGCCTCACAGCTCTTAAGATTTTTTTCTTCATGTTGGCTTTATATAACCTGAAGACTATGTGCCTAGGTGATGATCTTTTTACAATCAGTTTCCCAGGTATTCTTTGAACTTCTTATATTTGGATGTCTAGATCTCTACCAAGGCTGGGGAAGTTTTCCTTGATTATTCCTTCAAATATGTTTCCCAAAATTTTAGATTTCTCTTCTTCCTTGGGAACACCAATTATTCTTAGGTTTGGACATTTAACATAGTCCCAGACTTCTTAGAGGCTTTGTTCATTTTTTAAAAATTATTTTTTCCTTGTCTTAGACAGATTGAGTTAATTCAAAAGCCTTGTCTTTGAGCCCTGAAGTTCTTTCTTCTGCTTGTTTGATTCTATTGTTGAGACTTTCCAGTGTATTTTGCATTTCTCTATGTGTGTCCTTGATTTCCAGAAGTTTTTTTTTAAAATGTATGCCATCTATTTCACTGAAGAATTTTCCTTTCGTATCCTGTATCATGTTTTTGATTTCTTTAAGTTGCACTTCACCTTTCTCTGATGCCTCCTTGATTAGCTTAATAATCGAACTCCTGAATTCTTTTTCTGGCAATTCAGAGATTTCATCTTGGTTTGGATCCATTGCTGGTGAGCTGGTATGATCTTTTGGGGGTGTTAAAGAACCTTGTTTTGTTGTATTACCAGCATTTTTTTCTGGTTCCTTCTTGTTTGGGTAGACTATGTCAGAAGGAAGATCTGGGATTCAAGGGCTGCTGTTCAGATTCCTTTGTCCTACCGGGTGCTCCCTTGATGTGGTGCTCTCCCCCTTCCCCTAGGAATGGGGCTTCCTGAAGCCAAACTGTAGTGATTGTTTTTCCTCTTCTAGGTTTAGCCATGCAGTGGAGCTACCAGGCCCTGGGATGGTACTGGGGAGTATCTACAAAGAGTACTGTGATTTGATCTGTCTTCAAGTCTTGCAACGTGGGTACCAGCACCTGCTCTGGTGGAGGTAGTAGCAGGGAATGAAGTTGACTGTGTGAGGGTCCTTGGTTGTGTTTTTATTTAGTGTGTTGGTTTTGTGTTGGTTGAACTCCAGCAAGTAGGTGGTGCTTTCAAGAGCACATCAGCTGCAGTCCTATGGGGAGGATGCAAACTTGCCCTAGGGACACCTAGTTAAGCATTCAGGTTTCTCAGGTGGGCAGGGCCATAGAGCTACCAAGAGATTATGACCTTTGTCTTCAGCTACAGGGTGGGTTGAGAAAGACCACCAGGTGGGGGCAGGATGGAAGTGTCTGAGCTTAGACTGTCCTTGGGTGAGGCTTGCCGCGGCTTCTGTGGGAGTCGCAGGTGGTTCCTAGGCCAATGGAGTTATATTCCCAGGGGGATTATGGCTGCTTCTGCTATGTCATACAGGTATGAATCCCAAATATCTGAGACGGTCTCAGTTAATTTAGAACATTTATTTTGCTAAGGTTGAGGACATGTGCCTGAGACACAGCCTCAGGTAGTTCTGATGACACGTGCCCAAGGTGGTCAGAGCACAGTTTGGTTTTATACATTTTAGGGAGACATGAGACATCAAGTAACATATGTAAGATGAACATTGGTTTGGTCTGGAAAGGTGGGACAACTCAAAGCAGGGAGGGGGCTTCCAGGTCATAGTAGATAAGAGACAAATGGTTGCATTTTTTGAGTTTCTTATTAGCCTCTCCAAAGGAGGCAATCAGGCATGCATTTATCTCAGTGAGCAGAGGGGTGACTTTGAATAAAATGATAGGCAGGTTTGCCTTAAGTAGTTTCCAGCTTGACTATTCCCTTTAGCTTAGTGATTTTGGGGCCACAGGATTTATTTTCCTTTCACACAGGTCACCAGAGAAGTGGGGGAAAGCCGGCAGGTGAGAAAGACTCACCCTGCTCCCACGCAGCATGCATCCTAAAGGCCAGTCTTACTCACACCATGTCTCCTTCCCCCCTGTACATCCCGACAGCACTGAGTCTATTTCCAAGCAGCAGGTGACCAGGGCTAAGAACTTTCCCAGACCACAAGCCTTCCTGTTGAGAAAGCAAGCAGACTCACAGTTTTTTGGCATCTCAGGGAGCCTGCAGCAGTGATCCAGTTCCTTCAAAGGGTCTGTGGATTCTCTTGACTTTCCTGGTATGTTCTTGTAGATAGTTCTTGGAACAAAATTTCAGGATGTGAGTCCCCACGTGCTTCTCTGTCCATCAGAGTGGGAGCTGCAAGTTAGTCCTGCCTCCTATCTACCATCTTCCTCCCGATATTGGCCTATTCAGTGTTTCAATTTCTTCCTGATTCAATCTTGGGAGATTGCATAGTTTCAGGAATTTATCTATTTCCTCTAGATTTTCTAGTTTGTGTGTGTAGAGGTATTCGTAATAGTCCCTGAGGATCTTTTGTATTTATGTGGGATTAGTTGTAATGTCACCTTTGTCATTTTTTATTGTGCTTATTTGGATCTTCTCTTTTTTTTGTTAATCTAGCTAGTGGTCTATTGGTATTTTTTATTCTTTCAAAGAACCAACTTTTGGTTTCATTTATTATTTGTATGCATTTTTGGGTCTCAGTTTCATTCAGTTTTGCTCTGATTTTGCTTATTTGTTTTCTTCTGCCATCTTTAGGGTTAGTTTGTTCTTGTTTTTCTAGTTCCTCTAAGTGTGATGTTAGGTCATTAATTTGAGGTCTTTCTAACTTTTTGAGGTAGGCATTTAGCGCTATAAACTTTCCTGTTAATACTGCTTTTGCTGCAGTGTTTGTGGCTTTCCAGAGATTTTGGTATGTTGTGTCTCTATTTTCATTTATTTCAAAGAATTTTTTTATTTCTGCCTTGACTTCATTGTTTACCAAAAAGTTATTCAGGAGCAAGTAATTTAACTCTCATGTAATTGTGTGGCTTTGAGAAATCTTCTTGGTATTAATTTCTATTTTTATTCCATGATGGTTTGAGCATATGATTGGCATGATTTGGGTTTTTTTTTTTTTATTATTGAGATGTGCTTTACAGCCAAGCGTGTGGTCAATCTTGGAGTAGGTTCTATGTGCAAATGAGAAGAATGTATATTCTGTGGTTGATGTATACCTCTCTAGCAATATTAGAAAAGTTTTCTTGAATTATTCCCTCAAATATATTTTCCAGGTTGTTTGTTTGTTTTTTTCCTTCTTCCTCAAGGATGCCAATAATCCATAGGTTTGGTCACTTTATGTAATCCCAAGGACTTTGCTCATTAAAACAAATTTTTAAAAATTATTTTTTCTTCATTTTTATTAGACTAGGTTGATTCAAAAACCTGATCTTCAAGCTCTAAAATCTTTATTCTGCTTGGTCCAGTCTATTGATGAAGCTTTCACTTATGTTTTGAAATTCTTTAAGTGAGTTTTTCAACTCCAGAAACTCCGACTGATTTCTTTCTAAGGGGTTTATCTCTTCTTTCATTTCCTGGATAGCTTTAGAAGATTTTTTGTGTTGATTTTCAACCTTGCCTTGAATCTCATTAAACTTTTTTGAAATCCATCTTTGAATATTTTATCTGTCATTTCTGAGATTCCATTTTGGCTAGGGACCTCTGCTGGAGATCTAGTGCAATCCTTTGGTGGTGTCACTACATTCAGATTTTTCATGGTGCCAGAATTCTTGCACTGGTTCCTTTTCATCTGGAGATGCTGGCACTTCTAATTTTTGTGATTATTTTTGTGCAGATAGGATTTTTTCCTTTTCTTTCTTTCCCGTTAATGTTATTATTTATTATTTCCCTTTTCTCCTCTCCCCATGAGGTGTAACTGTAGAGAATACTGGGGGGTAGGGTATTTTGGCATTGCTTCTGTAGCTCCATGTGCTTCTTTTGGCAGATTTTATATTGGGCTGTGCAGTTCATCCCACAAGCCTATAGATGGCACTATAGGTAACAGCTGGCTGCAGCCAACAAGGTTGGGTCTGTACTTAATCCTTGTTTACTGGCAGAAGCTCCCTCTTGCCTCAGGCAATGATCTGATTTGAGGAATGCACAGTAGTCTGAGCTCCCTGCCCAGGCCTGTGGGTTGAGCCATGAAGGACAGGGCTGGACTGGGCAGGTTTACCTGCGGGTCCCTTGATGGCAGGCGTAAGAACCAATGCCAATGGAGAATCCAGTGGGTGGCCACCAGGATCCCAGAGGTGTGTCTAGGTGTGGAGCAGGGAAACCTCCTTAGTTCCAGGTTCTCTGCATGGGGACAGGGGGCTGCCTAAGCTTTTAATCCAGGAGAGTAAGGGCTCAGATCCCTGGAGATTTGCCTGGCATGAAGCAGAGGGGAACCCCCTAAACCAATATCTCTGCACAGGAGGGATGTGGCATCTCAGGCCGCTGAACCAGGCAAACAGGTGCTTTGAATGCCTGGAGATCTGCCTGGGCATGGATCAGAGAGAGCCCCTGTGCACCAAGATCTCTGCACAGGAGGGGTGGAGGCAACTCAGGTTGCTGGATGAAGCAAGAAGGTGTTCTGACTGCCTGGAGATCTGCCTGGGCATGTAGCAGTGGGGTCTCCCTGCACCAGGATCTCTGCACAGGAAGAATAGGGTGGGTCAGGCTGCTGATCCAGGTGAACAGGTGCTCTGAATGCCTGAAGATCTGCCTGGCTGTGGAGAAGGGAAGAGCCTCGCTGCACCAAGATCTATGTCCAGGAAGGGTTGGGCAGCTCATGCTGCTAGTCTGGACAAACAGGGACCCCAAATGCTTTGTTTTCTGCCTGGAAGTGGAGCAGAGAGGGCCCTGCTGCACCACGATCTCAGGGGAGCAGGGTGGGGCACCCATCAATGGCACACATAGATCAGTTTCAGGGCACCAAGCTGGCCTTGGCTGCAAGTGTTGCTGCCCAGGAGAAGCCACAGCTGTAGCAGCTCTCCTCCCACTGCAGGCTTGCAACAGGAGCACAATTATAGCACCTACTGCTGAAACACTTTCCATAGTTCTGGCTGTAGAGGTCGTTACTGTGTTCTAGAGCAGGTGCTCCAATTTCTGGCCTTAGACTAAAATGCTTGCACAGCCACACTGTCAAAGAATAGCTGACTTTGTATGCACTTGGATTAAAAATGGCATCCTGCTGTCAGTCCTGGGTCTGGGAAAATGTCTGCAGTTTTTTTGGTGTGTTTTCCTCACAGTGTCTCCAAGCTTCTCCCCAAGTTAACTCCAGGGCTTGAGAGAAGCAAAATTGTCTCTCTCAGCCTGGGTTGCTCAGATCTCCAGTGGATAGGGGAGTCACAGAGGGAGGCTCTCTGCCTCTCTCACGTACTGGAGCTTTACTCACTTTTAGCAGCTGGATGCAGTCACAGGGTCCATTTGCCAGCATTCCCCTCTCTGGGATCTGGGGTGTGCTTCATGATTCTGGTGGATTCTCATTTTCCTTCTTGAATTAAAGTGCACAGAGTTGATCTCTATGTACTATCTTGCTATTTCCAAGTGGCTATGGCACTAGATTTAACATTTTTTAGGTAAAGGAATTTCCGATTTCATGATATGGCCATGAGAAAAGATGACTAAACTGCAAGGGAGGTCAAGGTCATTGAAGATGAGGTCAAAGACTAAAGCTGTTATGACGGTGAATGGTTCACTTAAGCAAATGTTGAAGGCACTCAAGTTGATAGCTAATTTGTAGGGGAGAAGTCAACTGTGATCTAGGTGCCACCATCTGTAACAAAATAGGAGTCACTGAAGTTTGATCGTTGATGGTATAGGCTTTGACTTTTGAAAGTTTCTACAGTTTTGCTCAATACTGAAAAAAACTTTATGCAGAAAGATGTCTAATTACAGCATAATTTTAAGAGATAAGAATTAGTTACAAACTAGTTTCCGTGAATAAGGGAAAGGTTAAGGGAACTATTATACATATTCATTGGAAGTAATATTACATAGTCATTAAAATGAGGTTTATGAAAAACATAATTTTTGAAAGAACACAATAAAAATGATATATAGGCAGGTTTACAGTTATTTGCGAAAGGCAGATTATTATTTTTTAAAAACCTGCACATGCTCCAAAATGTTAATAAAAGCTATATTTTGCTGTTGGGATTAGAGGCATTTGTGTATTTTAAAAATATTTGTCTGCCATCACATTTATATAATCATGTTTTTCTTTTATAAGTAATAAAGACATTGGACAGTTTTGTGAACCGTTGTTGAATTTCATAGGAAAGACTATGGTCCAGGAAGAAAGTTTGTCCAAGGGTTGACAAAATTCAAGAAGAAGAAGGCAGCTGCCCCTGTAGACACTACTGCTGTGTCTTCTTGGTCTTTGTGCTGATTGCTCTTCTCCCAATCACCACCCACCACAGGCATTAAGCATCCTCACATAGGACCCTGAGAATCAAGGCACAAAACCTTCAATGGACAAGTTTCCGAAGCCTCAGGGAACAGTTCCTCTCCTCAAAATAACCTTCAGCCAACAAGCACATGCTTATTCCTACTATAAAACAGTTTATATCTTACTGCTATATGAGGCCTTAGCCCTTCTTAATACGTGCCGAGAGAAAAGAAAGTAAGATTTTTTTTTTCATTCACTCCTGAATTTTTAGACTTTAGTGTTGGGCACATAGAGATCCACTTAAAAATGTTTACTGAGTTACAGAGAATGAAAGAACATTGTTTCCTGACAAATAGCCAATAATAAAAAATTATTATTAAGTTACAGAAGTTTAGTTTGTATTGCTCCAGAAGTCAACTCTAAACCAAGAATTAAGGGCAAGTCGTTTATTTGAGAATCAAAGGAAACAGCAATAGGAGAGTGGGAAAATAAGACAGGGAAAAGTGAGGAGTAAAGGAGGTCAACAAAATTATCACCTGGTAACTGAAGCTGATCCCACTGAGAAAACACTAGACTCCAACACACCTCAGATTTTTCCACCCTGCAGGTGAGTGAGCTGGGGGATTCATGTATGAACTCCTGTCTGTTTGTAACCGAGGACTGATGGATATGGTAGTGGTGGATAGACAGAACAAATTCTCCAGCACTTCTAGCTTGCTATCTGTGTAAACAAACTGGGCTCCAGTGGCCAGAGAAAACCCTTAAGAAAGGAAATAAAAATTCTGATAGTTGAAGCTCTGGACAGAATGCACTGAAGCAGTAAGGTAAATAGTTATGAGTGGGGAGTTCTCAGAGTCTGTGACATTCACGTCCTTCATTGTTCAGATCCATTCATGTCTTATTACAGATTCTTGCAGATGGTGGCCAACCTAATTTTCTTTAAAAAAAAATCACCAGAGAATTAGATGGGTGTAATGCAATTTATACTGCTTCAGTTGGTCTCAAGGCTGCAACTTAAATTCACCATCTCACTTCTCCACCATCCATCCTTGATTCCCCTTACTTTGTTCATTAGAACACGTACCTTGTTCCAGGATGCTTGTCTGGAGGAATCACGCAGACCTTCATCTCTGAGGATGCTGAGGCCTTGGAAGATCATGGTTGCTGCAAGAGCAGCCAATGGGCATGAAAACACCAAAAAGTGTTCCAGTGAATCCCTAGAATTCCAGACGTTTCTCTGCCTTCATTATGTAGCAGAACCTTCTCATGATAAGTTGTTAAGTAGGGTCAAGTAACCTGCCAACATAGTACTTTTTTTTTTTTTCTGCAGGTCTACTAACAGAAGGAATTCAAATGATTAAGGAGTAACCATATCTTTAGGCTTAGTGGAATCTTTACTGTGTTTCCTGGTAGGAGTATCCAGGATCTGGAATTCCAGTTCAGCAGAGCAAAAAGTTCAAGATACCAGAAACATAAATGCCTCCAAGACAGTGATCAGGAAGTATGGTAAGAGGGGCCACTCCTTCCACTTTTCAGTTCCTAGTCTAAATGCATTCTTCTTATGGAGGACCTAATACCTTATAATGGTCATTGGTTCAAAGAACATATTGCATCTTGAAGAATAGTATTCCAACCCTCCAGGAGATCATCTACAGGTGGTTGCCTTAGTTGATGTTTTAAGAGGACATTCCAATATTCTGTCAAACCAATTTAAGTGATGTGGTATATGATAGGAGCAAAGAGCTTTATAGCTGTATATGCATTGTACCACCTCCTTCACAATGTGAGATGATGTCATGTGGGATATGATGATAAATGAGATCTTGAATAGTGGTAGTGGCTAAGGCATGGCGGAGGGAAAGGAAAATCCAAAACAAGAGTATCTGAAAATCCCAGTGAACATGAATCATTGCACTCAGGTCTGAAAGGTGTTGAATGTAATTAACTTGTCCCAGTAACCATTTGGTCCCCCAGAAGAATAACAACATATTGAGGGCTCAGCATTTGTCTGAGCTGCTATTAGGTTAAACATTCAGCAGTGGCAGCAGCTAGTTCATCCATGGTGAGAGGAAGTCCATGCTGTTGGACTCATGCATAGCCTCTACCTCCACGGCCACAGGAACTTTACTGATGGATCCATTGTACACCACATTGGTGAAGGACAGAATGTGGTTAACCACCACTGGATAAATAATATTATTAATCTTTTTGTTCAGTGTCTTCTCTGAAGTGGATGCTCTCTGGTAGGCATTGACATAAGATATAAAAACCCATGTACTTTGTGTCCAGTCTCATAGGTTCATCCACTTTATTTTTCAAAAATACTCTATCTCTGAACTTCCACTCTTACTCCCTCCAGGCCCCTGACAAACAACTAAGTCATTCACCAACACCAAAGAATCCATGCATATCTTTACCGCAGGCCATTTACACAAGATATGACCAGGTATACTGCACAATAACTTTTTGAGCAGGGAGTATTTCCCTTGATCACAGTTGTTTAGAGCCACCCTGATCAGGTCTGAACTGGAACAGAAGTCAATTTTTAGCTCCCACAAACATATATGGCCAATCCGTCTATGAACCAAGCCCAGGACTTTTTGTCTCTTTTTCAATTAGTTGTATGGAAATCCTCATGAGGCCATAGGTAAGGGCTGAGGGACAGACTTCAATACAACGTAGTTAGATGATCTGGGGGCCCAGGCTACCTGTTTCTGAAGTTTACTGTTGCTGTCCAGACCTACTAAGGCCCCATGCCAAATTTGCTGCTGTGTCTATCTGACCTTACAACTTTTTGTGCCTGACAATTCTCAGGTTCTGTCACTGGATGTCGCATGGTTAGGCACTCTGCTCTGCTAAAGCCCAGTAGCTCCGTAGCAGTTCCTGGCTCCAGAAACACTGCTTTGCAACTCTTCTATTGGAGTTTACCAGAGGCTCCATATAATGCCACTATCTACCATGGATACCTCTACCACCATGAGTTCTGCCCATTCAGATGATCCAATTAGCATGGTCCCTTGTACCACTGTCTGAACCAGCTGCAGAATCTTATCTTGTTCTAGAGCTTACTTAAAGCTGGAAGTTTATCTAGTCATTTGATAAATTGGTCAGAGGAGTATTATAAATGTGATGTGTGCTGTCTTCAAAATATGAAGAGGCCTACCAAATGCTGTGCTTTTTTCTCAGTGGTAAGAGGTGTGAGATATAATAACTTGTCCTTTGCTTTCCAGTGAGAATCATGTTTTTCACCAGTCCTACTTTAAGTCCCCTTGTGACCACATACATGTCATTTCTCTGTCTGTAATGCGTCAGACTTTAGTCCAAGGTGTCTCCATCTGATCTATTGTATTTCAATCTGTCCAAACCCACCACAGGTACCTTTGTCTTTGCTTTACAGTCTACCCTGTCTATACTGCTTGCTTTCATAGCTTCCTGTATCTGGCATCTGAGCTCCCTGCATCCTGTATCTGACTGTGTCTATTCAATCTGCCCACTTGCCATACAATGGAGTTGTCCTTCCCAGTGCACCAAGTGTCTGGCGTGTCCTTCCCAGAGCATCCAGTTCCTATAGCTAAACTATCTTACAGCCCACTTTGAGTTTGCTAAGCTGCTACTGGCCAATATTCTTTTAACCGTCTTCCCTGGGTTTTGCCTAGAATGCTGTTGGACTTCAATGATACTGAGTTGACAGAGTCTCCAAGTCCTTCTGCTCCAAGTTATATAAAGTTGTGGTAGTAAATACAGGGTCATCACACCTAGAAAGAAGCTGCCCGCATATAAGCTCTCTCAGTCTGTTATCTGTTGTTATAACTGAATACCTGAGACTAAGTAATTTATAAAGAAAAAGAATTTATTTCTTGCAATTCTGGAGACTAAGTCTAAGGTCAAGAGGCTGCATCTTGTGAGGACCTTCTTGCTGGTGAGGACTCTGCAGAGTCTTGAGGCAGTTCAGGGCATCACATAATAAGGGGACTGAGTATGTTAGCTCAGGTTTCTCTTTCTCTTCTTACAAAGCTACCAGTCTCGCTGTCATGATAACCTATTAATCAATTAACCCATTAATCTATGAATGGATAAATCCATTCATAAGGGCAGAGCCCTCAAGACCCAATCACCTCTTAAAGGGCCCACCTCTCAACACTGACACATTGGGGATTAAGTTTTAACATGAGTTTTGAAGGGGACAGACATTCAAACCATAGCATAAACTTTGCTTTATCTATGATGTCTTAGACCTAGATATGAAAAAGGCCAAAATAAATCCTCAAACATTATTATCTCAAGCTATAAATACTTCTTTATTTGTCCTATATCCCTATATATTTCACCCCTAAGAATCACGATTGGCATGATAAATGACCATTTTCCTCAAAAGATCAATTTCAGAGAACCTGAAGCTTTTCAATTTTGAGTCATTTTTTCTAGATTTTGCGTGTCAACTTGTTTTTTTTTTCTATTTGCAAGTTTGTTTTCTTTTGTTTTTGTTCATTTAGTTTTCTTTCCCTTCTCTTCCTTCTCTCCTTTTTTCATTTCTTCCTTGAAAACTATTTTTATTTGATATAACCATACCTAAGTTTGTCAATGAAACAATAAAACCTCGAAAAAGATGATGATCTCTGCCTCTTTCTCCTTCTGTATTTCCTCATGTTCACCGGAGAGAAGAAACACAAGTCACTTCCTTTGGGCTACCTGATGAGTAGGACTCAGTAAGATCCCTTGGAGTGGGATATGGTTCTACCTAAATTCTCAGAGCCCAGCAGTCATATGGATTTCTTCTATTTAAACATGATTGGAGTCAGTATTTTTTTTAACCTCCCTAGGATTTATCCAAAGTGTGATTAAGACTAGAAAAACAGAGGGTAGAACAGAAGAGAGACTGAGGGTACTTTGAGATATTTTCTTTGTGTACTCACCCTCTAACGTTCCCAGGACAAATATCCTCCCACAGAATACCTTTCCCAGTGGAATCAAGGGGAAAATTGGACAATTAATCCATGTTTTATGGATATCTTTAACTGGAGATTACCAGTTCAATCTCCTACTCCCTAGAGTTTTCTCCTTAGTTAAGCTCTTCGATTCACAGCTCTGGGGCTGTAAACAGGAATGAGTTTGTACTTGTAGCTTTTATTCTTGGTGTCTGAGAAATGTCTAGAATCTTGGAAGCTGGTTTTTAGATCCCATAATGAGAACCTTAGGAACACTTATCCACCAAACATTGGATCATAAATGCAGGGAAGGTAAGCACTGGAGATGGAATGGGTATTTTTTCCCTCTCAGCAATAGATGAGTTTATAAGTGCATATAGACGAGGAAGAAACAGAAGGCAGCAGTTGGCATGGGGAGAAGAGATAGAATGTAAAAAGACACACACAGAGAGACAGAGGAAGAGAGAGAAGGAAGGAACAGAGAGATATTGAGTGGCAGACATAGACAGGATGAGAGAAAGGGGCAAAAGGAGAAAAAGATGAACGAAGAGAGAGACTGACATACTGGAGGAATATTTTTCTGCCTTGGATCCTGACATAGAAAACCAGATCTGAACAGCAAAGAATCCAAGCATTCCAAAGTTGTTTTGGTGTTTAAATCAGGAATTTTGGGAAGGCCTCCTACACTTCCAAAATGTGTCCTTCATTGGCTATAAAAATTATTCAACTGCCAACATTTGGGATAATTTTTCTTTGATGACAAGCATATTCCTCTCTGTTTACTCAGGACAACACAAATATGGTGCCTTATCTGTGGTAGGTTTCAAGGGTCTGTTTGTTGAATGAATGCATGTGCCTTATAAGGACAAACGTCTCTCCAAAGGAGTCACTTGTTTAGTTCCTGATGTTTGCTTGTGTCAGAACTGTCAGATAAGTCGTGACCTTTGAAGCAATCAGAGGGCACCTGAAGATGAAAAGAAGAATGGAGTTAAAAAGGGTCATTAAAGGGGAAAATACTTAGGAGGCTGGGATTAGGGTAAACAAAGTCATCTCTTTATATCTTGCTGAACACTCAGTTATCCTCTTGCCATTGGCTTTGAGTCTTGGTAGGCTGCTGAAGGACTGGCACTTGGCTGCCTTATAAATTATCCAGCTTATCCCCAAATACAGTCTACACCAAGGCATTGCATTCAGCTGCTAGGCATCAGAATATAAGCTACTTATGTGAGAACGAGCCTCTCTCCTGAATTTCCCTTTTGTTTTCCCTCCCTGGTAAGTAGTGCCTGTTTCTCACTTGTCTGAATGAGAACTCCAGCAGTAGAATGATCATTTTCCCCCTGTGCTCATATGTGTTCTATGTTTGTGCTCTTGGTTTGCCAGCAGTTTGTATACTCAATTCCACAACTTTGTCTAAGGAATCCACACCCAGAGTCCAGCAAAGGAATTAATATGAATAATTTTCTCCTGCGTGTAAAAGGACGTAAATTCCTCTGGCTCCTCTCTGGGTAGATTTGCATTTTGTCTTTAATTGTGGCAGGAGGGAAACCAATATTTGCTGAGCACTATGCAAGCAAATGTACTAGGGGTTTCAAATATGTCATCTCACTTCATCTTACAAAAACCTTATGGGGTATAATTGCATCCTGTTTAAAGATCTTCATCTTTCTGAGATTCGCAAGAGTTAAGAGACCTGCTATGGACAAAAATGCCACAACCAAAGTTTTATGATGACCAAGCCTATCTTATTCCAAAATCTGTGGCTTTTTCTCTAGTCTCACATTGCCTTCAAAGTGGGAGTAGAGGACAGAGAGGGAGGGAAGGAGGGAGAGTGAGGGGGGGAGAGAGAGAGAGGGAGAGAGAGAGAGAGAAAGGAGAAGGAGAAGAAGGAGAAGGGGAAGAAGAAGAAGAAGGAGGAGAAGGAGGAGGAGGAGGAAAAGGAGAAGATTAGGAAAAGGAAGATGCTTGAGCCTAGCACACTTGGAACACTGTGTTTACTGACCTCAATATGTATGTTAGGGTGGGGATGTCTTTAAGGAGTTAGGTTGAGGTCTATATATAGCTAGATTTAAAAACTGAAAGATTTGAAACCTGCCACCGACTTGTCTTCTGCTGAATTTTTGCTCTAGGCCAGAAGCTCATTGGATGGATAAGAGCCCTCTCTAACTCTCTGCCTTTTCTTATTAAAGGAAATTTTATTAAAGGAATATTCCTTATTAAAGGAATATTGAAATTTGTAGGAGAGGGATGGCATAGAGTCTCATTTATGATTAGTGACAAATGCTTCCAATGAGATAGCAGCCTTATTTCCCTGCTGGTTAGGTAAGGATTAGCTCTGCTGAGTGATTGCTTTGTTTTGTTGGATGCAAGATGGAAGCTGGGGAAGGACACATGGATTTTGTTGCATTCTGGTCCCTAGATAACCAGAATATTTGGATATACCTGAAGTCTTTCCAGTGCTGATGTATCAGTTTTCTATTACTGCTTTAACAAATTACCACAAGCTTAGTGCTTTAGAAAAACCTCACAAATGTTATTATATCACAGTTCTGGAGGTCAGAAGTCTAAAATGGGTATCAGTGGGTTAAAACTGAAGAGGTTGGCATTTCTTCGAGAGGTTCTAGAGCATAATCTTGTTTTCTTGCTTTTTTCTAGCTTGTAGAGCCCACTTGCATTCCTTATCTCATGGCCCCTTCCTTCGTCCTCTGAGCCAACAACATAACATCTTCGAATACGTCTCTGATTCAGACTCTTCTATGTCTTCTTCCACATTTAAGGCACTCATTATCACACTGGGCCAACCCAGATAATCCAGGATAAGCTCCCCATTTTAAAGTCAGCTGATTAGCAACCTTAATTCCATCTACAACCTTAATCCCACCTTGGAATGCACCACAGCAGATTTACAGGTTCTGGAGATTAGGATGTGGACATCTTTGGGGGTTCTTATTCTGCTTACCACAGCTGACTAGGAGGTGTTGTGTTTTAAGATGACAGGAGTACCCAAGAGGGAGCTGAAAACTTGGAGTACACTTAAAATCTCACTTCTTTTGCCATCTTTTGATAATAGCCTTCACAGTTTGTTATGGGATGAGTGTTATTGCCTAGGGAGGAAAGGGAGACTGGATTGCAAAAGAACTAGAAAATGCACACTTTGAATATAATTTAAGATAATGTCACTTAAACTGCTTTGTGTTGACAGTAAACAATAAAGCGTAAATAAATTTCCCTAAAGTATTTTCTCATAGCCAGTCTGATCTTTACTTTCTCAACATGCCAGGGAATCACAAGAAATCCACAACCACCAAGGGGAAGAAGTCTAAATGACGTTAAATGGAAATGTGCCTTCCCACAAGGTTGGAACAGAGAGGTTGGCAAGGGTGAGGGGAAAGGGAGGGCAAGAAAGAAATGGGAAATGTAGGAGAGATGCAGGTTTTGCAGGGCCTTTAAGCCATATTAAGGTTGTTACACTCTAATCTTAAAGGTCAATGGGAATCCTTTGAGAATTTTTAGACAGGGAAGTCATGTTGAAAGGTAGTTTAAAAAAAGATCTCCAAGACTGAAGTAGAGAAAATGAATTGATACAATCCCTAATTTCTTAGGAACCCTCTACATAATTGAAACAAATAAAAATGTATGCATAATGATAACTGTTCTAATGAGAACACATGGACACAGGGAGGGGAACAACACACACTGGGGCCTGTCGGGGGGTGCGGGAGGAAGAGCATCAGGACAAATAGCTAATGCATGTGGGGCTTAATACCTAGGTGATGGGTTGATAGATGCAGCAAACCACCATGGCACACGTTTACCTGTGTAACAAACCTGCACGTCCTGCACATGTACCCCAGAACTTAAATTAGGAATACTATTCTTTACATACTTTTATTTGAAAAGGCCACCTCTCATCTGAAATTTAACCATGGCTGGTGAAGTCAGATCTTCTAATGGTTGCTGTACCATGACTGATGGCTTGGAATACTCGCCACATTAACTTTTGGGAGCAGTAACTTGGCTGAAACACCTTTCTCCACAGCCTAGTCCTCAGTCCCACAGGTGCAAGATTTATGTTTTGTTATCGAACCAAGAAATACTGACTCTCAGTAACATTTGCCTCAATGCTTTTTTCTAGTTTTCTTACATAACATATAAGGAAAAATATGAGAAGCAGGTTAAATTTTGCACTTTCTGAAATAAAACATATATATATATGTATTTTTAAGTTCTGGGGTACATGTGCAGGATGTGCAGGTTTGTTACATAGGTAAACCTGTGCCATGGTGGTTTGCTGTACCTATCATCCCATCGTCTAGGCATTAAGCCCAGAATGCATTATATATTTTTTCTGATGCTCTTCCTCCCCACAGACCCCCGATAGGCCCCAGTGTGTGTTGTTCCTCTCCCTGTGTCTATGTTAAAACGTACATCTTTTAATATGACTGCTAAAAATGATAATTTCAGAGCCTCTAATATTCTCAAGCATTCTTCATCTCCATCAGAGGGCAAAGGAGTATGAGCCCTGAGAACCAGAGCAGCGTGTCCGAGTTCCTCCTTCTGGGCCTCCCCATCCGGCCAGAGCAGCAGGCTGTGTTCTTCACCCTGTTCCTGGGCATGTACCTGACCACGGTGCTGGGGAACCTGCTCATCATGCTGCTCATCCAGCTGGACTCTCACCTTCACACCCCCATGTACTTCTTCCTCAGCCACTTGGCTCTCACTGACATCTCCTTTTCATCTGTCACTGTCCCTAAGATGCTGATGGACATGCGGACTAAGTACAAATCGATCCTCTATGAGGAATGCATTTCTCAGATGTATTTTTTTATATTTTTTACTGACCTGGACAGCTTCCTTATTACATCAATGGCATATGACCGATATGTTGCCATATGTCACCCTCTCCACTACACTGTCATCATGAGGGAAGAGCTCTGTGTCTTCTTAGTGGCTGTATCTTGGATTCTGTCTTGTGCCAGCTCCCTCTCTCACACCCTTCTCCTGACCCGGCTGTCTTTCTGTGCTGCGAACACCATCCCCCATGTCTTCTGTGACCTTGCTGCCCTGCTCAAGCTGTCCTGCTCAGATATCTTCCTCAATGAGCTGGTCATGTTCACAGTAGGGGTGGTGGTCATTACCCTGCCATTCATGTGTATCCTGGTATCATATGGCTACATTGGGGCCACCATCCTGAGGGTCCCTTCAACCAAAGGGATCCACAAAGCATTGTCCACATGTGGCTCCCATCTCTCTGTGGTGTCTCTCTATTATGGGTCAATATTTGGCCAGTACCTTTTCCCGACTGTAAGCAGTTCTATTGACAAGGATGTCATTGTGGCTCTCATGTACACGGTGGTCACACCCATGTTGAACCCCTTTATCTACAGCCTTAGGAACAGGGACATGAAAGAGGCCCTTGGGAAACTCTTCAGTAGAGCAACATTTTTCTCTTGGTGACATCTGACTTTTTAAAAAATTAGAATCTCATTTTGGTTTATCTCATGTATTTGATTTTCCATTTGAATATGTCTCAAAACATGTTATGTCCTGAAGCCCTAAGACAAATGTTAACATGTTGAATGTAATTGGTAAATATTTGTTGGCCAGAATTCCATTCTCTTATTAACAATGTTATTCTTTATAGTTTTTGGTCAGTGAATGCCAAATTTTGTTATTTATTTCTGCAACTTGGAGAAGGGACATAATAATGCAATAATATACAGTTTTCTTATCCCTTATTTGAGGAGATGTTTGGAGACATATATATTTTTGGCCTATAATCCCAGGCTTTAACACAACATAGAATTGAAAGAATTAGCTGTATTATTTTACTATTCTCTCTAATGTAGACTGAGTGGTATCATTAGTGAAGTAGTGCTTCATACCAGTCTCCTTGGAAATATAACCAAATTCAAGTGCTAACTCTTGGAAAGTATCATTTTCCTAAAGGTGCCACTCCAGATTCAGCACTGACTGTCTTTCATGAAGGATAGTCCTGTCTTCCAAATGAAGAATGAAAAGTAACACTTCTCAAATGTTAGGGTACATGAGAATTTCTGGAAAGATTGTCAAAACTCAGATTCCTTTGATCTACCACTACAAATTATGATTTAGTAGAATTTTGGGTGAGGTCTAAGAATTTGCATTCCTAACAAGCTGCCACATGCAACAATGCTGTAGAATGTTTACTAAATCTTGGAAGTTGTGGGACACACATTTATAACACCTCATCTGAATTCTGGTAGTAGATGGGATGAAACAAGAGACACCTTAAGTTATTTCAGTAATAGAGAAATCAGTGATTCATGTTGATATTTTTGGATTAACTCTAGCTGTGGTAAATTCCTCTCCCCAGTCTCTAAATTATCTCATTTGTATATAATATAGAAATACCCAGCTACTCCATATCATGGTTTGTATCATCACGCCAACCTATATATGTAATGAAAATGAAGCCAAAGTTTGGAAAAAAATTAACATCCAGTGTCCATCTGTGACTTCTTGTTTCCATTAAGCCTCGTGGAATTTCAGTGTGCCATGTAACTTTTCTAATGTCACTCAAAATGCTCTGATTTTCCTTGAAAGATTGGGGCAGGTTCACGTGAGCTATAATAACTCTAACAACATATTTTCATATTTCTGAACTGAAACAATTATTTCACATACGATGCACATTAAATTGTGTATTGGTTAGAAAACACTAGATGATTTCAGAAAAACTATAACCCCACAAAGGGACACAAGTTCTTGGCAGAATATTGAACAATTTTATGTTAAATGGTGTCATTCATTTATAAATGGCTCACTTCATTTGCCATGTTTTTTGACATATCCCATAAAATAGCATTTTTGTGGATCCAATCCATGTTATTGTTATTTTTACCCCAGTCTTTATATCCACTCTTTTTGTCACATTGGCTGTATGCAAAATGCAATATGTTTACTCAATTTTATACATAAAGATAAGGCTAATTACTATGTAAGCAGTAACTGGGATGGCATTGGTGATGGCTTAAACTGGAGTCTGAGATGCGAGGATAGAAATACTTGTGCATTTTGAAGGAGTTTGATATTTGATCTATGTGTGGAATATTGCAGTAGCAACTTCCCTGTTATTCAGCTAATTTCATTCCATAACCTTTCACCTAGGCTTTGGGCGGGTGAAAACAGTCTGGCATTGTTGCCTGTGTTTCCGCAGAGTTCAACCTGAACTTCCATTGTTCATGTATTTTCACAAGCATTTTTTTTTTTTATTTTACTTTAAGTTCTGGGATACATGTGCTGAATGTGCAGGTTTGTTACATAGGTATACGTGTACCATGGTGGTTTGCTGCATGTATCAACCGGTCATTTGGTTTTAAGCCCTGCATATATTAGGTATTTGTCCTAATGCTGTCCCTCCCCTTGCTCCCCACCCCCCGACAGGCCCTGGTGTGTGATGTTCCCCTCCCTGGGTCCATGTGCTCTCATCATTCAACTCCCACTTATGATTCACAAGCATTTTCACAGTTGTTTCTCCTCTTTTCAAAAGGGCAAGCCGCAGACACTAAGGAATTAAGACAATGCAGCACATTAAAAATGATGCTTTTGAAGATATTAAAGTAGCCTTGATCCGACAGCTCACAAAAGAGATGATTTTAAGGCATTTCATAGTCTTTAATAAAATTTCACAGTGAATAAAATAAAACATCTTAAGTAGATATGTATGTATAGATGTGCATAGACATAGAAATGCAAACATGGTGACAATAAATTATCACAGAAAATGAAAGCTATAAAGTACTATAAAATAAATCCCATTATGTAAACAGACATGTTTATGAATAAGTCATTTTTCATTTTATTATTATTTTTTAATTTCAACTTTTGTTTGACATTCGTGGGGTGCATGTCCAGGTTTGTTACATGGGTATATTGCATGATGCTGAGGTTTGGGCTACAAATGATATATCATCACCCAGATAGTGAGCGTAGTACCCAATAGTTGGTTTTTCAACCTTTCTCTAGTAGTCTTCAGTGTCTATTGCTCCCATCTTTATGTCCACGTGTACCTAATGTTTAGCTCCCACTTATAAGTGAGAACATGCAGTATTTGGTTTTCTGTTTCTGTGTTAATTTGCTTAGGATGATGGCCTCCAGTTACATCCATGTTGCTGCAAAGGACATGATTTCATTCTTTTTGATGCCTTCGTAGTATTCCATGGTGTACTACATTTTCTTTATCCAGTGCACCATTGATAAACATCTAAGTTGATTCCATGTCTTTGCTATTGTGAAGAGTGAAAATGCCCTCTTAGACGGATAAAAAATGAATCATGAAAGGGTGAGATACTTTGACTTTCTCCTTTGTTTTCATGTTTATATTATTTGTATTTCCATCATAAAGAGGAATTAGTTTTATAAGCAGCAAACCAAAAAAGAATTTTCATTTGAGAGAAAAATCTCTATAGACATCTCAACCTAACACCTAACCAGGGGAAACCAGAATCTGGCAGGGGAGGTCTTTCCCCATCTCTTTTTGGACTTAAATTCACAGGGCCTGACACTCTTCCTAAGGACAGAGATTCCTTGCAGTCTGCCCTTAGAGCCACTTGCCTCAGAATTTTCTGGCCCCAGATCTCATGAATGAATATCTCCGCAGGTGGAGCTGGGACCTGATCTTTAACAAGCTCCCCAGGTGATTTTGATGAACATCGAAGTTTAGAGACCACTGCCCGAGGGCATCTCTCCTGGGGAGAGTAGGAGGAAAACTGAGCAATTAATGCATGTTTATTTAATGCAAGTCTCTAACCGTGAGCTTTGTGCCCTGTCCCCTTGTGTCCTCTCCCTGGTGGGTAGAATAGACTTGTTACCTCTCCATTTCTGAAGCCTGTAAATTGAGAAGAGTAAGCTCCAGGTTCATGACTTCTTTCTCCGATGTCAGTGAGGTTTAGGACCACAGAATTCGGAGGCTAACTCTGGTCCCTTGGTCTCCTAGAAAGAAGCTGAGAAACCAGTCCATACTCCCAGGAATGACTTGAGCATAAAGTTCAGATCAGGACTGGGTATCCTTCTCCAGGAGCAGGTTGTGTGTGTGTGTGTGTGTGTGTGTGTGTGTGTGTGTGTATACGGGTGCTCAGCATTTCTCTGTGCTCTTCTGGAGTCATTTTTTATTCCCAGTTCCTAAAGACAGGGATGCAACAATCACCACCGGCCAATGACTCTCATGTCTTTAACCCCACGTTGTGGGGAGATGAGGGATAGGGCCAGCTGGTTACATAAATTGGTGGGCATATCCTCAAAATCCAAGCTAGGGGTCTCATCTCATCATTCATGTTCTAGATATTAGAATGTGGGCTTATTTACTGCATACAGTGTTAGAGAGCCCTCTCTAATATTTCTTTCCAAAGTCCCTGATCATTTCCTTCCCTTTAGACAGCACAGCTACTTTCTGAAAGTATATTTGAAGGACATGTTTAGCTAGAGAGCTTTGGGTCCTTTCTTCTTTTGTGTAGCATCCATACTGCATCTTCTTATTACAATCTGCTTGATAATTTCCTGCCTGTAATCTGTAGTGTATTCTTAAACCTTCATCAGAGGCAGCAAACTTTGAGCCCAGGCAACATCTACTACCCCAGTAATTTTTGCCTGGTTTGCACTGAATATAAGACACTGAGTTTGTTCCCTAGAGGTCTTTGCACTTTATTTTAATGGAAACAATGTCATCTCATATACGACACCTTCTATGGATGAGGTGTTTTTATAGACCTTACCTTATTTAATTTTTACTGTAATTCAGGGATTATGTTCACAATTCTAGAGAGGAAAAGCTGAGGCTCCTAAGATGTGCACTACCTTGCCCAAAGACATACAACTTTGATTTGAATCCCTTCTGTCTGACTTCAAAACCTGTGCTTTGTCTTCTACTATAATACACAACCTCACTGTAAAGGAAATATCAGTTATCAGCAAGCAGTAGTTGAGGTTTTAGTGATCAAGAGGCTGAATGTGGTGGGGTGGAGTCCATACATGGTCTTTTTTTTTTTTTTTTTTTTTGAGACGGAGTCTCGCTCTGTCGCCCAGGCTGGAGTGCAGTGGCGGGATCTCGGCTCACTGCAAGCTCCGCCTCCCGGGTTCACGCCCTTCTCCTGCCTCAGCCTCCCAAGTAGCTGGGACTACAGGCGCCCGCCACTACGCCCGGCTAATTTTTTGTATTTTTAGTAGAGACGGGGTTTCACCGTTTTAGCCGGGATGGTCTCGATTTCCTGACCTCGTGATCCGCCCGCCTCGGCCTCCCAAAGTGCTGGGATTACAGGCGTGAGCCACCGCGCCCGGCCCATACATGGTCTTTACATAGAATTTATGCAGATAGAAATAGGCATGGCTGAATTGGATTCAGGGGGCTTTATCAAAATCCTAAATCCCATGGATTAAATAGATTTACAAGTTCAGGAAGGAGTCATCTAATTGATATAGCATGAGAGAAACCAGAAGAGAATGGAGAAGGAGGGGGAGAAGTCCAGAATAGTGAGATATCTGAGCCATCATTCTCTAGGGTGTGGTTGGATGCTGCCTTTCTGCCCAACTTCATTATTGCTGTTTCTGGCCTTTGCCTGCATCAGGTCACGATCTCATGATGAAGTGGCCTTGTGGCACCTGAACTCTGCCAGTATCTGCCTGTTGAAAGGAGTGGGCAATCAGGAGGGAGAAATAAAGGAGACTCAGGAAATGGCAGGTGAGAAACTGATATAAATTGGTTCAGATTGTATGCAGTCATTCTTCACAAATGTTTTCTTATTAATATTCACAATATTCTCATGACTTAGGCTCATAGTCTCATCTCCAGATTAGAGATGAGAAAACTGAAGCTCAGGCCAACTGGATCACTTCTCCAGAACTCACAAATATGAAGATATGAAGTGATGTTGCCAGGACTTGAATCTAGGGCTAATTGCAATGCTTTTGTCAGTACAACATACTACCCTCAGACACTAGGCTCTATCCTTAAGGTCACAGCCCCAGGGAGCCTTAAAATGCTGGAGTGAGCAGGTGCAGCCGGGGAACCTGGGCCAGGCATTCTTGCCCCTTTTCTCTATGGGTCCATTCGGAACTCTGTTATGTTGGCTGCCTTTTGGTAAGTTTCAAAGGAAGGATGGTATTCTCATATGAAATAGGAGTATGCTCAACTCACCAGCTTAAAGAAGCAAAGAATTTTAAGCCTATCCTTAACCTGTACAAAGCTCTTCTGAATTTTTCTCCCAATTAAGAACTGTTATAATGAAATCCTCACATTTTCTATTTACTTAGTATACGTTGGTATATATATTAGGCATTTGGCATTGCTTTTTGACTTAAAGGGAACTTTTCAATTAAGACACAGTGGCACTATAAACTCATTCCTACTGGCCTTGCAGGATTTGGTAACTTAGGTTTAGAATATCTTTTTGAGGTGTTTTTTTTTTCTTATGTTCCAGGGTACATGTGCAGGATGTGCAGGTTCGTTACACAGGTAAACGTGTGCCATGGTGGTTTGCTGCACCTATCAACCCCATCACCTAGGTATTAAGCCTGGCATTCGTTAGCTCTTTTTCCTGATGCTCTCACCCCCTCAAGCTCCCTAGACAGGTCCCAGTGTGTATTGTTCTCCTCCCTGTGTTCTCATTGTTCAGCTCTCACTTATAAGTGAGAACATGTGTTGTTTGGTTTTCTGTTCCTGCATTAGTTTGCTGAGGATAATGGCTTCCAGCTCCATCCATGTCCCTGCATAGGACATGGTCTCATTCCTTTTTATGTATGTTCATTGCAGCACTATTCCCAATAGCAAAGACATGGAATCAACTCAAATGTCCATCAATGATAGACTGGATAAAGAAAATGTGGCACATATATGCCATGGCTTTAGAATATTTTAATGGGTAGATAGTGGCTGTGGAGGAAGCTGGCATATTTTTCTCATTCCTGATTTTAATGGAAATGCTTTAAAATGTCTCCACTAGGTATGGTGTTTACTGTATTATTTAGTTTACTGAGTGTCTTAGTCGGTTGGGCTGCTATAGCTGGGTGACTTTAAACAGCAGACATTTATTTGTTACAGTTCTGGAGCCTGGGAAGCCCCAGATCAAGGTACCAGCAGATTTGGTTTCTGGTGCGGGTCCACTTTCTGGTTAGCAGATGGCTGCCTTCCTGCTGAGTCCTCACATGGCAATGCCAGAGACACTCTTGTGTTTCTTCTTATAAGGGCAATAATCCCATTCATGGGGTTCTACCCTCATGACCTAATTACCTCCTGAAGCTCTCACCTTTAAATATTTTGTGTAAGATTTACTTTTTTTATGGCAGTGATATTGTAATCAATAGACAAGTTTTTTTTCTCATCAACTTTATACATAATGAAAACTTTGGCTGTTTATCTTTGATCCAATTTCTTTTGGATATGTGTTATGGAAACTTCATCCCTATATGTTGCTTACTAATAGATTTTGAAGTCAAATTTTAAAAAGTTCAATATGTTACAACATGAAGGCTCATGACTAGCCTGATGATTGTTTTTAAAAGTACATAAACAATGGAAATTGGAAAGACGTTATCTTACGATCCATCTGCTAATACGGTGTGAAGCTTTCTCTTTACTGACTAGACATGGCTGGTCTTCTCTTCTATTTCAAACCCTCTACTCTCTTGGCGAATTATCCCATTTTGAGTGATAAAACCATCTACTTGAAATGATTTTTTGTAGGGACATAGCAATGTAGACAGACATTGGCATATTCATCAGTAGCAAGGATCTTATTCTTATCTGCTGCTGTAAATCAACATTTGTTTGTTTCTGCCTTTTTCAATGTCCCTCTATTTCCAGCAGAGAGAAGACTGTCAGCATGAAGAGGGAGAATCAGAGCAGTGTGTCTGAGTTCCTCCTCCTGGACCTCCCCATCTGGCCAGAGCAGCAGGCTGTGTTCTTCACCCTGTTCTTGGGCATGTACCTGATCACGGTGCTGGGGAACCTGCTCATCATCCTGCTCATCCGGCTGGACTCTCACCTTCACACCCCCATGTTCTTCTTCCTCAGCCACTTGGCTCTCACTGACATCTCCCTTTCATCTGTCACTGTCCCAAAGATGTTATTAAGCATGCAAACTCAGGATCAATCCATTCTTTATGCAGGGTGTGTAACTCAGATGTATTTTTTCATATTTTTCACTGATCTAGACAATTTCCTTCTCACTTCAATGGCATACGATCGGTATGTGGCCATCTGTCACCCCCTCCGCTACACCACTATCATGAAAGAGGGACTGTGTAACTTACTAGTCACTGTGTCCTGGATCCTCTCCTGTACCAATGCCCTGTCTCACACTCTCCTCCTGGCCCAGCTGTCCTTTTGTGCTGACAACACCATCCCCCATTTCTTCTGTGATCTTGTTGCCCTACTCAAGCTCTCATGCTCAGACATCTCCCTCAATGAGCTGGTCATTTTCACAGTGGGACAGGCAGTCATTACTCTACCACTAATATGCATCTTGATCTCTTATGGCCACATTGGGGTCACCATCCTCAAGGCTCCATCTACTAAGGGCATCTTCAAAGCTTTGTCCACCTGTGGCTCTCACCTCTCTGTGGTGTCTCTGTATTATGGCACAATTATTGGACTGTATTTTCTCCCCTCATCCAGTGCCTCCAGTGACAAGGACGTAATTGCCTCTGTGATGTACACGGTGATCACCCCATTGCTGAATCCCTTCATTTATAGCCTAAGGAACAGGGACATAAAGGGAGCCCTGGAGAGACTCTTCAACAGGGCAACAGTCTTATCTCAATGACATTTACTCTTCTTTATAACAGACATATGTACTGACCTATTTCCAGATCATAGATCCTTACTTCTGATCCCAGCAAGGGATAAGTGCTCAGTAACTCTCTGATGACTTGAATTGCATCCTGTTACAGTTATTCTCCCTTTTCCTCTTTAGTGCAAATTGTGAATTCTGAGTTTACATAATTGTTTATTTATCTTGCCTATTAGATTCAGAAATTACATAGTTAACAGAACTTAAATCCTTCATTTTATTTCCTGGAAATTTATTTGTTCTTAGGAATTGTTTAAATATGTTGACTAACAGGATTCCCTTGCCATAGAAAAGTTGAAGGATTGGGTACTTGTAAAGGCATTTCCCTTTCTTTCTTCCCATTCAGTTCTCTTCTCACATTTTTTATTGTTGTTGCTGATGGTGGTGGGTAAGGAGAAGAAACTATATAGTACCCTTTACAGATCCAAAAAGCTATTCACTGTCATAAGTTCAGCTGTTCCACTTCAGAACTTGAGGTTCCTCTTCTAGACTACAATAACTTTCATTCAACAGTTCACTTTCAGACCAATGTTTATGAAGCTTTCTGACTACACATGTGAGCTTCAATCACGCCGCAGACTTACTCCAGGTAATGAATGAGAAGAACAAAAAAGTCTTCACAGTCAGGAGCCTTCTGTTGCCGTCACTAAATTTGATCCTTTTCCCATTCAGTGTCTTCGTTGTCTTTCTTATTGAAAAGCATTTCTACTCAGCTTAATGGCCCCTAGTTTGTATTATATGCCCAAGTCATCTTTTATCTTTTTCTTCTATCTTCTATGGTCTCCGCCATCCAGTGAAGGGCATATAGGTCTCTTTTTTCATTCCTCTACTTAAAGATAAACAGAACTACAAATGCTTCTGAGAAGCAGCAATGTGTAGCTGCAAGAGAAGAATATTTGGAAAGCTAGATCTCATTTGTAATCTCTATATACCAGGGTGGTGGCTGCGTGGCCTCAGACAATTCACCCAATTCCTTTGAACCTCAATTTCTTCTTCTGTATAGGTGAAAAAAGTTCTGCAACACCTAACATATTTTATTTGAAGTAAATGCAGTAATAAATTGGGCTTAACACTACAGCTGACCAAGAATAATGAATGTGAATTTTCTCTACCTTCTCCATCAGAGATGAGTTTTGAAGCAGAACTTGTGCAGACACTCCTGAATTATGGTGACCATGGGCAGCTTGTCATGTTGGTTATATTCCCAATTCAAAAGCAATAACCTGCCCTAGGACACAGCAACATATCTGTTCTGGCTTGAGCTAGAACCAAATAACTAAAGGGCAATGAACAAGTGAGTTCATGTGTGGGTAGGTAAGGAAAGACAGATCAGAAAAAGACCTTACTCTTCACTTGTTTGATATTGACTCAAAGAGTGATCCTTCATCGGGGGCTCATGTAGCTGCCTTTTGGCATCCAGTCCTTTGTAGAACAAGAAAGAGTGCCACCCCCACTCCTTGCTGCAAGCACAGGGTCACTTTGTTTACAGGCTTAGCCCCGACCTTTTCCAGAGCCAAAACCTGAACAGGGATAGAATCTTTATTGTTGGTTTATTGTTGGTCTAGGTAAAGCATGCCTTGATAGCCTCAGCACAATCATGACCTGCTGTACACTCTCATCTCTGCTATAGTGATGTGATCTGTAGAACTAAGTGCCTGACTCAGTTTCCCTGCCGGCACCCCAGTTCTGTTGTTCAGATCCCTGAAGATCTGCCTAGTCTTGTCAGGCCCATCCTCCAGAGAGACCAATATTGTCATTTATGTTTTAGCCACAGGCTGGTGACACTTCTCTGAATGACTTTTCCTCAAGAAATGGCAAGCTCACTTGTCTGTTGGGAAGTGTTTCATCACTATCTGTCTTACCAGTCCACCTCATCTCCCAGATCAGTTTGTCTTGGTTTTGGACAGCCCAAAGCACACTGGGGTGCACCGTATTGATTTGAATATGCAAATAGAACTGAACATCAATCACATTGGAAGTGTGCACTTTATATGAGTGCATTTCCCTCTAGCCATGCCAGGGCTAGGATTCGTGACCTTTTCCAGTGAAGCACCTCATTGAGTTTAGAACAAAGCTTGCTGCATTTTTGAAATCCATGAATGTGTGATTTTTTTTCACAAGTTAACAAATAGTTCTGAAAATTGGCAATTATGGACGTTTCAAGTGACCAGTGTACTTCCTTCTCAAAAGTTAACACTAATTCTTTCACAGTGTGACAATAGAACAATCTTCCTCAGAGGGGAGGAATCAAAACATCCTAGAACCAGGAACTCCAGCACTTGATTTTAGCACATATGTAACACACAATTCTGACATGGAAATTTTAAGAGTAAACAAAAATTATTCTATTTTGTCACAGATGGAAAGTGGAAGGGGAATTTGCTAAAGAATTAAGTTCACTTAGCTTTTGAAGGAAAAAATAAACCCATTAATGTTGTGATGGTTATATTATTTGAATCCAAGAACTGTGTGCATGTGTGTGTGTGTGTGTGTGTGTAACTCACATATACATACAATTTAATTTGTTTGTAATTAAGGACAAATGTTGGAATTAATACTAAAAATAGTAAAACATTCTTTATTTTATAGATTGTGCCCCTCAGTAGCCATTCAGCAAGTTACCTGTCTGTGCCAGGCAGTGTGCCTATTCTTGGTCAAACAGATCTGGATAAAGAGAAAGCCTCCAGGCAAAAGAAGCTCATATTCTGATAGTGTAGCAACAGGTAAACTAAGAAATATGCAAGAGTACAAAAAGTGCCTTAACGTAATAACACCACGAATAGTTGTGCTTATTTTGCATGGCTACTGTGTGTCAGGCATTGTATTAAAAGCTGTACCTGTATTATGTCATTTAATCCTCATAATAATTCTACATATATACACTGTTACTATCTATATTTTACAGCTGGGAAAATTGAGGCTTAGAGACGATGAAATACTTACATGGTAGTAACACAAGGGCGTATAGTTAATGCTGCCTGGATATCAGCAAAAGCTTTACAGGGGAAGTAATTCTTCAGTTGGGGGTTGAAGGATGCTCAGGATTGATACATAATGGAACAAATGAGTCTAGGTAGAGTGGACAGAGTGGGCCAGGGCACTGAATTTGCATGGTATGTTCAGGGAAATGTAAGAAAAATGATGTTGCTATACATAGGTGTGTATGAGTCAAGGAAGCATCAAGAGGTGAGTCTAGACAGGGAGACAAAGACTATATTGTGAGGGGGGTAGATTGTCCTGTTAAGAGGTTTAGACATTGCCTTGCAAGTGATGGGCACCATTGGCTGGGGTGGGGTGGAATTGGGATTAGTCTCAGGGAAGGTTATGTTTGTGTTTTCTAAAGATTACTCGGGTAACCAACGTGTGAGATGGTTTGGCAATGGATCGGAGTGCCTTGAATCAAGATGCTTAATTAGAAGGTCATTGTACATTCAGGTAACAGATAATGTGTGCCTGGATGAAGACAATGGCATATAGATAGAGAAGAGAATACTCTTGAAGGTAGACTAGACGGTATTGGTAATTGATGGGAAGTAGGTGATAGAATGAAGGATTGCTCTTGATTTATGGTTCTGTGGACTGATATTTAAGAACAAAATGGAAGACTAGGCACCTTAAATAATTTTGATTAGGTTTAACAGTCTTAAGGAAGTGAGGAAACAAACTGAAGACCATTTGCTTCTTAAAAATGGGTTCTGAGCAAGAAGAAAGCAAAACCCCTAAATAGGCAAGGGGCACTGGGAAGCTTTCTATCATGCTACCTCTCTCCATTACCCCACCTCTGATTCAAAGCATGCCCTGCTCATTACCCTACCAAGGTGCAAAGATTTATAAGTCACCTGTATGTCAGCAGGAATTATTTTAATGCTAACATCACATTAATTCTCTTTGACATAGATGACCTTAAAGGAATAGAAATTTGAGCTTATGTTTTGGGGATGGGTGTGATAAGATAGTCATGTGCCTCATAATGATGTTTTGGTCAACAATAGACTCCATATGCCACAGTGGTTTCAAGCTCATAATGGAACTGAATAAATCCTATCACAGAAATACTTACCATAGTGTTACAGTTGCCTACAGCATTTAGTACATTAACAAGCTGTACAGGTTTGTAGCCTGGGAGCATTAGTTATACCATATAGCTTAGCTGTATAGTAGGCCATCCCATCTAGGTTTGTGTAAGTGTACTTTATGATGTTTGCACAATGACAAAATTGCCCAGTGAAACATTTCTCAGAACATATGCACATAGTTAAGTAATGTATGACTGTATATCAAAGGAGGAATAAGTTTGGAACTTTGAATACATTGATAACTCTTGGCTGGCTGGAATCGAGGAATGTTAGACTATTGAACAGTGATAGGCAACAGTGTCCGTTGATGAATCTTTGTATGCTGAGTGCTGACCTAACTCCTAACGGCCACAGAATTATATTAAGTAAACTGAAGTGGACACCCAGTCACATCTTCTAGTTTGCTTGGGGCCTGTGAGAAAGAACTTAAACCATACCCAAACAGGATTCATAAATTTACCGCACTATCAGTGAGTGGATTGAGGGTCCCTGAGGATCAGAATGGTGAATGAAACCAGAAGGCGACATAGACACCATGAGTAAAGAAGGTAAAGTTGATTGGGTGAATCTGAGCAGCAGATTTAGGGTATCAGGGTGGACATAGGTTTCAGATATAGTGTGAGGCTGTATCTGGTGATCTCACACCTCAGGCTTCCTCATGTCCACTAGCTGTGTCATCAGGGGCCTTAGAGCTCTCCTAGGAGACCCTCTTCTGAAAGAGCTGATCATGAGAAGTGGAGGATAGTCCATTGCCAGTTCAAATGATAGAAGAAAGCTAGAGGTCAATGGCTTGGAGGAGACTGTCAGTGGTCTTTGGTCAGTGGAGCGATAGATGTCAACAGAATGGAAGGAGAGTTGTAGACTAAGGAGATGAGGGCAGGAGAACTCCAAGTTTGCAACCATCTCCAGCTCTGGTTACATGACGATGCCCTGCTCATCCCATTCAAGGACTCTCTGAGGGAACATCTGGAAAGGAGTTCTAGAGAGAAGAACAGACTTCCAGTTCCAGGTCATGAAATAAATGGAATCCTCGCGTACTAAGATGTGGCATCTAAATGATTCACATTTGTACTTACTAATAGCTGAAGCCTGGAACAGTTTGATTCCATGAAAGATGCTCCATAAGTATTCATTGAAAAAGTGCAGCAATCATAAAACATTTTAGAATAGGTTAGGTCTGAGAAACAAACTTAAATGAGGAAGGAGTTTAGGTAGCCAGTGGACACCTGGTGATACCAGATGTAAGAAATCAAAACTATATAGCCCTTATATTTAAAATAATATTTTTAATATTTCTAAGATTCTTGGAGACAGATAGAATGCCATTTACCTTCAAACATCATTTTTTCCATCTCTGCAACTAATTTAAGCTGCTGGTGCCCCTTTTAGATGTGGACGCAAACCTGCAGTCAAATAAGGAGAGAGGATTTCCACGTTCCTCTCATCTAATAGTCACTAAAAGGATGGTGGCATTGCACGTTTCTGACCAGCATGGGGCAGAGGTAGCACAAGGAGCTTTAACCCCCTTCCTAGTGAAACATTAGCCAACCGTGGGGTGGGCAACCCGCATGGAAACCTAAACATTGAATTTGAACCTTTTGATGGGGATCTCTTTAGCTATTCTGCAGCACATGGAATGCAGCCTCCATCTTTATTTCTTTTGTCTTACTCCCCACTTAATGCCACAAACAAAACAAGTGCCCCCAAAATTTTAATGATCGACAAATTAATAACCTAGAATGAAAGTGTCATGAAAGCAGGGACTTTGTCTTGCTCAGTGTCATAACCCTAGCACTTACAATAACTTCCAACACACCATAGATAGTAAATATTTATTGAACAAATATATCTCAGAGAAAAGATTTTTTGACTTCTGAGTTGGGGGAGGAATGAAGAATACTAATAGTAATAATAATAGCTATCCCTTATTGAACACCTACTGTTATTCACTACTATACTGAATGCATTTCATAGTTTATTTCAGTTAATCCTCCAAGTTACATTATTAGATAGAAACTGTTATCTCCATTTTATAAATGAGAAAACCAAGGCTCAGAGAGGCTAAGTAACCAGACTACAATCTTATGGCTAGTGTGTGGTAGACCCCAAAATGAAGCCCGTTTGTCTGACTCCAAGCCTATGTCTTTTCATTAAATGTTGCTGTCACCACATCTAAGAGGAAACAATACTCCTGTGACTGAAGAGCCTCTTTAGGGCCCCCTTCATGTCCTTGTTCCTTAGGCTATAGATAAAGGGGTTCAACATGGGAGTCACTATGGTGTACATTGCAGCTGCTGCAATGTCCTTCTCTTCAGAGGCAATGGAGGGAGGACACAGGTAGGCACTGAAGAGGGTCCCATAGAACACACAAACAACGCAGAGGTGGGAACTGCAGGTGGAAAAGGCCTTGCCCACCCCACCACGGGTTCGGACCCTCAGGATAGCTGGCACAATGTGGATGTAGGAGGTGACAATGCATAAAAAGGGGACGATGAGTACGGTGCCTCCCAAGACAAAAACCATCATCTCGTTGATGTGGGTGTCAGAACATGACAGCTTCAGGACAGGAGTGATGTCACAGAAAAAGTGAGCAATTTCCCCAGTCACACAGAAGGACAACCGAGCCATGAGGAACGTGTGAGTCAGGGCAACGATATTGGTGAGGACCCAGCACAATGCAAGCATTAGGGCACAGACTTGGGGCCTCATGACTGTGGAGTAGCAGAGGGGGTGGCAAATGGCCACATAGCGGTCATACGCCATGGCAGCCAGGAAGAAGCTGTCTAGATCACCAAACATCAGAAAGAAATACATTTGCGTGAGGCAACCCGTATAGGAGATGGTGTGATGCCGAGTCTGTATATTCACCAGCATCTTGGTAACTGTGGAGGACGTTAAACCCATGTCAACAAAAGACAGGTTGGCCAAGAAAAAGTACATGGGGGTGTGGAGGTGCAGGTCAGAGCCAATGGCCAGGATGATGAGCAGGTTCCCAGTCAAGGTGACAAGATACATACACAGGAAAATTCCGAAGAGGGACTGCTGTTGCTCTGGAGGCGCTGATATTCCTCGGAGGAAAAATTCAGAAATGCTGGATTGGTTTTCCATGACTCTGCAGCATCTGGAGCTGAGGGAAGACAGTTAGAATGCTAGATTTCATCTACAACTGTGTGGGCTGACTCCCAAATCTCCCTTTAAGTTCATTATATTCCTAATCCTGACTTTATCTTCATTCTGATCCTGCTTCTTTTCTCTCTTCATCAGAGTCTCATTTTCCCCCTTTCTCCTCTCTTTACCACTATTTAATCTTTTACACATAGAGTCCCCTTCCAATAAGGTCAGGGCATATTCTCCCTTGGCATGACCATGCCTTAGACTAGTCTATAGCCTCATGTTAGTTTCATTTTTGCAGTAGGCTGTCTATGTGAGTAGACTGAGGTCAGCTAAATTTTACATTCTTTTGGGAGGTAGCCAAAAAACCCACACAAAATTCTTAATTTTGACACATCCTCATTCATTTTAGAGTGAAGGGCATATGAAGGACTCATGCCTCTTTATTTTTTCATTATTTCTTTTGAAAAAGAAAATACGAAGTCCTGCATTTCTCCCTGCATTTGAGTTTTTGTCATTGGCATCATCATCATCCTGTAGCTAACGCATATTACATGTTAGCCACATATATGACAGGTACTCTACTAAGTACTTTATGAAGATTGTTTCCTTTAATCCTTAAACAACACTAGGATGCAGAGATTGTTATTCTTACCCTTATATAAGAAAACTGAGTCTAAGGATGTTTAAGTAAATTGTACAAGGACCCAGAGCTCATAAATATTTGAGACAGAATTCAAACCCACAGCAATGGTTTCCAGAGACTGTACCATCAGTCAATATAGATAGAAAGTAACTTTCTAGGACCACATTTATATTTAATCCCTCAGTATTCTTAGTTTAACGTATTTAGTCTCACTTGCCTTTACTATCTTTTATATGTGTGTTTTACAGAAGAACAACGAAATTTAAGAACTAGATAGAACCTGAAAGATCACCTGGCCCAGAGGTCTCAAGCATTGGTCTGTAGACCAGTTTATCATAATCAAGTGAGATGCTTATTTAAAATCCTGATCCCGGCTGGGCACAGTGGCTCATGCCTGTAATCCCAGCACTTTGGGAGACCGAGGCAGGCGGATCTACCTGAGGTCAGTAGTTCAAGACCAGCCTGACCAACATGACAAAACCCCATCTCTATTAAAAATACAAAAATTAGCCGGGTGTGGTGGCATGTGCCTGTAATCCCAGCTACTTGGTAGGCTGAGGCCGGAGAAGCACTTGAGCCTGGGAGTTGGAGGTTGCAGTGAGCCGAGATCATGCCATTGCACTCCAGCCTGGGCAATAGAGCAAGACTCCGTCTAAAATAAATAAATAAATAAAGATAAAAATAATAATCCCTACCTCAGACCTGTCAAATTTAAATTTCTAGGATACAATTTAGGTACCTGTATTTAAAAACTAAAACTGAAGGCTTCTCAGGTATTTTGATGCTCAGTGAGGATTAAGAAAATTTTGCTTAGTCCAACTCCTCCCTTTGATTCAGATAAATAAGCTAAAGTTCAAAAGACCAAAGTGATTGAAAAAGTTTACACTATGTCTTGGAGGAAGATACGGTATGAAAACCAGGGTATCAATGCTCTCAGACAGGTGTTCTTTTTAAAAATCAGCTATCTTTTCATTTTTAGAATTCTTTGTCATTAATATCTTACAGATCTAGATGTGTTTCTTTGTCCTGATTTATATTTAGAGTCTATACCTGAATAAAAAGTTATCTTCAAATTGATAGCTTTACTAAAGCACTGTTTGTATTCTGAAGTGGATAGCAACATCTGAGAACTATTGCGTATGTATCTATCCCTGAACCCTACACTGACTGAAGAACATCTCAGGGTTTTACAACTTTTCTGAGGGATCTGAGGCTACAGTCCAAGTTATTTTCTCCCCTACTTCAGCACTTGATAAGGCACCCTCTGACAGGGCACATTCTAATAGCCATGTCCAGAAGGGTAAGAGATCCTCTTATGATTCAGCTGATTGTTTGTCTCATCAAAAGAAGGGCTACACAGTGGCAGACAATGCCATATTTTCCTAGCATGCAGACCCTGCCTTCAGCAAGCAAGTCCTTTCATTGAGGTTTTCAAAGGGACAGTAAGTTATTTTAGGGAAGAGCAGCATCTTTTTGATCATTTGTGTTGGCATATACTGCCTTAATCAGGCTATTTCTATGGAGGTTCTTTGATCTAGGGCACCAACTGCTTAACATCAGAAAACTCCCCAAATCCTCAAAAAAGGGTCCAAAGCAGCCTAGCTTTTTACCTTCTGTCGTATTTTTTGGTCTCTACTCAAGCACTCTGCACCATCTCTTGCTCTATTTTTGGTTTTTCTCTTTCCCTAAAAGGGTTTCTCATCCTTCATCCTATCTATGGCCTCATAAAACTCTGTAGATCCTTGAGATATCAATGGGGTTCTTCCAGAAACTTGGGGCAATCCTTCCCTCTGTCATCCGAGGGTGATGAGGTCTCTTTACTTACCTCCAACTGCCTCTTCGTCTACTGTGTCAGCCAACAGGTAAGAGCTGGCTGGAACATGATGGACAGAGTATTCCAAACATAGGACATGCCCACCTGCGACTGTTTGTCTCAAGTGACTCTGCTTACCACTACCCTGGTAACAGAGAAGAAGGCAAAGTAGATGTTCTTAATTTGAGGGGAAGAGCTCAGATTCTTCCTGACAATCTTTGTGATGACATTAACTGAAATGAGGGTACAGGATCAAGAATAATGAATACAAATGGCAAACAGCTGGAAGCAGAAGTCAGGTTGATAAACCAAGATTAAAAATATATTTAAGGGGGTTAAGGGAGGGATGGAGAGACTAAGATTGTAGATAAGAAATCCATGAGATGAATAAAGGACTGTAAAGCCAAGTTAAGGCCAGATCAGTAGGGGAGGCTGGAGCAGTGGCAGTTACGTTCATCAGCTGGAACAGAAAAAATCAGAAGGAGGAGTATTTGAGATGACCTGGGACACATTGCACTGTGATCCCACCTAACCAAGATCTCTGGGACTTTTGAAGTTTTTTATGTTTACATTTTGAATCCTGAACCAATAAACTCAGAAACAGAGAGCTGCTGGCTCATCAGGCTACTGCCAGGAGGAGGCTAAACGTACTACACTTGGGGCATCTACAGATACAGGGAGTCATGGGACAGAGTTCCCTAGTGCCCTGTTAGTGTTAACTCTCATAATTGCCCAATTTTCTCTCTGCTTTTCTTAGATCAAATTAGTACAGTGCTGGCTTTATTTAAAAATTGGGAAGCTTTACTTTTTTCTCTATGAAAAGTGGTAGTGTTAGGATGCTATGGTATTTTTCATGCACGTCTGTGTGAAGAGACCACCAAACAGGCTTTGTGTGAGCAACAAGGCTGTTTATTTCACCTGGGTGCAGGCGGGCTGAGTCCGAAAAGAGAGTCAGCGAAGGGAGATAGGAGTGGGGCCGTTTTATAAGATTTGGGTAGGTAAAGGAAAAAGGGGTGTTGTTCTCTGGCGGGCAGGAGTGGGGGCCACAAGGTGCTCAATAGGGGAGCTTTTGAGCCAGGATGAGCCAGAAGGAATTTCACAAGATAATGTCATCAGTGAAGGCAGGAACAGGTCATTTTCACTTCTTTTGTGGTGGAATATCATCAGTTAAGGCAGGAACTGGCCATCCGGATGTGTACGCGCAGGTCACAGGGGATATGATGGCTTAGCTTAGGCTCAGAGGCCTGACATTCCTGTCTTCTTATATTAATAAGAAAAATAAAATGAAATAGTGGTAAAATGTTGGGATGGTGAAAATTTTTTGGGGGTGGTATGGAGAGATAATGGGCGATGTTTCTCAGGTCTGCTTCAAGCCGGATTAGGGGTGAGCGTGGGAACCTAGAGTGGGAGAGATTAAGCTGAAGGAAGATTTTGTGGTAAGGGGTGATATTGTGGGGTTGTTAGAAGAAACATTTGTCATTTAGAATTATTGGAAGGAGGTTCAGCATAGCCTTGCCAGCAAAGATTGTTTATTTACTTTAAGAGTTAAGAGTGGCGGTTTGGGGATAGCACCAGGAGATATCAGCTGTGATGGTTTGGAGAAACAGTGTAAACTGGCAGTGTAAACAAGAGCAGGGCGTGTATGAGTAGTTGAGAACGGTGAATAGGAGTATGACTAGACAGAAGATAGTAGGGATGGCAGGTTTTTTGGGGTACAGTCCAGGTTGGTCTGGTGTCTGGAATGAGACTGGGGCCTAATAAAAAGGAGCGTCTATACAGGAGCTCAAATGGGCTGTACCTTGTAGCATTCCAAGAACAGGCCTGAATTCTGAGAAGGGAAAGTGGTAAAAGTATTGTCCAGTCCTTTTTAAGTTGGTGGCTGAGCTTGATAAGGTGTGTTTTTAAAAGACCATTAGTCTGTTCTACCTTTCCTGAAGACTGAGGACCGTAAGGGATATAAAGGTTTCACTGAATACCAAGAGCCTGAAAAACTGCTTGGCTGATTTGACTGATAAAGGCTGGTTTGTTATCAGACTGTATAGAGGTGGGAAGGCCAAACCGAGGAATTATGTCTGACAGAAGGGAAGAAATGACCATGGTGGCCTTCTTAGAACCTGTGGGAAAGGCCTCTACCTATCCAGTGAAAGTGTCTACCTAGACCAAGAGGTATTTTAGTTTCCTGACTCGGGGCATGTTGAGTAAAGCTAATTTGCCAGTCCTGGGCGGAGGCAAATCCCTGAGCTTGATGTGTAGGGAAGGCAGGGGGCCTGAATAATCCCTGGGAAGTAGTAGAATAGCAAATTTGCCAGTCCTGGGTGGGAGCAAATCCCTGAGCTTGATGTGTAGGGAAGGCAGGGGGCCTGAATAATCCCTGGGAAGTAGTAGAATAGCAAATTTGCCAGTCCTGGGCGGGAGCAAATCCCTGAGCTTGATGTGTAGGGAAGGGAAGGGGCCTGAATAATCCCTGAGGAGTAGTAGAATAGCAGATGGAACACTGAGAAGTTATTTCCTTGAGGATAGATTTCCACGATGGAAAGGAAATGAGAGGTTCTAACAGGCGGGCTAGTGGCTTGTGCTATAGCATAGCCTGCCTTTGCTGGTGTGTGGCGATTAGGCCTGGTGGAACCGCCATCAATAAACCAAGTGTGATCAGGGTGAGAAACAGGGAAGAAGGAAATGTGGGGAAATGGGGTGAACGTCAGGTGGATCAGAGAGATGCAGTCATGAGGGTCAGATGTGGTATCAGGAATAATGTGGGAGGCCGGATTGAAGTCCGGGCCAGGAACAATGGTAATTGTGGGAGACTCAACAAAGAGTGAATACAGCTGAAGGAGCTGCGGAGCAGACTGTATATGCATCAGGTGTGAGGAAGAAAATAGATTTTGGAAATTATGAGAGCTGTAGAGAGTGAGTTGAGCATAGTTTGTGATTTTAAGGGCCTCTAAAAGTATTAGGGCGGCAGCAGCCGCTGCACGGAGACATGATGGTCAGCCTAAAACAGTAAGGTCAAGTTGTTTGGACAGAAAGGCTACAGGGTGCGGTCCCGGCTCTTTTGTAATAATTCTGACCGCACTAACCATGCCTAGGAAGGAAAGGAGTTGTTTTGTAAGGGATTGAGGTTTGGGAGATTAGTCGGACACGATCAGCAGGGAGAGCACGTGTGTTTTTATGAGAATTATGCCGAGATAGGTAACAGATGAGGATGAAATTTGGGCTTGACTGAAGTAAAGGGGGCTGTCTGTGAAGGCTTGCGGCAGTACAGCCCAGGTAATTTGCTGAGCCTAATGGGTGTCAGGGTCAGTCCAAGTGAAAGCGAAGAGAGGCCGGGATGAAGGGTGCAAAGGAATAGTAAAGAAAGCATGTTCGAGATCCAGAACAGAATAATGGGTTGTAGAGGGAGGTATTGAGGATAGGAGAGTATATGGGTTTGGCACCACAGGGTGGATAGGCAAAACAATTTGGTTGATAAGGTGCAGATCCTGAACTAACCTGTAAGTCTTGTCTGGTTTTAGGACAGGTAAAATGGGGGAATTTTAAGGAGAGTTTATAGGCTTTAAAAGGCCATGCTGTAACAGGCGAATGATAACAGGCTCTAATCCTTTTAAAGCATGCTGTGAGATGGGATATTGGCATTGAGTGGGGTAAGAGTGATTAGGTTTTAATGGGATGGTAAGTGGTGCATGATCGGTTGCTAAGGAGGGAGTAGAGGTGTCTTACACTTGTGGGTTAAGGTGGGGAGATAGAAGGGGAGGAAGTGAAGGAGGCTTTGAACTGGGGGAGAAGGCGGCAATGAGGTGTGGCTGTAGCCCAGGTGTAGTCAAGGAACAGATAATTTAGTTAAAGTGTCTCAGCCTAATAAGGGAACTGGGCAGGTGGGGATAATTAAAAAAGAGTGCATAAAAGAATGTTTTCTAAGTTGGCACCAGAGTTGGGGAGTTTTAAGGGGTTTAGAAGCCTGGTCGTCAATACCCACAACAGTTACAGAGGCAAGGGAAACAGGCCCTTGAAAAGAAGGTAATGTGGAGTGGGTAGCCTCCGTATTAAGAAGGGGACGGACTTACCCTCCACTCTGAGAGTTACCTGAAGCTCAGTGTCTGTGATGGTCTACAGGGCTTCTGAGGCGATCAGGCAGCGTCAGTGTTCAGCCGCTAAGCCGAGAAGATCTGGGAAGGAGTCAATCAGAGAGCCTTGGGCCAGAGTTCCAGGGGCTCTGGGAGTGGCTGCCAGGTGAGTTGAACAGTCTGATTTTCAGTGGGGTCCAGCACAGATGGGATGCAGCTTAGGAGGAATCATGGGCTGCCGGTATTCCGTGGCCTGGTGGCCAGATTTCTGGCACTTGTAGCAAGCTCCTGGGGGAGGCGGGCCTGGAGGAACACCTGTGCCCTGCGGTTTAGGCGTTTGGAAGTTCTTGTGTGCTGGAGATGTGGCTGGGGTTTGTCTCACAGTGGAGGCAAGGAATTGTATACCTTGAAGGGGAGGTTAATTAAGTCCTGTTGTGGGGTTTGAGGGCTGGAATTTAATTTTTGGAGTTTTATTTAATGTCAGGAGCAGATTGGGTAGTAAAATGTATATTGAGAATAAGATGGTTTTTTGACTTTTTAGGGTCTAGGACTGTAAAGCGTCTCAGTGTTGCAACCAAACGAGTCATGAACTGGACTGGGTATTAATATTTGATGAAAAAGAGCCTAAATGCTATCTGATTTGGGATAAAGAAAAAGAGCATTAACCTTGACTATGCCTTTAGCTCCAGCCACCTTTTTAAGAGGATATTGCTGGGCAGGTGGGGGAGGGCTAGTCACCGAACGAAACTGTAAGCCGGACTGGGTGTGAGGAGGGGAGGTGATAAAAGGATTATAGGGTGGAGGAGCGGAGGCTGAGGAATAATTGGGACCTAGCTCGGCCTGGCGAGGAGGGGAGAGGTCAGATGGGTCTGTAGAAAAGGAAGATTAGAAGGACTCAGCGATGCTTGGGGTTGGGACTGAGGGGACAGGTGGGAGGGAAAGAAGGAAGATTTCGGACGATTTGCATTGGGAACAGAGACTAGGGAGGAACTGATGTGTAAAAGAATGCCTGGACGTCAGGCACCTCAGACCATTTGCCCATTTTATGACAAGAATTATTTAGATCTTGTAGGATGGAAAAAGTGAAAGTGCCATTTTCTGGCTATTTGGAACCACTGTCGAGTTTGTATTGGGGTCAAGCGGCATTGTAGAATAAAATAAGGCATTTAGGTTTTAGGTCAGGTGTGAGTTGAAGAGGTTTTAGGTTTTTAAGAACACAGGCTAAGGGAGAAGAAGGGGGAATGGAGGGTGGAAGCTTGCCCATAGTGAAGGAGGCAAGCCTAGAGAAAAGAGAGAGTAGAGACATGGAGAGAAGGGATGGGGGGTTCTTGCCCTCCAGAAAAGCAGGAAAGGGGTTGGGGCATGGAAATAAAGGGTCGGGGTGCAGAAATAAGAGGTCGGGGCATGGAAATAAGGGATCGGGGTGCAGAGATAAGAGGTTGGGGTTCCTGCCCCTCCCCCAGAAAAGCAGGACTTGCCACTAAGGGTAAAGGACCAAGGCCGGCGTCCCTGCGTGGTCTGACACCTCTGAAACCTGGGTGAATAATCAGAGAGGTGTCCCTGCAATGATTAAACACCAAGGGAAGGCTGCCTTCCCTAGTCTGTGACAGGCACCGGAGTTTTGGGTCCACGGATAAAACATGTCTCCTTTGTTTCTACCAGAAAATGAAAGGAATTGAAATTAAGAGAAGGGAGAGATTGAAGTGTGGCGCCAAGATTGAAAGGAGAAAGAGGTTAAGGGATAGTGAGTGAGGTTGGAGAAGAGAGTAAAAAGAGGCCGCTTACCGGATTTGAAATTGGTGAGATGTTTCTTGGGCTGCTGGGTCTGAGGACCTGAGGTCGTAGGTGGATCTTTCTCACGGAGCAAAAAGCAGGAGGACAGGGGATCTCCCAAGGGAGGTCCCCTGATCCGAGTCATGGCACCAAATTTCATGTGCGTCCGTGTGAAGAGACCACCAAACAGGCTTCATGTGAGCAACAAGGCTGTTTATTTCACCTGGGTGCAGGTGGGCTGAGTCGGAAAAGGGAGTCAGCAAAGGGAGATAGGGGTGGGGCCGTTTTTATAAGATTTGGGTAGGTAAAGGAAAAAGGGGTGTTGTTCTCTGGCGGGCAGGAGTGGGGGTCACAAGGTGCTCAGTAGGGGAGCTTTTGAGCCAGGATGAGCCAGGAGAAGGAATTTCACAAGATAATGTCATCAGTGAAGGCAGGAACAGGCCATTTTCACTTCTTTTGTGGTGGAATGTCATCAGTTAAGGCAGGAACCAGCCATCTGGATGTGTACGTGCAGGTCACAGGGGATATGATGGCTTAGCTTGGGCTCAGAGGCCTGACAGTATTAGTATTGATTTGTAACCACAGTCAATGGCAAAAATGAACTTTCTGTGTAAATGCATCTCCTTGCTGCCCCCTTACAACAAGGTTCCTGCTCCTAACTTCCTCTAAAAACAAAACAAACAAACAAAAAACTCACAAGCTGCCAATATCCACCTTTAAAAACAGTTCAATGGCATATGACTTATCTTTAAAGAATTCTTATGCTTCTGGTTAATGATGTCATACTAAACTCATGCATCTAATTTCACTCCCTCCATAAACTCTACTAAAATAAAAAAGACATAAAACCCAAAAGGACAGAGAAGAGAGGCAAACAAATAATAACAACAAAGTTTGGAAACTGGAAACCAGATGGATGCACCAGCGATGACCAACACTGCCCTCAGCTTGACCAAACTTTAGATAGATATCTTCCCGACTATAGGCCCCTGGCTTCCCTTTTCTTTACATTTGCATTCGAGAACTGACAATTGTAATTTTTTTCTGGGCTCTTTTGAGATGTAAATATTCTCCCAGACTCTTGATAGTTTTATAGCCCAGGAATGTCTTTCTCAAGGACCTGGGAGCTATCTCTTGGAAATGTGATCAAGAAAGATTAGATAGGTTCCAGTTTCATTCTTCTGTGTGTGGATAGCCAGTTTTGCCAGCACCATTTATTGAATAGGGTATCCTTTCCCCATTTATTTTTGTTGACTTTGTCAAAGATCAGTTGGTTGTTAAGTATGTGGCTTTATTTCCGGGTTCTCTATTCTGTTCCACTGATCTATATGTCTATTTTTGTAATAGTACCATGCTGTTTTCATTACTATAATCTCATAGTATAGTTTGAAGTCAGGTAATGTGATGCTTCTGTAGCAGGACAAGCCACAGATAAAACCTCTCAGACACCAAGTTGTAGAAGGAAGGGCTTTATTCAGCTGGGAGCATCAGCAAGCTACTGCCTTAAAATCCGAGCTCCCCAAATGCGCAATTTCTGTCCCTTTTAAGGGCTCACAACACTAAACATTTCACATGAAAGGATCGTGATTGATTTAAGCAATCAGGTGGTACGTCACAGGGGCTGCATGCACCGGTGGTCAGAGAGAAACAGAACAGGGCAGGGAGTTTCACAATGTTCTGCTATACAATGTCTGGAATCTATGAATAACATCAGGTTCTAAGTCATGAGTTGATTTTTAACTACTGGGTTTAGGCCAGGCAGGCCCAGGCCTGGTTTCGGGCCTGGTGCCGAGCTGCCTGTCTTTGGGTTAACTTTCTTGCTGTTTTTTCTTAAAACAGGTACTGAGTATAAAACAATATAAAACAATATGAGAGGGTCTCTCTCTTCCCTCACTTCCAGCCTTACTCTTTTGCTTCAGGTTACCTTGGCTATTTGGGCTCTTTTTTGGTTCTATATGAATTTTAGAAGTTTTTTTCTAATTTTGTGAAAAATGATGGTAATTTGATAGGAACTGCATCAAATCTGTAGATTGCTTTGGGCAGTATATTCATTTTAATGTTATTGGTTCTTCCTATCCATGAGCACAGGATGTTTTTCCATTGGTTTGTGTCATTGAAATGGCCTCATTTCCTGGGCTGGCATCTGAAATTCTTGGAATCATGGCTGAGGAAATCAAAGATGCGGACACACCAAGGATAAGGTCAGAGCAGAAGCACAAGGTTAATAGGCAAAAGGAAGAGAACAGCTCTCTGCAGCAGAGAAGGGTCCTGGAAAGGGTTGCCATTTTTACAGTTGAATGCAAAGGCTTTTATAAGAAAGTGATGAGGGCTGGGCATCTCATTTGCATAAGGTGCGAATTTCTGGTAGCTCCACCCTGTCCTCCTAATGTCCATGTGGGCCCTTAGCTTGAGTTACTCCATATTGCTTTGTACCTCTTACTGTGCATGTGTCGGGGGATGGAATTTTCCATTGTGGGCATGTCTATGCAAGTCACCTGTGTAGCCTTTCTTATCTGTGCAGCTGTGGGCATGTCTCAGGCAAGCCCACCCCCAACAGCCCCCCAGTCCCCCTGCCCCTGCCTGGTACAAGTTCCCTTATCTGTGCCTGCAGGCTGTTCTTTAGTTTGAAATAATTCAACCGAGGACCCACCCTGACTGCCTGCCTGACTGGGTTTCTTCCTTTCTTCTCTCTCATCATCTATGATTTCTTTCATAAGTGTTTTGTAGTTGTCCTTATAGAAGTCTTTCACTTCCTTGGTTAAATGTATTTCTAGGTATCTTACTTTGTGTGTGTTTGTGGCTATTGTAAATGGAATTGGGTTCTTGATTTTGTTCTCAGCTACAGTGTTGTTGGTGTATAGAGATGCAACTGATTTTTTGTGCTTTAATTTTGTATCCTGAAACTTTACTGAAGTCGCTTATCAGATCGGTGAGTCTTTTGGAGTAATGTTTAGGTTTTCTAGGTGTAAGATCATGTCATCAGTGAACAGAGATAATATGACTTCTTCCTTTCCAATTTGGATACCTTTTGTTAATTTTTCTTGCCTGATTGCTCTGGCTAGGACTTCTACTACTATGTTGAATAGGAGTGGTGAGAAAAGACATCTTTGTCATATTATGCAGCCATAGAAAAGAATGAAATCATGTCCTTTGCAGCAACATGGATGGATCCTAAGTGACATAATTCAGATACAGAAAATCAAATACCACATATTCTCACTTATAAGTAGGACCTAAACAATGGGTATACATGAGCATAGAGATGGAAATAACAGACACTGGAGACTCCAAAAGCAGGGAGACAAGAGTTGAAAAACTACCTATAGGGTACAATGTTCACTATTTGGATGACCAGTTCACTAGAAGCCCAAAGTTCAACATTGTGCAATATACCCATGTGACAAACCTGCACATGTACCCCCTGAATCTAAAGTTAAAAAAAATACAAAGATAGTACACCTATCTCTCGGTCTCTGTGGGAAGGTAGGGGCCTGACTTTCAAAAGCGTCCCTTTTGTTTTTATTTATTTATCTATTTTTTAATTATACTTTAAGTTTTAGGGTACATGTGCACAATGTGCAGGTTTGTTACATATGTATACATGTGTCATGTTGGTGTACTGCACCCATTAACTCGTCATTTAACATTAGGTATATCTCCTAATGCTATCCTTCCCACCCCCACCCCACAACATGCCCTGGTGTGTGATGTTCCCCTTCCTGTGTCCATGTGTTCTCATTGTTCAATTCCCACCTATGAGTGAGAACATGCGGTGTTTGGTTTTTTGTCCTTGTGATAGTTTGCTGAGAATGATGGTTTCCAGCTTCACCCATGTCCCTACAAAGGACATGAACTCATCATTTTTTATGGCTGCATAGTATTCCATGGTGTATAGGTGCCACATTTTCTTGATCTAGTCTATCATTGTTGGACATTTGGGTTGGTTCCAAGTCTTTGCTATTGTGAATAGTGCCGCAATAAACATACGTGTGCATGTGTCTTTATAGCAGCATGATTTGTAATCCTTTGGGTATATACCCAGTAATGGGATGGCTGGGTCAAATGGTATTTCTAGTTCTAGATCCCTGAGGAATCGCCACACTGACTTCCACAATGGTTGAACTAGTTTACAGTCCCACCAACAGTGTAAGAGTGTTCTTATTTCTCCACATCCTCTCCAGCACCTGTTGTTTCCTGACTTTTTAATGATCGCCATTCTAATTGGTATGAGATGGTATCTCACTGTGGTTTTGATTTGCATTTCTCTGATGGCCAGTGATGATGAGCATTTTTTCATGTGTCTTTTGGCTGCATAAATGTCTTCTTTTGAGAAGTGTCTGTTCATATCCTTCACCCACTTTTTGATGGGGTTGTTTGTTTTTTTCTTGTAAATTTGTTTGAGTTCATTGTAGATTCTGGATATTAGCCCTCTGTCAGATGAGTAGATTGCAAAAATTTTCTCCCATTTTGTAGGTTGCCTGTTCACTCTGATGGTAGTTTCTTTTGCTGTGCAGAAACTCTTTAGTTTAATTAGATCCCATTTGTCAATTTTGGCTTTTGTTGCCATTGCTTTTGGTGTTTTAGACATGAAGTCCTTGCCCATGCCTGTGTCCTGAATGGTATTGCCTAGGTTTTCTTCTGGGGTTTTTATGGTTTTAGGTCTAACATTTAAGTCTTTAATCCTTCTTGAATTAATTTTTGTATAAGGTGTAAGGAAGGGATCCAGTTTCAGCTTTCTACATATGGCTAGCCAGTTTTCCCAGCACCATTTATTAAATAGGGAGTCCTTTCCCCACTTCTTGTTTTTGTCACGTTTGTCAAAGATCAGATAGTTGTAGATATGCGGCATTATTTCTGAGGGCTCTGTTCTGTTCCATTGGTCTATATCTCTGTTTTGGTACCAGTACCATGCTGTTTTGGTTACTGTAGCCTTGTAGTATAGTTTGAAGTCAGGTAGCGTGATGCCTCCAGCTTTGTTCTTTTGGCTTAGGATTGACTTGGCGATGCGGGCTCTTTTTTGGTTCCATATGAACTTTAAAGTAGTTTTTTCCAATTCTGTGCAGAAAGTCACTGGTAGCTTGATGGGGATGGCATTGAATCTATAAATTACCTTGGGCAGTATGGCCATTTTCACGATATTGATTCTTCCTACCCATGAGCATGGAAGGTTCTTCCATTTGTTTGTATCCTCTTTTATTTCCTTGAACAGTGGTTTGTAGCTCTCCTTGAAGAGGTCCTTCACATCCCTTGTAAGTTGGATTCCTAGGTATTTTATTCTCTTTGAAGCAATTGTGAATGGGAGTTCACTCATGATTTGGCTCTCTGTTTGTCTGTTATTGGTGTATAGGAATGCTTGTGATTTTTGCACATTGATTTTGTATCCTGAGACTTTGCTGAAGTTGCCTATGGAAAGCAAACACAGATGGCCTAATCACATTGACCAACCTCCCTGCTAACACCCTCCAGTAGTTTTCTACTAGCTCACCCCAGCTCTTAAAAGTCCTCCTGCCTTTTGATTCAGCAGAGTTGAGTTTACTCTGTCTCCCCTATTACAGTAATCTTGACTCCTACGGAAATCATGTTAAATAAAGTCTTCCTTGCCTGTTCAACTCTGTGCAGGGCAATTTTTCTTTGACAGTTCACTGAGTTAGCAGATGCATGAAAACTAAATCCTAAGCTGGCAGTAGATAAAATAGAGGAAACAATCTGATCAACACCAAAAAATCCTCAAAAGGCCCAGAAACCGGCATCCTTTGGTGCCTCTCGACTTGAGAGTGAAAGGGAAATAAACTAAGAAGAAAGAGATGATAGCTATTTCAGAAGAATTTGGATCCCTAATTTCCCCCTTTTCACTGCACACTGCTCAAATATTGTCCCTCTCCTATCCCAACGGAAGTTGGGAGATTTACTTTCTGAATAAGTTTGGGTCTTGGGGTGGCCATATACAGCTAAGATTAGTGAATCATATCAAAAATAAGAGAATTACATAACAACGTATGCATACCAAATGCTGAATGCTGAAATGCACAGCCCTTTATCTACATTAAGCTGCCAAGCCTCCACCTTAAATACAGAATATTAAAAGAATTTTCTTGGAGTTTGGCTAGCCCAAGAGAAAAGAACTAAAGATACTGACATTGAGGGGTTTCTTCCCCAAATTGTGCTTCCCAGCCAGATCACCCTGTGGTGAAACTCAAAGAAGACAGCTCCATCTACAAGCACAGAGCTTCCCATCAGTTTCCACAAATGTTATTTGGTTACGGCATATATCAGCAAAGTCCATGAATCTGAAGAGCACAGCTCAATAATTTTTTCATATGTATACACCAATGTAAACACCCCACAGATCAATATACATAACACTTCCATAAAGCCAGAACACTCCCTCTTGCCCCTTCTGAGGCACTGTCCTCTCAGAGGTAATTGCTTTGTGATTCATATCACTATAAGATTAGTTTTGTCTGTTTTTGAAGTTCAGGTAAAAGGAATTACACTGCAGAACTCTTGTATTTGGCTTCTTTAGCTCAACATTACATCTGTCAGACTCAATCATGTTTGTTGCATATACCAGAAGTTTGTTCTTTTTATTGCTGTGTAACATTTTATTATACAAATAACCCATAGTTTATTCAATTCTCTGTTGAATAATGGTGGGCAAATGGATTGCTTCCAATATTTTGGCTATTATGAGTAAAGCTGACAGAAATATGCTCAAACATTTTGTGGGACATTTCGCTTAGAGTGTACACCTAGAATAGCAGTAATATTTCTGGGCAATAGGGTAAGTAATATTTAGCTTTAGTAGATGTAGACAAACTGTTTTCCAAAATATTTATATAAATGCATACTCTCATCCAAATCATTGAGAGTTCCAGTTGCCCTGTATTTTCAACAGAACTAGTAGTTTCAGTCTTCTTTCCCAACATTGTATTAGAAAATTTTAAAAATACACAGCAAGGTGAAAGAATTTTACAGTAAACATTCCTATACCGCCCACCTAGATTTAACCTTTAAAACTTTATTATACTTGCTTCCACACATCCATTTATTCATCCTTCATTCTACTTTATTTTAAAATCAACTTTATTGGGGTATTATTTACATAAAATGTACCTATTTTAGGTGCACATTTTAAGAAGTTTTGACAACTTTATATACCTGTGCAAACTACCACAGTCAAGATACGGACTTCACTCCAAGTCCCATGCGGCCAGCCATCTGAATTCTGTCATTGTAGATTAAGTTTGCTTTTCCCAGAGTCAAATTAATAGAATCTTACAGTATGCACACTTATGTCTGGTTTCTTTGGCTCAACAAAGTGTTTGAGATTTATCCACGTTGTGGTGTATGTCAGTAACGTATGTTTTCATTACCCAGTAGTATTCTATTGTATACCACAATTTGTTTATGCCTTTTATAGCTGATGAGCATTTTGGCTGTAACTATTTCTGATCATTATGAATAATTGAGCTATAAATACCTATGTACAAACTTTTGGGTGGACATATTTCATATGATAACTGTATGTTCAGTATTGTAAAAAAATTCATTTTCCAAAGCAGTTGTGCCACTTTACATTTCTACCAGCACTATATGGGGATTCCGTTGCTCATATTTTTGTTATTGTTTAGACAGGGTCTTGTTCTGTCACCCAGGCTGGAGTGCAGTGGTGCAATGATCTCAGCTTACTGCAGCCTCGACCTTCTGGGCTCAAGCAACCTTCCCAATTCAGTCTCCCAAGTAGCTGGGACCATAGGCATGTGCTACCACGCCCAGCTAATTTTTGTATTTTTTGTAGAGATGGGGTTTTGCCATGTTGCCCAGGCTGGTCTTGAACTCCTGTGCTCAAGTGATCTGCCTGTCTCAGCCTCCCAAAGTGCTGAGATTAGAGGCGTGAGCCACTGTGCCTGGCCCAGATGCTCATATTCTTGTTAGCACTTGGTATTGCCAGTCTTTTTATTTTAGGAGGTAAATTGTAATATTACACTGTAGTTTTAATTTGCATTGTTCTGATGACTGATGATGTTGAGTACCTGGAAACTTGCCATTGGAACCCAGTTGTCATGTTGTGAGAAGGCCTAGGCTACAGGGAGAGGCCATGGGAAAGTATTCTAGTTGACTGTCCCAGCTAACTTCCTACCCATAAGGTCTAACACTCAACATCAACAACCAGAGATCTGATTAAACAAGAGAACAGATGGTTCAGTCTCCATCCTCTTAGCCGTCGAGGAGACATCACATGGAGTAGAGATGAGGTATCCAAACCAGTTCTGCCCAAACTGAAAGTGAGTAAAATAAATGCAGTTGTTATTTAAAGCCATTAAGTTTTGGAGTGGTTTGTTACACAACCACAGGTAACTGGTACCGATTTTGGTTATCATAATCATAATTTTCTTTTTTCAACTTTTGTTAGCCTCATAAAATGAGGTGGCAGCTATTTCCTTTTTGTTTACTGTCTGTAGAATTTGTGTAAGATTAAATGGAATCTTTCTACAATGTATGCATAGATCAAAACATTACATTGTAGCTCATAAATATATAAAGTTGTCAATTAAAAATAATGAATAAATTAAAATTTTACTTAGATTAAAATTTTTTTAAATTTAATTTTTTTTAAATGATGAGGGAATTAAACAGTGAAACCATCTAACCTTGAATTTTTCTTTGTGGTTAGTTGTTGATATTGATTTCGTTAATAAATATAGGAATATTCAGCTTTCTGTCTCAAATTACAATATCTGCACTAGGTTTTAAAAGCTCTATTTTTCAAGAATTTTGTTATCAAATTTGTTAGTAAACATATTTTTCAAAATAGCCTCTTTTTTCTTTTTTTTTTTTTTTTTTTTTTGAGATGGAGTTTCACTCTTGTTGCCAAGGCTGGAGTGCAATGGCACAATCTCAGCTCACCGCACCCTCCGCCTCCCAGGTTCAAGTGATTCTTCTGCCTCACCCTCCCTAGTAGCTGGGATTACAGGCATGTGCCACTATGCCTGGCTAATTTTGTATTTTTAGTAAAGACAGGGTTTCTCCATGTTAGTCAGACTGGTCTCGAACTTCTGACCTCAGGGATCTGCCCTCCTCGGCCTCCCAAAGCAAAATATCCTCTTCTTATCCTTGTGATGCCTGTGAAACCTGTATGGACAACCTTGCTTTCTCTTTCTTTTCTCTTGATCCATCTGGCTAGGGGTTAATCAATTTTGTTCATTTTCTTCAAAAGGCCAACTTTGGCTTTGTTACCTTTCTCTAGTGTTTGTTTTTTATTTCATTGTTTTTATTTCTTTCTTTTTACTTTCTTAGGGTTTACTTTGCTTTTTTTCTTCTAGCTTTTAAATTTAGAACATTGTTATTAACTGTAGACCTTTTTTCCTTAATTCAAGCATTTAAAGCAATAAATTTCCCTCTAAGCACAACTTTAGCTGCGTTTCCAACATTTTGGTGTTACATTTTTAATATAATTCATCTCAAAATATTTTCTAATGTCCCTTAAATTTATTCTTTGACTCATAGACTTTCTATTTGTATTGCTTAATTTTCAAATATCTTGATTTTTAAATTTATTGGTGTTATTGATTTATAATTTCATCTTAGTTGGATATAATATTATGTATGATTACAATCCTTTTAATTTATTAACATTTATTTTATGGCCCTCTCTATGGTTTATGTTGGTGAGTTGACCATATGATTTGAAAGAATGTGCATTTTATAAGTGGTTGTTTATGGTATTCCGTAAGTATCAATTAGGTAAAGAAAGTATTATTCAAATATTTTATATATTGATTAATCATTCTATCTACTTGTTCTACCAGCTTTTGGGAAAAAATGTTAAAATATCTAGATATAATTGTGTAATTTCCCATTTCTCCCTTTAATTCTTTTAGTTTTTGATGCATGTGTTTTGAAACTCTTTCATAAGATGCAACCACATTTATTATTGTATCTTCAGGATGAGTCGATCATATTATTATTATGAAACATCTTCCTTTATCTCTGGTAGTACTCTTTGTCTTGAAGTCTATATTGTCTAATTTTAACATAGACACTCCAGCTTTCTTATACTTAGTATTTTTGTGTTATTTCTTACCACTGTGTGAAAAATCACTCTGAAAAACTAATGCTGAACATATGCAGAAACTGGGACCCCAGAATTCTACTTCTATATTCAACCAAAATATGTATGTATACTCTCCAAAGTCATGTACTAGAATGTTTATGTCACTACTATTTGTAAAATACCAGACTGGGAATTATCTAAATACCTATGAATAATATTAATATAATAGATGAATTGTGGTATATTTATCAGTGGAGAATTAGCAGCAAAAGAATGAAAAAAAAACATAGCTCTGTGCTTCCTGCCCTCCTCCCTGTCCTGAGAATTGGGAGTGTCTATTATAGTTATTCCATGTCTATATCACCATTATGTTAGGCACGTGTGTGTTGGGGGGTGGATAAACTTGTCGCTTACATTCTCAGGTCTTCAGATTGAGAGGAACCGTACACAGGGAACTGCATCTGAGAAAACTCATTTTTACCTGGACCTCATTTAGATGATAAGATCGTGGACATTAACATGATGTGGCAAAGGGATGAGATTCTCAGGCTCTTGGGAGGGGCCGAGTCTATTTTGAATGTGGGAGGAAAGTAAATAATTTGTGGCAAGTGTGCAGGCTGTGGCAAATTAAAGACGACCAACAATTTTTTGCCACTCTTCCTATTGAGAGACAGAGCTTAATTTTCTTCCCTTAGTGACTTGTTTGACCAATAGAAGGCAGTGAAAGTGAGATTCTGGGATTTTCATAGGCTAGTTTGGGAAGCTTATGAAGTAAAGCAGCTTCCGCCTTGGTCTCTTAGAACGTTTGCTCGCACGGTGCTTGCTTTCAGAACCTGCTGCCTTGCTGTGAGCTGTCCAAGTGATGACCACCTACAGGTGTTCAGACCTAACAAACAAACGGAGAATGCAGGATTTATTTCAAAAAATGCTACGGATACAACTAGGCTATTTGTTAAAAAAATTAAAAGTAAAAGCAGATCCTCTTCTTTCACTTTACCACAATATAAATGGCAGGTAAATTAGAGATTTAAATGTAGTACTTAGAATTTAGAAGAAATAACTACATGAAATTTTCCTCATTTACGCCTGGAAAGTACTTTTGTGTGTAAGAATAATGGAAGAATAACGCAAAGCAAAATATCTGTCAATTTTGAAAACAAAAATTATTTTAAACCTATTTTTTAATGGACAAATAATAATTGTATGTATTCGGGGGGTACATAGTGATGTTTTGATACATATATAGTGATCAGATCACGGTAATTAGGATATCCATCATCTCGAACATTTATCATTTCTTTCTGTTGGGAATGCTCAGTATCCTCCTTCTAGCTACTTGAAACTATGTAATGTATTATTGTTAACTATAGTCATCCTACAGTGGTATAGAACACTAGAACTTATCCTGCTATTAGCTGTAATCAAAAATAATTTTTTTAAAAAGAATATTAATAAAGAATAAGCAGTGAGCCACATAAAAAAATAATAATTTAAAAAATACATAATGGAATGACTAGTAAAGAAAAAAAGTACCCATAATAAAATACTTTACTTTGTTTTATTGTCTTTGATAACCATTTAAAAAGGCATGAACACCCCAGCGAAAAGGGCAAATATATTAACAGGACATTCTGAGGTTAAAAATCAGATGAAACAACCATTCAGTCTTACTAGTAACAAAGGAAATGCAAGTTTTAAAAACAATTTGATTGTTTTATTTTATTTGTTATATACTGTTTATTTTATTTGTATAAACTTAGAGGATACAAGTGCAGTTTTGTTACCTGTAAATATTGCATGGTGGTGAACTCTGGGCTTTTAGTGTAACTATCACCAGAATATGGTACATTGTACTCATTAAGCAATTTCTCATCCCTCAGCCCCCTCCCACCTTCCCATCCTCCTGAGTCTCCAATGTCTATTATTCCACTTCTATGCCCAACTTGATTTCATTTTTTATGGCTGAGTAGTAGTTCAGTGTGTGTGTGTGTGTGTGTGTGTGTGTGTGTGTGTGTACATACACACTACATTTTCTTTATCCAGTCATTCGTTGATGAACACTTAGTTTGATTCCATATCTTTGCTATTGTGGATAGTGCTACAATAAACATACAGGTGCAGGTATCTTTTTGATATAGCAATTTCTTTTCCTTTGAGTATATACCTAGTAGTGAAATTGCTGGATCAAATGATAGTTCTATTCTCAGTTCTTTGAGAAATCATACTGTTTTCCATAGAGGCTGTATTAATTTACATTCCTACCAACATTGCGTTAAGTATTCAATTTTCTCTGTATCCCCACCAACATCTATTATTTTTTGACTTTTACAATAGCCATTCTGACCGGTGCAAGATGATATCTCATTGTGGTTTTAATTTTCATTTCTCTGATGGTTAGTGATGTTGAGCATTTTCCTCATATGCTTATTAACCATTTGTATGTTTTGTTTTGCTCAAAGCAGAAGTATACAAATTTATTTAATACAAGTTTTACATGATACAGAGCCTTAAGGAAATGAAGATCCAAGGATGCAGTTAGAGTTTGAACACTTACATACTGAATTAAATGAGGAATAGTAAATTGTGAAAATGTGACAAGGCAAAGGGGTTTGGGCTGGGGTAGTTAATTGGGTGGAATTGACTAGAAAGATAAGGATTAGTCTAACAAGGTTTCTTTATATACATTTCCCTTAATCTCAAGTTCTGTCCTTGATAATAAAAATGATAGTTTCCTCTAGTACAGGGAGGAAATTTTCCACAAGGAAATGTCATCTCTTGTTTTTAAGAAACAGAAAACAGGCCAGAGCAATCTTCTTGCACCTGCTGTTTTTCAAGTGCCTTCAACTCAAAATAGTCATTATGCCAAAGTGACTCATTAGGAGATGGTTATATGTTTTCTTTTGAAAAATGTCTGTTCATATCTTTTGTCCAATTTTTTAAAATTTTTATATATATATATTTTTATTATACTTTAAGTTCTAGGGTATGTGTGCACAACGTGCAGGTTTGTTACATATGTATGCATGTCCCATGTTGGTGTGCTGCACCCATTAACCGGTCATTTACATTAGGTATATCTCCTAATGCTATCCCTCCCCCCTCCCCTCTACCCCCACCCCACAACAGGCCCCGGTGTGTGATGTTCCCCTTCCTGTGTGTTTTGTTGTTGTTGTTGTTGTTGTTGTTGTTGAGCTGTTTGACTTCCTTGTAGATTCTGAACATTAGTCTTCTGTCAGATGCATAGTTGGCAAATATTTTCTCCCATTCTTCAGGTGGTTTGTTTACTCTGTTGATTATTTCTTTTGCTGTGCAGAAGCTTTTTGGTTTAATTTAGTTCCATTTGTCTATTTCTGTCTTTGTTGCCTGTGCTTTTGAGGTGTTAGTCATGAATTATTTGCTTAGATCAATGTTGATATGATTTGGATGTTTGCCCTCTCCAAACCTCATGTTGAAGTGAGATCCCCAATGTTGGATGTGGGGCCTAGTGAGAGATGTTTGGGTCATGAGGGCGGATCCCTCATGAATGGCTTGGTGCTCTCCCCGCAGTAATGAGTCCATGTGAAAGCTGGTTGTTTAAGACAGCATGGCATCCCTCTTGTTACCTCTCTTGCCATATGATATGCTGGCTCCCCTTCACCTTCCACCATGATTGGAAGCTTCTTGAGGCCTCACCAGAAGCAGATGCTGGCACTATCCTTTGTGTACAGCCTGCAGAACCATGGGCCAAATAAACCTCTTTTCCTTATAAATTACCCACCCTCAGATTTTCCTTTGTAGCAATGCAAATGGACTCACACAAATGTCTAGGGGAGTTTTTCCTCAGTTTTCTTCTAGGATTTGTATAGTTTCAGGTCTTACAGTTAAGTCTTTAATCCATCTTGAGTTAATTTTTGTATATGGTGAGAAATATGGGTCCAGTTTCATTTTTCCGCATATAGCAATCCAATTTTCCTAGAACTGTTTGTTGAATAGGGTGTCTTTTCCCCAGTGTATGTTTTTGTTAACTTTGTCAAATATCAGTTGGCTGTAAGTATGTGGCTTTATTTCCAGGTTCTCTATTCTTTCCATTGATCTATGTGTCTGTTTTTATACTAGTACCATGTTGTTTTGGTTACTATAACTTTTTAGTATAATTTGAAGTCAGGTGATGTAATGCCTTCAGCTTTGTTCTTTTTGCTTAGGATTTCTTTGGCTATTTGTGATCTTTTTTGGTTCCATATGAATTTTAGGATTTTTTTCTAATTCTATGAAAAATGGTGTTGGTATTTTGATAGGAATTGCATTGAATCTATAGATTGCTTTGGGCAGCATGGTAATTTTAACAATATTGATTCTTCCAATCCATGATCATGGGATGTTTTTCCATTTATTCGTGTCATCTAAAATTTCTTTCTTCAGTGTTTTGTAGTTTTTCTTGTAGACATTTTTTACCTCCTTGGTTACATATAATCCTAGGTATCATCAGAGACTACTATAAACAACTATGAATTCACAAATGAGAAAACCTTGAGGAAATGGATAAATTCTTGAAATATAAAATCTCCGAAGATTGTGCCAGGAACAAGTAGAAATGCTAAATAAACCAATACTGAGTAGTGAGATTGAATCATACAATCTCCCAACAACAACAACAAAAAGCCCAGGATCAGTTTAATTCACAGCTGAATTTCACCAAACATACAAAGAACTGGTACCAGTCTTCCTGAAACTCTTCCAAAAAATCAATGAGGAAAGAATCCTCCCTAATTCATTCTACAAAGCAGGTATCACCTGGATATCAAAGCTAGATAAGGACACACAAAAAAGAAAACTACAGACCAATATTTGTGGTGACAATAGATGCAAAAATTCTCCATAAAATACTAGCAAACTGAATCCAACAGCACATCAAAAAGATAATACACCATGATCAAGTGGGTTTTTTTTTTGAGGAATACAAGGATAGTGAAATATATACAAATCAATAAATGTGATTCACCACATAAACAGAATTTAAAATAAAAACCTTATAATCATCTCAATAGATATAGAAAAAGCAACTGATAAAATTCCATATCCCTTCATGATAAAAATGCTCAACAAACTAGGCCTAGAAGGAATATACCTAAATATAATAAAAGCCATATGTGACAAACCCATAGCCAGCATAATACTGAATGGGGGAAAGCTGAACGCATTCCCCCTAAGAACTAGAGAAAGACGAAGATGACCACTTTCATCACTCCTATTCAACATGATACTGGAAGTCTTAACTGGAAGTCCTTAACCAGAACAATCAGGGAAAAAAAAAAAAGACATCCAAATTGGAAAAAGGAAGTCAAAGTATCTTTGTTTGCTGATGATATGATCTAATACCTAGAATACCTTAAAGATTCCTCCAGAAGACTCCTAGATTTGATAAATGAATTGAGTAAAGTTTCATGATGCAAAATTAATGTACAAAAATCAGTAGCATTTCTACACACTAATAACAATCAAGCTGAGAACCAAATCAAGACCTCAATCCCATTTACAATAGCTACAAAAAGTTGGATTATTTTAGACCTATGAAATTGCTTATGATTGAAACCAACAATGATACTAGAACAAAGCATAGTGGATAATAGCATGTACTCCAGAGTCATTACAGACCTAGGTGGGGATTCCACTCTCTCCACTTAATAGAATTAATTAAAATACAGTAGATATAAGTAGCTTTTTTTGAGCAGCTGCTTTGTATGAGGCACTATGGCTGGTGTGCTTTATTTAGGTTGCCTCATTAATTGAGTTTTGGAGTTTTTGAGGGTATTGTTTCCATCAGGATTATTCTCTTTAAGGAAATCGCCAGCAGAAATAGTTGTGTTTTAGTTTATACTCCTGATTTCTTCTTCAATGCAGTTTTACCTAGGACATGGGACAAGTGCTGACTTGCCTAATGCATATAGGCAGGAGTTCCCAGGTGACCTGCTAGTCAGGCTGAAGTACACTGCATTGCCAGCAAGAGGCTTCAGAATCACATTCCCGAGACCCACATTTGAGATCTTAACCCCTGGGAAAGAGAGGTCCTCAGCTCCCCTAGGATCCAGCCAGAGTTGGCTGGAGAACAGGCTGCACAATGACACCGAGGTCGACCTTAACGAGCACATTGGGAGATGGTGTTCTAGGAGCCTTTATAACCTTAAGAGATATTCCTGTCTTCTTATGCCCGGGGAAGCTGAAATCGAGCCATACACTTCAGGTATTTCTAATAAACTCTGGACTCAATAGACCCCGACTTTATTGCCTCTGAGTCAGAAAGGTCTCAGAGTTTTTTATTATGAATTATCCATCCAAGGAAGAGAATTGGAGAATTTGAAGATGCCTAAAACTGATCCATAATCTGACAGGTGAGGATTTGGAAGGGGTAGGACACATACACACACACACACACATACACTCTCTCTCTCTCTCTCTCTCTCACACACACACACATATACACCTTCCTTCCCAGTTCGATGATCAGGTGACCAGGCAAAAGTTTCCTGGGAAAGTGCTGAGTCTCTGCCTAAGGTCAGAAGCTTCTCTATGAACCAAAGAACAAATGGAGGACTAAAATAGTTACAAAAGCTTCTAAGGCCAAACTTCTACAAGATCAATATGAAATGGTTTCTCCTACCAGCTCACTAGGGCAGCAAAAAAACAGACTGGTTATTTTCAAACCAAAAAGTCAGGGCGATACCTTTCACCTTCCCTCCCTCTGGTTAAAAGTAAATATTAGATAAATGTAGTACAAATGTAGGGGTGAAGGCACAGGTGAACTAAAATATCAGTTCCCAGAGCAGATAGAGATGCATAGCAGCAAAAAAGGGAAGAGGACAGGGATAAAGGAGAGGAAGTGATGGAAGGGAGAGAGTGGCTCCCTGTCCTATTTGTATGCGTGTGTGTGGGAGGGAACATCCTAACAGTGGATGGGGGAGTACGACACCAGACACCTACTGCCCTCAGCTCACATATCCTTTGCCGCTAGTTAGGAAAGAGTACAGGACTGGTTTGAATGGGTGAGGTCAAATTCTCAGCACTGAAAGGCAAGTGGGGAGGAAGCTATCTTGTCTTAAAAGTCAATTTCAGCCCCCACAAAGAGGGCTTGAGTGTGTGTGTGTGTGTGTGTGTGTGTGTGTGTGTGTGTGTGTGTGTGTTGGAGGAGGGGTAGGAGTTTGATGGAGATCATGCATCTTCTTTCCAATTGACAATAACAAATGGCTTTTCTAATCTTGCCATCAAGCTATTCTCAATTCTCACTTCCTCTAAATAGCCCATGCCAATTTCTCTGGTCAAACAAATCTCTTTTCTTTGGATTCTGCTATAGCATACAAAGCACAATTGAGATTTGAATGGATATTATCTTAACTGTTCTCTAAATGTCTCTTGGGTATTTCCTTGCATTCCCAGTGAGATTCAGAGATTCTTATTGGCAAAGACCATTTATTTTTCTTTTCTTTTTCTCCCAGCACAGTTCTGGCCACACAGATGCATATCTGTAAATTGATCTAATAAATAAATACTGACACATGGAAGGTTTTTATCTGCGCAGATCACACGAACTACAAGGGATGGGAAAACCAGGCAGAGTGAACCAAACCACTGTTTCAGACTTCCTCCTTCTAGGACTCTCTGAGTGGCCAGAGGAGCAGCCTCTTCTGTTTGGCATCTTCCTTGGCATGTACCTGGTCACCATGGTGGGGAACCTGCTCATTATCCTGGCCATCAGCTCTGACCCACACCTCCATACTCCCATGTACTTCTTTCTGGCCAACCTGTCATTAACTGATGCCTGTTTCACTTCTGCCTCCATCCCCAAAATGCTGGCCAACATTCATACCCAGAGTCAGATCATCTCGTATTCTGGGTGTCTTGCACAGCTATATTTCCTCCTTATGTTTGGTGGCCTTGACAACTGCCTGCTGGCTGTGATGGCATATGACCGCTATGTGGCCATCTGCCAACCACTCCATTACAGCACATCTATGAGTCCCCAGCTCTGTGCACTAATGCTGGGTGTGTGCTGGGTGCTAACCAACTGTCCTGCCCTGATGCACACACTGTTGCTGACCCGCGTGGCTTTCTGTGCCCAGAAAGCCATCCCTCATTTCTATTGTGATCCTAGTGCTCTCCTGAAGCTTGCCTGCTCAGATACCCATGTAAACGAGCTGATGATCATCACCATGGGCTTGCTGTTCCTCACTGTTCCCCTCCTGCTGATCGTCTTCTCCTATGTCCGCATTTTCTGGGCTGTGTTTGTCATCTCATCTCCTGGAGGGAGATGGAAGGCCTTCTCTACCTGTGGTTCTCATCTCACGGTGGTTCTGCTCTTCTATGGGTCTCTTATGGGTGTGTATTTACTTCCTCCATCAACTTACTCTACAGAGAGGGAAAGTAGGGCTGCTGTTCTCTATATGGTGATTATTCCCACGCTAAACCCATTCATTTATAGCTTGAGGAACAGAGACATGAAGGAGGCTTTGGGTAAACTTTTTGTCAGTGGAAAAACATTCTTTTTATGATTAGACATCTAGACGGTGATGTCTAATCTTGATCAACCCCTCCCTGTCTTCCATCACTTCAGTAATTCTACTACTGTCATGTTGATATTAGGGGAAGGTTATCCGTTGACTCTGAGTTAGGGATGTAAAAAAAAAAAAAAGAGTGTTTCATTCTTTTATTAGGCTGTGGAATGAGATGTTCTGTCTCAGCCTCTTTCCTGACCCCAGTGAGGCAACCATTACTAACAGCAAAACTACTATTCCTCCTCACATCTCTAAAACCAGCATATTAGCCATAGTGAACAAGGCATTTGTTATGAGGCTCTGGAGCTGAGCAATTCTACCCCAGCAAGGCAGGCATGGGATGAGGTGAAGGAAGGAGAATAGAAACATTTATTGACTATCCACAATGTTCCTCATTATTCCTTACATCAGTTACTTTAGGTAGAATTGTGAAAACTGTGAATTAGGATGCTAAATAACTTAACAAGTCAATTTATGCCTATCGACTCCCTTTCTATTTTACCACTTTGTGAGGATCATGACAAGGAAGGTGTGAGTGTACATCTAAGGTTAATATTGAATGATAACAATAGGAGAAAAAGAATTAATATATGTTATGGTATTCCTTACTATTTCATTTCTTTAACTTAAAAGCACTCTTCTGTTGTAGTAAATAGATTAAAAGTAATCAATATTTGTTGTACACCTACTAGTGCCAGATTTGTACTAACTACACCATCCGTTCTCTGAATTCTTTCATAAAATATTCTAGAATCAAAAATGATAAATCAAGCATGCTGGAAATTTTTAGGGCAATAATTTGATGCAAAGCAATCTGGTGGAAACTGATATTATGAGAAGTCACAAAGCTTAACAATGGTTTTCTTTTTGCAATGAAATTCTAGGTTATCAATTTCTTCTTTATAGCTACATGTTTTGAAACATGTAGATATTTTTCAAAAAAGGAAATGAAATTTGAGGGTTGGCACAAAAAAATGTTGCAGTGATAACTCACAGAGAAAAAGAAGCACTGAAACAGATCTCTGAGATCAAGTTCATCCGGGGCCAAATTTTTTAATAAAGGAAGGTATGCCCTTTTGGTGTTGTACAATAAATATTGCTTAAGGATCTTCCTTTAAGGAAGATCAGGCACTAGCATGCATTGCTCTTTGGTCATTCTACCTCTCTCCTTCTGTCCCTTCTCTTTGGATAGAAGAGAGGAATAATGAGACAACTAAGGAAACCAGACAAGACCATCTTAGCCTTGAATTAGGTGACTTGGCCCTGACCATAGCAATCTGCGGCTGCAATTTCTAGTGCCAAGGCAAAGGTTGGGAAAGGCAAGTTTTGTGTTTGTGAATAATATCTCTCCTCTTTGGGAACTAATTTCTGACCTCTAAGATCCCCACCTTTGCCCTCCAGTCACCCAGCTACACCATGCCATTTACAGTCTATTTATATATAAAGATATCTACCTCAAGGAATTGGCTCATGCAGTTGTAGAGGGTAGCAAGTTTGAAATTTGTAGGGCAGGCTGGAAACTCAGGCAGGCATGAACATTGCAATCTTTTTTAAATATATAGACTTTACTCTTTTAGAGCTGTTTTTGGTTTATAGAAAAATTGAGCAGAAAGTTCCCATATACTTTATGCCCCAACACACGCACAATCTCCCGAACTAATCCTCACCAGAGTGGTACATTTATTACAATCCATTAGCCTCCACTGACACATCATCACCCAAAGTCTATAGTTTACATTGGAGTTCATTCTTGGTGTTGTGCATTCTGTGGGTTTTGACAAATGCTTAATAGCATGTATTCATCATTATAGTATCATACAGAATAGTTTCACTGCCCTACAAATCCTCTGTGCTTCATCTAGTTATTCCCCTCTCCCCATAACCCTGTGGTAACCACTGATCTTTTTACTGTCTCCATAGTTTTACCTTTTCCCAGAATGTTATGTAGTTGGAATCATACAGTATATTGCCTTTTCAGATTGGCTTCTTTCACTTAGAGTGTGTTTAAGATTTCTCCATGTCTTTTCATAGCTTGATAGTTCATTTCTTTCTGAGACTGAGTAATATTTCATTGTATGCAATATTCAGGGAAAGGTGTAATGTCTGTGTCTAGATTCTTTTTTTTTTTTCATGTGGATGTCTAGTTGTTTCAGCACTATTTGTTGAAGAGACTGTTTTCTCCATTGCATTGTCTTTCATCCTTTGTCAAAAATCAGTTGACTCTACTTATGTGGGTCTATTTCTGGGCTCTTTATTCTGTTATATTGATCTATTTTTCTGTTCTTTTGTCAATGCCACACTATCTTAATTACTGCAGGCTTACAGTAAGTAGTGTCCACCGGGGCCTGTTGGGGGTTAGGGGACAAGGGGAGGGAGAGCATTAGGACAAATAACTAATGCATGCGGGGCTTAAAGCCTAGATGACAGGTTGAAAGGTGCAGCAAACCACCATGGCACATGTATACCTATGTAACAAACCTACACATTCTGCACATGTATCCCAGAACTTAAATTTAAAAGAAAAAAAAAGTAAGTAGTGTCAGTCCTCCAAACTTGTTCTTCCATAATGTGTTAGCTATTCTGAGTCTTTTGCCTCTCTGCATTTTGTTGATATCCACAAAGTAACTTGCTGGGGTTTTGATTGAGGCTATGTTGAATCTATTAATCAAGTTGGGAAGAATGACACCATGATAACATTGAGTTTTCCTATACATGAACATGGAATATCTCTTCATTTATTTAGTTCTTATTTGATTTCTCCTATCAGTTCTGCAGTTTTTCTCATATTAATCTTGTATATAGATTTATATCTAACAAATTGGGGGCTGCTAGTGTAAATGGTGTTGTGTTTTTAATTTCAAATTCCATTTGTTCATTGCTGCTATGTAAGAGAGCAACTGGCTTTTGTATATTAACCCTGTATCCCGAAACCTTGCTATAATTCTTTTAGTTCCAGAAGAGATTTTTGGATATTTTGGATTTTCTGTAAAAATCATGTCATCTGAAAATAAAGACAGTTTTATTTATTCCTTCTGAATCTGTATACTTTTCATTTTCTTGTCTTATGCATTACTAGGACTTTCAGTATGATATTCAAAAGCAGTAATGAGGGGGGACATTTTTTTGCCTTGTTCCTGATCTTAGTGCAGAGCTTTTAGTTTCTCATCATTAAGTATGATATTAACTGTAGTTTTTAAAATAGATATCCTTTATCTCTCTATTCCTAGTTTTCTCAGAGTTTTTAATCATAAATGAGTGTTGGATTTTTGTGAAGTGCTTTTTCTGCATCTATTTATATTATTATGTAGTTGTTCTTTAGTCTATTGATGTGATCAACTAAATTAATTGATTTTTAAGTGTTAGAGTAGCCCTGCATTCCTGAGATAAATCCCACTTGGATATGGTGTATAATTCTTTTTGTACATTCTTGGATTCTATTTGCTAAGTACTTTATTAAGGATTTTTACATCCATATTCATGAGAGATATTGGTATGTAGTTTTCTTTTCTTGTAATTACCTTATCTACTTTTGGTATTAGAGTATTGCTGGCCTCATAGAATGAGCTAAAAGTTCTTTCTTACTCTATTTCCATCTTCTAGAAGAGATTGCAGAGAATTGGCATACATTCTTCCTTAAATGTTTGATACAATTCACCAGTGATCCCATCTAGGCCTGGTACTTTCTGTTTGGGAAAGTTATTAACTATTGAGTTAATTTCTTTAATAGAAATAGGCCTGTTAATGTTCATTTCTTCTTGTATGGGTTTTAGTGGATTGTGGCTTTCCAAGAATTGGTCCATTTCATTTAAGTTATCATGTTTGTGGGCACAGATTTGTTCATGGTATTCCTTTATTATCCTTTCAATGTTCATGGGATTTGTAGTGATTTTTTTATTCATTTCTGATATTAGTAACTTGTGTCTTCTTTCTTTTATTTTCCTTAGTTAGACTTATTAATGGTATATCAATTTTATTGATCTTTTCAAAGAACTAGCTTTTGGTTTTGTTGATTTTCTTTAATAATGTCCTATTGTCCTATTTTCAATTTCATTGATTTCTGTTTTAATTTTTATTGTTTTTTTCTTGTGCTTACTTTGGATTTAGTTTCCTAGTGGGGAAGCTTAGATTATTTATTTTGGATTTTGCTTTTTTTTTTTTTTTTTTTTTTTTTTTGCAAAAGAAGGTTAAATTCAACTGGTGTTTTATCTCTCACCTTTTGGATAGTTTGAGGGTATTTACTTCTCTGTAAACCATAGCTCAGTTCCTTTTTTGTTTGTTTGTTTAAAGGTTTGACAAATGCTTTCTGGGCTAAAGTGGCTTTGAGTGCTGAACCTGTCTATTTGACTTCATACTTTCTGCAGTTAGAACTTTTCTAAGTAATTTCTTATTATTTTATGTTTGTGATGCCTTCAAGAACATATTTAAAATATTTCATCTGAGTTTTATTAGTTTTCCCATTGGGAAGGTTGGTCCAAATTATTAGGTTTGCCATTACCAAAAACTTTATAATAGATGGATATATGTATAAATACACTCTAAGAATCCCTGGGCTTTTTTCATACAAATTTGTCCTTTAAGATTCATGTAATTATTAATATATTTGTAGTTGATTTTGATATTCCATTTCCTTTTTCTTTGTTCCTATATATCATGCTTTTAAAATTATTTCTTTTAATTTTCTCTTCTTGTCTTTGTTTCATTCTTTCCCTTATAATGTGGAAGTTTCATATCTTTTTAAAATTTTTATTTTATCCTTAATTGACACAATGATTATACATATTTATAAGGTACAGGGTGATATTTCGATACCTGTATACATTGTGTAATAATCAAACTAGGATAATTCACATATCCGTCATCTCAACATCTGTCATTTCTTTGAGGTGAGAACATTCACAATCCTCTCTTCTGGCTATGTTGAAATTACAATACATTATTGTTAACTATATTCATGCTTTTGTACAATAGAACACCAGAGCTTGTTAATCCTGTCTAAGTATAACATAGATCTGTTGACTAACCTATCCCTGTTCCCCACTCCTCCTAAATCTTCAGCTTGTAGTAACCACTATTTTACTCTCTACTTCTATGAAATCAACTTTTTTTGTTGTTGTTTTTTCTATATGTAATATTTATTTTTATTTTTTTTTATTTTACTTTAAGTTCTAGGATACATGTGCAGAATGTGCAGGTTTGTTACACAGGTATATGTGTGCCATAGTGGTTTGTTGCAACTATCAACTGGTCATCTAGAGTGTCAATTTTAGATCTTTCCTGCTTTCTCTTGTGGGCATTTAGTGCTATAAATTTCCCTCTTAACACTGCTTTAGCTGTGTCCCAGAGATTCTGGTACGTTGTCTCTTTGTTTTAATTGAATACAAAGAACTTCTTGATTTCTGCCTTAATTGCATTATTTACCCAGTAGTCATTCAGGAGTAGGTTGTTCAGTTTCCATGTAGTTGTGTGTTTTTGAATGTTTTTTAATCTTGAGTTCTAATTTGATTTCACTGTGGTCTGAGAGACTGTTTGTTATTTTTCAGTTCTTTTGCATTTGCTGGGGAGTTTTTTGCTTCCAGTGATGTGGTCAATTTTAGAATAAGTGCCATGTGGCACTGAGAAGAATGTATATTCTGTTGATTTGGGGTGGAGAGTTCTGAGTTCTGTCGACGTTTATTAGGTCTACTTGATCCAGAGCTGAGTTCAAGTCCTGAATATCCTTGTTAATTTTCTGTCTCATTGATCAGTCTAATATTGACAGTGGGGTGTTAAAGTCTCCCACTATTATTGTGTAGGTGTCTAAGTCTCTTTGTAGGTCTCTAAGAACTTGCTTTATGAGTCTGGTGCTCCTGTATTGGGTGCAAATATATTTAAGATAGTTAGCTCTTCCTGTTGCATTGTTCCTTTTACCATTATATAATGCCCTTGTTTGTCTTTTTTTATTTTTGTTGGTTTAAAATCTGTTTTGTCAGAGACTAGGATCACAACCCCTCTTTTTTTTTGCTTTCCATTTGCTTGGTAAATTTTCTCCTGTCCTTTTATTTTGAGCCTATTTGTTTCTTTGCACGTGAGATGGATCTCCTGAATATAGCACACCAATAGGTCTTGACTCTTTATCCAGTTTGCCAGTCTGTGTCTTTTAATCGCAGCATTTAGCCCGTTTACATTTAAGGTTAATATTGCTATGTGTGAATTTGATCCTGTCATCATGATGCTAGCTGGTTATTTTGCACACTAATTGATGCAATTTCTTCATAGTATCGTTGGTCTTTATATTTTGGTGTTTTTGCAGTGGCTGGTACCGGTGTTTCCTTTCCATATTTAGTGCTTCCTTCAGGAGCTCTTGCAAGGCAGGCCTGGTGGTGACAAAATCCCTCAGCATTTGTTTGTCTGGAAAGGATTTTATTTCTCATTTACTTATGAAGCTTAGTTTGGCTGGATATGAAATTCTGCGTTGAAAATTCTTCTCTTTAAGAATGTTGAATATTGACCCCCACTCTCTTCTGGCATGTAGGGTTTCTGCTGAGAGATCCTCTCTTAGTCTGATGGGTTTCCCTTTGTAGGTGACCAAGCCTTTCTGTCTGGCTGCCCTTAACATTTTTTCCTTCATTTCGACCTTGGAGAATTTGATGATTATGTGTCTTGGGGTTGATCTTCTCATGGAGTATCTTAGTGGAGTTCTCTGTATTTCCTGAATTTGAATGTTGGTCTGTCTTGCTAGGTTGGGGAATTCTCCTAGATAATATCCTGAAGTGTGTTTTCCATCTTGGTTCCATTCTTCCCATCTCTTTCAGGTACTCCAATCAATCATAGGTTCTGCCTTTTTACATAGTCCCATATTTCTCAGAGGTTTTGCTCATCCCTTTTCATTCTTTTTCCTTTAATCTTGTCTGCCTGCCTTATTTCAGCATGATGGTCTTCAAACTCTGATATTCTTTCTTCTGTTTGATCGATTTAGCTATTGATACTTGCGTATGCTTCATGAAGTTCTTGTGCTGTGTTTTTCAGCTCCATCACATCATTTATGTTCCATTCCATCATTTATGTTCCTGATTGTTCTAGTTAGCAGCTCATGTAAGCCTTTATCAAGGTCCTTAGCTTCTTTGCATTGGGTTAGAACATGCCCCTTTAGCTCAGCAGAGTTTGTTATTACCCACCTTCTGAAGCCTGCCTCTGTCAGTTCATCTATTTCATCCTCCATCCAGTTCACGCCCTTGCTGGAGAGGTGTTGTGATCATTTGGAGGAGAAAAGGCACTCTGGCCTTTTGGATTTTCAGCGTTTTTTCGTTGATTCTTTCTCATCTTCATGAGTTTGTCTAGTTTCCATCTTTGAGGCTGCTGACCCTTGGATGAGGTTTTTGTGGGGACGTTTTTTGTTCATGCTGTTGTTGTTTTCTGTTTGTTTTTCTTTCAGTGGTCAGGTCCCTCTTCTGTAGGGCTGCTGTGGTTTGCTGGGGGTTCATTTCAGGCCTTATTCATCTGGTTCACTCCTGCACCTGGAGATGTCACTGGGGGAAGCTGGAGAACAGTAAAGATGGGTGCCTGCTCCTTCCATTGGTATCGCTGACCTTGAGGGGCACCGACCTAATGCCAGCAGGAATGCTTCTGTATAAAATGTCTGACAACCCCTGTTGCAGGGTCTCACCCAGTTGGTGGCACTGGGAGCAGGACCCATTTAATGAAGCACTTTGGCTGTCCCTTGGTGGAGGGGGTATGCTGTGCTGGAGGGAAACTTACTCATCTGGGCTGCCCAGATTCCTCAGAACTAGCAGTAGGAAAAACTAAGTCTGCTGGTCCGTGGAGACTATGGCCACCCCTTCTACTAGGGGCTCAGGCCCAGGGAGATGAGAGTTCTGTCCTTGAGCCCCTGGCGGGAGTTGTTGGAGTTCCTGCAGGGAGGCCCTCCCAGTGAGGAGGGATGGGTCAGGGTCTTGCCTGAAGAGGCACTCTGGCTGCAGTCTGCCACAGCCGGTGTGTTTGGCTGTGGGGAATATTTCTTGCCACCAAGTCTCCCTGGCTCGGCAGGGGAAAATAGTGACCTGGAGCTATAGAGATGGCTGCCGCCCTTCCCCCGCCATGGGAGCTTAGTGTGTTAGGCAGCTAGCAGTCCCAGTGTTGGCTGCTGCCCCTCCCGCAGGGAGCTTAGACAGCTTAGGCAGCAGGCAGTTGCAGCTGTGGTGATGGCTGCAACTCCTCCCAGGAAGTCAGCAGGCTTAAGCAGATTCTAGCTGAGTGGCTATTGAGAATCTGCGTAGCTCTGTTGTTGGGACCCTAGGCCCTGGTGGCAGGGGCTCTCAAGTGGGATCTTCTGATCTGTGGGTTGCACAGTTCTGTGGAAAAAGCATGGTTTCCCAGGCTGGGTAGCACGCTCACTCACCACCTCCCTTGGCTGGTGGGTGGGGACTCCCCTGCCCTGTGTGGCTCTCAGGTGGGCTGCCACACCACACTGCACTTCCTTCCTCTCCGTGTGTCATACCAACTGCCTAGTCAGTCCTGGTGACAGCACCTGGATACCTTGGTTGCCGTTGCAGGGTTCGCATGCTGTTTTGGTTGTTTTCTGAATTCAACTTTTTAAAAATCCCACAAATAAGTGAGAATATGGGTATTGGTCCTTCTGTGCCTAGCTTATTTTATTTAACATAATGTCGACTAGGTTCATCCATGCTGCCACAAAAGAATAAAAATGATTTTATTCGTTTTATGGCTGCATGGTGTTCCATTGTGCACATATAGCACTTAAAAAAATCCGTGTATCCACTGATGGACATTTTGGTTGATTCCATATCTTGGCTGTTGTAAATAGTGCTGTAATAAACTTGAGGGTGCAGATGACTCTTTGACGTACTTATTTCTTTTCCTTTGGATATATAACCAGTAGTGGGACTACTGGATCATATGGTAGATATATTTTAATTTTTTGAGGAATCTTGACACTGTTGACCATAATGGATGTACTAATTTATATTCTCACCAACAGTGTATAAGTGCTCCCCTTTCTCCACATCCTCACTAGCATTTGTTATTTTTTTTTTTGTCTCTTTGATAATAGCCATTCTAACTGGGATGAGGTGATATCTCATTGTGTTTTTAAAAAGTTTGTTTTTATTTTTAAATTTTATGGATACATCATAGTATAGTTAACAATAATTTATTGTATATTTCATTGTGATTTTGATTTGCATTTCCCTAATGATTAGTGATACTGAGCATTTTTCCATAAGCTTGTTGACCATATAGATGTCTTCTTTTAAGAAATATCTATTTAGGTCTTTTCTCCATTTTTAAAATCATTTATTTGTTTTTTTGTTGTTATCGAGACATTTGAGTTTCTTATATATTCCACATATTAACCTCTTGACAGATGCATAGTTTGCAAATATTTTCTCCCATCCTGTAGGTTGTCTCTTTGCTCTGTTGATTGTTTCCTCTGCTGCGCAGATGCAATTTAGTTTTATGTAAATCCATTTGTCTATTTTTGCTTTTGTTGTCTATGCTTTTAAGGTCTTATCCAATTAATCTTTAGCCAGATCAATGTCATAAAGCATTTCCCCTATGGCTTTGTCTAGTATTTTCATAGTTTCAGGTCTTACAGTCAAGTTGTTAATTTCTTTTGAGCAGAGTTTTGTATGTGGTAAGAGATAGAGATCTAGTTATTCTTTTGCATACACATATTCAGTTTTTATAACATCATATATTGAAGAAACTGTGCTTTTCCCAATGTGTATTCTTCACACCTTTGTCAAAAATCAGTTGGCTATAGATACATGATTTATTTTTGGGTTGTCTATTCTGTTTCATTATCCATATGTCTGTATTTATGACCATGCTGTTTCAGTTACTATAGCTTTATAGTATGTTTTGAAGTCAGGTAGTGTGATGCCTCCTGTCATTTCCCAAGGTAACTGTGCATTGGGAAAAGGGAAATGATCTGATCTTTTGGGGACTACTGGACACTGGCTCTCAACTGATGTTGATTCCAGGAGACACGAAACATCACTGTTGCCCTCTAGTTAGAGTAGGCAATTATGGGGGTCATGTGATTAATGAAATTTTAGCTCAGATCCAACTTACGGTGTGTCCACTCGATCCCAAAACCCATCTTGTGGTTATTTCCTCAATTCTAACTGTGGTTATGTCCCCAGTGCAACTGTGGTTATTTCTCCAATTCTAATATGCATAATTAGAATAGGCATACTTAGCACCTGGTAGAATCCCCACATTTGTTTCCTGACTTGTGGAGTGGGGGGGTATTATGATGGGAAAGGCCAAATGGAAGCCATTAGAGCTGCCTCTACCTAGGGAAATAGTAAATGAAAAGTAGTGTTGTATCATTGGAGAAATTGCAGAGATTCGTGCCACCATCAAGGACTTAAAAGATGCAGGGGTGGTGATCCCCACCACATCCCTGCTTAACTTTCCTATTTGGCCTGTGCAGAAGATAGATGGATCCTGGAGAATGACAGTGGATTATCATAAGCTTCACCAAGCAGTGACTCCAATTGCAGCTGCTGTACCAGATGTGGTTTCACTGCTTGAGCAAATTAACATTTCCTGGTACCTGGTGTGTAGCTATTGATCTGGCAAATGACTTTTTCTCCATCCCTGTCTGTAATGCCCACCAGAAGCAGCTTGCTTTCAGCTGGCAGGGCCAGCAGTACACCTTAACTGTCATACCTCAGGAGTATATCAATTCTGCAGCCCCATGTCATAATCAAGTTCACAGAATTCTCGACCACTTGTCCTTCCACAAGATGCCACACTGGTCCATTATATTGATAACATTGTGCCAATTAGACCTAGTGAGTCTGAACTCATTGGTAGGACATTTGTGTGTCAAAAAGTACAAATAAATCTGGCTAAAATTCAAGGGACTTATACTTCCTCGTGAAATTTATAGGGTCCAGTGGTGTGAGACCTGTCCAGATAGCCCTTTTAAGGTGAAGGATAGGTGTCTGGCCCCTCTTACACCCAAGAGAGAGGCACTATGCCTGGTGCATCTATTTGGATTTTAGAGGAAACACATTCTGGGTGATCAGGGATTTGGAAGCAACATGATTGGAAAATTGATGACAAAGATACCTGGGGAAGAGCAATGTGAATAGACCTCTATGAATGGGCAAAGATATGAAGATATCTGTGTCCCATGTAAATACTCACCAAAGCATGACCTCAGAAGGGGAGGTTTTAATAAGTGGATAGGATGACCCGTTTTGTGGATACCAGTGAGTCTCTTTCCCCAGCCACCACTGTCATCGCCCAATGGGCTCATGAACAAAATGGCCATGGCGGCAGGGATGGAGGTTATGTATGGGTTCAGCAGCATGTACTCCCACTAACCAGGGCTGACCTGGCCACTGCCACCTTTGAGTGCCCAGTCTGCCAGCAGCAGAGACCAACGCTGAGCCCCCCAATGGCACCATTCCCAAGGGTGATTAGCCAATTACTTGGTGGTATGTTGATTACATTAGTCTGCTTCTGTCATAGAAGAAGTATGGATCCCGTCACCCAGGTAGTGAGCATAATACCTGACAGGTAGTTTTTAACTTACCTTCTCCCCACCTTCACCTTCTAGTAGTTTAATTTTTATGAAGTTCAACTTTAAAATTTTTCCTTTTATGGATCATGCTCTTTGCTTTTGATTTCAACTCTAAGAACTGTTTGCCTAGTATTTTATTTTTTACCTTTTTGTTACATGTTGACACCCATGAGAATACACACAGTCAAGAACAATGACTGGACTCCTAAACTCAGGCTTGGAGTAAAGTAGGTGGAATCAGGGTCTGCTCTTCCAAGGCCTAAGCAGTGGCAGCATAGCCATGTTTGGTGTTAGGGATCTATGGAGTATGATCCAATGAGAAGGAAATCATTACAAAGGAACACAAATTAGGGTGACCTCTTATTTATCACTGAAAACACCCGAGGCATTGGAATAATATAGATGTATCTTTAAAAGATCTGAAAGAAAAGCTTTGGACCTAGAATGCTGCATCCTATCAAATTATCAAATTGTCTACTAAAGTAAACGTGCCAAAATCGTGTTTTTAGATATGCATGCACTCAGAAAGTTTTTCTTCAACTGGTAATTTATGAAGTCTTTCACCATTGCATAGGTCATCTTGTTTATTAATAGTTTTCTATTCCATTGGCAATAAATGTTTATTTGAAGAAATTCAGACATTACAACTGTGTATAAAGATGAGGAAATATTCTCCCTCCATGTTTCCCCCTGCCCTTCCATTCTTACCCCAGTGGCTACACACATATGTACATTCATATTTATATAATGTTTTAATGTAATGGATTCATACTTTTACATTTGTTCCATATCTTAATTTTCTTACTTAATGGCTTTTCAAGGAAGCAGTAAAGATATATTTGATTCTTTGAACATGCTGCATATAGTTACACTTTATGGAATTAGTCATAGCATCTTTCTCCATTTCCCTATTGAAAAGGTTTTAGGTTGTTGCCATTTTTACCTATTATAAACTGGGATTTCCCTGAACATCTTTGGAGATTATATATACATATATCTCACAATATTCAATACACATTTACAATAATATTACTCAATACAAATTTATAATAATATTTCTATAGGCTAGAGTCCTAGAAATGACAGTTTCTAGACGAAGTATTAAATCACACATTTTAAACACATAGTTTATGGGAAGGTGAACCAGAAGAAATGTTTCAACCTCCCCTGTGTGAAATGGATAATTTCCATGTTATCCCTTGTGGTTTTTGTTCTTTCTGACCATTAGCATTTTTAAATTGTATGATAAAATATAAGAGGAAATTAAAAGTAAATAAAACTACAGCAGTATAATAAAGGAAGGATAGAAAGATAAAAAAGTAAAAGCTTAAGATTTAAGCAATAAAACATTTTTAGAAGGAGAAAAATAAAAAATTATAAAAATTCTCAAGAAGAGAAAATTAGCTAAAATATATATCCTCCTCTTCCTTCATTCTTTCTCTTTTCAATTTTTTTGCAAAAACATTCAATGGCTACAAATTACACATTTTTCAGCAATATATTGAAATGTGAAGAATTTTGGAGGATCTGCCTTAATAAAAGGAGAGAAATTTGTTTAGGAAATATTCATGGGGAAAGGATTAGATTAAAGCAGTTTTTGGAAAATGAGAAAGTGGAAAAAATAAATCTTTCCAAGAAAGAGGAGACACAGACAGGAAACGATTGTGATTTAAGAGATACAGGCCGAATTGTTGGGTCATCATCAATGGATGTAAGTGCCCACAATAGCCTTGTCTCACATGGGTCAGAAGTGCTAGCTTCCAACAGCTTTGACTGTTCACCAGAAACCAGTAGAAAACACGTCCAAGTTGAGCAGATTCCACTTACGAGTTTTTCAAGAGGGTGCTTCCTAGGATCTCTTGCTCATAAGCTTCCTCAGGCCCTGTTTCAGGTCTTTGTTTCTCAGGCTGTAGATAAAAGGATTGAGCATGGATGACAAAACTGTGTAAACAATTGTTGCCACGTGGTCCTTGACAGCGTAGGTGGATGGGGGCTGTAAATAGACACAGAAGATGCTTCCATAAAAGAGCGTCACCACGGTGAGGTAAAAACCACAGGTGGAGAAGGCTTTGCGTTTCCCAGAAGTAGAGGGAATCTTGAGAACTGTAGTGAGGATTCGTATATAAGAGAAAGCAATGCAGAGAAAACGAGTCACCAAAACAATAGGTGCTTCTGTCATCTGCACAATTTCATTGACAAATATGGAAGAGCAGGACAATTTCAGCACAGGGCTGAGGTCACAGAGAAAGTGGTGGATAACATTGGAGTCACAGAAGGTGAGACGATTCAGCAGAAGTGTGTGCAGGAGTGAGTGGAGGTGAGGAAATGAGCAGGAGAAGGCCACCAGCAGGACACAGTGGTGGTGGCTCATGGTGGTGACATAGTGGAAAGGGTCACAGACGGCCACATAGCGGTCAAAGGCCATGACTGCCAGAAGGCAGCTGTCACTGTTGCCCAAGGCATAGAGAAAATACATCTGTGTCAGACACCCAGCATAGGAGATGGTCTTCTTTTCTGACAGGAAGTTCATCAGCATCTTGGGGACAACGCTTGTTGTAAAGCAAATATCAGTGAGAGACAGAAAACTCAAGAAGAAATACATAGGGGTCTGAAGATGGGGGTTGAAGCGAATGGCCAGGATGATGAGCAGGTTCCCTGTTATGGTGACCAGGTACACGATGAGGAAGAGAACAAAGAGTGTCTTTTGGTCCTCAGGCCGGGAGGAGAGTCCCAGGAGGATAAACTCGGAGACACTGCTGGTGTGGTTGATTCTTTCCATTGACTTGGGCTCAGTTATAAACAAGAAGTTTTGTCATTTAACATGCTCTGATTTCATAACACCAATCATGAGAACCTAGCAAGTCTTTGTTTCTTCTGTTTGGTCACAATTAGCTACTGTGCTAATTGTGGGATGGCTTGTTCACCTCATGGTCCTTGATGGGGTCCTCCCTTCCCAAATCTATGGGCTCCATAAGGGCATTATATTGAAATCTGGAGGGACAGAGGGAGAGTTTTCCTTTAGAAACTTTCAGAAGTGGACTCCTCTAATTCAGACTCAGTATTTCCTATTCTGTGAAAAGCACTATTCACCTGCCGGGGACATAGCAATAGAGCAGACAGATTTCTGCTTATGTGGAGCTTACCTTCTAGTTGGGGAGGTAGATCATTATACTACAAAATATGTAGTATAGCATCAGTTAGGGATACATTTTATGAACAAAATAAAATAGTATTAGAAGATGGAGGTTGCTGGGGAGTCAGACTGGGGGTATTTTAGATGGGGAGGTTTCAGGACACTCTTTCCCTATCAAAGCATACTCAGTTGTGTCACGCTGAAGTTTATCTTTGCATTGTCTTGAAAAAAACTAATGGTTTTTCAAAACAGCCAACAGGGCAAATCTAAGACGACTGTTGAACGCAGTCAATAGAGTGATTTTTTTTTCTGCTCTGCTCACAGAATGAAAGGTTCATCCTCCCTAGCTCATGACATGCTATCATCATTAGTTTGCACAAGTCTCCCTTTTTTTGTAAATTGTTTTTCCCTTCTTTAATTCTCTGTCCTAAATCACATTTGTACAGAATAAGCACCCATTGTTAAGTGTTAAATCTGTTTTTAATTTATCTTTTACGTGTTAAAAATATATATGAGAAACATGTTAATTTTTTGGTATATATATTTTTCATCCCGATCCAGTTACCTACCAATGGATATCAAAGTGGCTTCCATTTCTTGCTACTATAAAAAAACTCTGCAATGAGAATTTTTGTATCAGCAAAATGTTGTCACAATTTTTTTGCAATTAAAGTTTTTGAGTAAGCATATTCATTCATACCTTGTGAATAGGCATATTACATAGAGATTTTCAAGCATTTTTAGATATTGGTTATTTATACATTTTTGGCTACCATAAAATCTCTACAGTGAACATATTTGCACCACCAAGATGTTTGAAACAACTTCATTTTATTTTATTTTATTTTATTTTATTTTATTTTATTATTTAAGTTTTAGGGTACATGTGCACAATGTGCAAGTTTGTTACATATGTATACATGTGCCATGCTTGTGTGCTGCACCCATTAACTCGTCATTTAGCATTAGATATATCTCCTAAAGCTATCCCTCCCCCCTGCCCCCACCCCACAACAGTCCCCAGAGTGTGATGTTCCCCTTCCTGTGTCCATGTGTTCTCATTGTTCAATTCCCACCAATGAGTGAGAATATGCGGTGTTTGGTTTTTTGTTCTTGCGATAGTTTACTGAGAATGATGATTTCCAATTTCATCCATGTCCCTACAAAGGACATGAACTCATCATTTTTTATGGCTGCATAGTATTCCATGGTGTATATGTGCCACATTTTCTTAATCCAGTCTATCATTGTTGGACATTTGGGTTGGTTCCAAGTCTTTGCTATTGTGAATAGTGCCGCAATAAACATATGTGTGCATGTGTCTTTATAGCAGCATGATTTATAGTCCTTTGGGTATATACCCAGTAATGGGATGGCTGGGTCAAATGGTATTTCTAGTTCTAGATCCCTGAGGAATCGCCACACTGACTTCCACAATGGTTGAACTAGTTTACAGTCCCACCAACAGTGTAAAATTGTTCCTATTTCTCCACATCCTCTCCAGCATCTGTGAAACAACTTCTTTACAGCAGTATATTCTTTTACACATTGTGAATGGGCCTTAATACACCAGAATTTTCACATATTTTTAAATGTTGGCTATTTATATATTGATGTACTAAAAAATTAAATGCTTACATTTTTCTTGTAAGTTACTAAACACCTTTAAATCTCAGGTTTTTCATGTATAAAATCGAACACAAATATCCACATTGTCATGAGGATTTAATGAGATAAAGCATTTGAAAGACTTAAAAGAGGGACAAGGATATTGTAAAAACATTCAGGACAAGCTGTTCCCCAGCCACCTCAGCGTCATCGTCCCTTATCTGATATTCCTGCATGTTCTCAAAACTAATTATCTCACATGCTTAAAATATCATATCCCTCACTGTCTCTCAGATTAATTTTATAATATTGCAAGATTTTATAGAAGGAATATTTGCTGATATATTGAGTGAATCAGTAATTAAAGTCAATAATATTAACAAATATTTATTGAAAATGTATTAGTATTAGGTACATGGTAAGCATCTCACTAAATTCCGTAATAAGGAATTAAGAGGCATATGTTATTACTGTTGCCATTTTTACATACAGGAGGCTTAGAGAGGTGAAGTGATCTGTTCAAGGTCAGTAAGGAAGTGAATAATAGTAAAAATTTGAACCTTAAGCCTCTTCATATTTTGGTAAAGCTATACATATCTTACAATCGTGCATTGGTGCTATGTTTTCCTCACTCTGATAAATTTCTACAGAATTACCCTCTTGCCACACAAATACACAACTGACAAACTTTCTTGTCCCATGTTCAGAATCCACTCTTGCAGCTGTAAGGGTGATTACCAATCTTTCTGTGTGGTACAGATGGTGGGATTTGAAAGCTTGAACACTAATGAGGGACTGGTCACAATCAGGTGGGTAAAACTGGCCATGCATGCCGGGCGCGGTGGCTCACACCTGTAATCCCAGCACTTTGGGAGGCTGAGGCAGGCGGATCACAAGGTCAGGAGATTGGGTGCATCCTGGCCAACACGGTTAAATCCTGTCTCTACTAAAAATACAAAAATTAGCCAGGCATGGTGGCGGGGGCCTGTAATCCCAGCTACTCGGTAGGCTGAGGCAGGAGAATTGCTTGAGCCCAGGAGACGGAGGTTGCAGTGAGCTGAGATTTTGCCACTGCACTCCAGCCTGGCCAACAGAGCCAGACTGTCTCAAAAAAAAAAAAAAAAAAATTAGCTGAGTGTGGTGGGGCGCACCTGTAGTCCCAGCTACTCGGGAGGCTGAGGCAGAAGAATCGCTTGAACCCGGGAGGCGGAGGTTGCAGTGAGCCAAGATTGCACCACTGCACTCCAGCCTGGCGACAGAGCGAGACTCAGTCTCAAAAAAAAAAAAAAAATTGACCATGCATGGTGGAGGTGGGTCTTGTGTGTAGGGTTGTAGTGGTGCAGTGGACAGTGCCTTGGACTTGAGGCAGAAGATGCAGGCTGGATTTGTCCTCTATCACCTGCTCATAGGCTGATTCCTGATGTTTTATGAAAGGTGTATTAGTCTATTCTTACACTGCTATAAAGAAATACTCCAAACTGGGTAATTTTTAAAGTAAAGAGGTTCAATTGCCTCACAGTTCTGCAGAGTTTACAGGAAGCCTTGCAGTTTCTGATTCTGGGGAGGCCTCAGGAAACTTTTATTCATGGTGGAAGGCAAAGCCGGAGCAGGCATCTTACATGGCAGGAGCAGAACAGAGGTGGGGGGAGGCGCTACACACTTTTTAAACAAGTAGATCTTGTGAAAACTCACTCACTAACATGATACTAGCACCAGTGACAGTGCTAAACCATTCATGAGGGATCCGTCCCCATGATCACCTCCCACTAGGGCCCACCTTCAACACTGGAGATTAAAATGCCACATGACATTTGGGCGGGGACACAGATCCAAACCATATCAAATAGCAAGTGAGATACCATGTCTGAAAAGCAGTGTGTCAAACACAGATCATTATTTAAAAAGCAGTCATTCATGAAAAGGCTGCCTTGGGAATACAGAATTTAAAAAATAGTGGAGATTTGGGTTAAGTGGGTTTGGATGCTCCAGACTGTAGACATGAGGATCACCCATGCTTATCACGGGGAAAAAGGAAGAAGGTTTAGGATATGAAAATCAGGGAGAATAGTTCTAAAGTACAGGGTGAGTGTATGGGGCTGGGAATGCAATCATTGTTTTGTTTTTTTGGTTTTGGGTTTGGTTTTTTTTTTTCTACTAATAGGGTTTTGCTGCTCTCAAAGCATGTGGTGTAGAGGGCCTCCAGATCAAGCTCAATGAGTCTAAATGAGTCAGATGGTGGTTATGACTTCTTAATTCATGAAATATTTGAAACTTTCAGAAAGGAAAGAGAAAGTGCCAAACTGGGTTGGCTAGGTAGGTGGCTAGCTCACTGAAGCTCACCTCTGTATCCAGCGTTTTTCCTTTGCTTCCATGTGTCTCAAGAAGTGGATCTTCTGCACATCTGTGATTTCCAACTCTGCTTCTTAGCCAAAGCTCAGCTTCCTCATGTTTCTCCTCTGAACTTCTGGACTAATTAGCAAGGAGGGAAGAACTGAAACACTACTCTAAAGGAATACCACATTTCCCTTTTCTGACCTTAACTCCCTGTTTCCTTCCTAATCTGTGGTTCCTAACATAATGCTGCCTTTCTCAGCTGCACATCTCAGAAGGCAGGGAGGCCCTGACTCAAGTGGCAAGGACTCTTTTGATTGTGGAAGCCCAGTGAGCTTTCCATGGGTTTGAGTTCTGCCCTCCTGGCCTCTGTGATCCTTGTTAGGCTGATATAGCTGTGGTGTGCTGACCCCTCAGGGGAGTTTGTCCTGTGATCTCCCTCAGCAAAGAAAGCAGAATGGAAATAACAGTTAACAGAGCTGACTCCAAGGAGACAGGGACCCCTGAGGCTTCCCATTTAGATGTTGGGGCTAAACTCAGAGCTTCTTAACTTCACTGCAATATCCGAAGGGAATGCTTCTCTTTCCTCAAGTAATGGTTATCAAGAGTGGATAAATATTTATGTGAGTGAATATTTTTATGTTTAGGAATGTTTATGTTTGGCCATTCTAATGGGTATACAGTGGTATGTCATTGTTGTTTTAATTTGAATTTCCCAGATGACATGAGATGGAGCATCTTTTCACATGCCTGTTTTCCATCTGTGCATCTTCTTTGCTGAGTGTCTGTTAAGACCTTTGGCCCGTTTTTAATTGGGTTGTATATTTTCTTATTGTTGAGTTTTAAGAGTTATTTGTGTATTTTGAATTACAGTCCTTTATCAGATATGTTTTGTGCAAATATTTTCTCCCAGTATGTGGCTTATTTTTTTATTCTCTTGACAGTGACTTTTGCAGAACAGAAAAGTTTAATTTTAATGAAGTCCAGCTTATGAATTCTTTCTTTTATGAATCATGCCTTTGGTGTTGTATCTAAAAAGTCATCTCTAAACCCAAGATCATCTAGATTTTCTCTTATGTTATCCTCTATGAGTTTCACAGTTTTGCATCTTATATTTAGGACTATGATCCATTGAGTTAATGTTTATAAAGGGTGAATTTATTTTTCTTTTTGGTATGTGGACGTCCAGATAATTTAGCACTATTTGTTGAAAAAACTGTCTTTGCTCCGTTATATGTCTTTGCTGTTTGTCAAAGATAGTTGCGTGGGTCTATTTCTTGGTTCTCTGTTCTGTACCATTGATCTATTTGCCTATTCTTTTGCCAGTATATATTGTCTTGATTACTGTAGCTTTGAAGTCAGGTAGTGTCAGTCCTCCAGTTTGTTTTTCTCCTTTAATATTGACTTGGCTACTCTGGGTCTTTTGCCTCTACATATAAACTTTAGAATTAGTTTTTTAATATCTGCAAAATAACTTGCTGGGATTTTGATCGGTATTGCATGGAATTTATACACCGAATTCAGGAGAATTGACCTTTTGATAATATTGAGCCTTCTTATTCATGAACATGGAATTACTATTTAGTTCTTTTATCTTTCATCATGGTTTTGTGGTAACCCTTGTGTTCATCTTGTACTTATTTTGTTAGATTTATGCCACTATTTTATTTTGGGGGGTGCTAATGTAAATGATATTCTGTTCTTAATTTCAAAATCCACTTGTTTGTTGCTAATATTTAAGAGAACAATGGCTTTTGTATATTAATCCTGCATTTTGCACTCTTGCTGTAATTGCTTATTAGTTCCAGGAATTTTTTTGTCAATTCTTTTGGATTTTCTATATAGACAATCAAATCATCTGTGAACAAAGATAGTTTCATTTCTTTCCTTCAAATCTGTATATCTTTTATTACTATTCTTGTCTTATTGCATTAGGTAGGATTTCCAGTATGATGTTGAAAAGCCATGGTGAGAGGGAGCATTCTTATCTTGTTCCTGAATGTAATGGGAAAGCTCCTAGTTTCTCGCCATCATGTATAATGTTAGTTGTAGGATTTTTTTGGGGGTAGTTTTTTCTTATCAAGTTGAGGAATTTTCCTTCTATTCCTAGTTTACTGAGAGTTTTTAGAATCATAGATGGGTGTTGGAGTTTGTCAAATGATTTTTCTGCATCTATTTATGTATTCATGTGGCTTTTCTTTATTAGTTTATTGATGTGATGCATTACAATAACTGATTTTGGAATGTTGAACCAGGCTTGCATACCTAGGATAAATTAAACTTGGTTGTGATGTATAAATCTTTTTATACATTGTTGGATTCAATTTGCAAACATTTTGTTTAGAGTTATGCATGTATGTTTATGAGAGATACAGGTTTATAGTTTTCTTATAATGTCTTTGGTTTTGGTATTAGGATATTGTTGGCTTCGTAGAATGAATTAGAAAGTGTTTCCTTTGCTTCTATTGTCTGGAAGAGATTGTAGATAATTAATATAAATTCTTCTTTAAATGTTTAGTAGAATTCACCAGTGAACCCATCTGGGCCTAGTGCTTTCTGCTTTGGGAGTTTATTAATTATTGAGTCAATTTCTTTTATAGATACAGTTCTATCAATTTCATCATTTCTTTTTGTGTGCATTTTGACATATTGTTGACATATCATGTCTTTCAAAGAATTTGTCCATTCATTTAGGTTATCAAATTTGTGGGTACAGAGTTGTTCATAGTATTTCTTTATTTTCTTTTAATGTCCATGAGATCTGTAGTGATGTTCCCTTATTTATTTCTGACATTAATAATTTGTGTCCTCTGTCTTGTTTTCATAGTCAGCATGGTTAGAAGCTTATCAATTTTTAAAAACTAAATTTTATTGTATATATTTGAGGTTTACAGCATGATGCTATGAGATACATATAGAGAGTAAAGTGGTTATTATTATGAAGCAGATTAACATATCTATAATCTCACAGTTACTTTTTTGTGATAACAGCAACTAAAATCTTATTTAACAAAAATCCCTAATACAATTCAATATTATTAACTGGTTCTCATGTTGTACATTAGATCTCTAGACTTGTTCATGCTTCATGTCTGTATCCTTTGACCTACATCTCCCAATTTTGTCCCTCCCCCTACCTGTAGTAACTATTGTTTCATTCTCTATCCCTGCATATTTCTTTCTTTTTATTTCACATATACATGAGAGTGTGCAATATTTTTATTTCTGTGTCTGGTTTATTTCAGTTACCATAATGTCCTCCAGGTATATCTGTGTTGTGGCAAATGGAAAGATCTACTTCTTTAAGTCTTAATAATATTGTAAGGCTGAATAAATATACATTGCTCCTTTTAAGAACAGATAGTTCATTTTTTTGCTGTTGACTTGTAAGAGTACAGAAAGTATATACATATATATGTATGTATGTCTACATGTAACATTTTCTTTTTTACATTTTTTTTTATTTTTTAAGACAGAGTCTTGCTCTGTCACCCAGACTGGAGTGCAGTGGCATGAGCTCAGCCCACTGCAACCTCCGCCTCCTGGGTTCAAGCAATTCTCCTGGCTCAGCCTCCCAAGTAGCTGGGATTACAGGTGTGAGCCACCACGCCCAGCTAATTTTTTTTTTTTTTTTTGTATTTTTTAGTAGAGATGTGGTTTCGCTACATTGGCCAGGCTTGTCTTGAACTCCTGACCTCAGATGATCTGCCCGCCTTGGCCTCCCAAGGTTCTGGGATTACAGGCATGAGCCATTGCACCCAGCCAACATTTTCTTTATATTCACTCATTGTTGGGCAGTTAGGTTGTTTCCATATCTTGGCTATTATGAATACTGTATATATCTTCACTGTGAGAACCAGGTAGAACTCTGGGAGGTAAAACTCACAACAGTGTGTGGGCCTTTCTATGACTGGTTCCCCCTAGAGATTTTAACTCTCAGACTTGTCTACACTGAGCCTCCAGCAATTCATCAATTACAGTTCAGGTTTTCCTACCTTAGCACTGATTCCTGCAGAGGCTTCTGTTTGTGGGTTTCTGCTCCAGTAAGCTGTGATTCTTTGTATTTTTGTTGTCTGTCTCTCCAATTTGGGGGGCAGTGGGTTGCCGTGTGACCTCACTTCTCTGATGGATCTAAAAAGAATGTTGATTTTTCAGTTTGTTAGGCCTTTTACTCTTTCAGAAGGAGTAACAACCTCCAAGATCCATACATGTTGGACCAGAAACTGGAAGTAACTCTGATGTATAATTGGGTTTTTAAATGACAATAATTGATTCTGGGTGGAGGCAGGAAAAGGAGATACTTTCTACTGCTGCTAGTAGTGTGAATACAAAGTGGCATATGCTTCTAGGAAATAAATTGACAGCATGTGTTATAAACATTAAAAATATTTGTTTCTATGACCTAGTCTTTTTTTTAACCTCTAAAGAAGCATTTAATCTATTCATACACTGGTGCCTTAAATTTAGTCTTTCGGTATAAGCCCATATAGACATAGACAGTGTTAAGCAATTTAGAAAAGTCTCCAAATTGGGTTGATCCTATTATTGTAGGCAGACTTCAAATTTAAGGGCTTACAATAACTTTACTTAGCCAAAAGTTTTCAGTAGTTTTACACATATGACCTCCACATACAAAAATCGTTGGGATAGTCTGTGTTTAAATTTAAAAACAGAATTATAAAAGAAGGCAAACACCTCAATAATAAAAAAGTGCAATGAACATGAACAGGCAATTCACAAAAGAATACAAGGTTCAGTAAGCATGTGAACAAGTAATTAATGAAACTAGCAATAATGAACTATTGGATAAAATAATAAAATAACAGTGATACCATTTTTTCACCAATCATATTATCTATCAAAGATTGAAAAGAATCATAATACCTAGTATTAACACTGAGAGTGCAGGTGGAAATGTAAAGTATCACAATAACTCTGTAGAGAATTTGACAGTATTTATTTAAATATTTTTCACTTTAAGAAATTTATCCAAAGGAAACAGTTGAAAGTGGTACAAACATATCTGAAGAAAAATGTTCTCAATTACATTAAGCCATGTACATTCTTGTTTTTGTTCCCCCTCACCTTCATATCATCAGTACCAAATATAGTGTTTGTTTGGCATAGAAATTCAATATGTGGTTAATTAATTATTTATATTGTCTATGACCTAGTCTTTCACTTTCAGGAATCTGATCATATAAATACTAAAAACATTGCCAAGTGTGGATGTGGTGAAAAGGAAAACACTTTTACACTGCTGGTGAGAATGTAAATTAGTACAACCACTATGGAAAACAGTGTGGAGATTCATTAAAGAACTAAAAGTAGATATACCATTTGATCCAGCAATCCCACTACTGGATATCCACTCAGAGGAAAAGAAGTCATTATACAAGGCTGAGTGCAGTGGCTCACGCCTATAATCTCAGCATTTTAGGAGGGTGAGGCAGGTGAATCATGAGGTCAGGAGTTTGAGACCAGCCTGGCCTACATGGTGAAACCCCGTGTCTACTAAAAATACAAAAATTAGCTGGTCATGGTGGCAGTCACCTGTAATCCCAGATACTCGGGAGGCTGAGGCAGGAGAATAGCTTGAACCTGGGAGGCGGAGATTGCAGTGAGTTGAGATCATGCCACGGCACTCCAGCCTGGGCGACAGTGCAAGACTCCATCTCAAAAAAAAAAAAAAAAAGACATCATTATATACAAAAAAAGATACTTGCACATGCATGTTTATAGCACCACAATTCACAATTGCAAAAATATGGAACCAGCCCAAGTGCCCCTCAATCAGTGAGTGGATAAAGAAATCGTGATATATACATATACCATGGAATACTATTTGGCCATAAAAAGGAACAAAATAATGGCATTCACGGCAACCTGGATGGAACTGGAGACAATTTTCCTAAGTAAAGTAAAGTAACTCAGGAATGGAAAACCAAACATCGTATGTTCTCACTCATAAGTAGGAGCTGAGCTATGAGAACAAAAGGCATAAGAATGATACAATGAACTTTGGGGACTCGGGAAAGGGTAGGAGAAGGTGAGAAATAAAAGACTACACACTGGGTACAGTGTACACTGCTCGGGTGCACCAAAATGTCAGAAATCACCACTAACGAACTTAAACATGTAACCAAACACCACCTGTTCCCCAAAAACCTAAAATTAAAAAAAATTCTGAAAAATAAATCTCAGAAATTACCACTAAACTTATTCATGTCACCAAACACCACCTGTTCCCCAAAAACCTACTGAAATTAAAAAAAAATAGAAAGTCATTAAAAAAGAAGAAAGAAAAATACTGCCAAGAATATATGTACAAGGATAGTACACGTAAGAGAAACAGAAATCATCCAAGTTTTCATGAATGGGGCTTGGTTAAATTATAATATGTTGATATAATTGACTATTGTGTGGACTAATTATTTGATAGCATATTTTGAATACAGAATAATAATCTTAATAATTATAAATTTAAATTATAATTTTAACATAAATTTGAAACATTTTAATTGAGTTATATTTAAATTTAATTTGAATACATTGTAATTGAATTTTAAAAATTGAATACATTTAAAAATTTTGCACTAACTTTTTAAGGTAATACCTATCCCTTGTCTGGAGATTGCTTTGGAGATAAAGTCGCTCTTTCTCTCCTTTAAGAGAGAATTGAAGTCATTTCCTTGTACTGGAGCAAAAGGCAGCTAGGAAATTTCAGGTTGTCAACTAATAGCTGCTGGATGAGGTTCTTATACATTCTATTACAAAGGGTATAAGTGAGGGCTTCTTAGAGAATACTAAGTACTTCAAAAAGAGAATTCTTCCTTTTTAATTAGATATTAGTTGTGATGTTTACATTTGAGACTGAAGGAGTTTTCTGTCTATATACATAAGCATAAGGGGTATGGTGTCATAATTATTTCAGGATTAAGTCTACATTTTATTATCTGTTGTATTAGTCAAGATTTGTGTAGGGAAGAAAAAATTGTCATTGATGTTTTAAGCAGAAATGAAGTAAATAAAATACTGAAATATTTTATTTACCAGGAAATTGAGTGCTTACAAAGTCATTGGAAATGTTATAGAATCACAGGCTCTAGGATGAGTCTCTAGGAATAAACTTAAGCGCAATAATAATCTGACCCACCTAAAGTACTTCTCTTACCCAATTAGGAAGGAGGAGAATCAGAAGGTCGCCATTGAAACTATTGAATTCAAGAGCTTATCGGTGCAACTGCAGCCCAACTATCAGGAATCAGCATCAAAACTACTTCCTGTCTCTCACTAACTGGGTAATTGGTCACAAAAAGTGGACTTCAGCTGCCGCTCCTAAAGCAAATGCCTGTCAGCAATAATGTACCTAGTAACTGGACAATGAAAATCTGCTGCAGAAAAAAAAAATGTTCCAAGAATATTTCTGACAGTAGAAAAAGCAAAAACATAGGACACCTTCCACGTCATTTCAATATTTTAAATTTCATATAAGTGCACCCAACTAATTCATATTGAGGACTCTAACTGTAAAGAATTCTAGGAAATGTATTCTTTTTATTTCTAGCCTTCGACGTACAGGATGGCACACTAGAATGCGGTCAGAATGAATGCCGAGTGCCAATGATCATTTACAAATAAAACCATTGAATAATAACCTTTCTGTTTCCCTTAGTTGATAGGTCTAATCTGTAATAATGTAAGTTTCCATATGGTCAAAGCAGAGGAACACCAGTGCTAAGGTATTTAGTACAGTCTGCATTTTTCAGGGCATATGACTCATGCTGAAGATCGTAACAATGCCAAGAAGACACAAGAATATGAGAAAGGAATTCCTAGAAAAAAGGCAAAGGTTTCAATGACTAAGCTAATTTTTTCTAAGTCTACTGATAACATACTCCCTACCCCATCCTCCATTAATAAAAGAATGGTTGTTGTATTGTATTATGAGGGAATTAAAAGTGTGATAAGACTGTGCTGGTGTCAGGGTATGTTTGTGTTGTATTTGTTTTTTGTTTTGGGGTTGTTAAAAAATATACTTTTGTTCTAGGCTGAAGCTACTACACTGTGGATCAATAAAACTACTAAAAAGTGTCCCAAGTAACTACTATAATGGTAATTTGCTTTCTTTTAGTAATAAGAACACACCACAGCACAGCTACAATAAAATAAGGTCCTAGAATGAGCAATAGGCCTTTATTTATAAAATTAAGCAATACTCAGTGTCTCTCTAAGGCCAGCTCTAAAAAGAATTCGACTGAATATTAAATATAATTATAATGGTTTATATTTATTTCATAATAGTGACAAATATGGGCTGGGCACAGTGGCTCACACCTGTAATCCCAGCACTTTGGGAGGTTGAGGTAGGCAGATCACGAGGTCAGGAGATCGAGACCATCCTGGCCAACACACTGAAACCCCGTCTCTACTAAAAATACAAAAATTAGCTGGGTATGGTGGCATGTGCCTGTAATCCCAGCTACTTGGGAGGCTGAGGCACAAGAATCTCTTGAACCCAGGAGGCGGCGGTTGTAGTGAGCCGAGATGGCGCCACTGCACTCCAGCCTGGCGACAGAGCAAGACTCCGTCTCAAAACAAAACAAAAAAAAAGTGACAAATATTATATTATGATCATCAGTCAAAGCAATTACAGTTAGGTAAAAAGGTAGGTCATTATAATTAGACTTCCAAAAAATTTTCAAAAATCTTTGTAGGACTCCTGTTTCTAGCAATTAGGCAAACTAAATGCATAGAACACATTTTCATTTCAAAACTCCTAGATATATCTACTTCCTTGTAAGAAAAATAAAATTTAGAAGTCTAGAAATACCAAGAAAATGTGAATTCACAGAGGTAAGCGAGTGCCAATCTTCTTTAAAAATAAAGACAGAGGCCGGGCACAGTGGCTCATGTCTGTAATCCCAGCACTTTGGGAGGCTGAGGCGGGTAGATCACCTGAGGTCAGGAGTTTGAGACCAGCCTGGCCAACATGGTGAAACCCTGTCTCTACTAAAACTAGAAAAATCAGCAGGATGTGGTGGTACACATCAATTGCTTGAACCCAAAAGGTGGAGGTTGCAGTGAGCCGAGATCACGACACTGCACTCCAGCCTGGGCGATACAGTGAGACTCCATCTCAAAATAAATAAATAAATAAATGAATAAATAAGTAAATAAAGACAGAACTTTATTTCTTAAAGCTTCACAAGAAACAAGAGACAAAGCACGGTGTCAAAGCATGGGGAGGAGATCATGGTATTGGAGACCTTTCCCTAAAGCTAGGACCACTGAAGGACTAAGCTCATAGTGTAAGAATTATTTTTTTTAAGTCTAATTTATTTTTGGAGATAGCAAGAAAAAGCAAATTTCTTTTTCTGCGTTTTTGACTTAACCATATTTTTTAAAACTTCTGAGAAGTGTTGCGTTTTTGACAAGGATATATTTTTAAACTTCTGAGAAGTATCAACGTCTAATGAAAGATTGAGAATACACTCAAACTGCATCCATGGCTTAAAAATAATAAACTAAGAAGAATTTGGTTTACGTTGGAATTAGGTAAAAGTAAACAAAAATCCTTTCTGGAAAATGGTTTAAGCCCAGACTTCAAAGACTTTCTAGAGATAAAGTTCCAAAATTTATGAGTTTAAAAAATACAAACAAGGCTCGGCGCAGTGGCTCACGCTTATAATCCCAGCACTCTGGGAAGCCTAGGCAAGAGGATCACTTGAGTTCGGGAGTTTGGGGCCAGCATGGGCAACATAGCAAGATCTTATCTCTGCACAAAATTAAAAAAAAAATTAGCTGGGCATAGTAGTACACACCTGTAGTCCCAGCTATGCAGGAGGCTGACATGGAAGGATCACTTGAGCCCAGGAGTTTGAGGCTACAGTAAGCTACACCCCATTGCACTACAGCTGGGTTGACAGAGTGAGACCCTGTCTCTTAAAAAAAGTTATTTTTTTAAGTTAAAGGAAAAAAAGACATAATGAGCAAGAGTTAGCAGAAATAACAACAGAATGAGACTAAAAAAGTTAGTAGCCACAATTTAAAAATAATCAGGAGTACATATATATGAGAACAAAATAAAAATCTCTAGAAATAAAAGTGTAATTAAAATGAAAACTAAAAGCAGCTCAACAGCAATTTAGATACAGCTCAAAAGAGAATTAAATAAAAAATAGAGCTAAATCATATAGATTATAGCAGAGAGAGAATATAAAAGAATAAGGAAATGGGATTATTTTATTATATTATTTTAACATAATATAATCAGAGACTCAATAAACAGGAATAGCAATACGTTTTGATGTGTAAATTTATAAATACTTTCCAAAAGAGGCAAAAGACCAATGTTCAGGAAAACTTCCATGTGGGACAACATGGAGTAAACAATAAATGGATACGCCCCTATTCACTCTAGTCTGATTTTGCAAAACAATCAGGCAAATCCCAACTGAGAGACATTCTATAAAATATTTCATCAATATTCCTTAAAACTGTCAGGGTCATCAAACAAAAAAAAAAACAGTAAAATATGAGAAACTCACAGTCAAGAGAAGCCGAAGGAGACAGGATGACTGAATATAATATAATATCCTCGATGGGATCCTGGAACACAAAAAAAGGATATTAGATTTTAAAAGTAAGGAAATAGGCCGAGCGCACTGGCTCACGCCTGTAATCCCAGCATTTTGGGAGGCCGAGGCTGGTGGATCACCTGAGGTCAGGGGTTTGAGACCAGCCTAGCCATCATGGTGAAACCCCATCTCTACTAAAAATAAAAAAAAATTAGCCGGGCATGGTGGTGTGTGCTTGTAATCTCAGCTACTTGGGAGGCTGAGGCAGGAGAATCACTTGAACCTAGGAGGTGGAGATTGCAGTGAGCAGAGATCGTGCCACTGCACTCCAGCCTGGGTGACAAGAGCAAGACTCTGTGTTAAAAAAAGGAAAAAAGAAAAAGTAAGGAACTAGGAATAAAGTGTGAACATTAGTTAGTAAATAAATAAACATCAGGAAAGCCAGACAAAATGTACAAAGCAAGTGATTTTAGATATTGAAAAAGGTAGCATGGGGAGATAGAATTTTCAGAATTGAAGTGTAAGGACTTCAGAAAATCTGCTCCTAAAAAAAGCAACAACAAAAGCTAGCATGTAATCCAGCACTCTAGGAGGCTGAGGTGGGAGGCTCACTTGAGCCCTGTAGTTTGAGACCAACCTGGGCCACAAAGTGAGACCCCATATCTAGTTAAAAAAAAAATACCTGGCAAATGTAGCCAGAAAGATAGAAACTGTTTCTGAGGTAGTCCAGATGTTGGAATTACTAAACAAAGACTTTAAATCAGCTATGTAAATATATTTATAATAGGTAGTAAAATATATATTCATAAGTTATAGAAATCAATGTAATACACCATATTAAGAATAAAAATGTAAAAAACCATATGATCATCTTGATAGGTGAAGAAAAAGCATCAAACAAACTTCAACACCCTTTCATGATAAAACACTTAACAAGCCGGGAAAGCTTGAAAACTTTTTTAACCTGATAAAAGGCGTCTATGAAAACCTCACAGCTAACATCATACTCTAGGGTGAAATACTGAGTGCTTTCCTCCTAAGATCAAGAACTAGATAAAGATGACAGTACTTGCCACTTCTAGTCAACTGTGATGGTTAATAGTGAGTGTCAACGTGATTGGATTAAAGGATGCACAGTATTGCTCCTGGGTTTGTCTGTGAGGGTACTGATTCATGCTACAACATGGACAGACCTTGAAAACATGGGCTGGGCATGGTTGCTCATGCCTGTAATCCCAGTACTTTGGGAGGCGGGGGTGGGGGGTCGGATCTTTTGAGGCCAGGAGCTCGAGACCAGCCTGGCCAACATAGTGAAACGCCATCTCTACTAAAAATACAAAAATTAGCTGGGCGTGGAGATGCACACCTGCACTTCCAGCTCCTAGGGAAGCTGAGGCATGAGAATTGCTTGAATCCAGGAGGTGGAGGTTGCAGTGAGCCAAGATTGCACGAATGCACTACAGCCTTGGTGACAGAGCAAGACTGTCTAAAATATATATATATATATATATATGTGTGTGTGTGTGTGTGTGTGTGTATATGTGTGTATATATGTATATAATGTGTGTATATATATACAACATTATGCAAAATGAAAGAAGCTAGTATAAAAGGGCCACATTATATGATTCCATTTACATGACATGTCTATAAGAGGCAAATCCATAGGGAAAGAAAGTAGATGGGTTGTTCCTAGGGGTTGGGGACAAGGTAGAATAATGACTTACTGCTAATGGGTACTAGATTTTGGGTTATGAAAATGTTTCAAAATGAGATAGTTGGGAGAATTTTACGACTCTGAATTAAATTTACTGAATTTACTGAAATTACACTGAATTTTATGGTATAGGAATTATATGAACAAAGCTATTTTTAAAAGGCTATGCAAAACAGCTATCCTCAACAAGGTTGGAAACTTAGGGATGATCTTTCTTATTTTCAGTCCTACTATCTGGAGAGCATTTCCAGGCTTCACTGTAGAAAGGAAAAATCAAAAATATTCCAGCAAACTCTTTTAGTTGAGGAGACAATGTTTGAAGACCAGGGAAGCCTCAGCTTCCCTAGTAGCTGGGACTGCAGGTGTGCACCACCACGCCCAGCTAATTTTTGTATTTTTAGTGGAGACCGCGTTTCACCATGTTGGCCAGGGAAGCCAAGAAAGCTAGAATTCTTGGGACAATACCAGAAAAAAGGAAATTGTGCAGAGAGAAATATCAGATATTTTCTGGTGGGCTTTCTTGGGCCTTTGACTGGGTTTAGATCTGAACATGTGTGTGAATAAACTACCTGAGGCTGGAGAAAGTATCACTAGAAAAGGCTGGGTGGAACATTCATTTTGATGTACCTCTAGTAGTTTCCAGCACCACGGGGAAGGTAAATGGGAGTGACTGCTAATGGGTGCAGGGTTAGTTTTTATGGTAATGAAAATATTCTAATGCTAAACAGTTGTGATGGGTGCACAATTCTGGGACTATACTAAAAACAACTAAATGGAACACTTTTTAAAGTGTTATACTGTTATAAAGTAAATTTTATTGTATGTGAATTATATGTTAATAAATTTATTTTAAATTCATAAAAAATTTCCTAGGTTTTCTTCTAGGATTTTTATAGTTTCAGGTATTACATTTAGGTCTTTAATCCATCTTGAGTTAATTTTTGTACAAAGTGAGAGATAGGAGTCCAGTTTCAATCAATGGAACTCCCATGTCCTAGCAGTGAACAATTGAGAATTTAAATTTTTAACATGAAATTTATGACAGTATAAAAACTAAGAAATACATAAGGACAAATTTAACAATATGTGAACATATTATACATTAAAAACTATAAAGCATTAAAGAAGATTCAAATAAATGAAGAGATATACCTTGCATATAGATTAGATTACTCAATATCATGGTGTCAGTTCTACCCAGATTGATCTATAGATTCAATGCAATCTAAATCAAAATCTTAGCAGGCTATTTTAGAAGCTAATTATTTTATATGGATATAAAAAGAAACCAGAAGAGCAAAAACAACTTAAAAGTGGAAAACAAAACCAGAGAACTTTATATAATTTTAAACTTCCTATAAATTCATAACAATGAAGATAATTTGATAATTGCATAAGGATAGGCATATATATATAAATGAAAATCTTAAAATAGACCAATATGTGTATGGTCAATTAATTTTTTACAAATGCACCAAGGCAATTCGATATGGAAATGATAGTTTTCAACAAATGAGGCTAGAACAATCACTATCAATATATCTTAAATTAAATGAACATAGGCTCTTATGCTGTACCATATACAAAAAAAACTTGAAATGGGCCAAACATGTAAGAACTATAACTATAAAACTATTAGAAGAAGACATTGGAAAAAAATCCTGGCAAACTTGGGGTAGGCAAAAATTTTCTTAAATAGGACACAAAAATCATGAACTACAAAAGAAAAATTTCTAATTTAGACTTCATAAAAATAAAATGCATTTGCTCTTCAAAAGACACTCAATAGGCTGGGCACGGTGGCTCACGCCTGTAATCCCAGCACTTTGGGAGGCTGAGGTGGGCAGATCACCTGAGGTCAGGAGTTCAAGACCAGCCTGACCAACATAGTGAAACCCCATCTCTACTAAAAATACAGAAATTAGCTGGGCATGGTGGTGGACACCTGTAATCCCAGCTACTCGGGAGGCTGAGGCAGGAGAATTGCTTGAACCTGGGAGGTGGAGGTTGCAGTGGGCCAAGATCATGCCATTGCACTGCAGCCTGGGTGACAGATCGAGACTCCATCTTGAAAAAAAAAAAAAAAAGACACTCAATAAAAAGCCACGCCTCAGGCTGGCAGAAAATATTTGCAAAACAGATCTCTAAGGAATTATTGAATGTGTAGTATCTACAGAAGGAAAACAATCCAATTATTTAAAAAACTGTGTGCAAAAGATTTGAACAGATACTTCATCAAAGAAGATATATAGTATATCAGCATTTGTAAAGACACTCAGCATCTTTCATAATTAGATAAATGGAAGTGAAAACCAAATGAAATACCATGACAAACCCATTAGAATGGCTAAAATTCAAATGACTGACAATCCCAGTTGGTAGTAAGGACATGTAGAAATTAGAACTCCCAATCACTGGCTGTAGTAATGCATTATGTAGAGCCATTTTGGAAAGCAGTGTCAGTTTTTCATAAAGTTAAACATGCATTTGACCCAAGCAATTTCAGTCCTGTATATTTACCCAAGAGAAATAAAATTCTCTTGACATAAAGATTCGTATGCATAGACACTTTAATCATAACAAACAAAAACTAAAAACAACCCAAATGTCCATCAGCTAGTGAACAGATAAACTGTGTTATGTCTACGCAGTGGAATACTAACCAGCAAAGGGGAAAAAACTGTGAATACATATAACAGCATAGATAAATCTCAAAATTAGTATGCAAAGTGAAGGAAGTCAGGTGTAAAAAATATACTGAATGATTCTATTAATATGAAATTTTGGAAAAGGCAAAACTATAGCAACAGAAAGAACATTGATGACTATTAGGAGCATTGAGTAGGGGAGAGGATTGGCTACAAAGGAGCATGAGGGAGCTTTCGGGATGGTGGTGTTCTACATCCTGATTGTGTTGGTGGATCTGCAAGTGTTTATATTTCTCAAAACTCATCAGATTTTACACTTTAAATGGTAGATTCTATTATATATATTATGCCCAAATAAAGCTGAGAAGAAGAGGACAAATTTTCAGATCCATCAAGCAAATGATCCCAAATAGCTTATATGAGGGAAATTTACATCTAAACACATTATAATGCAAATGAGGAAAATAAATATATAAAAAGCTAAAAGCAGCAAAAGAGAAAAGTAATTGTATGCAAAGGATCATTATTAAACTGGCAAACATCTCCTAATCACCAGCAATGGAAGTCATAATACAGTTGAATAATATCTTCAAAGACTAAGAGAAAATAATTTTCAACTTAGGATTGTAAATTCTTTTTTTTTTTTTTTTTCTGAGACCAAGTCTCACTCTGTCACCAGGCACCAGGCTGGAGTGCAGTGGCGTGATCTCGGCTCACTGCAACCTCTGGCTCCCGGGTTCAAGTGATTCTCCTGCCTCAGCCTCCTGAGTGGTTGGGACTACAGGTGCGTGCCAAACATGCCCAGCTAATTTTTGTATTTTTAGTAGAGATGGGGTTTCACCATGTTGGCCAGGATGCTCTTGATCTCTTGACCTTGTGATCTGCCTGCCTCAGCTTCCCAAAGTGCTAGGATTACAGGCGTGAGCCACCGCACCTGGCCGAAATTTGTTTAAGGTTAAGAGTGAAATGAAAATATTATTAGAAAAATGTAAGAGAAAACCAACACCAGGCTTTTCTAAATGAAGTCCTTCAGTAAAGGGAGAATAGTCCAAGAAGAAAGAATTGAGAATAGTTAAAGCCTGCAAATAACTGTATTTTTTTTTACAAAGAAGATAAAAGTATTGACTAACCTTAAAATGTAAGTTGAATATGAGTAATAAATCTTCCATGTAAATAAAAATTAAAATACCTATTTTACAAAAACTGCCAAACCTACCAAAAGAAAACAAATTTAAAAAGAGAAAATTTGATCAATCCAAAAAAAGGAAAGCAGAAAATAAGTGAAACATGGAAAATGAAAAAATTAAAAAGTTCACATATTACAATATGAATATATCAACAATCAAGTAAAATACAAAAGAACCAAAATCCCTAGTTAAAGATGGACATTTAACTTTCTTGGCTGTGGCAATTATTTTACTATATAGATGTATATCAAAACATCACATTGTAAACCTTAAATAAATGCAATTTTGTTTTAAAACTATGGCCTGGATTCTTAAAAATTTAGAATTTTGCAATTAGTTATATTTTGACTCACTCTATAGACTAATTATCAAAGGTGATGACATCTTAAAGCACACTTTGATATACCTATAGTAGCTTTCCTTTGGTTAATATTTGCATGGCATATCCTTTTACTATCAAATTTTCTGTGCTTTTATGAAGTTCTCAAATTTTGAGATGTGTATTTTTATATATCTTTTATGTATCTAAAAGATATATAAAAATACACATCTCAAAATTTGAGAACTTTTATGTATATAAAAGACATATAAATATCTTTCATATATCTATGTATATGAAAGGTATATAAAAGATATATGAAAGATATATCTTTTATGTCTTTCATATACCTATGTATAAATGTTTTCATATTTCTCTTATGATTGATTATTTGGCCCAAGACTTTTTTATGTGTCCACTTTAATTTTCAAATATATGGAAATTTGATTATCTTTTATAATTGATTTCTAACTGAATTACATTGTGACCAAAGAATGTGATCTGTATGATCTTAATGTAATCTTTGAATCTTTCTTATAAGCTAATATATCATCCATTTTTATAATTGTTTAATCTGGGAGTGACTATTCCTATGATTTTGGAGGAAGTGCTCTTGATATATTTCATTAGATCAAATATGTTAATTATATTATTAAACCTGCTATGTTGTCTTGTTGCCTAATTAAACCCCAATACAGTTGGAAATTAAAATCAAATCTATTAAAAAACACTTAGGTTTTCCAAATGGATATTCAACTGGCCCAGCAATTCCAAGTAAAATCCTGCCAGTATCTCTGTGTACCTGCATGCACATGTGCATGTATGCAGGCGTGTTTGTGTGTGTGTATGTGTATGTGTGTGTCAGAGAGAGAGAACTGACAAAACTACTTTTTTTAAATTGAAAAACAGGCTGTTTTATTTTATTTTATTATTATTATACTTTAAGTTTTAGGGTACATGTGCACAATGTGCAGGTTAGTTACATATGTATACATATGCCATGCTGGTGTGCTGCACCCATTAACTCGTCATTTAGCATTAGGTATATCTCCTACTGCTATCCCTCCCCCCTCCCCCCACCCCACAACAGTCCCCAGAGTCTGATGTTCCCCTTCCTGCGTCCATGTGTTCTCATTGTTCAATTCCCACCAATGAGTGAGAATATGTGGTGTTTGGTTTTTTGTTCTTGCGATAGTTTACTGAGAATGATGATTTCCAATTACATCCATGTCCCTACAAAGGACATGAACTCATCATTTTTTATGGCTGCATAGTATTCCATGGTGTATATGTGCCACATTTTCTTAATCCAGTCTATCATTGTTGGACATTTGGGTTGGTTCCAAGTCTTTGCTATTGTGAATAGTGCCACAATAAACATATGTGTGCATGTGTCTTTATAGCAGCATGATTTATAGTCGTTTGGGTATATACCCAGTAATGGGATGGCTGGGTGAAATGGTATTTCTAGTTCTAGATCCCTGAGGAATCGCCACACTGACTTCCACAATGGTTGAACTAGTTTACAGTCCCACCAACAGTGTAAAAGTGTTCCTATTTCTCCACATCCTCTCTAGCACCTGTTGTTTCCTGACTTTTTAATGATTGCCATTCTAACTGGTGTGAGATGGTATCTCATTCTGGTTTTGATTTGCATTTCTCTGATGGCTAGTGATGGTGAGCATTTTTTCATGTGTTTTTTGGCTGCATAAATGTCTTCTTTTGAGAAGTGTCTGTTCATGTCCTTCGCCCACTTTTTGATGGGGTTGTTTGTTTTTTTCTTGTAAATTTGTTTGAGTTCATTGTAGATTCTGGATATTAGCTCTTTGTCAGATGAGTAGGTTGCGAAAATTTTCTCCCATTTTGTAGGTTGCCTGTTCACTCTGATGGTAGTTTCTTTTGCTGTGCAGAAGCTCTTTAGTTTAATTAGATCCCATTTGTCAATTTCAGCTTTTGTTGCCATTGCTTTTGGTGTTTTAGACATGAAGTCCTTGCCCATGCCTATGTCCTGAATGGTAATGCCTAGGTTTTCTTCTAGGGTTTTTATGGTTTTAGGTCTAACGTTTAAGTCTTTAATCCATCTTGAATTAATTTTTGTATAAGGTGTAAGGAAGGGATCCAGTTTCAGCTTTCTACATATGGCTAGCCAGTTTTCCCAGCACCATTTATTAAATAGGGAATCCTTTCCCCATTGCTTGTTTTTGTCAGGTTTGTCAAAGATGAGATAGTTGTAGATATGCGGCGTTATTTCTGAGGGCTCTGTTCTGTTCCATTGATCTATATCTCTGTTTTGGTACCAGTACCATGCTGTTTTGGTTACTGTAGCTTTGTAGTATAGTTTGAAGTCAGGTAGCGTGATGCCTCCAGCTTTGTTCTTTTGGCTTAGCATTGACTTGGTGATGCAGGCTCTTTTTTGGTTCCATATGAACTTTAAAGTCGTTTTTTCCAATTCTGTGAAGAAAGTCATTGGTAGCTTAATGGGGATGGCATTGAATCTATAAATTACCTTGGGCAGTCTGGCCATTTTCACGATATTGATTCTTCCTACCCATGAGCATGGAATGTTCTTCCATTTGTTTGTATCCTCTTTTATTTCCTTGAGCAGTGGTTTGTAGTTATCCTTGAAGAGGTCCTTCACATCCCTTGTAAGTTGGATTCCTAGGTATTTTATTCTCTTTGAAGCAATTGTGAATGGGAGTTCACTCATGATTTGGCTCTCTGTTTGTCTGTTATTGGTGTATAAGAATGCTTCTGATTTTTGTACATTGATTTTGTATCCTGAGACTTTGCTGAAGTTGCTTATCAGCTTAAGGAGATTTTGGGCTGAGACAATGGCATTTTCTAGATATATAATCATGTCATCTGCAAACAGGGACAATTTGACTTCCTCTTTTCCTAATCGAATACCCTTTCTTTCCTTCTCCTGCCTAATTGCCCTGGCCAGAACTTCCAACACTATGTTGAATAGGAGTGGTGAGAGAGGGCATCCCTGTCTTGTGCCAGTTTTCAAAGGGAATGCTTCCAGTTTTTGCCCATTCAGTATGATATTGGCTGTGGGTTTGTCATAGATAGCTCTTATTATTTTGAGATACGTCCCATCAATACCTAATTTATTGAGAGTTTTTAGCATGAAGGGTCGTTGAATTTTGTCAAAGGCCTTTTCTGCATCTATTGAGATAATCATGTGGTTTTTGTCTTTGGTTCTGTTTATATGCTGGATTACATTTATTGATTTCCGTATATTGAACCAGCCTTGCATCCCAGGGATGAAGCCCACTTGATCATGGTGGATAAGCTTTTTGATGTGCTGCTGGATTCGGTTTGCCAGTATTTTATTGAGGATTTTTGCATCAATGTTCATCAAGGATATTGGTCTGAAATTCTCTTTTTTGGTTGTGTCTCTGCCCGGCTTTGGTATCAGGATGATGCTGGCCTCATAAAATGAGTTAAGGAGGATTCCCTCTTTTTCTATTGATTGGAATAGTTTCAGAAGGAATGGTACCAGTTCCTCCTTGTACCTCTGGTAGAATTCGGCTGTGAATCCATCTGGTCCTGGACTCTTTTTGGTTGGTAAGCTATTGATTATTGCCACAATTTCAGAGCCTGTTATTGGTCTATTCAGAGATTCAACTTCTTCCTGGTTTAGTCTTGGGAGGGTGTATGTGTCAAGGAATTTATCCATTTCTTCTAGATTTTCTGGTTTATTTGTGTAGAGGTGTTTGTAGTATTCTCTGATGGTAGTTTGTATTTCTGTGGGATCGGTGGTGATATCCCCTTTATCATTTCTTATTGTGTCTATTTGATTCTTCTCTCTTTTCGTCTTTATAATTCTTGCTAGCACTCTATCAATTTTGTTGATCCTTTCAAAAAACCAGCTCCTGGATTCATTAATTTTTTGAAGGGTTTTTTGTGTCTCTATTTCCTTCAGTTCTGCTCTGATTTTAGTTATTTCTTGCCTTCTGCTAGCTTTTGAATGTGTTTGCTCTTGCTTTTCTAGTTCTTTTAATTGTGATGTTAGGGTGTCAATTTTGGATCTTTCCTCCTTTCTCTTGTGGGCATTTAGTGCTATAAATTTCCCTCTACACACTGCTTTGAATGTGTCCCAGAGATTCTGGTATGTTGTGTCTTTGTTCTCGTTGGTTTCAAAGAACCTCTTTATTTCTTCCTTCATTTCGTTATGTACCCAGTAGTCATTCAGGAGCAGGTTGTTCAGTTTCCATGTAGTTGAGTGGTTTTGAGTGAGATTCTTAATCCTGAGTTCTAGTTTGATTGCACTGTGGTCTGAGAGATAGTTTGTTATAATTTCTGTTCTTTTACATTTGCTGAGGAGAGCTTTACTTCCAAGTATGTGGTCAATTTAGGAATAGATGTGGTGTGGTGCTGAAAAAAATGTATATTCTATTGATTTGGGGTGGAGAGTTCTGTAGATGTCTATTAGGTCCGCTCGGTGCAGAGCTGAGTTCAATTCCTGGGTATCCTTGTTGACTTTCTGTCTTGTTGATCTGTCTAATGTTGACAGTGGGGTGTTAAAGTCTCCCTATATTAATGTGTGGGAGTCTAAGTCTCTTTGTAGGTCACTCAGGACTTGCTTTATGAATCTTTGTGCTCCTGTATTGGGTGCATATATATTTAGGATAGTTAGCTCTTCTTGTTGAATTGATCCCTTGACCATTATGTAATGGCCTTCTTTGTGTCTTTTGATCTTTGTTGGTTTAAAGTCTGTTTCATCAGAGACTAGGATTGCAACCCCTGCCTTTTTTTGTTTTCCATTTGCTTGGTAGATCTTCCTCCATCCTTTTGTTTTGAGCCTATGTGTGTCTCTGCATGTGAGATGGGTTTCCTGAATACAGCACACTGATGGGTCTTAACTCTTTATCCAATTTGCCAGTCTGTGTCTTTAATTGGAGCATTTAGTCCATTTACATTTAAAGTTAATATTGTTATGTGTGAGTTTGATCCTGTCATGATGATGTTAGCTGGTTATTTTGCTCGTTAGTTGATGCAGTTTCTTCCTAGTCTCGATGGTCTTTACATTTTGGCATGATTTTGCAGCGGCTGGTACCCGTTGTTCCTTTCCATGTTTAGCGCTTCCTTCAGGAGCTCTTTTAGGGCAGGCCTGGTGGTGAGAAAACCTGTCATCATTTGCTTGTCTGTGAAGTATTTTATTTCTCCTTCACTTATGAAGCTTAGTTTGGCTGCATATGAAATTCTGGGTTGAAAATTATTTTCTTTAAGAATGTTGAATATTGGCCCCCACTCTCTTCTGGCTTGTAGAGTTTCTGCCGAGAGATCAGCTGTTAGTCTGATGGGCTTCTCTTTGAGGGTAACCCGACCTTTCTCTCTGGCTGCCCTTAACATTTTTTTCTTCATTTCCACTTTGGTGAATCTGACAATTATGTGTCTTGGAGTTGCTCTTCTCGAGGAGTATCTTTGTGGCGTTCTCTGTATTTCCTGAATCTGAATATTGGCCTGCCTTGCTAGATTGGGGAAGTTCTCCTGGATAATATCCTGCAGAGTGTTTTCCAACTTAGTTCCATTCTCCCTGTCACTTTCAGGTACACCAATCAGACGTAGATTTGGTCTTTTCACATAGTCCCATATTTCGTGGAGGCTTTGTTCATTTCTTTTTATTCTTTTTTCTCTAAACTTCCCTTCTCGCTTCATTTCATTCATTTCATCTTCCATCACTGATACCCTTTCTTCCAGTTGATCGCATTGGCTCCTGAGGCTTCTGCATTCTTCACGTAGTTTCGAGCCTTGGCTTTCAGCTCCATCAGCTCCTTTAAGCACTTCTCTGTATTGGTTATTCTAGTTATACATTCTTCTAAATTTTTTTCAAAGTTTTCAACTTCTTTGCCTTTGTTTTGAATTCCTCCTGTAGCTTGGAGTAGTTTGATCATCTAAAGCCTTCTTCTCTCAGCTCGTCAAAGTCATTCTCCATCCAGCTTTGTTCCATTGCTCGTAAGGAACTGCGTTCCTTGGAGGAGGAGAGGCACTCTGATTTTTAGAGTTTCCAGTTTTTCTGCTCTGTTTTTTCCCCATCTTTGTGGTTTTATCTACTTTTGGTCTTTGATGATGGTGATGTACAGATGGGTTTTTGGTGTGGATGTCCTTTCTGTTTGTTAGTTTTCCTTCTAACAGACAGGACCCTCAGCTGCAGGTCTGTTGGAGTACCCGGCTGTGTGAGGTGTCAGTCTGCCCCTGCTGGGGGGTGCCTCCCAGTTAGGCTGCTCGGGGGTCAGGGGTCAGGGACCCACTTGAGGAGGCAGTCTGCCCGTTCTCAGATCTCCAGCTGCGTGCTGGGAGAACCACTGCTCTCTTCAAAGCTGTC